>NC_000021.9:19215808-20465808 GCF_000001405.40 Homo sapiens
TTATAACTGAAAAGTCATCAGAAAATTTATATTGTGCCTCCAACTAACAGTTATGTGAACTTCATAAAGACTTCATTAGGCAACATCATTGCAAGAAGCATTGTAGGTATTAAGATACATATTCCTCGGTGGCTGTGTTATGAGCAGATGTTAAATATAAAAATTTAAGTCCAATTCAATTGCACCATATCCCATAGCAATAATTTATTACATTTACAATGATTAGTCATGGGAGGTATTATCCATATAAATAACTCAGTTAGTTCTGCTTAATTTTTGTAAATAATGGAATATTATTTGAAATGCCAAGAGAACCGCACTTATAAAATAATCAGAATAAACTTGTATTTTTAATTATTCATGCTTCACAAATAGTTTGTTATATCTTAACTTTTCTATCCTAGCACAAAGTGATTTCTCTCTGCTAATATCTACACACACACACACACACACAAACACACACACACACATACACACACACAGTCTTTCAAATCATCTCATTTAATCTTAACAGTAAAGATTCAAGCTAGGTGTTGTTATATGTTTTATAAAAAGGAAAAATGAGACACAGAGAATTAAAAGTTTCATACAGCTGACTATCAGAGCAAGATTTTAACTGAAGATGTCTGAGTCCTGAGCACTTAATCACTGAGCTAATGTTTTATCTTAAGATATCTTGTGTTTCCATTTGTAGCATCAGGAAACCTAAATTTTAGTAGGTGTTTCTCCAACTGTATGATATCAGATAACATATTTATGTTTTCATGACCCAATTTCCTCAAAGAAAGCATTTAGATAGTTGTACAAGGGATATCTGCTTAATGAATGAATTGATTAATGAATTTTAATTTATAACTATCAATGTGTTTCTTTTTGAAGAACAATCTCTTTATTTCTGAGACAAAATACATGTGGAGTCTCTACAGAGAAAGTAGAGAAGATCAAATTATACAAACGTGTATGTATATATAATCTACAAAAGTCTATAAGCAAAATTAATTACTACTGAATTTTACAGGTAAAAAATCAAGGTTAAATCAAGGATCACATATTCAGTAGGAAACAGAAATTTAGAAGTCTGAAGGGCAGTTAGAAGCTGAGAAATGTATTTCTAGAGTTCACGTTCTTAACTATTACGCTATACTAGATCTTAAATAAGACTACTTTTGTTAAATTTTTTTCTTTAGCTTGAATTTGCAGTTATTTAAGATAGTTAAAGGAACAGCAATAGAGATAAAATGGCCACTTTCATTACTGAAAATGTTGTAAGTGGAGAAATGAATTTTGATGCACGGCAGAAATGGACGGTCATTACGATGATGATTTGAATCCCAAAATAGACATTTGTATTCACCTTGTCACAGGTAGCACTAGAGAACCTCAGACCTCTCCACATGGAAGCATGCCTGGGAAATCCTACAGTGTCGAGACACAGTGCACAGTGTGGAGTGCATACTTACAAAGGGCAACTAGTACCTAAAGGCAAAAAGAGAAGAGAAGGGCTGAGCTAACCATGCTTAATTTCTACCCCCAAATATGTCACATGGAGTGGAAAGGCCAATATTGCGGTTCCAATAGCGATCACCTCACATTGAAAGTAGAGGTAACAGAAAAGACTGATCCTCCCTACATTCCTTTATGGAATACAAGGAAGTAGAGGAAGACAGTCTGAAAATAACTGAAAAAAATGACAATAAAAATTCATGCCCGTATTTTAATAATGTTTGTTTAATTTTTGATATCATTATAGACTTACAGAGCATTGCAAAAATAGTATTAGGTTAGTGCAAAAGTAATTGCAGTTTTGCCATCACTTTCAATGGCCAAAACTGCAATTACTTTTGCACAAACATAATACAAAGAATTCTGAATACTCTACACCCAGCTTCCCTTAATATTAAAATCTTAACTAATCATAATTCAATTGCCACAGCTAAAAAACTATCAATGTTACATATTATTAGATAAATAACAGATTTCATTTGGGTTCTCTAATGTTTTCACTAATGTTCTTTTTTTTTTTTTTTTTTTTTGAGACAGAGTCTCACTCTGTCACCCAGGCTGGAGTGCAGTGGCACGATCTCGGCTCACTGCAAGCTCCATCTCCGGGGTTCACGCCATTCTCCTGCCTCAGCCTCCTGAGTAGCTGGGACTACAGGCACCCGCCGCCACGCCAGGGTAATTTTTTGTATTTTTTAGTAGAGATGGGGTTTCACCTTGTTAGCCAGGATGGTCTTAATCTCCTGACCTCGTGATCCACCTGCCTCAGCCTCCCAAAGTGCTGGGATTACAGGTGTGAGCCACCGCGCCTGGCCACTAATGTCCTTTTATGGGTTCAAGATTTAGTTCAGGATCCCACTTAGCATGAAATTGTCATGGTTCTTTCATCTTTATTCTATCTGTTGCAGTTCTTCAGTTTTTCCTTGACTGATAGTGGGCACTCAAATAGCATACAATAGATCATAATAGGTATATCCTACAAATACCATATCCTAGGAAAATTAAAATAGATAATGCATTAAATGTAACTGGTATGCAATAGACAGCAATTGGCATAATGCCAATTGGCATAATGCTCAAATAATGGTTAATATATCAATATTATTACATAAAAATATACATATAAACTTTAAATTTGCTGCAATCTAGTTTTTCTTTCAGCCTTTTCTCATCTCATCCATTACACACTCTTCATCCTGTGTTGTTCTGGCAAATAATCCTGATGACTTTGTGTCTATTCATGTTCCTTGCTTCTCCAATTTTCTAATTATTACTGAGGCCATGTCACCTAGATATCATTAGATGCAATATACAATGTCTTAATTTTAAAATTTACATTCTGTGCTTACTTATTGATTTGACTTGGCTGTGTCCCCACCTAAATCTCATCTTGAATTTAGTTCCCATAATCCCCACGTATCGTGGGAGGAACCCAGTGGGAGGTAGTTGAATCATGGAGGTGATTACTTCCATACTGTTCTCATGATAGTGAGTTCTCATGAGATCCGATGGTTTTATAAAGGGCTTTTCTCCCTCTTCGCTCTGCATTTCTCTTTGCTGACACCATGTGAAAAAAGATGTGTTTGCTTCCCCTTCCACCATCATTATAAGTTTCCTGAGGCTGCCCCAGACATGCTGAACTGTGAGTCAATTAAACCTCTTTCTTTTATAAATTACCCAATCTCAGGTATGTCTTCATGAGTAACATGAGAACAGGCTAATACATTTACTTTCACAGGTATGCCTTTTCTATGCAATTTCAGGATTGTTTTTGCTTCTTCTTATTTGTGCAATTCTATACTTTTTCAGATGTCTTTTCATTTTATTTGCTTATTTGTGCTTTGTTTTGTTCCAGATGTTTTTCTCTTGTCATCCTTGAACAAACTGAACTCTCTGCAAATTCAGAAGAATTTTGAATTTCCCGCGATGCCAGTTTTGTCTTTTAAATGATACTCATTTTCCTTTCCAAAATGTCGTGTGTATAAGATGAGGACAGAAAGAACATTTTCCTGTTAAAATCCTCTGACATTTTAGAGTTATTATTCTTACAGAGTGGCTAACATTAATTACCCTAAAACACTCAGTATATATCTTTAAGTCAAATGCATATTTTCTTTGCATACTAATAGGGTTTTCAAACTCTCAGGTTCTAGCTAGTATCTCTATTTTACTACTACTCACAAGGGGTAGCATAATTTCCTATCATTATTAGATGGTACACATATATGAAGAGAAAGAAAAATAATGAAGAGGAGAAGGAAGAGAAAGCAGAAGGGGAAGGGAGAAGGGAGGAGGATTGAGGAAGAAGAAAGGAAACAGGGGAGAAGAACAGGAAGAGAAGAAAAACAAACAACTATTCCCCCACATGCTGTGATATTATAACTTGTTTTGTCTTTTGTCTCACACATAATAGTTTTGTGTGGTAGCACATCCTAAAATATAATATACTCAGCAAAGCTTAGTCTCTCTAGTTCAATCAGCTTTTTGTTCCCCTGCTGTTTTGTCTCTATGTGTATCGAGAGGCATACAAGAAGCTTGTGGGATTAGACAGAAAGGTCACTGTTCTGGTCTGGTAAGGAGTAGTACCCATTTCAATGAGGGAAGATTTTGCAATGTGTATTATGTTAATCATGTCATTGAGCAGGAGGCTAACGGTAGAGAAAGAGTGGCACAATGTTTTATATTTTTCCAAATAATTTCTGTTTCATAATTGATATTTGGAGTAAGGGTCAGTAGATGATCTATAAGGCATCTGTGAATCAGACTTTGTGATAGAGATGGCTAGTAGCTGGTCAAAGGTTTGTTCATTGCTTTCACAATGTAGAGTTATTATATAAGTCAGTTGTGGGGCCAAAAGTGACAATTTCTAGCCCATCTTGTGTTTTCTGAGGTCCATGTGACTGGGCTGAAATTTTGTATTGTATTTCCACCATTGGCTTCTAATAATCCTTTGGGTATTATCTGAGAGAGAAATAGCATTTTATCGATTTTCAAAGGATTGTTTTTTTCTAAAATAATACAAGATCAGGAATAAAATATTTTCAGAACTATATATCATAAAAATATTTTGTTTTCAGTATTATAAAATTTCCCCACACTAAGTAGACATTGAACTGGAGCAGATAAAAGCTGTGTAACCAAAAGGTCCAGTTACTTAGTTCTGTGGTAATAGTCTTGAGGAGATGGACGAGGAAAAGCTGACCACACTCTGCTAAGAGCTGGACAAATAACATCAAGTAATCTCCTTGAACCCTGCTCTCATCGGTTTAGACCACCAGTTCTCATGGTATTCTTTGACCATCATGTCTTGGCTTAAGAAAAACATGAATCTAATATTCTCATCCATTCCAAGTCACATCCATTTTGAGAAAGAGCAAGATCATGAGGTTCTTTTGATTTGGGATGAAAAACAAGAGATTAGGATGAAGGTAATTGGTGCAAACATTATCTTTGTCTCCCAAATTAATGAGCTTTACGGTTTTTACTTCTTTTTTTAAACATACAGCATTAAAGTATATTTCATAATTAAACAGACTAAGCAGGTTGGCAAGGAGTACATATAATTTAGTATATCAGCAAAGCTCTCTATTAATAATACAACATTCTGAAATCATTTTCTTAGAGTTAAAAATATATTCTCATGTTACTATACACATGAAGCAACAAAATTTAACATTTATACAAGTAACTTGAGATAAACTTTTTCTGTCTGTTCATTACAGATATACCAAACACAACAAAATAATATAAATAACCTAAATAATATAATTGATAGCGACAATGCATGCAGAGAGTATGTATATATTTCAAATACAAAATATAATATTTTCAAACATTACTGAAAAATTTATACACATAAACATATACAACCATACACAAGCACACAAACACAAAACGACAACACTAACTACACTTGTAAACTAGGCTATAAAACAAACAGCAATAACCCATGTAAAAATTGTGGAGTCCACCTATTAAAAAAAGTGCTAGTGATTTAAATTAGATAGTTTTATATAAAGATCAAAAAATCAATAATATCTCATGAGTATAGATATTGAGAACTATTGCATATGTCAAACTGCTGCCTATTGCAGTATTTACATATATGTTTACCTATATGCATGTGAATAAAACATGTATTGTAAATGTACATGTAAATATACAGAATTAGACAGTAATTTATTAGAATGGTAACCGTTTTCTTTTTTCATTACGTCTAGGTAACCCATTACAGTCTGATCAGTCTCTCCAGAAACAACAGTGAATGATTAGAATCAATGTTTCTTTCCTATGCCTTTAATAACTGCATTTTTACAACCTATACAAAATCTTTATTCACATGATAAATGCTGGTAAATTAGCTTATGTGTTTTCCCATACTCAAAATTTCTTTACAGTTCAACCACAGGGGGAAAAATGCTTTCTTATATAAAAAAACTAAATAAAAAACAAGAACTAGTTAGAATGATTGAATACAAGTCCATGTATTCAGTCTCTCCACATGAGAACATATAAAATATGCTTCATCAAGAAACAAATTTTCAATATGTATGACTGATTTTATACAATTCTTAATGCTTGTTTCTTTTGAATACCTTTGAAGTTAAGGGCACAAAGAGGATTAGAGGAATATATGTTGCTTTGTATTTCAATAGAATATTCTCCAATTTTTTTAAAAAGCAAAAGCATGCTCATTATAATCAATCAATATATAGATATACAAAAGATGTGTACACTCTTACCACACAATTGTACTCAGTGTTACATAAACAATGATAGGAAGTCAGTATGTATCTCTTTTGTTTTTATAGAAATGTATAAAGTCATATAGAGTTTTTTTTGGTAATTTTGTTGTTTTGTTGTTAACATTTATTTCCATATCAATATATGTTATATAACTGCTCTGCAACTTGAATTTTTTGCTTCACTTGGTGACAATAACAGCACAATAAAAACATATCATAATCAAATAGCCACTACGGATGAGTATTAACATTGTTCATATTGCTTAACTAATGCAAATATTTCAGTAGTAAACATTCATATATCCTTATTACTGATTTTTTATTTCTGTGGGATAGTTCACTGGATAAAATATTCAAGTAAAAGGAAAATCATTTTATAAATATTCTCAATGCGTAAGTAGCTTGAGATCTTTGAGAAAGACTGTTGGAAAATAAAATTGGCAAGTCCAAATCTTGTAGGAGATTATAGTCCAAAGTAAAGAATTTGTTTTATCCTAGGTGCACAAAAAATTCTCTAGGAGGTTTTAGGCAATGAGGTGACAAGAATAAATGTCTTTACCAAGATCCTCGTGGTGGTTATATAAAGAAGTCCCCCAAAAGTTAATAATCCCCTGACAATTATGGTGAACATTTTATATTGAACTGAACACTTTTAATGATCTCTTACACCTATTGCAGCATATCTATTAGTACATCAATGTCAGGATTCCACTCACCTTATTTTGTTACCTTATTGATTCTTTTTATTAGAATTTCAGGTTCTGGTATCACTGAACCATTGCATGATGCAGGATATGGTGTGATGCTTAGTAAACATCAGCTTGGTAAATGTTGATCTATGGACACCTAGAAAATCAAACAGGACTGTGATGTCAAATAGTTAGAAAGTTAATTGAAATTCAATATTGACTAAGTAAAATTTGGTGAGACATAAGACCTTTTTGAGTAACTAACATTTTATTTAAGATTTTTGCGACCAGATGAGACATATTTGGGAAGATGGAGAATAAGGCTTTTGGCTTAGAGAAGACCTAGTACGATAGATTAAGGAGGTAACAAGCCTGGCACAGAAAAAAAATGCACATTTGTCCTAATCACAAATGCTGTGAGGTGGTTTAACAAAAGCAGAATTACTTTCTCTTCAGATATCTTCTCCCAATCTCAGTAAATAGCACGAAAATGTAGTTAAGTGATCAAACCAAAATTATAAGATTCCTTCTTTTTTTTTTTTTTCATTCTTTCAGCTCCCACACAAATAGATAGTATTAACTCACTCATTTCTCTGTGACGCAATTGTTAGCACAGTAGTCCAAACCATCAACTTCTCTCATCTGGACTGCTCAGCATTCCCACCTGAGGGCTTCCTGCTGCTGTCGTTGTCCCTTCAATTCATTCTGTCCCCTGCCCTGGCTTTCTTGTTGCCTGAAAAATCTAACCCTATTGGCTCCTATATGAGGTGGAATTTGTTTCTCTTGTCTATAACTTGACTTTTAATTTATCATTAGCTTAAAATTTCTTTTTTAACATAGTTTTATTTAATTTCAAGTAGTCAAATCCATCAATCATTTTACTTACGGTTTTTAAATATTTACATATTATTTGAGGTAGGCCTTCCACATTCCAGGATTTAAAAAAAAAAGATTAGCCTCTTAAAATTTTTAGCCTTTTATGGCTTATGTTTTAAAAACAATTTTGTTGAGGTGTAATTTTAATACTATAAAATTCATCTATCCTATGTATATAATTCAGTGATTTTTATTAAACTTACAGTTTTGCCAGTGTTACCACAATTCAGTATTAGAGTATTTCCATCATTTCAAAACTTCCCTGAGAAGGAATTTTAGTCAATCTCAGTTTCTACCCCCAAATCCTACTACTTTGTGTTCAGTCAGTGTGAATTTTTCTTTTAGAGACATTTCATATAAATGGAGTCATAAAATATATAACCTTTGTGTCTAACATAATGTTTCTGTGCTCTAAATCAGTAGATCATTTGTTTAGATTACTGGATAGAATTCACTGTATGTATAAACTGCATTTTGTTTACTAATTTACTAGCTGATGGATATTTGGATTCCTTTTACTTATTGGCCATTATGAACAACATTGCTATGAACAGTTGCATACAAGTGTTTTTCATTTTCTTGGTTAGATGCCTAAGAGCAGAACAAGTGGGTCATATGGCAAGTTTATGTTTAACTTGCAGTGGAACGATCACCGCTCACTGCAGCCTCGGCCTCCTGGGCTCAGGAGATCCTCCCAAGTAGCTGGGATTACAGGTGTGCGCCGCCGTGCCCAGCTAATTTTTGTATTTTTTGTAGAGACAGGGTTTTTTCATGTTTCCCAGGCTGGTCTCGAACTCCTGATATCAAACAATCCGCCCGCCTCGCCCTTCCAAACTTTTTGGATTACCGGTGTGATCCACCCTGCCTTGCGTTTAGCTTCTTTAGAAACTGCCAAACCATTTTCCAAAGTGTGTGTATCACTTTACATTCCCACTTGTCAGTGTATGAGGATTCCACTTCCTCCACATTCTTGCATAAACTTCTTTTCTCTTTTTGATAAAAGCTGTTCTAGTAAGTGTGAGGTAATATCTCACTATGGTTTTATTTTTCATTTCCTTAATAACTGATGATAAGTATATTTTCATGTGCTATTTAGATATTTTTATATATTATTTGATGAAATGTCTAATTAAATATGTCATCCATTTTAATTGGATATTTGTTTCCTCCTATTGCATTATACGAGTTCTTTTTAATATTCTGAATATAAGCCCTTTGTTGAGATGTGATTTTCAGATATTTTCTCTTGCTCTGTGGTTTGCCTTTTAATTTTATTAGTCATGTCATTTGAAACACACAGGTTTTAATATTGAAAAAGTCTCAATTATCTTGTTATGTGTTGTGTTTTTGTTTTATCGGTTCTGTTTTTGGCATCATATCTAAGGGACTCTTTGCCTGACAGAATGTCTCAAATATTTTCTTTTGTGTTTTCTTCTAGGAGTTTTAGAGTTTCAGGTTTTGCAGATCTGGTTTCAGATCTAAGATCTACTATTCACTTGGAATATCTTTTTGTGTATAATGTGAGGTAAGAACACATTTTTTTTTTTTTTTTGCATGTGGACATTCAGCTGTTCAAGCACCATTTGATGGAAAGACTAATTTTCCACATTGATTTGCCTTAATATCTATGTCAAACAACAATTGACAATGCATGTAAAAATTTCTTTCTGAATTTTCAATTCTGTTATATTGATCTATATGTGCACTTTTACCTCAGTAACATATTGTCTTGATTTTGGTAGTTTTATAGTAAAATTTGAAATTTGGAGGTGTAACTTCAAACTTCATTTTCTTTTTCAAAATATTTTTGTCAATTATGAGTCCTGCATTTCTGTGTTTCTTTTTTAAACTGAATATATTTTTCTTGCATAAATATTTACATAGAAGTCAGTGTGTTATAGGAATAAACAGAGTTTCTAGTTGGGCAGATATACTATATCATTATTATTTATGAAACATTAATGAAGTTATAGTTACAGTATTTGGGCCTTTTATTGTATGTCCATTAGGGTATAAGAAAAATATCTATCTTACAATGGTTCAATAACTACTTTGTGGAATACTTTATTAAATATTTTCCTTCTTTTTAATCAACAGTTAAGTGTTATTAAAAGTATTTTCTATGTGTTCTGATATTAAAAATGTCTTAAGTATTTTCAATTACTATAATAAATGTTCATAACTTGTATATTTATATCATTCCAAATTACTTAAGGTAAATTCTGTTTTTAATAATAAATATGTAGATATTATAAATTAATATAGCATATAAATATATAAAAGTATATCTATATCTAAATTATATAAACATGCATGTATGTATATACACACATCATGTATGAACAAGACCTCAGAAATTGAGAGTGGATATAAATTCTTATGAAAAAACCCTCCGTTGAACTGAACACAAAAGCATATACAGGGAGAGAGCAAGACAAACTCATAATGTCAGCGGCATCACAGAGAGTAAAATAATACTGGTTTTAATTAGTCCGGAAAAAAGAGAGGTATTTTGTGTAACTGGCACTTAGGCATTGAGTATTCATAAGGCAATGAGTATTCATTCTTATAAAGTTGTCTTTATAAGATTCTGCATTTATTATTCTTGTTCACCTTTATTACTATAGAGGTGAAAAGGGTGTCATGCTCTTCTTCACCCATCATAAGGGTCACAGCCGACGGTCCTATTAAAAAAGACAAGCTAATAAGAGCAAAGTGTAACAAGTTTATTTTATCAAAGCCTTCAGAAATGAAGACCCAAAGACCTAGAAAAAAATCTCTAAAATATTTTTATGCTTAGGTTTGATGAAGAATGAACAGCAATGTGGAAATGTGATTGGACAAAAGGGTATGATCTAATGGCAGTAAACTGAAGGGGGAACTCCAGCAATTCCTCTCTGTCCAGATTCTTTTTGGACTCTCTATGTAGCATTCCTTCCTCCTGAATATGGGGTAGGACTCCTCTGGAATTAGGGTATTCAAGAGAGAAGAGAGAGAGTGTGGCCTTTCTTGGTCTTATGGCTTGATTTTGGGGAGAATGGCTCTAGTTTCTATGACCTGTTCATATGGTCTGGCTCTGTGCCCAAACCAAATGTCAGTTAAAATTGTAATTCCCCTGTGTCAAGACAGAGGGACCTGTAATCCCCATGTGTCCATGGAGAGAAGTGATTGGATTATGGGGTGGTTTCCCCCATGCTGTTCTCATAATAGTGAGTGAGATTCACGAGGTCTAAGGGTTTTAAAACTGAAACTGGAAACCATCATTCTCAGCAAACTATCGCAAGGACAAAAAACCAAACACTGCATGTTCTCACTCATAGGTGGGAATTGAACAATGAGAACACATGGACACAGGAAGGGGAACATCACACACTGGGGACTGTTGTGGGGTGGGGGAAGCGGGGAGGGATAGCATTAGGAGATATACCTAATGCTAAATGACGAGTTAATGGGTGCAGCACACAAGCATGGCACATATGTACATTGTAACAAACCTGCATGTTGTGCACATGTACCCTAAAACTTAAAGTATAATAATAATAAAATTAAAAAAAATAAAGTTCTACTACAATTTAAAGAAACAAAAAACAAACTAACAAAAAAAAAAACAAAAAACTGGTGTTTTTTCCTGTGCTCTCATTTCTCTTCTCTCCTGCCACCTTGTGAAGTAGGTGTCTGCTTCCCCTTCGCCTTCAGCCATGATTGCAAGTTTCCTGAGACCTCCCCAGCCATGCTGAACTATGAGTCAATTAAACCTCTTTTCTTTATAAATTACCCAGTCTGGGGTATTCTTTGTAGCCCTGTGAAAATGGACTAATACACCTGTCTTGGGGAAGAGGAATTCTGCTATGACATGATTTTGGGGAGATACAGGGATGACAAACATGAAGATGAGAGAAGGTCAAAAAGACCTTGCTTCCGAGGTTCTTCCAATCTCTTTCAGTTCAAGGTACTCAGCATGTCAAAGTGCCATACTTTGGGGTATCGTGTTCTGAGCCCCAACATTGCTTGTGTACATTAACAAATAAATGATTGATAAATAATTAATAATAAGATTACGTTTTAAATAAATTTACTCATTGGATAAAACATAACTAACCATGTGAATTTCTCTGTGTTTCCCTCATGCCTTATTTTGTTAATGCAGGAATTGGCCATAAATAAATTTGTTATGGTGGTAGAAATAAAACGTCAGTAGATTGTAGCTTTCTAGAACTTTGTGCATTAAACTAATTTCTACAACCTCTAAATTTAACTAGTTATTTTAGCTGGACAGAAAATCCAAATGAAATTGACATGACATTTGAATGTAAATAAGGTGAAAAGCATTTCTTAATTTTTGCATTTTTAGACATAGAAAAAACAATGATTACTCTTTTTACTCAAAGTGGAAATATCCTATAGTCTTATGAAATTTTTCACATCTCTATAATTGTTAATATTAGTTAATTTTACTTAGACATAATCAACTCTTTTGTTTAGGTAAAAATTCTCAATAGAAACATTTATTTCATTAGCACATTTTTTCCCAAAAATTTTACCAGAGGGAATTTCAAAGGTTAATATCTGGTATTAAACAAACAAACAAACAAAGAAACAAACAAACAGTAGCCGTCTTGACACAGTTTTGTCCATTACAGAGTGAGCCATGAAACAATATTTTGACCTATTTACTACTATAATACCCTTGAGAATACATCAGCAAAAAAGAATCAAGTGCCTTGTTTTCTCTGGAATTTGAGCTTGGTGGAGCTCCTGCATCTGTACTCATCCTCTCATGCTAAGGGAGTAATTACAAGTGTTCAAGCCAAATCCATAAATCATGATGTGGTGAGAACTCTGGTTTCCTTTGATGTTTTCCTTAAGTGAATGCAATCTCAGTGGCAGTTGATATCCACTAAACTGTTCTTGCAAATGCTTATTACATTTGAACTTAGAAGCAATTTGTATTCTCTGATGGGCTTTTGTCTTTGAAATGTCCTTCCCCTTATAATCCAAATGGAATGTCAATGTTGAACCTTTTGTTCAGTTACATTCAGGAAAAGAAACAAATATGATTGTATATTTTATAGTGCTAAGGCAGTGCATTTCAGGAATACTTGCACACACAGAAACACACACCGCATATATTTGAACAGGTAGATTCTACATAAATCAGTTTTAGATTTTTTTTTCAGTGTCGCCTTTTGCTTAGTTTGCTGTCCAATATTAACTTTTTCTACATCTGGACTTTTTGTATATCCACTTACTTCGCATATTTCTTTTTCATGTCTTTAAGAGTATAGTTCTGAACAAAAACTAAAAAAAAATCAGAGAAAATCAATTTCTGAGAGATAGTATAGTTTAGTTAGAGGCATTATAGCTTATGTGAACTCTAAAGTAAAGCACACTTTTGCTCAAAACCCAGCCCTACTACTGAGTAGATGCTTGAGCCTATCGTTCAAAATCGCAATACATGTAAACTATTATTATCTATGTATTAAATGATTAATTGGAGATTTGTTTTAAAAAAATTCTGGGCAGAACAATGTAAGATTTGGTTAATCAGAAGGGATAGAATAACTACATGTGGAAGATAATTTGCATGTATCATTCTCCATTCCTGACAAATTACCTGGCAGAAATATTTTCATAAGAAAATCCTTTCCTCCTTTTGATGAAGTATTAAATATGTATTTTTAATGTATTCCACTTAAGTGACGTAAACATTTTGCTAAAATAAACTTAAAAAGTACACCAGTAATCTCCTGCTCTTTTAAAGCTCAAATACTCATATTGAGGTAAAAATAAATACATAATATTAAACAGTGTGCTTCAATATTTCCCATAGTTAGATGACATAAAAATATGTTATGGACCACATTTCTCAACCATAAGTCACACCTACCTTATGCTGTGCTCCTTTTCCTTAAACTCTCCCTGTGAATTTGTGCTTCATCACTAAGGCCAAAGAAAAAAGTTTAAAAGTGATAACTTCTCTGAGATATTTGTACCTTAACTACAGAAACACAACAGATAAAATCATCGTTAAAAGCAATGAAACAATAATGACAAAATCATAATTATAGGAACATATTCTTTTGAAAAATATTTCCTGGGCACCATATTATGATGCTTTTTGTACATTGTGTTTTTTAACCAATAGCCAATAAGTTGTCTAATGACCATCACATACAAGTCAGAAAAAGGAAAGGCAGATATGTTAAATAATTTGCTGGTACTCATATAGGAAATGATGGCAAACCTGGGACATAAATTCATGCTTGCTTTGTTACAGGTGTGTGAATTGATACTTAATATGTTTCCTGACACTTAAAATCTATTAATTTCTTGTCCATCTTCAGTAATACTTGGAAGCCCAAAATACAGATGTTTAATCTGTTGCTGGTATTATTAGGAGGTAGCTACATAAGTAAATATTCAGGTCGGACAGGGCAACCTAGGTATTTAGGAGGAAGAAAGAAAACCGACAAAAAATAGAGTAAAGAATAAGCAAGCAGTTAAGATGTAGAGGTGGTCGTAAGGTAGGAAGAAGGAAACAGATTTCAAGTACTATATATAAATTCTTAAAACATGTACAGTTTACACAATTCACCATTGAGTCTTATTTTATACACAAGAAAGAATTGCAAAGCCATCAAATGTTTATTGACCCTACCAGTGGGTTATATATTAAAATCACTTCTAGTTGAGTCTTGAGTGATCAAAAATAAGACCCAGTCTCTAAAATTTAGGTGAAATTTTATAGGATTGCTTCAATATTATTTCTGTTTGCTGAAAAGGTAATAATACCGAAAAAAATAAAATCATGGAACCATACTAAAATTATGATAAAAATTCAAATAATAACTTTGAACGCTTCATCCATTGGTGATAACTTACTATAGGCAAAACATCTGTCATGTTGTGAGAAGTGCTGATGAAGTTTATTAAATTAGGAAGGCAATAATAATAATTATTTAAAAAATAGAATTACATAAAAACATTCAAAATTATTTTGCTTGTATAAAACAACTGGTGATTAACCACACATCAGCAATTATTTGCTAAGCAATGATTACCTGCATCTCTATAAAAATTAATTCTTCTCCAAAAGGCTTAAAATATTCCTACAGAGAAATTATCATCAGCATATTCTAGACATTTTCTAAATTGAACATTGCCTAGAAAATTGTCAGCTCTTTTTAATACTTTTTATTACTGATAAGTTTTTAATACATTAGGATGAAAAAGAGGACCAGCAAGGCAACCACCCCAGGGTGTTATGACCTTTGTCTCTTCTGGCAGCATTCATCTCATTCATGTTTCATACAAGAATGATTGGTTCCATGGAACATACTTAGGAAAACCATACTTAAACTATAATGCCCTAAAGGCTTGATTTGTTTGACTTCTTGATTTGCTCTACAAATAAAATTGTTAAACACCGACATGGTATTTGGTAAGAGATTGTAATTATATATGTCTTGGAAATAAGGACTTTTAGATTGGGATTCATTCATTCCCAAGTGGATATTGGCTATGCAGCTTCCATACTTTAAAAGAAATTTGAAGCCTCTTTATCCTTAGTGCAGCTTACTCTAGACACATTAGAAGAAACAATTCATTTACAATGTTATATATATTTTGTAGCATTCAGTATTAATAATAAACTAAAGGGCCTGATGAAGCTGTACTCTACTAGGAATCATGCATATCTTCAGAGAAGTGTTGAAAATTAAATTCTCCGTAGTATTATTAAGAAACACTTATAGCCAAGAGAAAAAATAAAAGTAAAAAGATGATTACTATCCTCAACTCTGTAACTTCTTACTATGTCATAGTGAGTAAATCATGTAAATATTCAGAAGTTACTTTATGTTTCATAATATGTGGATTAAAATACCTATTCACCTTAATTATGGCTGACTTTTCTTAACCCACAGAATTTCTACTTAGGCAATTTATGTGAAAGGATGAATTTATTTATTAAATAAATATTTTACAATGTGCTGGAGAGATAAAGATGAATAAGACCAAATCCTGCCCTCAAAGAATTTCTTAAAGGTACCCTTAAGACTCATAGAGTTTAATGAAAAAAGAAAAAGAGTCAATTACTATATCATGTGCTTAAAGGAGCAACGGAGATCATGGAAGGATTTGAGGGAGCATAAGAGAGGTACCTAAACATTGGCCTCAATTATATACCTAGGGAAAGATGACTCAGAAATACACCACTTAAGCCTAGCTCTTGTTTATTTCCTGAACTGAAAACCTGAATATCCAACTTCTTCCTATATCTCTTCTGTTCGATTTCTCACAGGCATCTCAAATGAACAGGTCTATAATTGAACTAATCTATCCTCCCAACAACTACACTTAGGGGGTCCTCTATTTTTTTCTTGTCACTGTAAACAGAATTCACATTCAGACAGGTATTCAATTTCTTGTCTAGTTATCCAACTGCTTCCAGAGCCAATCTTTATTTGACCTTCTCAATTTAGCCACATTGGACTTCCTTTAGCCCTCTAATGTGTTCTTCATCACCACATTTCTCACTCTCATTCCATGCCCTCCTAGGGTAAAGGTTTCATTTACTATAACGAGGCATACTGGAGTGGTGTCAGAGTTTGAAAGGGTTTAATAAAGACAAAGTAGAAGCTGTCAATGAAGAAGGAGAGGTTACAAGTACTACTTACAGAAAGAAAAGTCTGTGTTTAGAAAAATTAAAGGGAAACATTAGTCTTGTAATACTAGGAGGCTATAACGTGCTTTTTAGGATGATATCACGGAAGTTTGAAATGGAGAATAGCACTTTAAGTGCACTTCTCTTCCTCCTAGTCTTCACGTTTAAATAAGTCAAAAACTGATAAGAGTCTTTCTCGTAATGTTTCCCTATCAGTTCCTTTGTTTTCACTGTCAGAGTAGCTATCATGGTTCCAATCCTTTACCATTTTTTTTCCTTAAAAAAAATCTCTCTCTCTCTCTTTCTCTCTCTCTCTCTCTCTGTGTGTGTGTGTGTGTGTGTGTGTGTGTGTCTGTGTGCATGTGAAAACACTTCTTTACTTTTGCTTTCTACAAGATGCTCTGGGTTACTTTGTGTCTTCCTTGTCCCTGAATCTGCCATCTCTTCACGGACCTGGTTTCTTTGTTAGAGATGGTATTAGATACCAAGATCTGTGGTACTAGATATGCTCATTGCTGTGATGGTGCCACTGCTTATAGTCCTACTGAGCAGACATCAGATAAATAAATGTGTGTATATTAATCATGTATATACAAATATCTACAAATATGTCTATATGTAACCATCTGTATCCATATTAAGGTGAGCATGAGTTAATAGCAATGCATCCAATTCTGATCCATTGCTACAAGGATCTTTCTAGCCTTGTCCCCTTGTTTATTTGTAGCTTCCTCTCCAACTGTGAGAAATATGGCTCCCACCACCCATCATTCATTTAACTAGTGTCTAGTGGTATCAGAATTGTTAAACAGTATGTCCATAGGAAACATTATCAACGTGAACACAGTACTTACATAAAATTTTCTGAACTTTTAATCTTCAAAATTTCACTGATTTTCAAAGATCAGTAAAATTGTTTTACAGATTTGTAATTTAGCTAGTTTTTTTAACATGTTTTGCATTCTCTCCTCCCATCTTCTGAACTTTTGATTTTTTTTAAATTTTAGAACATTAGGTTTATTATTTTCCCTGTAAAGTTCTGTGAATTTTGACTAATGAATAGCATCATGTTTCCACCATCATATTATTTACAGAATAGTTTCACCTTCCTGAAAATTCCTCTGTGTTTCACCTATTCAACTCTCCTTTTCTCCCTCCTAAAACCTTGACAACCACTGATTTCTTTATTGTCTACTATGTTCCCTTTTTCAGAATATCCTATCATTGGAATCACAAAGTATATAGCTTCTTCAGATTGTCTTCTTTCACTTAGCAATACGCATTTAAGATTTATTCTGTTTTTATAGCTTGATATCTCATTTATTTTTATCACTGAATAATATTCTACGTGTAGATATACCAAGTGTGTTCAGTCATTCACCTCTTGAAGAGTATCTTTGTTTCTTCCAGTTTTTGGTGAGAATAAAGTGCTAGAAACATTCATGCATAGGTGTTTTGTGAACTTGTTTTATTATTTATTTATTTATTTATTTATTTATTTATTTATTTATTGAAAGATGGAGTTTCGCTCCTCTTGCCCAGGCATCCATTGATTGCAATGGCACGATCTCAGCTCACTGCAACCTCCGCTTCCCAGGTTCAAGTGATTCTGTTGCCTCAGCCTCCCGAGTAGCTGGGATTACAGGCATGCACCACCATGCCCGGCTAATTTTGCATTTTCAGTAGAGACAGGGTTTCTCCATGTTGGTCAAGCTGGTCTCAGACTCCCGACTTCAAGTGATCCGCCTGCCTCGGCCTCCCAAGTGCTGGGATTACAGGTGTCAGCCACCGTGCCCGGCCTGTGAACATGTTTTCAATTCAGTTCGTTGAACACCTAGATACACAATCGCTGGGTCATATTAAGAGGCCATGTTTCAAAGCTGTATAAAACACCGCAAAATTGTCTTCTAAAATGGCTGTACCATTCTTTATTTCCAAATGCAATGAGTGTTGTTTTTGCTCTGTACCCTTTCCAGTGTTTGCTATGGTCAGTTTTTTATTTTGTTGTTGTTGTTGCTATTATTATTATTTTCACCAATCTAGTAGGTTTTTAGTGATATCTCATTTCTGTTTTAATTTGCAATTTTTGTGATGCCAAATGATAATGAACCTCTTTTCATATGCTTATTTTCCATCTGTGTGTCTTATTTGGTGAGGTGTCATTTCAGAACCTTTGCCCATTTTTTAATTGTGTTGTTTGTTTTCTTATTGTTGAGTTTTAACAGTTCTTTGTATACTTTTGGATACAAAACCTTTATCAGATATATGGTTTTCAAATATTTCTCTCAGTCTATGGCTTGTCCTCTTGCTATGTCTATGGTACCACCTCAAGACTGTGAGGCCCAAGGAGTTTCTTGCTTTCATGACAATCCACACTCAGCCTTCAGCAATTCATCAAAATTACCATTAAGTTTTCCTACCAGTTTATCGCTCCAATAGCTTCTGTTTTAGGTAAGTTGCCTTCTCTAAAATAAAGTTGTCTGAGGTCAGGTTGATGTTACCTTTTTTTTTGTCATTAACCCCAAAGCATGTGAACTCTCATGTTTATACATATATTCCTTGGTTAACCAAACACTGAGTGTCTCCTAATGGACCCAACTCAAGAGATTCCCATTCCTGCACTTATAGTAATATCTCATAATGTATTTACACTTCCTAAAAATGTAAGTCTTAGAATATAAACCAAAACATGAAATAAATATTCACAAGTCCATACTGATACATGGTTATGAATAAATAATTCACTAAATAAAGATAGAAAAATACAAATCTGCCCATAAAAAAAGAATTCCAAACAACTTGTATAGATATTCCCCCATCAAGGATGTGGCCGATAACCCCCCATTCCTTAAGAGTGGATGACACATAAATGAATTCCTTCCAAAGACTATAGTATGCAATGGGGCTGGGAGCCAGAAAAACTTTACAGTAGAGGAACGTGATAAGCTCTACTTCAACGAGTTGTCCGAGACTAATATCATGCTGGTAGTATGACAGTGTGTTCTTTAATACAATGTGATACAAGTGGTACTTCTTTGTTTCTGTGGTTTTCCTCCCAAGAACACATAACCTCAGTCTAATCATGAGAAAATAATCAGACAAATTCTAACTGGGAGGCATTCTATAAAATGTCTGACCAAATCTCTCAAACTGTCAATATCCTGATACACAAGAAAACTCTGATAAACAATCATAGTCAAGAGGAGCCTAGGAACATATGATGATTAAATATAATGTAATACTCTGTATGTAACCCTACAACAGAAAGAGAGACGTTAGATAAAAACTAAAGAAATCTGAAAAAAAACCACTAAAGATTACATAATAATGTACCAATTTTGTCTCAATGATCTTGACACATGTGCCACACTATTTGTAAGACATTAATAATAGGAGAAAATGGGTGTGGAGTGTATGGAAATTTTCTACACACAATCTTGCTGTATTTCAGTAAATCTAAAACTGTTTTAACAATTTTTTAAAGTTTGTTTACAGAAATTAATGACACATAAGGTAGAGATGAGGTTATGGAAAAAACAAAAGGAATTAAGATAGAGACAAGCTTGTTCTGGTAAACATAATTTATGCCATGAATTGGAACATACCTGCATGAGTTGGGAAACAATATTCACTTGATTAAATCTAACAATGAGAAATATGCAATTAGTTCTAAGACTGATTGCCCAAAAGAAAAACTGAACAGAACAGCACAAAATTCTTTAGAAAAAGAACAAAAATACATTCTATTAACAACTGAGCGAAAGCCTCCATCCATTTTCTTACAGAAAAAAATATATATTAAGCCTCATAATAATTTTTATATATATGCTAAACAAATACATATTTTGGTATTATTATTTGGCTGCTTATATAAACACAGGCACATGCATTTAAGCAATCACAATTACGAATTTTTATTTCACTTTTAAAGTGGAAAATCTTGATTTCATTTTCTGGTTGTGTGATGGTTAATATTAAGTATCAACTTGATTGAAGGATGCAAAGTATTGTTTCCGGGTGTGTCTGTGAGGGCGTTGCCAGAAGAGATTAACATTTGAGTCACTGGACTTGGAGAGGAAGAACCAACCACAATGTTGGGGCGGGGACCATCCAATCAGCTGCCAGCGCGGCTAGAGAAAGCAGACGGAAGAAGTTGGAAGAAGCTGGCTTGCTGAGTCTTCCAGCTTTCATCTTTCTCTCGTGCTGGATGCTTCCTGCCCTTGAACATCAGACTCTAGGTTCTTTGGCCTTCGGACTCTTGGACTTACACCGGTGGTTTGCCAGGGGCTTTTGGGCCTTCAGCCACAGACTGAAGACTGCACTGTCGGCTTCTCTACTTTTAACACTTTGGGACTTGGACTAAGTCCCTACTGGCTTTCTACTTCCTCAGCTTGCAGACAGCCTATCATGGGACTTGTGATCGTGTGAGCCAATTCTCCCTAATAAACTCCCTTTTATATATACATATAGCCTATTAGTTCTGCCCCTTTGGAGAACCCTGACTAACACCCGTTGTAGACATAAAATGTCAGACGATACAAGACATTGTAAAAGATAAAGTAAATGTTCAATTGCATACCCGACCCAGACCACCACCCAACCCGATCCTTAAGAAATAGCAAATTTTAGAAGTATGATCCACCAGAATTAATTTATGTGCTTATGTTTTAAGACAACAAATAAGCTAAAAGCCATCATTTTATACATTCTTTTGCCTGCTAATATTTTACCTATCTCTAAAGGATTCTACCTGGTCCATACACAGACATCATTTTCATTTAACATTTTAATACTTTTGTCTTAATCATTTAAACTTTTAATTACATAGATATACTATAATATATTTAAGTTATCTCCTTAAAAGGGATATTTAATTTTCAATATCTTATTCATTGTACACTATACTAGTTTTTATATTCATTAACATACATTTTGTTCTTTATCAACGTTTCCCTGAAAGAAAAAAAGATCTAAGACCATAATATTCTATTTGAAGAGAAAGCAAATGTATGTCTAAAAAGTGCCTTTCCTCAGCCTTGTTAAGACCACATTTCACTGTTTATTCAGTTCTCAATCTTTTTCAATAAAAATGTTTAAAAAATTATATATCAACGTTGTATGCATTTTCTTTTTTCAGGTAAACTTAAGAATAACCATGTTCCTTTAGTTTCTTCAGTAACAATATACATTTTTATGTATATATATATGTATATTTTCTTTGGCTAAAGGTTAGAAATGATTCAAATTATTAATTCTGTGAATAGACAAATATTAAGATATTTACAGTACTTTCATTATTACTTAAAATGAATTAAAATACCCAGATAAATAGGCTGTGATGTTAATGGCAGAGGTATTGCTTTAAAAGTATTGCTTTACTATAAATATTTTTTAGGTACAGGCAGATCTGAAGGGCCTGAAAACTCTTATGGATTGTAAACACAAATCACAGGCTCTGGCCAAGGGTACAAGTAGTAAAATCTGTAACAGTTGATCCATTGATTCTGCCCAGTCAGCTGGAAATCAATTCTTTGTAAGTGAACATGGCTCTGAATTTATGAAGGAGCCTGAAGCCCTCAAAGAACAGAAGTCACTCTGCTGCTGAGGCCTATTCGAGGGTGGCATTATCTGGCAAGCAAGTTTGTTAGTATGGTTTTTTAAAAATGATAGTTAATACACTTGACCTTCACTCCCTTTTACTCAAAATAGCAAGTTTTAAAATTATCTGCAAAACAGAAAATGATTCTCAGCCAAGAAAAGTGTACATTGATTAACTGTATACCGAATGTGTGCAATATGTCATGTGGGAAGTATTTTCAGAAATTAGAAAGCAGCATAAAAATGAACTCAAAATGGAAAAGTTCACCAAAAGTGCCAACTAGAACTCACATGTTTTCTAATGTCCAAGTATCAAAACCAAAACAAACAAAAAAACTAAGTTTCTAATTTAGGAGAAAAAAAGGAGCAGCGAAATTATTTTTACATTATAAGTGCCACCTAATATATTGTCACAGTATTTTTATAGATATCCAGTTTGTATTTCTCAAAAATAAAAAACAAACTATATTATGATTCATATATGCTATATAATAACATAGTTTACCTTGAGTTTATAAACTTTAAACAGAAAATTGTTCTTTAAAATTCCCTTAATTCAGTTCTTATTTAATTGGTTTTAACAAAGCTACATTTTGTAATAAATCCAACAATTCACCTTTATTTTATATGGACTAAACTATAATGATTAAATATGGTGACTTTATTCTTTAAATTATTTATCCCACCTGTAACAATCATAATGCTTCCTTATGTCATTCATGTTAATGGCCATATCTTTCTCTTTGAGTAACCATATCTCAATATAGGAAGCATCTCACAGTTTGCTTCTATTTATGTCTCATTCACACCAAATTAGCATTGTGTATACCAGTCTCCCAAGGGAAAGAGGAAAAACATTCTGAGCAGATTTGAAAGTTAGTTATTTGGCACTATGTTCTAAAAACTTTGCTGACTTTTTGACATATGCCAGCCCATGTGTAGCTAATCCAGAATCCTCTTAGGTAATGCTACCTCCATCCTTCTTTCACTTTAAAAACAAGTGGGCTTGAAAACATTTCACTAGTGGAGTATAGCACATCAAGGATCGGGCTCTTTCCTTCTCAATAACGTATTTTTTTAAAATCTAAAACACAGAAGGGATTGACCCTAAGATATATTTTTTAATATGTCATAAGAACGAGTAAGTTTGCTATGTCATAACATTTCTATAGAAAAATAGACAAAAGCCCACCCAAAATGAAAAGGAAAAGATGTATTCAAATATCATCAGTGTGATTCATTTCAAAAGTTAAAGAAGGTCATGATACTAAGGGAGAGAAGCAATGTCCGGTCTTGCCTAAAGAAGATGATTATGAAAGGACCATTCCATTTTCCTCTCAGATAAAATGTGATACGTTGGGATTAGGTATTCATTTCTGTTTGATGTATGAACTTATTCAAAAAAGGTGTCAAATACAAAGCATTGGTGTCCAACAATATTATTTGGTTATCCCTTAAATTATCCTTTAAAATGTGCAAGAATATGGTATATTCCATTTTATATTATTTCTTACTTATACTATCAGTTGAAATTTAATTTTTATTTTTAAAATTTTTCATTATTTTTGTGGATACGTAGCAGGTGTATATATTTATGTGGTACATGAGATATTTTGATACAGCCATACTATGTGTCATAATCACATCAGAGCCAATGTGGTATCCATAACTTTTAGCATTTATCCTTTGTGTTACAAAGAATCCAGTTATACACTTTTGGTTACTTTAAGATGTACGATTAAATGGTTATTGACTATAGTCACCCTGTTTTCCTATCAAGTACTAGATCTTATTCATTATTTCTATTTATTTGTGCCCATTAACCTTTGCCAATTCCCCCCATCCCCTCACCAACTACCCTTAGAAGCTTCTGGTAACCATCACTCTCTCTATCACCATGACTTTGTTTTAATGTTTAGCTCCCATAAATAAGTGAGAACATGTAAATTTTATTTTTCTGTGCCTTGCTTATTATGTTAGAAATATGTTCGATTTATAAAGCTTTTATATGATGATGCAATATAAAAAGAGCCTATTAGTTAATTTTGTTATTGACAAGAAGATGGAAGATTCTTTCTAAAAAATATCATATGAAAACAAAAATGCCTGAACATTGGTAAAATAATGAATCCTTCTATCACAACACAATAGTAGAATTATTGTATTTACATCTTTAAAATACAAATTTTATTGGTTAAAAATTTTATTTTCTTTACAAATCATTCCTTGATTCTTAACAGCCCCATCTTACTCTGTTTATTGTATTTTAATCTTTACTATTGCTTTTAATTAGGTGACTAAGAGATCTGAATTCTAAAAGAATTTAGATTTAAAAGATATTTCAGCTCCAAAATGTGAAAGCATTTTGTTTAAATCTTAATTGCATCTTTTAATTTAATATTCAATTATAATACTATTATAAGGTCAAATTGAGTGGAGATTGTCTAACTTTATTAACATCGGCATAATTGCTAAAAGGATAGAATTTTCAGAGGTCATCTGATTCTTGTTCAGGATCATTTCTTATCGATTGACCAGGAAATGGAACAGTTTGAGGTTTTCCTCTAATTATTTAAAGCCATCTTCACTTATCTCATTATATATTTATAATGTTTCAAACTAATCATGATGATTATATCTTTATAAAGGTTACTGTAAGGGATTCAGCCTTCACTATAAAAAAAAACTGCTGCAATTTCTTCAAAACATTAAATAATAGAAAGTGTAGCCACTGATTTGGAAAACCTGCATGTAAATAAGAGATCATCTGTTAATAATTTTAGTAATAATTTAGAACAATTTGTATACTTATGCTCATAGTTCCATAAACCACATATTGTGGTTTTCTGGGAAGTAATATGGTGCTATATAATATGAAGATATCGTTACTCTTATGCAAAATGCAATATTAAAGCTTCTACTCAAGAAGTTTACACTTTCCATAGGTGCAAGTGTAGTTATACATTTGCATATTTAGTTTGCATTGGAAATTACAGGGATCATTTTAAAGAAGTAATGTTGGATTAATTTTTATGCAGTTGTACTTTTTGGAAATAAAATTGTATTAATAATACCAAATGGTGCTTTTTTTGTTTGTTTTTAAATGGCAAAATCCCCAACCAACCTGCTCTGGTAGCTCCTAATGTATTTCAGGTAGATCCCCACAGCTCTTTGGAATGCGAGGCTAGAGGTCATTTAAATGAAATTTCATATAGAGACATATGTAAAAGCATTTCACTTAATTAGAAAGCATTATAAAATATATGTTCAAGCATTATTAAAGGAAATCGATTTCTGGATAAATAAGAATTTTAGTGAAATTGAATAGTATTCACATATACTGCCTGCTTGTTTCTGCTTTATTATTTTCTAACAAATAGAATCCACATAAAAATGTTGTATCTTAATTAAATATTTGAAGGTCAATGTTAAACTTATTTTTACTTTTACCAAAAAGTACATTTTACATATGACTATGTAATTAGGTATTTTTCTGAAATTGTCAGGAAGTACTGTGAGTAAAAGTGTAACTTCTGTGACCACGAAATAAATTTTGTTTTATGACAGTTTTTATTGAATATGACTACAGCTAATGAAGTATTCATAAAATTATAGGTTTGGGAAAGACCTTGAGAATACAATTAGTCTATCTCCTTTCCTGATCACTTTAAGACACTTTATTATTCCATTTCATTCTGAGAACTACAGGGAAGATAATTTTATAAAATCTTTCTGTGATAATACATTTCAAGTCTTTTAAAGCAATGTGACAGTTCTCTTTTTTCAGAGGTCTGCTGCTCTGAACTATGTTTTATCTTTTAAAAGTGGCTGAAGATAATAATTTGTACCTACGAAAGTAGAATTTTCTTTTTTCCCTATATTTACCTTTTACTTTTTTATTTATGATGAAAATACACATTCAAAAGGTAATCCTCCTCTTGAATATTTTTTCTGCTTTCATCTTAGTACCAGTAATGTCATCTCTTAAGTGATTCTTCTACCATTAAATAGATAATTTCATTTTTTTTAATGTCAGACTCTTTTGCAATTTTTAGCTGGAATAGATGTTGATTCAAATTACTACTATAAGTTTCAAGGCCTTTTCACAGAATGATGTGTTAAAGCCAGCAACACAAGAAAAATGTAGAGGATCCAAGAGTTGATGCATAAGAACAAGCAGTCATATAAGCCATAGTGTTCATAGAAACCAGAGTGCCTTTAATGATCCGGAAAAAGTCTGTAATTGTTAATACTAGTACCTCATATTCCAAGGCACAACCTGACACAGAAGAGACTCGCAGATTTTTTTTTTTTTCTTTTAAGAGACAGGGTCCCGCTCCAACACCCAGGCTGCAGTGCAGCAACATGATCATAGTTCACTGCAACCCTGAACTCCTGGGCTCAAGCAATCCTCCCACTTCAGCCTACCGAGTATCTGGCACTACAGGTGTGTGCCACCATGCCCAGATAATACTTTTTGTAGATACGGGGTCTCACTTGTGTTGCCTAGGTAGGTCTTGAACTCCTGGCCAAAAGTTATCTTCTGGACTTGGCTTCCAAAAGTTCTGGAATTGCAGGCATGAGGCACCATGCTCGGCCAGGAACTCAGAATTGATTGATGTCCATGTCTATAATTTTTGGCAAAACTGAAATCCAGAGATGAAGTACCTCTATACAAAAGCGGGTACAAAGCAAAAACACATACATTTCTCCCTATATGCAAAAAAATAATAAAACTTCATTGTGACTTTCTTATCACTCTTAAAACTGAGGTTTCTAACACATACTTTACTCGAAACTCTATCTAGATTTCCATTTTGTTCCCAGTTCTTTGCTACTCTGTGCCCATATTTCATCAATGATTATGTACTGGCATTATTTTCATTTTATCACTTTGAGAACACGAACTTAGGTTTATCTTTTAATTTTAATGTTTAATTTACAGGCCGTGAAAAAAGTACTTCTAGTTACGATTATAAAGAAAAATGAGAAAAGTAGGTAGCATGGATTTTTATACAAACTGTTTTTAACCTTTTTTAAAATAATTACCAGGCTCAAAGTGTGCTGATAAACTCTTTGGTATCCATCTCAGGAAAAAGAATTCATAGTAGCTGGATCACAAAGACTCTGTATCTAGTTTTACTTTCTTGATTGAATCAAAGAACAAGTCAAAAAATTGTTCAGAACACAACATTTTGATGTTATTAATTCAACAATAAAGTAAGAGTTTTACAAACTGCTGAAAGATAGGAACATTTGTGATTCCTGACCAGAGAGTAAAGATAAAGTTAGAAATTATGTAGCCTTCTGTAAAGGTTGCTTGGTTCATAAAGGCTAAAAAGACGAGGTGCTCTTAGAAGAAGTAGAAACTCTTCAAGGGAAACTGAGCTCTCTGTAAAGCAAGCAAAGGACAAATTCCTATGGAATCATTGTGTAAGAAAGAAAAGATTAGAACGAGAAATTTCAAAAGTATTACTTGACTGAGTGAATAATGTAGCGACAACACAATATTCCATCATAAAAATTTCTTCAGAGGCCTATATTAATGCAGCCCATTAATCCTTGGAATTCTTGGATAATATATATTTCAAACATTCCCTGGTTGTCTGGTAGTTAGGGTTAGGCACTCTCCATATATATTTTTTCTCCTTTTATAAAAATAAATATAAAACTCATAACAGACAAAGAGAAAATTGGAAAGAAGTTGATAAAATTCATCTCCAAAGAAAAAATGAAAATAACATAATTTGATATTTAAAAAAATCTAAAATACATTATACTTAACAACAATAGATAGAATCATGAAGGAGTCTTATTTGGGAGCTCATTAAGGCTAATTTAAATTTTAATAAGACAAGTGTTATTGCCAATCTGAGGTGTATAAATTTGTTAATTTCTATCATTAATTCTATTATTATCCTTCTCAAATTAATTCAGAGCTTAAAAATCATGTTACTATCTATGTAGTTACCTTTCCCTTTATTCTTCTAAGGCTGCATTGAGTTTATCAGAGAAAAGAATACCAAGGAATATTAATTAGTTATCTTGTTGTGTAGAATTTATTTAAAATTATAGCGCTTAAAACTTAGTTATAAATCCTAATATATTGCTATTACAGACATAAATTGTATTGGTGCTATCGTAATAAAAAAGCCATATGATATGAGATGTTAAAAATAATTATTCATATTTGAAATAGAAGCCCTATATTTTAAAATGTTACAAAGAATAGACAAGAATACCATTCTAAATCCTTATATTTGTTTTCACTGATAGATTATTCTTAGCTCCTTAGAGAGGTCATGGCCTCCAGGCATTTAATCTGTGGTTGAGAGATATTAACCTCTCTTTAACATTTTCACTGTAAGCTGCATAACAATAAATTCATTTCCAGAAAGGAATAATTAGTGCAAACCTGGGTAAAATACCATCCAAAGTAGCTGTTAATGTTAATTTCTACATCTCATTATTTATTTTTGTGTGTTTTCTTAGGGAAGGGAAAAAATTATGTAAACACAGACAGACCCCTTCCTTTTTTGTATCATTATTCAGGCACGTGTCAAAAACCTTTCTACCACCACATTCTGGCTGTGCAACTTTGATTAAGTCGCTTAACGTCTCTGAGCCTTAGTTCCTCATCTCCATGTGGGAAAGCGAAGAGATGGTCACCAAGGAGAAGCTGCAGTGTCTGAAAGATTTCCACAAGGACATCCTGAAGCCCTCGCTGGGGAAGAGCCAGAGAGCGCGGTCTGAGGACAAGGCCGAGGGAAAACCTCCGCAGAGGCAGAAGTGGTCTCGTCTAGCAAGATCGACTTGGTGATCTCCGTGGCTGGCGGCTTCGTGGGCCTGGTCAACGTCTGGCGCTTCCCATACCTCTGATACAATAATGGTAAGGTGAATTTCTCATACTTTCCTGTTTGGAGCGGCCTGCCTGTGTTTTTCTTGGAGATCATCACAGGCCAGTACACCTCTGAAGGGGGCATCACATACTGGGAGAAGATCTGGCACTTGTTCTCTGGCATCGGCTCTGCCTCCATCGTAATTGTGCCCTTCCCGAACGTCCACTACATCGTCATCGTGGCCTGGGCTACAGACTACCTGTTCCAGTCCTTCCAGAAGGAGCTGCCCAGGGCACACTGCAACCACAGCTGGAACACGCCCCCCTGCATGGAGGACACCATGCGCACGAACGAGAGTGTCTGGATCACCATCAGCTCCACCAACCTTACCTCCCCTGTCACTGAGTTCTAGGGGCGCAACGTGCTGAGCTTGTCCCCTGGAATCGACCATCCGGGCTCTTTGAAATGGGACCTCTCTCTCTGTCTTCTCTTTGTCTGGCTAGCCTGTTTCTTCTGCATCTAGAAGGATGTCAGGTCCACGGGGAAGGTCGTCTACTTCACAGCCACGTTCCAGTTCGCCATGCTCCTGAGGCAGCTGGTCCGAGGGCTGATGCTGCCCGGCATGGGTGCCGGCATCAATTTTTCTCTGTATCCAGACATCACCTGCCTCGAGGGCGCACAGGTGTGTATTGACGCTACGACCCAGATATTCTTCTCCTAGGCCATCTGCCTGGGGGCCGTGACCTCTCTACGGAGCTACAACAAGTACAAGTACAACTCGTACAGGGACTGCATGCTGCCTGGATGCCTGAACAGTGGTACCAGTTTTGTGTCTGGCTTTGCAATTTTTTCCATCCTGGACTTCATGGCACGAAAGCAAGGGGTGGCCATTGCTGACGTGTCTGAGTCAGGCCTGGCCTGGTCTTCGTTGCCTACCCCAAAGCTGTGACAATGATGCCACTGCCCACGTTTTCGGTCCCTTTTTGTTGTTGTTGTTGTTGTGCTTCTCTTGCTTGGACTGGATGACCAGTTTGTTGAAGTCGAAGGGGAGATCACGTCCTTGGTTGATCTTTACCCATCCTTCCTAAGGAAAGGTTATTGTCGGGAAATCTGCACCGCCTTCGTGTGTAGCATCAGCTGCCTGCTGGGGCTGACAATGGTAACGGAGGTTGGCGTCTATGTCTTTGACTACTACGCAGCTAGCGGTGTATGCCTTTTAGGGGCTGCGTTCTTTGACTGTATAGTTACTGCCTGGATATATGGTGTTGATAATATTTATGACAGTATTGAGAACGTGATCGGCTATCGGGCCGGGCCCTGGATGAAGTACAGCTGGGCTGTGATCACTCCATTTCTCTGTGTTGGATGTTTTGTCTTCTCGATCGTCAAGTACACACCCCTGACTTAACAACGAAACCTACGTGGACACCATCTGCACCATCGGGCTGGGCTGGAGCCTGGCCCTTTCCTCCAGGTTGTGGGTTCCCTTGGTCATCGTCATCCGCCTCTGCCAGACCGAGGGACTGTTTCTCGTGAGAGTCAAGTAACTGCTGACCCTCAGGGAACCCAACCGCAGGGCTGTGGGGCGCGAGGGAGCCACACCCTACAGCTCCCGCTCCGTCATGAGCGGCGCTCTCATGAAACCGACCCACATCATTGGGGGTAGGAAATGCTTTCTTTAAACTATTATTCTCTGGGTTCTTGTTTCTCTGCTTCATTGTTTTAGAGTTTACCTTTCATATTAAAGTATTTACCCAAGTATGTGGGGACTTTTTATTTCTTTTCTTTGCAAGAATTATTTTTTTAATTACACTATTTGTAATAGAAAAGTTGAAACATACACAAAAGTAAAGGTACTATTATGATCAGTATGTATTCAGTATTTTGGTCAATCTTTCTTAATATAATTTTGTATATCTATATATAGATATATAGGTACATTATTTTGCTAGATTATTTTAAAGCAAATCTTACATAGCTTGCCTTTTCACCCAACAGTAATTTGGTATGCTTCATTAACTTTAATATTTTGATTTTACATTACCACCATGTCTTTAATAACTCAACAATATTCGTTACATTTTAATAATATTTTATACCCAGCCAAAATTTACATGTTTCTTATTGTTCTAAATGTTATTTTAATTTTGCTTGCTTGAATTAGGATGCAAAGTTCACACACTGCATATTTGTTTACTTATTTTTAAAGAGGGAGTCATAATTTGGTACTCCTATGTCATAAATAAAAAGTCAATAGGAGTAATTGAGTTACTCGTTTTCAATATTGGCAATTTGATGATTATATTCCTTTTAAAGTCGTATAACTATGGTTGGATACATTGAGAGAGTTCATTTTCTCCTACTCATCAGTGTGTGTATGGATCTCTTTAGCAACATATCCAAAAAATTATAATCACCCTTCTGCTTAAACAATTCCAGGGACAAGAATTTCACCATTTCCAAGGATATCAAATATCACAGTATTTGATATGTTGAATCATTAGACTTTGTTCTCATGTGGAAAAAACATAATTCCACATGGAATACATTGTTACTCTTCAATGATATATAGGATTATATATACTGATTCTACCAATTCTACATGAAATATGACACATTATTTTTTAAATATGCAGACTTTATGTTTTAGAGCAGTTTTATGTATCACCTTACTCCCCTCTTCCAGCATGCACTGACATGGTATATTTGTTACAATTGATGAATCAATATTGGTACATTGTTGTAAAAGCCCACACTTTTCATTGGGGTTCACTCCTTGTGTTGTACATTTTATGGGTTTCCACAAATGTACAGTTGCATGTATCCATTATAACATTGTCATTAAGTACAGTTTCAATGCCTTAAAATCCCTGCCCATTGCCTGTTCATCCCTCCCTCCCTTTAATAAAATCCCTGGAAACCACTGATGTTTGAATGTCTTTTATGCTTTGCCTTTTCCAAAATATCATGTAGTTGAAATCACACAGTATGTTTTATTTTCAGATTGGCTTTTTTGTTTACTTAGCATGGAAGGTGCCTCTGTGACTTTCAATGGCTTAATAGCTCCTTTTTATCACTGAAAAATAATTTATTGTGTGGATAAAACAAAGTTTTTTATCCATTTACCTCTTGAAGAACATCTTGGTTCTGTCTAATTTGTGGCAATTAAGAAAAAGCAGCTATAAGCATTTGTATGTAGGTTTTTAGCTGGTCATAGTTTTTCATCTTATCTGGATAAGTACCAAGGAAGGCACTTGCTGGATCATATTGGTGAGAACTTTGTATGAAGTTTTTTGTGAGCTTTGTGTGAATCTGCCAAACTAACTTCCAAGGTGGTTGTACAAGTTTGCATTCCTACCAGAAAAGAAAAGGAAACAAAACAAAACACAAACAAAAAACAAAGAAAAATACCCGAGTGTTTGCTCCATATGCATGTCTTGTCAAAATTTGATGTTGACAGTGTTTTGAAGTTTAGGTATTCTAATGTGTAATGATATCTTGTTGGTTTAATTTGTATTTTCCATATGTATGACATATGATACAGAGCAACTTCTCATATGCTTATTTTTCATCTGTATCTTTTTTGATGAGGTGTTTGTTCTGATTATTTTCCAGATTTTTAATTGAATTGTTTGTATTTTTATTGCCATTGTTGTTGAGTTTCAATAGTTATTTGTCTATTTTGGATATCAGTCCTTTATCTGGTACATGTTTTGCAAAGATTTTTCTCCCATTCTGAGATTTGGTTTTTCATTCTCTCAACAGTATCTTTCACAGAGTAGAAAATTTTATTTTTAATGTGGTCCAAATTTACATTTTTTTTTCCTTTTTATGGATGGTGCTTTTGTGGTTGCATCAAAAAACATTTGCCAAAACCAGTCACTTAGATTTTCTCCCATGTTATCTTCTAGAAGTTTTTTTTTTTAATTCTACATCTAGATTCATGAACCATTTTGAGTTAACTTTTATGAAAATCATAATTTTTGTCTTTTGCTTCATTTATTTGTATGTATAAGTTCGATTTTTCTTGTGCCATTTGTTGAAAAGGCTATCCTCTCTCTTTTCATTTGCCTTTCCCTCTTTTGTAAAAGATTATTTATTTATATTTGTATGGGTCTATTTTGGGGCTCCTTATTCTGTTCCTCTGAAGTATATGCCCAGTTTCTTCACCAGTGCCACGTGGTTTTGATTACAATTGCTGTATAGTAAGTCTTGAAATAGGGTAATGTCAGTCATCCAACTTTGCTCTTTTTCATTGATATTGTGTTTTCTATTCTGAGATTTTTGCCTTTCCATTGCAACTCATTTCTCTCTTTTTTTTGGCAGATATTTTAACATTTAATGATATTAGTTCTATTTTCTTAATTGTCATACTTATCATCCATGGAATATTTTATTTTATTTTATTATTTCCATAGGTTATTAGGGGAACAAGTTGTGTTTGGCTTATGAGTAAGTTCATAAGTGGTGATTTGTGAGATTTTGGTGCATCCATCACCTGAGCAGTATACACTGTACCCTAGTTGTATGTAGTCTTTTATCCCTGGCCGCCTTCCCCCCTTTTCCTCCTGAGTACCCAAAGTCGTTGTGTCTTTTTTTTTTCTTTTGAGACAGAGTTTCCCTCTTGTCACCCAAACTGGAGTGCAATGGCACCATCTTGGCTGACCGCAACCTTTGTCCTCTGGGTTCAAATGATTCTCCTGCCTCAGCCTCCTGAGTGGCTGGGATTACAGGCATGCACCACCACGACTGGCTAATTTTGTATTTTTAGTAGAGACTGTGTCTTTCCATGTTGGTCAGGCTGGTCTTGAACTCCCGACCTCAGGTGATCCACCCACCTCGTCCTCCCAAAGTGCTGGGATTACCGGCGGGAGCTATGGCACCCAGCCTATTGTGTCATTGTTATGCCATTGCATCCTCATAGCTTAGCTCCCATGTATGAGTGAGAATATATGATATTTGGTTTTCCATTCCTGAGTTACTTCACTTGAATAATAGTCTCCAATTTCATCCAGGTCACTGAGAATGTCATTAATTCGTTTCTTTTTCTGCCTAAGTAGTATTCTATCGAATATATATATACCACAGTTTCTTTATGCACTCATTGATTGTTGGGCATTTGGGTTGGCTCTGTTTTTGCAATTGTGAATTGTGCTGCTATATACATGGATGGGCAAGTATCTTTTTCATATAGTGACTTCTTTCCCTCTGGGTAGATACCCAGTAGTGGGATTGCTGGATCAAATGGTAGTTTTACTTTTAGTCCTTTAAGCAATCTCTCCACGCTGTTTTCCACAGTGGTTGTTTGTTTACATTCCCATTAGCAGTGCAGAAGTGTTCCCTATTCACCTCATCCATGCCAACATCTACTATTTTTTGATTTTTTTGATTATGGCCATTCTAACAGAAGTAAGGTGATATCACACTGTGCTTTTGATTTGTGTTTCCCTGATCATTAGTGATGTTGCACATTCTTTCATATGTTTGTTGGCCATTTGTATATCTTCTTTTGAGAATTGTCTATTCATGTCCTTAGCCCACTTTTTGATGGGATTGTTTGCCTTTTTCTTGTTGATTTGTTTGAGTTCATTGTAGAATCTGGATATTAGTCCTCTGTCAGGTGTATAGATTGTAAAGATTTTTTCCCATTCTGTGGGTTGTCTGTTTACTTTGCTGACTGTCCCTTTTCCCACTCAAAAGTTTCTAGCAACCGCAGTTAAAAAAGACAAAGTGGAACATTATGTAATGATAAAAGGACTAGTCCAACAAGAAAATATCACAATCCTAGCCATACATGCACCTAACACTGGAGCTCCCAGATTTGTAAAACGATTACTAATAGACCTAAGAAATGAGATAGACAGCAACACAGTAATAGCAGGGGACTTCAATACTCCACTGACAGCACTAGGCAGGTCATTAAGACAGAAACTCAAGAAAGAACAATGGATTTAAACTACACTCCGGAACAAATGGACTTAACACCTATATACAGAGCATTTTATCCAATAACCGCAGAATATACATTCTTTTCAACAGCATATGGCACTTTCTCTAAGATAGGTCATATGACAGGCCATAAAACAAGCCTCAATAAATTTAATAAAACTGAAATTATACCAAGCACTCTCTCAGACCACAGTGTAATAAAGCTGGAAATCAACTCCAAAAGGAACCTTTGAAACTATGTAAATACATGGAAATTAAATAACCTTCTCATGAATGAACATTGGGTCAAAAATGAAATCAGGATGGAAATTAAAAAATTATTTGAACTTAATGACAATAGTGACACAACCTATCAAAACCTCTGGAACACAGCAAAAATGGCGCTAAGAGGAAAGTTTATAGCCCTAAACACCTACATAAAAGACTGTGAAAGAGCAAAAACAGACACTCTAAAGTCACACCTCAAGGAACTAGAGAAACAAGAACAAACCAAATCCAGCAGAAGAAAGGAAATAACCAAGATCAGAGCAGAACTAAATAAAATTGAAATGAAAAATACAAAAGATAAATGAAACAAAAAGCTGATTCTTTGAAAAGATAAATAAAATTGGTAGACCATTAGCAAGATTAACCAAGAAAAAAAGAGAGAAAATCCAAATAAGCTCAATAAGAAATGAAACAGAGATATTACAACTGACACCACAGAAATACAAAACATCATTCCAGACTACTATGAACACCTTTATGCGCATAAACTGAAAACCTAGAAGAGATAAATAAATTCCTGGAAAGATACAACCCTCCTAGCTTATATCATGAGGAACTAGATACCTTGTACAGACCAATAACAAGAAGCGACATTGAAATGGTAATTAAAAAATTACCAACACGAAAAAGTCCAGGACCAGATGGATTCACAGCAGAATTCTATCAGACATTCAAGGAAGAGTTAGTACCAATTCTACTGATACTATTCCACAAGATAAAGAGGGAACCCTCCCTGAATTATCCTGTGAAGCCAGTATCATCCTAATACCAAAACCAGGAAAGGACATAACCAAAAAAAACAAACAAACAAACAAACAAAAAAAACTACAGGCTAAAATTCCTGATGAACATAGATCCTAAAATCCTTAGCAAAATACTAGGTAATCAAATCCAACAACATAAAAGACAATCCACCATGATAAAGTGGGTTTCATAGCAGGGATGCAAGGATGGTTTAACATGTGCAAGTCAGTAAATGTGATACACCACATAAACAGCATTAAAAACAAACATCATATGATGATTTCATAGATGCAGAAAAAAATTCCACAAAATCCAGCATCCCTTTGTGATTAAAACTCTCAGTAAAATCAGAATACAAGGGAGATACCTTAATGTAATAAAAGCCATCTATGACAAACTCACAGCCAACAAAATACTGAATGGGGAAAAGTAGAAAGCATTCCCGCTGAGAACTGGAAAAACGGAAGAATGCCCATGGTATGGGGTAAATGGTAAGATTTACCCCAAACTCACCAGTAATGGTATGATCTTGGTAGAATCAGGAACACTTATTACATCATGCATTATATACATTAATCAGTAGAGTGTAAGATGCACATTTCTTCTATATTTTTGGAATATCAATTGCAACATCATGAACTATCATAAACTAGCACACACATTTTTTTCTCATATAGGTTCAGTGATGATTACTAAGTAGATATAATAATTTGGTTATTATTAGCTCTTCTGAGCAAATTTGTTAGGAATAGATCCTTAATTTCCATCTTCAAGCATAATCATCTTATCAATGGCAAAACAACAACAGTGAAACTGACTTTACGGAGTTGGAATCTAGGTTCCAGCCAACTGAAGACCACAACCAATTCCACCCTACTCTGCTCCATTTAGCACAAATACAATACATCGAGTCCTGTAGAATTGTGTGAAAAAAAATGAGTAGTTTTGGAGCAGCCTGCCTCTGTACCTACCTACCTTAGCAAATAGCAGTAAATTACCACAGATTCATTATCAATGGTAGTAAATGGATCCACAGATCCATTCCCATTAATCACATTCTCCCCACTGATTTGCTTTACAAAGGCTAAGAGAAGGTGGAGTCTTTGCCATTTGCAGAGATTGAGGGACTAGTACATAAGTGATTATTCATTTTTTGCCTTATTACTATTGTAGACAGAAAGACAGTATGTGCTTTACAAATTTAGTAGATTGAAAACTTGTTAGGTAAAAATCCAGTTAATTGTACACTAAATTAACACAGCTAGTTAAAACTCAGATGAAGTCCTTTTTTGAAGTCCTCCTACCTTTTGCTATCCTAGTTGTTGTCTTCTCTGTCCTTAGCTTTTTGTTCATGCACTTACTGTTACTTACATTATATTGTATGATAATTTATCTTCCTATATAGCTTTCCCTTTCACGAGACATTTAGTTCCTCTAAAATATCAATATGTCACAACCTAGCACATAAAAAGTAACCAGGGCATATTGACCAGTTTTGAGAGAATGAATAAATATGTATGTTAAGGATGATATCTCCAGTTCTAATAATTAACATTATCATTTTTCTTCAGTTGTGGGCTATTTATATGCATCAATGTGGCCAACTTCTTAATTATACGTCTGATTGCTTTGGGGGATAAATGCTTTCTGTGTCCCTAATTTTACATATTTGGACCTCCAAGGGGGTAATTAATGGCATCAACTCTATTATCGTGTCACAGATAACTGGTGTTCATGTTAAATTTTCTAGAGGAGACTTCTAAGAGAAGGTATATATATATATATATATACTCATATATGCTTTTGAAATCACTTAATGAAGAGAGAACACGTTTATTATGAGAATTTTCCAAAACTAATAATTAGTGAAAGATAATGGATGCAAGTATGTACATATACTACAAGTATTTGCAAGAATCTGAAATTTTGAATTTCATAGTATCAGCTCCTCATCACAAACTAAGATAAATATATAAGCATATTCTGTGTCTTACCCAAATGTGTGCCAATTGTACGTAAGGTACAAAAACAGTTCTTGTGCATGGCTATATTTCCTAATGCTAATAATCTCTGAGAATCTCAATAGTAAAAGTGTTTATTGTAAGACCATCATTATATAAAGAAAAACAAAAAGAAACAAAGAAAAGAAAAGTAAGATACAGAAGCCATCCTTGTTATTTGAAAGAAGAAACAGAAATAAATCAACACCAAATAGTTCATACGCTGTAATATTAAGGAAAGTTGGGACTTGAATTTAAGTAGACAAATATAGTGTATTTCACTGTTCCTGAAAAAAGAGAAACAGAATATGATCTACATCTACTGCTTGCCATATGTCTCCACATTTCCCCTGATTTTTGGATAGTAAGCTAAATCTAATAAGAAGAGCACAAAGAGGTAAATGACAAAGGTGAGCTAAAGCATTTGGCAGCATTTAAACAACATAATACAGGCTGTACTTACATCTGCCTTTGTGAAGATAAAAGGATGTTGTACTGGAAAACCATTCTAATTTTAGTAACTACCTCTATAAAACTGCAAGCAAATAATTTGCAAACAGCAGATAGTTCCATGATTTGCTCTAGGAGCAACTGTGTCTTAAGCAACTGATTTCCTTTTTGGTTTTCCCTTAGCTCGAGAATCTTAATTGTTACAACTTTATGGGGAGTTTGGCCCTCAGTAGTTAAGATCATATTCATGCTTTTTTAGTTTGCTCTCTCTTAACACATTAAAATTGACCATTAAATTGTAGACAACATGTGACTTACAAGCCCTTTGAATGTATAACTTAATGCAAGTATTGTGTTCTTATCATTTTGGTGTATAATAAATGACTTCATATGCTCTATACTTCATAAATAAAAGTACCTGGCTACTGCACGTCTCCATCTAGGCTAAAGGGAAACTTGTATATTCCTTTCTTATTCATAACATGTAATACAACATCAGAAAATGTGACATAATGAAATCATAAAAATAGTCTTAGTGTAACAACATACACACTAAATGCCTCCTCAGCAAGCATTTTAGTTATTGCTATTTTCATTATTAGAATATTTAAAATTTAGCCATTTCTCAAACTAATCTGCAGTTTTATATATATATATATATATACTACAGTTCCTTGATAATTTTATCCATCTTTGAACTTCACCATTTCATATACACATATGCCAAAATTATGTATATACATATATGTACATATATGATACATAGTTATATATAATTTAACAAAAATATAATTTTGAAGTTTGAAATAAGAAGAGGTTAATATATTTTAAAATAGGTGGGATCATCAGATAGATACATCTACAGATATTCACATAAGCAAAATATCTTTCATAGCTATTCCAAGACAGTTATTATGTTGTACAGCTTGGATGTAGAAGTGTGTGGCACAAAATAAAGAGAACAAATTATGAGATAAGATACGTATTTCATTATAAGGATAATAATTTTATTGTAAACTTGCTAATATGTATTATACTATAGCAATTACCTAAATGTACATGTATGTCATTAAAATAACTATGACATTTTAAGCATTTCTATTAAATAACATTCCAAAGTTAGAGTTAATGAGTAATTTACACTAATCCTATAAATACAGAATAAATAGTAGTCCATATTAATAAAAGGATATAATCAATATTGTTCTCTAGATTTGAATAATAAAATATGAACATAAGATTGTCTTCCAGTGAAACATTCAACCTTGTCTCTGCCTCTCCTCCAGGAATTTCATGTCTCTCCTTTCCTATGAATACTCAAGATTTTTAAAGACTAAGCTATACACAGCCACCTCCTTAATATCATATACTGATAGTAGAGAGTAAATTTATTTGGATCCTGATTCGCCATATTCACTGAAGTTGAATAAACATATATCCATTTAGCCAATGGTTCTACTTATAGATGGATTTCATCTGTTCACTTTTTTTCTTATATTTTTTCCTAACTTTTAAAACAAGTTTTTGGATTGCAAGCTACTTTTGGATGGGTCTTATTAGGATTTGATCACACCATTTATATTAATAACGTAGCACATCAACTGACACATAATGAGAACTGAATAAATGTAATTCTTTTTTATTCTGGGCCTAAATATTGTTTAAATAAGCAGGGAAAAACTAAAGTTGAATTTTTAAAAATAATTCTTTGGTTTTACTGTTATGATAATTTTCCACATGGGATAGGCTGGTATTTAGCTCCTACTCAGGACTGGTCTTCTTTGGGCAAGTTTTCACATTAGTTTATCACTTTTGTAATCACTATTTATGCACAAAGTTGCAACGATATTACGATTGTCTCTTCAGAGTGAGAATTTTGATAAAGTCTAATAAAAACCCATACTTCCTCTGAGATTTTCAGAAAATCCACTATGATATTCCCTTTATGCCTGCTGGTTCTGGATAGTGTATTTGACTTAGTATGGCCCCAGCAGAGACTATTATGAGACTTTTATTTGTTGCTTGTGGAAAAAGCTCTTTTTTGTGCACGATGATCAGTATGTATATGAGCCCAAGACTGTTGAAGAAAATTTGCTAAAGTAAGAAATAAAGGAAAGATGAAGGATGCAGAGCTCAGAGATCTGGAGAGAAAGAAAAGCCTTGGGTTCTTATTAAATAATGTAACTGAAGCCTGGCCAGTCTACTGACTTTTAATTTACCGAACTTCATAAATTCTCTTTTTAATTTTAGTCAGTTTTATATTTTTTCAAACAATCATGCCCCCTTAATTGTGAAGTCTGATCCACGTTATATAATGTGTTGAATATCTCAAAATATGGAAAATATGAATATACATCCTCCAAACTTCTGAGTTACTGCTACAATTCCCATTTTTTTTTAATGTGAGTAAACTCATCCCTGGAGTAGTTATATGAATTTTCTCAAAGTAGTTGTTCACTGTTGAATACCAAATTTGACACAAAAACAGTCTCCAGTCTTATATAATTTTAATTTTTATAAGAGAGACAACCTCATGAAAAACACCAATACACACTTTGTGTTGTGTGGATTATGACGCCAAAATAATCACTACCATTCTGAACTCTGTAATCTCCCTCACCTATTAATTTGGCTATTTCTTGCCCAATTTTAGACAATATTCTTTCTTCATAAAATGATTTCATATCAGTTAGACCTAGATCCTGCTCATTTTCCCAAAATTTTCTTTATTTTTATTTTGTTTTGTTGGTCCAGCTACATCAATTTTTCATTCAAAAATACATGTAGACAAAATTGTAACTAAAAGGTCATCAATTTTAATGACTAATTTGGCAAAAACTGATATCTTACAAAAATTGCCTTAAGCTCCAGAGTCTGCACTAGATTGAGAATTAGTGTTAGCCAAGGACACTGCTAGAGAGGAGATGGGTGAATGGGCACTGAGATGATGGCTAAGGCCCAAAGCACACTGTTCTTGCCTTACTGCCAGGGGGATATTGACAAGCTTGACAAGAACAAGTGCATGGACAAAAACAGAAGGCAGTGGTGAAGGCAGCGGTGGCTGCTACATCAGTAAAGCTCTTGGCTTATTATTAGTCGGCCAGCTGTTAAACTATTTTCTTTCAACTCTAAACCTGATGATCTATACCCTACTTTTTGATGCCAGGGATGGGACTTTGCAAACTGTCTTTCTTCTTTGCCAGCTGGCTTCTCCTTAGGTTATGCAAATAGAGAACAATGGAGAGAGTTTGGAGGGACAGGAGGCAGGAGGAGGGACAGGAGCTTTCTCCTTCCTGTCTGCATTCTTCTCTTGTCAGTGGCTCTTCAGAAGCACTCTTCACTCTGGCAGTGGCAGTTGGCTTTATTATCTAGCTTATTTTGGTCTTTTCAATATCAGCCTTACTACTCCCCTTCAGAAGTCTGGACTGTAGCTGTCAGCTCAGAAGTAAGACTCCCAGATGCATAGGACACTCTACGCTGCTGAGGTGCAGCTATATCTTGGACAAACGTGCCCAGGGGTTATTGATATGATTCTTATTTCTTGATAACATTTTCCATCAAGTTTTAATTCTACTTCTAGTTGAACACATACACACACATACACACATGCATACATAATACATACAGGTGATCTTCAAATATGTCACTTTGTTCAATGTCATCTTATTATAATGTTGAAGAGAAAAGAAATTGATTCCCAGCTGGAGCTACAGTGTGTGTGGAGTTTGCATGTTCTTCCCATGTCTGTGCAGGTTTGCTCTGCGTATTCTGGCTTCCTCCCACTTTCCAAAGATGTGCATATCAGGTTCATTGGAGTGTGTACATTGTGCCATAACAATGTAGGATGAGTGAGTCTGGGTGTGGGTGTGAGGGCACCTGCCATGGGATGGAGTTCTGACCTGCACTTGTTACTGCCTTGCATCCTGAGCTGTCCAGATACGCTCTGGCCACCTGCGACCTTGAGCTAGAATACATGAATAAATCATGATCTTAATTTGTATTTATCTGTCTTAAATGTATGTACAGGTTACATTCATTTTAATGTTTAATATTAGTAGTGTTTTGTTATCTATTTAGAAGTGTATAGATGTTTTTGTGACTACAAGTATGCCAAGGGAACTTAGCCCTTGATTATATCAATTAGCCTATGAAAAAAATTGGTTTTGTTATATGCTGTTTTGCTTGAAATCAAAGTTCTCGTATCTATTGTAGAGGTTGTGAGGATTTACTATATATATATGTAAATATGATATATTTTGCATAATATATGTATTATATAATATAAACTAAATATATTAATATAAACTATATAATATATAAAATTATAAAATATATTATATTTCATATAATTTTAATTGTAATGCATAATTATATGAAATACAATTATAATTAAATATAACGTGTAAATATTATATATTATATACTTCTAATAATTATATAATATAAAATATATTGTATATATGAATACAATATATTTTATGTATGTGTGCACATATTAATACATGTATTAGTCCATTCAGGCTGCCACAACAAAATAGTTTAGATTGGGAAGCTCAGATATTACAGAAATGTATTTCTCACAGTTCTCGAGGCTAGAAAATCCTAGGTAAGTTGCCGGCAGATTTGATGTCTGGTGAGGGCCTTCTTGCTTCATAGATAGAGGTCTTCTCACTGTAACCTCACATGGCAGAAGGGACAAATGAGTTCCCTTGGACTCTTTATGAGGACTCCATATCCATGACCTAATCTTTTCCCCGAAAGCCTTCACTCCAAAGATCATCACTTCGGGGTTAAGATTTTAACATATGAATTTTGAGGAGAAAGAAGTATTCAGAATATTCAAGTAACATATGTATGTATAAATTCAAATAAATATCATGTGCACACACACAATATATATAAACATATATGTTTATACATATATTTATATATAAATATATAGACATATATATAAATATATAGACATATATATTTATAGATATAGCATGTTCATATTTATTTGAATTTATATATAAATATAAACTTTATTCACATTTGAATATTTACATTTATTTGTTCATAGTATTTACTTGAATAATACTTGAATTCAATTATTTTTTATATGTGTACATATATATATAGTGTGTGTGTTCATAATATTTATTTGAATTTTTTTCATGCTGTTTAGACCCTCTATTATATTTGAACTAAGGTTAAGAATCAATGTTTTTCAGTTTAATTTGTAGCTATAGTATACTTAACATATAGCCCACAAGAATTTTGAACCATAGAAGAACTTAATATGTTTTCAGAAGTTTTCATGGATAAGACAAATAATATGACAGAAATGAGAAAATGCAGCCACAGGAAATTTTCTTAAACATTGTATTCCAAAGCATGAAGAACATTTCTAATGATGACATAGGTTATCCAGAGAACGGCCAAAGAAAATTCAAACTACAAGATAACATCCACTTACTAGCCTTCTATTTTGGAAATTATATTATTATATAAACCAGTGCCAAGTAAAATAGAATTATATATATTTTATTAGGTACAGTTGTGTGAGTTTTATTTAGACTTTCCAACATAATTTTATAAGTTGCAGTCATTTTTCAACCTAAGGAATAATACAATAAATACAACTAAAGTTCTTGAAGGGATAGAGTTATCTTATGAATAGAATTTATATGTATCATTGTAGACAAATAAATTAAGCTAATGATCTAGCATTGGACTGATGAGGGGAATTAAACGCAATAATCAAGGGTGTAGAATTAATATGCAGAGTTGCTGTCTATCTGAAATGTCTAAGAGGTAGGATTTGTGTCTTTTTTATATTCCCCATAGCAGTCTTATATGTATAAAACAAAGCAATGACTTCCTCTGTCGCACCAGCTGTATGTACCCCTTGATGTTATAAAAGAGATTGGCTTATCATCTAAGGCCCTTTCATGATTAATGAGAGAGGGAAAGAAAATGAGCTAATGATTTAAAAATAAAACGGTGGTTTAAGGTAAAAATAAAATTTTACATCAGGAAAAAGGGAATGAATTGTCCCAGGGGAATGAAATACCAATGATTTCTCCCACTATACTGAGTATTAAATTCATAAAGACATACACTGCTGGTCAGGTGATATGCTAGTTGCTCAATGGTTTTTACTTTCACTGGTTACCATCTTCAGAAGACACATGGATATGACAAGGATAAATATGGATTCATACACACACGCACTGATAAAACTTCAGAGTTTATTGAACATAATAATTCAGCAGCACAACTCTGTCAACAACTACATCCAAAAAGACACAAGTAATTTTGTCCAGGCTATCAAGACATGAAGAGAATGTAAGAAAAAAAAAAGGAAAAACAGAAGTTTCCAACCAACCACACACACACACACACACACACACACACACACACACACACACACACAAACATTCTACCATCAAAAGCTTTGAACTAGAACTAGGCAGCGATTTCCTGATTAATGGGCTGTGTAATGAAAGAGATGCTTGAGGGTGACCTTTTCCAATCTATATAACACGAACTGTAGTCACTTAGGTGCCCCACAGAAGTGTTTTCAGGGCAAAACGTTTTCAGAAAAAAAAAGTATTCTTTATGAAAGAACTAGACTATTGTCTCGGTAATTTTTAAGAGATACTATACCAGTTCATTTTAAATATTATATAATTTTAAATAAGTACTAAAAATATGCTATGTTATTTAATCTTTAAAAAACCATAAACTTTATTTTTAAAAGTTTAAATAATAAAAAAGGGAAAAATATATGGGAAGAAATGTTTGAATTGCAGATTTACATGTTCTTATTTTTTTCGGTACAGAATCAATTGTATTTTACCTTTCTTAAGATGAAGATAGAAAGGGATGTTGACTGACATACAATAGCAGGTAATCAGAGATATCCAGAAAATTTTATCAATAACAAAAATTTTGACAATAAGACTTTTTTTCCAACAAAACTATTAAGAGTAATTTTACATTTATAGGTAATTTTCAAACTCCTCCATCATCAATTATCTATATCGCACCTAACACCATGGTCTTCTCAATGCTCCCCAATGCCACCTACAGGCACAAAAAACAGACTTAAAAAGGACATTAAGAAATTGATATGATTAGAAATCATTCTTATTTTAAAGTTTTTTTCCTTAATTCTTTTGTATCAGAAAAAAAAGCAAGTCTTTCTTTGTCATCCATTGGCTAGAAGCCTTCAAAATTTTGAAAGCAAATACAATTTCTAAGAATGCCAGGAGAAAATAAGGCTTTGAATCTATAGAGTAAATAAGAAAGCGCCACAGCCTACTTTCTGGAAGTATGTTCTAGGCTGAATTGCGTCCTCCAAATACTGACATTCAAATCCCAAATAACTCATAATGTGACCTTGTTTTGAAATAGGGCCATTGTACATGTAATTGTCAAGTCCATTAGTGTGAGACTTCAGCCCATGTGACTAGTGTCCTTATAAATACAATGTTTATAGAGAGAATGCCGCATGAACACAAAGCAGAAATCAGGGTAACGTGGGTTTTTTTTTTTTTTTTTTTTTTTTTGACAGAGTCTTGCTCTGTCGCCCAGGCTGGAGTGCAGTGGCACGATCTCAGCTTACTGCAGCCTCTGCCTCCTGGGTTCCAGAGATTCTCCTGCCTCAGCCTCCTGGGTAGCTGGCATTACAGGCGCACACCACCATGCCCCGCTAATTTCTGTATTTTTAGTAGTGATGGAGTTTCACCATGTTGACCAGGCTGCTTTCGAACTTCTGACGTCAGGTGATCAGGCCACCTCGGCCTCCCGAAGTGCTGGAATTACAGGCGTGAGCCACCGTGCCTGGCCAGGGTAATGTGTTTAAAAGCCAAGGAATGCCAAACTGCCAGCATATCTCAAAAAGCAAAGAGGAAGAACTGGAACAGATTTTTTCCTAGTGCCTTTAAACAGAGAATGGCCCTGCCAACATCTTGACCTCAGGCTTCTAGCCTCCAGAACTGTGAAACAATACACTTGTGTTGCTTAAGCCAGTAAATTTATCGTACTTTGTCACAGCATCCCTAGGCAACCAATACAAAGTGTGATGTCATGGAGGTCACCTGCCTCTGCTGAGTGCAGACAGCAAGGGTTCTCTTTTGATGGCACTAAAACACACACAACCTTCATGCCAATCATATTCAGTATCCTGTGGGGCAAGAAAGCTAAGCGATCTTAACATAGTAAGACTAAATTTAATATTCCATACCCATTAGATTAGACTTTATTAGAAACAATGTAAAAATAACTAAGTATAAAAAACAAATTCAGAGCATAAGTAGGAATTAAATCAGTAATATTAAATTAGTCTGCTTAAGAGAAAAAATGAACATAGAGTAGTAACATAAATGAAACAGTATAGTAACATAAATGAAACAAAGTATAGTAACATAAATAAAACATAGTTTAGTAACATAAATGAAGTATAGTACAGTAACAATTTGGACCTCAAGTTATTTTATTAGCTAAAGAGGATTTATTTCTTTTTAATTTTAAATGTGTGATGTTTAATGACAATAAAAATAACAATAAAATTAATAGAAATTGTATTTGTATTCAAAATCCAGCCAGACACTTAAATCGCAAAACCAGTTCCTCTCCTGTTAAAAATTGTTTTTGACACTGGTATTCCACCATATAGTAAAACATAAACTGAAAGTTTTGTATTTATTTTTAAATAAATATAAGGCTGCTTTTAATTTATTTATTAATGTGGCATATAAACTGTTTTTTAAAAAAGATTAAATTACATAGCAAATATTGGAAATGGCTTGCTCTTGTTTAATAGAGCTCAGAGTATTTTGCAAAATTAAAGTGTTGAATAACCCCATGTTCTGGGAGTGTATTACAGTTTCAGAGAAGACAGCATCTTTAATCTGCTGTGGTGCGGAAAGTGCTTCAATTCCACTTGGGGACTTTAATTCATACGTATGTCAGCATTGTCAATTAATGCTGACATTTGGTAACATGATTATAAATACGATTTACATATTCTATTATTTTTTCATTGTTATCAATAGAATAGCTTACTATTCAAATTGTTATTTTCCTGTTTTTAAGACAGGAAGAAGCCTCATTGTTATAGTAGCAGATATTTCAGAAAAAAAAAATAAGACTGCATTATACACACTCATTGATCTAATTGATTTTTCTTTCAGAAATGTAAAAGTGTGAAAAATGTACATATTAGAAATAAGAAAATGTGGCAATAAGAAAAGAAACGGTGTCTTTTCATGATAGTTTCTTTTTTATTACACATTAAGAAAAATCAAATAGGAAAAGCTTGAGGAAAATCTCCAAAATAAATACTTGGTGAACTATTTCTCTCTCCTTGGTCCCCACCACATATTCTTTAATTTTATTTACTTTTTGTTCCTCCAGTCAAACTCCCGCTGTGAGGCAACAAATAAACTATAAGACTATGAGGAAAGTGCTATGGAATATGGTTTGTTGGTCCCCACCAAAACTCATGTTGAAAATTAGTCCCAATGTGATAATGTTAGTTAGTGGGGCCTAGTGGGAGATTTGTAAGTAAAGGAGGCTGATCCCTCATGAATGACTTGATGCTGTTCTTGCGGTAGTGAATGAGTTCTCGCTGTTGCGAGATTGGATTATCTTGGGAATGGATGAGTTCCTGTGATAGCGTGCTGTTACACAGCCAGGACATCCTTCAAGGTTTTCCCTCTTCACTCATCTGCTTCTTTTCTGACCTTCTTTCCCATCCAGTGATGCAGCATGAAAGTCCCCGCCAGAACCCAGGGTCATGCCCTTGATCTTCTCAGCCTGCAGAACTGCAAGCTAAATAAACCTCTTTTATTTATAAATTACCCAGTCTCAGATATTCTTTCATAGCAACACAAAACGGACTAAGACAGGAAGCAAACACAACTGCATTTTTTTAAGCAACAGTAAAGTATTTGGAGTTTTAACAAGAAACTGTGGAATACTTACTTTCCTTCTTTTGAGATCCTAGATCACTTTTATCATTTAAGGTGGGGAACATGTAGCTCCACTTTGTTTCACTTGGTTTTCAAATTCTGTGTGTGTGTGTATGTGTGTGTGTGTGTTTACATCAGGGAATATATAAGAAAACAGTAGTCGCTCTCAATGACTCAGAATTATACAGGCAATATAATTGTGAGTTTCTTTCTAGTATTAACCTATTACCAAAGAAACACAGATTTATCTGTCTTATTTGGAAGGGAAGGTAAAAATATTTGCTACAAATACGTATCTATATATTTACATGGCATCATACTATCTCAGTCAATATTATTATTATCATCATCATCATCATTATTTTTACATTAAGTTTCACTTTTGATGTTGTACATATTCTGTGGGTTTGGACAAATGTATAATGACATGTATCTGTCATTACATTGTTATGCAGAGTATTTTCAGTGCTCTAAAATTTCTTTGTACTCTGCCTAATTATTCCTTCTTCCCCCTCACCTCCTGGTACTCACTGTTCTATTTACCATAGTTTTGACTATTCCATAATGTCATATCTTTGGAATCATAAATATGAAGCCTTTTCAGATTGGCTTCCTTCACTAAGTAACATGCATGTAAGTTTCCTCCATGTTTTTTCATTGCTTGATAGCTCATTTAATTTTAGTGCTGAATAATATTTCATTATTGACCCATTCTGCCACAGTTTATCCATTCACGTACTGAAGGACATCTTGATTGCTTGTAAGTTTCGGCAATCATGAATAAAGCTGCTAGAAACATCCATGTGCAGGATTTTAGGTGGGCATACATTTTTAACTCCTTTGGATAAATACCAAGGTCCAATCATATGGTAAGAGTGTATTTAGTTTTATAAGTAACTTCCAAACTCTCTTCCAAAGTGGTTATAACGTTTCACATTTTTCCAGCAAAGAACGATTGTTCTTTCTGTTCTACATCCTCACTAGCACTTGGTGTTGTCACTGTCTTGGATATGGACCATTCTAATAAACATGGAGTGGTATCTCATTGTTGTTTGAGTGTGCATTTCTCCAATGGTGTAAAATGTTGAGCATCTTTTCATATGCTTATTTACCACCTGTATATCTTTGGTGAGGAATATTTTTAACTAGGAAATATATTTACTTCATTTAATCCAAAAATGTATTAAAGGATCTTGGGTAGTTTATTTCTAAGAGGGACAAATGATTATCACAGAGGAGTACATGTGTGTTCTCTCTGTGTCATTATGGACACCAAATATGGGGTTTTGTGTCCAGTGCTTCTATCACTACCACTCCTGGGTCTCCACCTCACTTCTTGAAAGTATTTGATTACAAATAACACTGGGTTATTTGACTTTCTGCTGAATTGGAATTTTTAGTGGAAACCTCCAAATGGCAGCTCCTAGATCATATGCCTAGCTCCTAGATGCAAAAGAGTCTACAACAGGTAATTATGCCTTCCATGTTGGGAAATAGGAATGGAAATTTGAGACACATTCAGATTTCAAAATGACATTAAAAAGAAAATAGGCTTCCACAAGCATCTGCTGTCTATCCCTTTATATGTGCATAACTAGCTATGTCCTACTTCCAATGACCAGGCCTTTTGGTTGTTGATTCCATACTGTTCAGGTCTCTGTCAAGTATTATTTGTGGTTGACTTGTCTCTTAACTCTCTACTATTGTGGATGTTTCTGGTGCCTCAGTCTTTTAGTTTTTATTGGACAGGTCTTGCAAAAGGCTACGCAGTGGTGACATCAGCTTCCACTCAGTTTTGTAGGGTTTCCCAGACAGTGACTTTGAAGGAAAGACTGACACATTATCACATACAAAATATTATCCTGAAAATCCTGAAGTAATAGTGGAATTATGTTTTAGTGTATAAAATTATGGAATGTGGGTTCCTATCCTCAAACAGTCTAACTCTAAAAGAAACAACAGAATATATTAGACTGACAAAAATGAACAGACTCTATACAAAATGATTGGGCTATTTTAGTAAAGACATTCTTTTGTAGATTTTAATAGACAGTTTATAATTTGTACTCTTGTAGATAATTTTATTATCTGTATTTGCACCTATTTAACATGACACTTTAAAATTACTAAATACTCACCAAAACAGGAAGTGTATCTGTGCAGTATATTTTAAGGTCTCTTGTAGGTCATTCTTTCTTGAGTAAATAGATTCTGAGATCTCTAAAACTACTACATGTCATTATATTACTAACTGCAAGTGATTTCTTAGCCATTCCACTACAGAAATGTGGGTTAAAGAAGAAAAATGCTATAGCCTGTTAAACATTATTTCTATAATGTTATGTTACATTCAATATATATATTTACTATTTATATCTATTGAATAGATTTAATATAACATGACATTATAGAAATAGTTACAGACATATATATATATATATATGTATATACACACACACACACACATACATATATGTAACTCATAGTAGGCATATGTTGTAAGTAGCTTTAGAAATATTTTATGCTTTCAGAACTTGTTGACCATTACCTTTTAGCTACATAATCTAGAAATACTTTTATTGATTTTTTAAAAGTAATCCATCATGATTTGTTGTTCATAAATTTGATTATACAAAAGAGCATTAGTGTCATGAATTGAAGTTCAGCATTTTGGTGTTTAAATCTGCACAGTTTAAAATGGACTGTTTTCAAAACCAAAGACATATTTCAGATGCATTCCTCCCCGAGGAATGCATGACTTTGCATAGCAATGGATTTATAGGAGATCATGGAATAACTAAAGGCTTTAAACAACTCCTTGTTTTTCTTTACTAACTTCTGGCATTAAAGACACTCAATACATTTAAGATAGTCCCTGGTACTTCCGATAATCTCGTAGCAAGTTTATTTATTCAAATTTTTAGTGAACCCTCTCCAACAAAATATAGCCGATCATATGTTTTAATGACTTTTAATGGATAATCATTGATTAATAAAATGCCTTCACCACAATATTATCAAGACTATAAAAATGATTTAAGTATGAAGAATTGGGACCAGGGAGTTGTAAAAATATATTTTTCTATCAAAACAAGGACTGAAAAATTTCTTCTTTAGTTACATGGATGTATCTTAAAATACATTCAGCTTTACTAATACCAAACAGATTTACTAAAACTCACACCAATTTCTAACACACACACATGCCCACACACTCAAACAACACTCATATCAGATGAAAACTGTGAAAAATGAAATAAACCAGTCATATTTAAGCATAGTCAAGTCAATAAGTTAGAAAGAGATTATTGCTGGAAAAGCCTGATTCATGTTTGATGATTGATCATACTGTCAACGAAACAAGATTATTTGATCTTCCACTGATAACTAACATAACATGAGCCTATGTGTGTGTGTGTGTGTGTGTGTGTGTATTACCTAATATTTTCATGCCAACTTTCTGCTCATTTGGCATGTATAATCATATACAATGTAGAAGTAAAAAACCTATTTTGCTTTTCATTCAACATACCGCAAGTTAATGGTACATATTAGTAATTTTATTAATTTGTTGGTACAAATTCTGCCAATTCATGTTTATAGTTGATATTTCTGTTCAATACTTTTTGTAACTAAAATACAATTTAATACAAAACTAATTTTTGCATATTTTCTGAGTTTCCTTTATTGGCTAACCTGGAAGCATAGTCACAATACTACTATAGAGAGTTTGTTATTCATAAGATATATTACACAAGGAAGTACTTAATAAGAAAGTTTAGCTTCTGAAATAGTTAAAAGAGAGAGCTATCTAAAAAGTATGAGGCAAAGAGATGAATAAATATGTATAATATTTTAATATATCAAATAGATGGGCCACTAATAAAATCATGTATTCTGTATATAAGTTGTAACGATTTTACTAAGAAGGGTAAGTTTTTATTTTTTAACATATTGGTCTAGTAAAACATCTATTTGAATTTTTATTTATTCATTATGACACAATCAAAATATTACAAATCACTTAGATATCTTAAATATAGCGTACTTTCAAAAACAAAAAGGATGTCTATATGCCGTTAATAATTAGACAATTCTAACTTATTTCTATTTGGTTATCTTGAAGATAAGTTTCATTTTCTTTATTCTAAGAACATACTGGTTCATTTAACTGCATTCTGTTCTATCAATCATGTTGCTGAAAGTAGTCATTTTCTTATTTCAATTGCTTCTGGAAATCATATTTTATAAAAACTCAGATACATGTTTCACATGAGTATTGGTGGTAAGAGTGGTTAATAAGCCTGTCAGTTAGGTAAGCCCAAGTGATTTGGTCTGCATTAAAACAAACAAATAGGAAGTTTAGAAGCAGTGGTAGCAGCCTTTGGTTGTCTTATTTCTTATTTCTTGATTGCTGTTTTATTTCTCTCTGTCAGTAAATGACTTCCATTCTTTCAGCATTCTCTATTTCATTACTCAAGTCTCTGTTTTCTACTTTCTCTTTCCAGTACCCGAACAGCAGAGAAGACAGTGTTGGAAAAGCTAGCATTGTTATTAGTCTAAATATTTTATTGAACAAGGGCTGGTAGAATATTTTGAAGGAGCACAAGCTATAATAAATCATGGCATCTACCAATGACAGTTTCAAATGAACACGTTCATTGGGCCAGACAAGTACATCACTAAGAGTGTTATTTACCTCAGGTGCTGACATATAGTGCCAGATGTTGAATTTAAACCCTGACTCAGTGATTGTGGCTGAAAACTGCATTGGCATTTTAAAAAGCATCTGTTATAAACCCTGATCTGAGTAAGACACAAACCACAGACCTTAATGCAGGCAATAACGAATGAGAGTTTAAAGTGATTACCTTGGCAAGTTCAGAAAGCATGAAGGCTGAGGTCAACTCAGAGTATGGAACATGTTCCTGTTAAAGGGACGTTTGTGGGGTCACTTTTCTAAGCACTTTCCCACAGAAGTATGAAAGATGTGTGGATAACTTCTAACTTAGCATTAAATGATATTTTATGAATTTGCAATATTTTTGCACGTGTTTTATTTTAAAAGATACCCTTATGAGTACTGCAGTTGGACCCCGCAAGAGGAATTTATGAGTTACTGAATAGTCATAAGAGTTGTACACTGCCAGTGAGGATCATTTTCAATAGGGTAACATGCATGTCATTCGAAGCTGTATATGTAGTTTTGGAAAATAACATATAAAGCCTGATACTAATTATTTACATCAGCAAATAGATTGACATTAAATTAAAAAAATATAGCAGCAGTTCTGTTCTAGAAAATATATAACAAAAAGTAATAAACTAAAAAATAATTAAGCTTTACATAAATAAATTTGATTTAATATGTTGATATCCATCCACTATAACTGGCATTTTGTCTTTAATTTTAATTAATAATTCTGTACATTTTACACAAAAATATGTTATAAAGAATACTTTTTATTTTTTATATTTATCATAGTTTATATTTTGATAAAAACATTGAAATTTTGTAAATATGTAAAATTTTATTTGATTTTGTTATTTTAGTTACTCAGTAGTAAAAAACTCACATGAAAATTTTGATTAAGCAACCTGTTAATCAAATTTTGATTAATAAATCGATAAAATTAGTCAAATTATTACTTTTATCCAATTAAAAGCAATAAAAAATTTAATTAAGTATAACATGATTATGCATGTCTTTATTTTATTGTTTATTCAGACACTGATAGCTCATCAACTGAATGGTCTGATAGCCAAAATAAAAATATGTAAGTCATCTTTGCCAATTTCAGCAATATAAAAGCCATTTATTTAAATATATGTATATATTTAATGTAATATTACATAATATTTTCAAGGTAGTAGAACAGAACATATGTTATTTAAGTTTGTTAAACCAGTTTATTGATTTTAAATATTTAGAGTCTATGAGCCTCCATGTTCTCATTTTAGGACCTGAAAGTGTTAAGGTGATCAGAACCAAACCAGCCTATTCACATTTTAACAATGTGACACTTCTATTTCATGAGGAAAGATAAACATGAATGACCTTGCTTTTCACAATTTCATGAAAAAATATGTTTCACTCCTTTAGTGGTCAAAAATAGGGATTTCAATATCTATAAATCATTACTCTATTTTTTTATCTTAATATCGTAATTTAGCTTGGACAACTACAACTCCCCCCAAGAACATAGCTGTTGGAAAGGGTGTGAGCTTATAGGCGACAAGTAATCCCACTATATTTCCTTGCTTCAGAGATTGGTTCAGGGGTGCTCAAATGAGCTGTCAGAGCCATTGTGATGCAATGAGATTTTGCTGGGACTTTGAGAGAGTGACAGTCCTCTCCTTCCAAGTATGCAAGGAGCACTGGGACTAATAAAACCCACTACTGAATAGCATAAAAACCTACATAAGCAGCCAACAGAGCCAACAGAAAATATAAAGCATTAAGACATGAAGGAAAATTAAGTCCTTTTGTTATTAATATGAGAGTCTTTATAATAATGAGTTTGAAGCCAGCTCTATTATTCCTGGACTTGCCAGTCATGTTAGCCTTTATAATCTGCTTTGTTTTTGCAAACTCAACCATTTCAATTAATGCAATCATAGAGGAGAGAACTATGAAAGAGAGACTTTTACAGTGCTTTTCTAAATCCCTTAACCACTCTTTCCCCCAACTAGGGGTACAAGTGAGTTATCCAAGGGGATGGTAGGTAAAGGTTACTGCTGATGTTCAGTAGAATCAGTTGGTTCTGGCTCCCTCTCCCTCTTTCTGTCTCTCCATTTTGCCCATTGAAATTGGTAAGAAGGACTGGACTAGATCTTAAGAAGTAGGAATATACATTATGGCCCAATGTACTGGCCCTCTGGATTTTCAGTAGGTACATCTGCTAGTAAGTGAACACTTCAGTCTATAGTGCACAGGAACACTGAGAGAGCCACATTTCAGCACTGGATTCAAACTACAATCACTAAAATCATTAAAATAAAAAAAAAAAAACCTTTGTAGGACTGAGATTAATTGGAGAGTTTTACAAAGAGTGGGAAGATCTTTGGGTTAACATTTGAATTAGGACCTGCATGGTCAAAAGTTAACCACCATGTAACAATGAGGATTAAGAATACGTCAGAGGAAATAGTGCCACAACTCTAAGGTTGAAGTGACCTTGGTGATATAGTTTGGCCATGTCCCCACCCAAATCTCATCTTGAATTGTAGCTCCCATAATTCTCTCTTATTGTAGGAGGGACACAGTGGGAGATAATTGAATCACAGGGGCAGTTTTTCCCATAGGGTTCTTGTGGTAGTGAATAAGTCTCACGAGGTCTGATGGTTTCAAAAGCGAAATCCCTTTCACTTGACTCTCATTTTCTCTTGCCTGCTACCATGTAAGGCGTACCTTTCACCTTCTGCCATAATTGTGAGGCCTCCTCAGTCACACGGAACTGTGAGTCCATTAAACCTTTTTCTTTTGTAAATTGCCCAGTCTCAAGTATATCTTTATCAGTGAAAACGGACTAATACACTTGACATACTTGAAGAAGGCATAGAATGCCATGCTGGCTGGAACTGTAGATGAGCAGCTAGTAATAAAGAATGAGATCAGAAAGATTGAAGGGGCTCAGATATTTTTTTTTTTTTCAATTGACTGTCATGTCCCTGTGGGCCAAATGCATCAATCAGAAGCCTGGAGGAAACAAAGTATTCGTATTCTGAACTGAATCTACAATTAGAATACTTCTTATCAATGGGTATCAAAGGAACAGTTCTACTTCAGCATTCAATAGACATTGCAAATAATAATACATATAGGGTTGTGTGGACTTACAAAAATGGTACAGGAAGAGGGATACATAAGAAAGAGAGTAGTACCTGTCTTCATCCTTTTGGGCTGTGGTAACAAAATACCACAAACTGGGTAATTAATAAGCAATTTATTCCTCACGGTTCTGGAGGCTGGAGGTCCAAGATCAAAGTGCTAACAGATTCAGTGCCTGGTGAGGGCTCACTTTCTGGTTCATAGATGGTAACTTCTAGCTGTGTTCTCACATGGTGGAAAGGGCTAGATACATTCCAAGGGTTTCTTTTATAAGGACACCAATTCCATTCATGAGCATTCTTCCCTCATGACCCAATCATTTCCCAAATGCCTCACCTCCTAGTATCATCATATCAGGTGATTTGGTTTTAACATATTAATTTTGGGGGTACACTAGTATTCAGACCATAGTAGTATCCATGACTCTTCCTGATGAGGGAAGCAAATATTTTGTTTCAAACACTCTAGTCATGAAGCTCCTTTCCTGCCCAATACAGTGTAATATAACATGTTTCAAAGCTGCATTTCAGGCACCAGAGAATCAGAATAGAAGATGTCAATCACCCGAATGCAGGGCACTCAGATCACTGACATAGAACAGAGTACAAGTGTTAGGCAACCAATTGACAGTTGCCTAAAGAAAATACATAATTTACAAAAGTTGCCTTTGGAAATAATCTACAAAATCACAATGGTTTAACTCAACAGAGGTTTATTTCTTTCTTACTTGAAATAAAAATTGTTATTCTTGATGAGCAAGAAGTACTTCTCCAAGCAGTAATTCAGGTACCCCAAGTTTTTCTCACCTTTAGTTCCATTGTCTTTAGCGTCTAGATTTTAATAATTCTGTGCTTATCTGTATCAAGCAAGAGGAGGAAAGAACTAGGAGATTTGCTGGCGACATGTTTCTGCAGACTGGGCCTTAGCGTGGCACACATTGCAACATGCATGTTGTACATCCCCACGTAATTGAGACTGAGAATGTGGTATAGCTATGCTTCCAGAAAGAGCAGGTAAAGGGTTTGGAGGTGAACACATTGTAGATGACTACAGACTATCCTTCTGGTCAGGAAATATGCTTTACAGAAAAAGCTAATGGACCAAAACATTATTACTGACTCTAGCAACTCTTCCTACTCCTCTTGTAAAACTGAAATTGATCAAAGAGTGTCTGTTAAACTGTGGCCCTAGTTTTGCAGTTGCTGAATGCTGTCCCATGTCTAATGCAATCTAAATTTCTCACATCTGACAACATTTTGAATAGTGAGAAATTATTGAAATAAAACTCAGTCTATCTGACCTTTCCCAGTTTAAGCTCTAAATTCTTTGGAATACTTTCTGTCTACAGAATAGTCCTCTTGGACTGTCCTCGCATTGCAATGTTTTAATACAAGCTTAATGGCTTCTTTTCCCCATAGATTATACTTTTTTTGTGTCTGTTTCCACATATGGCTGCACTTGCCATGAGTGTTTGGGAGACTAAGAGCTTTTGTTTTATTTTGTTTTTTTCCTAACACCCCAAAAGCTAAAGATATTTATAGTTTAAGTTTGTGTAATTTTTGGACAGGCAATTTTCTTGATTATTAGGATTCTCATTTTTGCTTCTAATCAGACCATGTAAGAGGGATATACCCACAATTTGCCTTAGATATAACTTCCAAGCCTGCTTTATTTCCGAAGCCATATCTCATGGTTTCTCATTTTAATGGCAGCTAACTTAAGACTACCCGTGACATTAGTTTGTGAGTAGGCAGAGGTACTCTATTAATCTGATCTTTGCAACAGACCTGAGTCCTCATCATCCTCTCCTCCTCCAGTTTCTTTTCAGAGTTATCTCTTACTGTTTGGTATCTAAAGGCATTTCCTTTTCCAAAGGCTTCATTGCTCAAAATCTCTAGATGTTTGTTATGCCTTTCTCTCTTTTTCTAGCAAAACAGCCAATTATTTATTGAAATAGTCACTCCACACAATGCCTTCCTAAAAAAGGACAAATTAAATATCAACACCATTACTCTTTTATAAACCATTTTCCTCATAACTAAAGTAGTGGCTGTCAGTGTTTCGGTTGTCTTAACGCTAAACAATTTTTCATATTTTAGAAATGTATTGCAGCCTGACTACCCTCCTGGGGCAAATTTGATATTACATGTATAAACCTTACAGCTGAAAATTTAATAATAATAAAAAAAAACCTGAGTGGCTTATTCATCTGAAGGCCAAATGGAACTGCTTGATCAAGAGATCCAGGTCCTGATGTTTTTCTTTCTTTCTTTTCTTTTTTTTTTTCTTTTCTTTCTTTTTTTTATTTTTTTGAGACCGAGTCTCGCTCTGTCGTCCAGGCAGGGGTGTAATCGCATGATCTTGGCTCACTGCAACCTTTGCCTCCCGGATTCAAGTGATTCTCCAACCTTAGCCTCCTGAGTAGCTGGGACTACAGGCACTCGCCATCATGCCCAGCTAATTTTTGTATTTTTGTAGAGATGGGGTTTCACCATGTTTTGAACTAATTCAATTTTAGGCTCCAAATTTGTATGTATCAAATTAGAAGCAGTAAAGTACATGGCAGATAACTCTGTCAGGTAATTGGTTATGGACACATGTATCTATAAGGGAGGCTTAGAATTATAGTTCTAGCCGTAAGTCCCAAAAGTGCAAATAGGTTTTGGTGAACACATAGCAGCCTCTGCACGTTGGAGAAAATATCAGTTTTGAGCATGTACATATGCATAGACTAATAAGTTTCTATTAAGAGTCCTAAATTCTCTCAGAGGGCCAATATCTCACAAAAGGCTTTTATTAGACATGTGCTTCCTCTACACAGAGTAAATGTACTTGAATTTAAAGTGTCTGTAGAGATTGTTGAGTAATCTAAAATTTGCCTGTTTACATTGCCATATTTAGAGAAATCCAAGTTCAGTGAGATGAATAGGAAAGATATGCTCAAGTTACTGTACTTCAAATGTATACTGATCTTCTTTCACTTGTTTTCATCTAAGCCTACATTTGTCTTCTTAGAGTTCTAAGGTAAGGAACCAGAATTACTCTCAGTAATGTTGAAAGTGAGATTTAATAGTGTGGTATGGATAGTTGCAATAGGAAAAGACTTTTAAGTAATGAGGAAAAAATGTCAGGTAAGACTCAACTTCTCCTTTTTCTCATATTACATAATCAAGGAAAGGTTTAATATCAGCTGGATCAGAAATTCAGTAATACTCACTTTCAGAAGAAAGTGGTATATTGCCATGTGATGCATTCAAACTGCATAACTTTCAGGATTCACGCAGTAGGAACTAAGAATAAGACTACAGAATAGTGAAAGTATCATTCACAAACAAAATGCTGAGTAATTTGGAAAGACAAATATGTCTATAACTAGTACAGTCTGACAAGGGCTGTTATGATATACAGGTATAGATCAATTAGAAAGAGCATAAAGAAAGAAGAAGGGCTACAACATCAAAAATAGCACATATATTTTCCTCAGAGTTAAAGAGCCGTAGAGGTAATCAACATTGCATGATAGACAATCCCTGATAGTACTTGTAGTTTGTGTGCGCATTTCATTCAAACTTTGGTTTCTGATATTCCTAATATGTGAAGCCACATTTTAGCCTAAAAATAAAAAGAATCACTGAATATATTTAAAGGAAATAGAAATGCCTAATTATGTTTGTACCTAAAATGTTGGGGCCCAAAGTAATAAGATGAATTATACAACAACCTTATTTAATGAAGATTCAGTAGCAATTTCTTATTTTTGGTGTTGCTGAATATTCTGTTTTCACTCCCCCAAAGTTAGAGGACATAGTAGCACTCTCCTTTTGCTTCCTTATTAAAAAGATAAATTACTATCTCATCCCACAGAGAATATTGTAACTAACTTTATTTTTTAAATCATCAAATACATCTCAAATCATAATAAGTGTAGTGCATATAAGAGGCAGTAAAATGCTGAGCTGCCTTAAACTATTACATTTTAAACTCATAGAAACTCTGAAATATTCTAAATTATTATGCCAAAAATCATGCCAATTAATCAGTATAATTGGATAGCCTCAATTAAGAAAAATAAAATTATAGAAAACACAGAAAATTAGAAATAACTGTAAGTATTCTTTCTTGAAGTGGAGAAAACTTCTCATTAGATATTTATACTATTCTAGACTCTGTTGACATTATTACTTATTATTGAAGAAAATCTCAGAAATAGACATGTTTTATTTTAACAGCAGTAAAATGCAGAAATAAAGAATGTAATAGATTTATTTCATTTTCCAAGTGGCTTCATCTCAAGACAATTCAGCATCATGTAAATGTAACAGTAATATGCCTTTTCCCAAAACACACTGAGTCTTCTTATCTCTAAAACTGATTCCTTTAAACTTTTAAAGTTTTCACTCTAAGACAAGATGATTAAGGGTAAAGCGATATTAATGCTTCTTGGAAACGATCGTATCACTTTCCCTGACCTTCAAATTACATATATCATTTGTCTTTGGCAAAACTACACCATTGCTCAATGTTGTGGACAGCAAAATTAATCTGGCATTATTAATAACATCAGCAATGAAATAAAAAGTTAACTGAGCTTACATTTTTTATAACCCCAGGAGTTTTAAAACCATGTTAAGAGCTTTAGTGTGATGACAGAAAATTTGTGCTGTGGCATAAATGATATGACAAGTCAAACAAAACATATCATTGAAAAGACTATATTAATTCAGCAATATTTTTATTGTATTTTGAATACATTTTATACTACGGTTAGGAAAAAAAAAAACAACTCCAGCTGTTTTTCCTCTGCTCTCACATCACAGCAATCAACATAAGACTTATATGACAAGATGTGTAGGGATCTCTCCCTACCAGCAAGCAAGCAATCAATTATTCAGCCAACACCAGCTTGCTGTCCTCCATTTGTCTTCTGACTATTTCTCTGGGGATAGCATCAGATTCCACAGGCCCAGTCGCACAAGACTGCCCCCACTTCCAATGTCAATCACAAGCCCCAGGTTGTTTAACTTGTGCTTCTAACCAACCGCCTGTAAATTGGTATTCCCACAACCCCCTCCTTGGGTTTGATAAACTTGTTAGAGCAGCTTACTGAACTCCAGGAAACGGGTTTATTACAAAAGATATTCCAAAGGGTGCAGATGAAGAGATGCATAGGGAAAGGTATGAGGGAAGGCTCACAAAGCTTCAATGTTCTCTCCGGCCTTGCTATCTTCCAGGAACCTCCACATGTTCCGTTTTCTGGAAGCTCTTCAAACTCTTTCCTCTTGGGCCTTCTATGGAAATTTCATTGAATAGGCATGACTGAAGCATGAACAACTGTGTACAAATGCAATTGGACAAAGGGGTATAATCTAATAGTCACAGACTGAGTGGGAAAATCCAGCAAGGTCTGTCGGTGGAGATTTCATCTTGGCCTCTGTGCAGCATTCCTTTCTCCATGGTATGGCACAGGACCGCCTCTGAAATGCAGCTCATATGACCTATGATCAAACAAGGTAGGTTAGAGAAATTTTTGTATGGCCAGCTCCAAGGTACAAAGGTAGGGGAAGATTTCTACCCTTTGGAGAAAAAGGAGCAGGTAAAAGGAGGACTGGAGAAAGTCAGAAAGAGAAATTCTGTTTTCTGAGGCCTGCTTCTGGGGCCCAAAGTGCCCCAACATTATAAGAAAAGACTAATGAGAGCTTTGAGAGTCATGAGCCAGGATGTGTGGATAGAAACATATTTAAATATTCTCCATCTCCTAATATAACGATGTGAAAAGGGAAATAAATTGGAACCACAAGAAATAGTGGCAAAGGTTTGGAAAGCTTAAGTCAAAATGTGTTGTTCATAAATACGGTCTGAATAATTTGAACATTTTCTGTTAATGGTATTTGTTCAACTATAATGATATTTTCCAGCCAAGATATAATTGGCAATGTCAAAGTCACACACAGATGGGTAAAATGGCCAATGTCTCTGGAAAATCTTGATAATAACTTTTTAGTATCTCTGGTGCAAGGTCACTTAAATTCAGAAAATAGCACCCAAGGAAAAAATAGCCATATTCAAAAAAATAAGCTCCATATATTTAGATGTAGATATAAATTTGGGGTGATTTATTTCTTATTAGACACTAATATTTTTTAAAACAGAGAATGACAAATAAGGAAATTTTGCAGTTAACTATGTCCTAATGAAAAAGGGTAGTAGTTTTACAAGAAAGATATAATTCATCAAAAAGGCAGGGAAGCATTCAGACTAAACATTGAGTATGTTTGGAAATAATAAAAATTATTGTTTCTTTTACCAACATCAACAATCTTTTCAAATTAATTTATAAAACTGTCATCTCTGTTCACTAATTTTGAATTACTCATATTATTTTTAATTTTGAATACTTATAATATTACTTACTAATTTTTAATTAATTTTGATATACCTATATCACTGTTTTGAATTGATCTATGAATGATCTAGAAATGACTTTGCCTGTTTTTTTTTTTGACTCATGGGTATTTACTTTTCATTAGGTAATTTTAATGTATTGTTAACTAGAAAAATAAGATGAAGAAAAAAACATTTTAAATGCAAAATATAAATTTAAAGAACTTCAAAAGAATAAAATTTCAGTTTTATGTCTTTCAAGTAAATTTGCTGTTTTCAAAATTATTTTTTGTTACAAACCTATTTTATTTCAAAAAATATGCTATTGTTTTTAACCTATAATTTTTAAATATCTGACAGCATTGTAGGACTTAAAGCTATTAAATATATAAAGATATAATAGAACTTATTGGAAATATTCAAGGAAAAACTAACATATTCTTTAAAAACATTTTAATTTTTAAATTCTATGTTAATTGACTTTTTGATACATATTTTACTTTTCCTTCACTTCTTTTGTCAATTCTTAAAAATGTCTTTCTTCATAATTTTTGGCAATTAGTTTTTACACTTTAATAGCAAACATTGCCATAAAAGTGAAATTAAGCATTAATTAATTTTATGTCTGCAGGCAGAGTGATTTCCTTAGGGAATCAATTTTAATAGAGAGAACTATGTTTGTACCTGGCAGGATATTCACAGAAATAAAATATTTATTGGCCATCTACTTTGTTTAAGACCTCTTAACAAACCATAACTTATTAAAGCATAAAGTAACATACATAGTAAATACTTTTAAAATCTGTAAACAACTAATTCCTTTCTTCTTGTGAAGTCTTGTTTAGATCATTAAAGTAATAGCAGATTTTCTCACAACAGGTTTGTGAATATTGTCTGTTTAACATGAAAACTATAAAAAAATTAAAGACAATTGATATATATTTATTCAACTATGTCAACTCAAAGATGATCTGCAATTGTTTTCTGAATAACTTATTAATAATGCTTAGGCCCCTTTGTTGAACATGCTTTTATTTGTGTAAATAAGAATTCATTTAAAAATACATTGTACAACTTCAACACATTGTGTGTCCCTGAAGGTACTCTGAGATTTTGCAGTTATAGTATAAATGAGACAAAACGGCAGAGAAAATATTCCCCATGTGTAATTCTTTCTACATTTATTTCCCACATCAATCTCACAAGTGTTTTTATTTCACACTGATTGATATCATTGAGCACATACCTCAATATCTATTATCACAAAAACTATCATTATCAACAAGGACTTTAAAAAATATCTAAACATTATTATCTGGGTAGCAACTCTATACTCCATTTTATCCATTAATTTTGTCTAATTAGTAAAGAAGTACTTATGGTAAAAACAAATTAAAAATAGTACAGAAAACATACTCCTGTATGCAATTATTACAAATATTTTATTTAGTTCCTATAAAGTATTTACATAGCTGAGATCACTATATAATATTATACTCATGTTACTTTATGTCCTAACTTTATATCAGAAAAAGCTTCCCATACTAATAAATGTAAACTACTGTCAAAGAATCTATGATACCTACTCAATAATGTTTACATGAATAAATATGATTTATGTAAGCATTATCTTGCAGATGGACACTTTATTTCTTCCCAAACTTCATAGAGTAATTTTAATGCTACAGTAATGACGTACATACAATTGACCCTTGAACAATGCAAAGCTTAGGGAGGCTTAACCTAACACAGTTGAAAATCCGTGTATACATTTTAACTCTCCAAACACTTAACTAGTAGTAGTCAACTGTTGACCAGAAGCCCTACCGATAATATTAACAGTTAATACATACTTTGTATGTTATATGCATTATATACTGCATTCATAAATAAAGTAAACTAGAGAAAAGAAAATGTTATTAAGAAAATCATAAGAAGGAGAAAATACATTTACTCTTCATTAACTTGAAGTGGATCATCATAAAGGTCATCATCCTTGTTGGTCATAGCTTCACACTGAGTGAGCTAAGTAGGAGAAAGGGATAGAGGAAGGGTTGGTTTTGCTGTAGCTGGGGTGGCAGAAGCTGAAGAAAATTCATGGATAACTGGACCCTTGAAGTTCAAATCTGTGTTGTTCAAGGGTCAGCTGTATATAAATTTTATTTTCATTACTTGGAATTTGGTAAGATTGGCTTACCAGGAGGATAATTACTAAATTAATTTTTATAAATCTTTAAAAGTTGTTAACATATGTTGCCAAATCACTTTCCAGAAAATTACACCAACTTACTCTAACAACAATATATGAGGGTTATAATGTCTTTATCGGGACTGGATATATGTTATTGAAAATACAAAACACATGTTTAATTATTTCTGACACTGTGGCATTCATTATTGCTAATATGAAATACCAGTATAATACATACCTACATCTATATGTCTACATCAAATTCCATTATTTGTGAATTCCATATTTGCAACTTCTCCAAGATGTATTAAATTTATGTGTTATCTCAAAAATCCATACTCACTCATACTTTCCCGGTCTTTTTTTTTAACATGCACAGAATAAAAAAATTTGATTTTCTCAATGTGCATGCCCCCAGTTGAGGTTAAACAAAGTAATACTCTACTTTGTTATTTCATTTTTCATGCTATAAACAAGGATCTTTTTCACAGTCTATTTGGTGCTCTTTGTTGGTGATATGGCTGTTTAAAATGCCTCCCACACCCCAGAATATTGCTAAAGCTCTGTCTATTGTTCCCAAGCACAAGAAGGCTATGATGTGTCTTACAGAGAAAAATATAGTCAACTTCATTTGATGCAGGAGATTGGTTCCAGAAATCCTGGGAATACCCATATCTGGGGATGCTCAAGTTTCTTATATAAAATGGCACAGTATTTGCATACTAGGTATGCAAATCCTCCTATATACTTCAAATAATCTGCAGGTTACTTACAATAAGTAATACAGTGCAAATGCTATATAAGTAGTTGTTATACCATATTTTTAATTGTATTATTTTTCTTGTTGTATTGTTGTTTTTACCCTAATATTTTCAATACACAATAGGTTGAATTCACAGATGTGGGACCTGCAAAGGTTTGATGTTATGTGTGTTAGGTAAGGTTTGTTCAGGCATGCGTTTTAGTGCTGTTGGCTGATGAGAGTTCAATGTTAATAAATCAGCAATATATCTTAAGTAAGGTGTCTCAAAACAGAAGCACACATCAAACAAGATTACATATTGATTAGCTGATGAAAATGTTGTGACCAGAGGCTCACAACAAACTAACCCCGTATTTCCTTTGCAAGCAATGATTTAATATTTGCTAATTTCTTGTTTGCCACAACTTTATAGAACATAAATACTGCAAATAACAAAATTTGACTATTGCTATCTATCCATATATAAACCTAGTCTGCAAAAATAAAGGGGATATTACTCAAGAACTTAAAAGAAAAAGAAACCTGAAAAACAGAATGGTATGCAGATGATGACGTTTTACCTACCGTGGACACAGTAGGAACAAAGCAGCTTATGTATTAGCATCTATGTCACAGGAAATAAGACTCTGGATTTTGCAAGATGATGGACTATAAATAAGAATCCTGGATAAACACAGTACTAAACTGCACACAGGAATGAGGAGCCAGAATGAGTCCATCCACCAGCAAGTATAAAAAATAAAGAAATACGTCTCCTTCCGCCGGGCGCGGTGGCTCACGCCTGTAATCCCAGCACTTTGGGAGGCCGAGGCGGGCGGATCACGAGGTCAGGAGATCGAAACCATCCTGGCTAACACGGTGAAACCCCGTCTCTACTAAAAATACAAAAAATTAGCCGGGCGTGGTGGCGGGCACCTGTAGTCCCAGCTACTTGGGAGGCTGAGGCAAGAGAATGGCTTGAATCCGGGATGCGGAGCTTGCAGTGAGCCGAGATCGCGCCACTGCACTCCAGCCTGGGCGACAGAGTGAGACTCCGTCAAAAAAAAAAAAAAAAAAAAAAAAAAGAAATACGTCTCCTTCAAACTTGATTGAAAATGACTTAATAATAACAACAACAGTAAGGCTCTCTGATAATTAATGAACTTTGGTCTATCATAACCCAGTGTTCAAATTTACATTGCCTTCAAAGACAGGGTAACTCCAGCCTAGACATTTATGGTAACATGGTACATAGCCTGAAGCATCTGAGAGCAATAGAAGCAAAACCTCTTTGGTGTAAACACCCAAAATACAGGTTCAAAACATTCCCATGAACAAAGCCGTATAACATAAACACATTGAAAGACATTGGATTACCAATTAACTATAAGAATAAGAAGAAATATAAATAGCACAATTATATCCAAAACATTCATATAACAAAATTATATATATATAAATTTATTTAAATAAGCATAATTATTAAAGAAGATATTTAAAATACGACCAAGTACAAGCATGGCTTAAAAATAAAAACATTAAAATCTTAAAGATAAAAAAGTTATTGAACTGTAAGCTAGATATGGAAAAAAATTCAGAAAAAAATTAAAAAGTGAAGCAAAGGTTGACAAATATGGAAGCCATAAACCTATGCACTATCATTTGTTCACGTAGATCTCTAAAAGGGAAAGAAAACAAGCATAGAGTTATGAGGCAATATTTCAAAAGTTAACTATTTAGGATATTCCCAACTTCGTAAGGAGATTTGGCTTATTTTTAAAAAAGCACAATTCCAAGCATAACAACACGAAACAGTCATATTCTTCTATACTGAAAGCACATTGAGATACTTGGTAAAACTGCGGAACACTGAAGAAAAAAAGGTCTCTTAAAATTCACCAGAAGTAAAAGACATAATTATAAAAAGATGATACATAGACAGAAAGATAGATTCTCGACAAGATCATGAAGATCATGGAATAAAAAATGAATAGGGGCCAGGCGTGGTGGCTCATGCCTGTAATCCCAACACTTTGGGAGGCCAAGGTGGGCAGATCGCCTGAGGTCAGGAGTTCGAGACCAGCCTGGCTGACATGGTGAAACCCTGTCTCTACCAAAAACACAAAACCTAGCCAGGAGTCATGGTAGATGTTTGTAATCCCTGCTACTTGGAAGGCTGAGGTACGAGAATCGCTTGAACCGAGGAGGTGGAAGTTTCAGTGAGCCGAGATTATGCCACTGCACTCCAGCCTGGGCAACAGAGCAAGACTCCATACCCCCCAAAAAAGAAAAAGTATATATATACACACACACATATTTATATGTACACACATACACACACACACACACACACACACATATATATATGGCACAGCAAGTTTTTATGACAGTAATGAAAAAGGTAAACATAAGTCAAAAGAAAGCTGGTGAATATTAATAACTGTCAGACACAATTAGAAGTACTTCAAAAATTTTAAATGATAAAGATTTCTGCACTGGAACAACAATTTGTCAAGAACATATTCCAAATAATAAGGAACCTAATAATAAGATCTCAAAGATATTTTTAAAATATAATTGTCAAATATTAATTTACATATTAATGTAATTGGCTAAGCTACTACATTTCTTGGATATTTAAACACAGTTGGTCAGTCATTTATATATTTGGTAAACAAAATGAGAAAAAAATAGATTATTTAGGAAACAAAATTTACAACCTGATGATGTATACAGCTGAAACTTTGTACTCAAACCGTTAATCTTTTAAAGTATAGTGAGATTACAGAGTCTGCAACCAAGTTAGAAAATTGGATTTAATGATAAGACTGCCTGCTGCTGTGATCCCAGTGTACAGTGAAATATTGAGTGTGGACCACTAACAATAGGAGCTTTGTACCTGTAAAGAGCCTCTAAAAGTCGGATGTCCCACTGCAAAGCTCTACCTGCTATGCCAGGAATCGATTATGAGTAGCATCTAATTTTTTTGTTCCCAGATAAAATACCATCTGGATGCCTCTGATGGCAGAGTTTAAGTTGCATGTCCCTGCCTTGGCCCAAATTACGTTCTACTTTCTGCCTTTAGGAGGCAGGATTTCTATTAGAAGATGATTCTTCCTGGATCTATCTATCTATCATTGATCTATCTATCCACCTACCTATCTATCTATATTTTTCTAATGTTCCCACAAGGTCCTAACATTCTAAGCAACAAAATCAGCATTCTATAAAGGCAGAACATATCCTTTCTGCCTGAAACATTTGCTCTTTATATTTTGCAGGCATTAAACTTGGAGCTAATATTTTATGATAGAGCCAATACTGATCTCATTCAAAGAGTAATGCTACCTTCTCATCTCTTCTGTTGCCAGATGCTCATGTCCTGGGATAGAGACAAGTCTCCCAATCCCTAAGAAACGATTTGCTTACATTCCATAGTAAAAATAATTGCTCCCTCTTTTTTCAGAGGGGAAGGGGGCAGATATTTCCATACCTATATAAACTCTGAGATTAATAATTTCAGAGTTCCACTCCTTGTGATGTCACTGCATTGTATATACAGGTGTAACCATTTGGTTCTTAGTATTACTCTGTGCAGTGTTGGCTGCTCTTATTGTTGAGAATTATAAAGATCCAACCTGATTCAGAGGATATATATCAAATGGGTAACATCTCAGATGCTTCTCAATTTCTGACTGAACAATTTTAGTTTCATAACCAGAATATTTCTCAAATTATGAGAAATTATTAAAAAGTCCTCCCTCCCTCCCTGCCTGCCTTCCTTCCTTCCTTGATGGAGTCTCGCTCTGTCACAAGGCTGGAGTGCAGTGGTGCGATCTTGGCTCACTGCAACCTCCGCCTCCCGGGTTCAAGCAATTCTCCTGCCTCAGCCTCCAGAGCACCTGGAATACAGGCACACGCCAGCCGCCACGCCCGGCTAATTTCTTTTGTATTTTAGTAGAAACGAGGTTTCACCGTGTTGCCCAGACTGGTCTCGAACTCCTGAGCCCAGGCAGAGAAAGCATTTGATACAATTCAACCAGTTTTAATAAAAATTATTGTCAAACCATAAATAGAGATCAAATTCTGGAATGGATGAAATGTATACACCAAATTCTACAATAATCTAATTCTAAATGTTGGAACATTAGAATAATTCTTAAAACAGGAACAAAATCAATGCTTCTATGCAACAATATAGTGGTGGTCTTATTCAAAAGAGACAAAGGTGTAAGAATACAAAAGAAAACAGCAAACTTTTCATTATTATGAATAATATAATTCTCTCCTTAGATGATTCCATTTCATCTACAAATAAAATGTTAGAATAAATAAGTTTATTAAGTTATTTCAATGTAAAATTAATATGAAAAATTTAATTACATTTTTGTATGCCAGAAGCAATTAGAAAACAAGTATTTTATATAGGACTATTTATAACATGGACCAAGACTATAGAATACCCAGCAATACAAGTAACTAATATGTGTAAGACTACTGGAGAGAAAATAATTTTAAAATTATTTATAGATATTTAAAGATGATCATAATTGAGATTAATATGTTCGAAAGGAGAAGAAAATTCATTTTTTAAATTAATTTATAAAATTTATGAGATTTTAGTTAAAGCTCAGCAGGATGAAGCTTCCCAATTAATTAAAAAATGTGTTTTGAAAAGCAAAAGGAAAACAATAGAAAAAATATTTTAAGCTACAAAAGTTGAGTGAGATAATCTAGTTGTGGATATACAATAAATTTATAGTAATTAAAAAGTATAATATGAGTGTGAAATAAGCAATTGATCTAGCAAACAGAATATATGGTGTATTGAAAGAAGTACAAATATATAACAACCAGATATATGACACAGGTGGCATTGAAAATTAATGGGAAAACAATAAACTGTGCAAAAACAACCATTATCCATGTGATAGCCATGTCCATATCGATACATATGTGATATCCAGATCCTTATATGTGACATCCAGATCCAGATCCACATATACAGTGCATCTGTATATGCACTGTGCAAAAAAAATAAAAAATAAAAAAGCTGTTCCGGTTATCCTAAAGCTTTTATTTGTTCATTTATCATATCAATTGGAACTCTTTTGAAAATGACAAGATGTACTTACTAGATAGAATTCCAGAACAAGAGGATTAAACTGAGCCTTATCTGGGCAAATTGTGAATTTAGTCTTAAGTGCAAAAAGTGTGGAAAACTTCTTAATCTAAGAAAAACTTAATTGAGCATTGTGTGTTTAGTCTCTCATTTAATCCCCATGAAAATCCTATGGTCTAGATATTACTATTATCCTTATTCTATTACCTTTTTCAAGTGTTGGATAGAAGATTTCTAGTTAGGAAGAAGAAATTGCTGTCTTGATAATTGGTGGGATAAAAGTCCAAAATATTTACAATATGAAACTAAGCTTATGTTTTATTGAAAAGCTCATAATATGCCTAAAAAACTGATCTTAATTAATTTTAATTTCTCTTTATTCCCTTGGAGAGAATAACATGCTTAAAGGCTTCACTTATTTTTTTTTGGAATATGTCATATAATTATCAATGTATGATGTTTCTCCTATTCGTTCATATATTAAGTGATACTATTACAATAAACTAAGGAAAGTATCTGCCTAAAAACAAGAGATCCAGATGGAGGGAGAATTCCAAGAGACTTTTTGGGACCAATTAAGTACACTGGTAAATACTGTGCATATTTTACGCTAGCTGTTAGAAAATGTAAATGGAGACCTGATTATCATTCCAACTGAGAACATTACATAATTGCTCCATTGACTGTACTAACTTTCAGGATGTTCACGTTCAATTTAAGGCATGCATTATCCTGACATAAAGTTCTTTGTGGCTTCTATCCTGGCATTGTAATGGACTTTTTCTTACAAATGATTAAATTACTCATATTTTTAGTGAGCATTTAAGGTCACTAGAGTCCATTTGAGGAATATTCTCATTCAAATATACCAGTGACTCACTTTTAGAAAGGAACAATTCATTCATTTATGAATCAACCTGGATCCAATGCTCTGATATTTTAAAAGGGACCAATGTTAATTATTGAAGAGTAGATTTCATATTCATAAATATTTTATTAATATGCCTTTATGAAATGGTTGTAAGTCCAATTCTGATCAAGATCATCTGTGTATTTTTCCCTGTTTTAAAATATTGAATCAACGACTTGAAGAGTTATTTATTTGAAAGAGAATAGAGACGATAAATTTAACATTTTAGAAAGTAACCTATTATTTAAATGGATTTTAGATATTTGAAGGGTGATATTGCTCTGTAATTAGAAAACTGAAGAAGCAGATATTTCAAAACAATATGAACTTAATTGGAAAAGACAGCATTTTAAACTCCACATGAAAAGCCATCCTGTTTCTCAACCTAACTAATATGTGTTTCAGTGAGATAGATGCTACTTTCTTTTTCTTTTACTTTCTTATCATACTAATAATTTTTTAAAATTTGATGTAAGTGGCTGGGCGCTGTGGCTCACGCCTGTAATCCCAGCATTTTGGGAGGCCGAGGTGGGTGGATCTACCTGAGGTCAGGAGTTTGAGACCAGCCTGGCCCACCAGGTGAAACCCCGTCTCTACTAAAAATACACAAATATTAGCTGGGTGTGGTGGTGCATGCCTGTAATCCCAACTACTTGGGAGGCTGAGGCAAGATAATCACTTGAACCCGGGAGGCGGGGGTTGCAGTGAGTCAAGATCGCGCCACTGCACTCCAGCTTGGGCTACAGAGGGAGACTCCATCTAAAAAAAAAAAATTGATGTAATGTGTACAGGAAATGCATACAACTCTTAGGATAAAATAGAGATAGACAGCAGAAAAACTCTGTCTTGACAAGAATGGATGCATTCAGGGCAGTATGGCCACAGATGAAACTCGTCTTAGATTGTGTAGTGTCCATTTCAACTCTGCAGACAGTAAAGCAAAACCAGACATGTTTATTCTTAACATGGGACTTGATGAGAATCCTTCTCAATAACAAGAAGACATAACCTGCAAATGCATGTTGTATGCAGAAAAGATCTTTAGGCGACACTGAAATAAATAAATGAAATGTAAAATGTGAGAGACCTTTTTGAATTCACATTTAATTTTATATTATACTTAATAGAGACATATATTTCTATTAATGAATCATTTTTGTGATTTCATTAGTATCATGAAGCGTATTTCCCATCTCAACAAAAGGCAAAATGATTCAGAATTTGATTAGGCAAATGTTATGGCCCCTGTAGCTATTCATAGACCTCTCAAGGGAATGGGTAGATAAAAATGAAAATACCTCCTAGAAAGAGTGGTGCCAAAAATCTCCAAGGGTTGTGTCAAAGAAAGTGAACAGGGCCAGGTTTGGTGGCTCACGCCTGTAATCCTAGCACTTTGGAAAGCCGAGGCGGGCAGATCACGAGGCCAAGAGTTCGAGACCAGCCTGGCCAACATGGTGAAACCCCTGCTCTACTAAAAACACAAAAATTAGCTGGGTGTGGTGGTGGGTGCCTGTAGTCCCAGCTATTCGGAGGCTCAGGCAGGAGAATTGCTTGAACCCGGGAGGTGGAGGTTGCAGTGAGCCGAGGTCACGCCACTGCACTCCAGCCTGGGCGACAGAGCAAGACTCCGTCTCAAAAATACATACATACATACATACATACATACATACATACATACATACATACGAAAGTGAATACATGAAAAAAGTAAGGCGAATATAGAAAGTGGAGTGAGAGAAAGGCTGGGCAAATTGCATCCTATGTTTCATTAGTAAATTTAAGACATAGCACCAGACGGTACTAGATTATCTGATTGTTCAAACACTGTAAGCACACATGTACAAACAACATAAAACCAAGACTTATCTTCTGGTTTTGGGAATCATTTATTTTGTTTTAGATTTATTCCTCCTTCACTTTCCTCCCATTCCTCTCCTTTCCTCTTCTTCTCCCTCCCCTTCAAATTCTTTTCTTCTTCTTCTTCTTCCTGTTCATTTCCTTCTTTGTCTCTTTCTCCTTCTTTTCTGTCTATATCTACCTACATGTTGTTAATTTACATATAATATGTATTGCTATTTTCTCCTTGAAACTGATTTTTATCCATGCATTTTATAGCCCTTAGCTTGGGGATAAAATGAAAACAATAAGAAATATTGAAATCCTCTTGAAATATTACAATGCATGTCTGATGTGTTCCCAATGTCCTGAATAGTGCCTGGCTCATAGCAATTGTTCAATAATTGTTTGCTGAGTGAAGGAATTATTTTGCTTGCTTCTACTCTTGTTCTTCTAAAATCTTCCCATCAACAAGTTACAAAAGTTTTGAAAGATGTCTTGAGTCAGAACATACAATATTTGCTCCATAAGTACTTGAAGAAAATAAATACTGTAAGATGACCATCTCACTTTTATATTGAAACAGATGATTGAATAAAGATGTGGTATATATACACCATGGAATACTATTCTGCCATAAAAAAGAATGAAATCATGTCTTGTGCAGCAACACGGATGGAGCCAGTGGCTGTTATATTAAGTGACACAACTCAGAAACAGCAAGTCAAATACCACACGTTCTTAGTGATATGTGGGAGATAAATGATGTGTACACATGAACATAGAGTGTGGAATTGTAACACTGAACACTTGGAAGGGTGGGAAGGTGGTGACGGATGAGAAATTATTTAATGGGTATAATGTACATAATTCAGGTGATGGATACATCGAAAGTCCAGACTTTACCACTATCCAATATATCCAGGTAACAAAACTGCACTTGTTCCCCTTAAACTTACACAAATTAAAAAATAAAATCTTACATGGCTTCTCATTGTCCCATCTTCTGCAAGCCCAAGAATGTCCTACAAGGTCTCTCTGCAGCCGGTCTGTCCAACCTCATCAGTTTCCTCATTGTTTATTTGCTGGAACCTACATAATGTTTCTGTCTGTCTCAAACCTGTCAATTTGTGTTCTGTCCCCAAAGCCTATCAATTTCATATTTTACCCCACTATAATGATCTTCCTTACTATTAGCTAGCTGTCTCCTTTACATCATTCGAGATTGTTTTTTCATCCCTTCCTCAGAGAAGACATTAATGACCACCTTAACACTGGCCTCTTCAAAGGAATTATCTCTGATGAATTCATGTTATTTAAATACCTGTTTATCTTTTTCTCCAACAGAATGTAAACTCTATATGTGTAGGTTAACTTATCACCCAGGTCCCTGCTTATTAGTTCTTAATAAAAATTTGCTGATTTGCATAATTATTCCATCTGTATTGTTTTTCAGAAAAATGAGTAGGTCTTTTCAAGTCCAATTCTTTCCCTTGATACCTGAATATCTTCTACACTTGAGTTCTCAGAGACCTGACACTTTCAAAGACCTATTCTTTCTATTATACCATATTCCATTTTTATGTAGTTTTTATTATACAGTTGTACTCTAGAACTGTACTGTTCAATAAGGCAGACACTAGCCACATGAAGTGATGTAAAATCAAATTAAAATTAAATTAAATTAACTAAAATGAAATAAAATTAAAAATTCAGTTCCTCTGGTGAGGTAGCCTCATTATAAGTGCTCAGAAGTTACACCACTCTCCAGATTTGGAACTTGTATTTGTGTTTTTGCATCAGATATTATTTTTATGAGAAAGAAAAGGTTGCAATGGACTGAATGTTTGTGCCCTCCAAAAATTCATATGTTGAAATCCTAACCCTCAAGGTATTAGGAGAAGGGACTTTTTGGACATGATTAAGTCATGAAGGTGGAACCCTCATGAATGGGAATAAGGTCCTTATGATTCTCCTACCAGGTGAAGACACGGTCAGAAGAATCATCTTTGAACCAGAAAGCTGGACCTCACCAGACACTGAATCTGGCGGTGCCTTCATCTTGAACTTTCCAGCCTCCAAATAGGTGAAAAATAAATTTCTGTTGTTTATAAGCTATTCTGTTTAAATTATTTGATTATTGCAGCCCAAATAGATGAAGCCAAAAAGTTATATTAGCCCCTTTCGTTTGGAGAAAAAATTATATTATCGTTGTTGTATTTGTTATTCTATATTTATTACATACATGTAATATCCAGATAATAAACATGTTCAAAATGTATTTTCTACTGTATGTTTTTTCTATTCTTTATTGTTTTTCTTTGCTACCATTTTATTCTTTTGCTGCTTTCTGTTGAGATGATCAAGTCTTTGATATTGTACTTTTTTCCTTATTAGTTTGAAAGATATAAATTTGTTTCTGATCAATACGATGTTAATATGCATTCAATATTTAAAATACAAAGGTGATGTCCCTCTGCTCTTGCACAAGAAAGATACAAGAATTTTCTCATAAATTGTGTTGAACCCACTAAAATATTTGATCTTAGTTGTTAGATATACTAATTCATAATTGTTTTTAACCTATTAGAAATTAGTTTTATTTTGAGTTGGCCTGTTTTTTGGGCCCTTCTTATTTAGACTTACCCATGAAATTACCAAGCTCTTTGCTCAGTACTGCTTCCTGTTCCTGTTTCTTTCTTTTAAAATTGCATTCTTTTACCTGTGGAGCGTACCCTAAGTGTACTTAGTGGCAAAATCGTGTTGTTAGTCTGCAATACTTTTTATTCTATTGCTCTTCAGATTATTCTCTTTGAATTTACCAGGATGGCATTAATGTTGACCCTCAGTTTAACTAAACAGATGACAAATTTCTTGCTACAGGACCCTGAACTGTCTTCTTAGAGCATTTATATGAGAAGACTTGCAATTATTAATTCTTTTTCTACCCCTTTAAGACACAAATCTTCTCCTAGCCTTTTTGTCAGTTTTACAGCCCAGCAGTGTCTTTCTCAAGGACCTTGGAGCCACGCTTTTGAAAAGTCATCATCTTTCATTTTCTGTGGGTGAATAAGTGCCTAATTTCAGTAAGCTACAATTAGCAAACGTAGGCGGCCTAATCACATTAACCAAACTCGCCCCTAAATTTTCCACTAGTTTAACCCAAAGCTCTAGAACTCTCCTGTCTTTTCTTTCAACTGAATTGAATCTCCCTTCTTTATGCCAATAATCTTGACCCCTATTGAAAAATCTTGAATAAATTCTTCCTCACCTGTTTAATTCATCCAGTAATTTTTTTCTTTGATGGAATTTGGTGCACTGTCAATTTCTGTTTTTGTATTTGATTTATAAAGTATTTATTCAATATGAGATATCATGTTTTTTATTAATTTTAAAAAAATTAGCAATATTTTCTTAACTATTGCCTTTTCCCACTCTTTTCATTTTTAATTTTTTGTTCTGACATGTTGCCCTTCACAATCCAGCTTCCAGGTAGCTTCAAATTAGCAATATTTTCTTAACTGTGGACTTTCTCCACTCTTTTCATTTTTAATTTTTTGTTCTGACTTGTTGCCCTTCACAATCCAGCTTCCAGGTAGCTTCATTTATCTTTCAAAAACATCATATCATTAATTCAGAATCTTTATCAGGCCTTAAATACATTTTATTTGAAATGGATTCACATTCCAATGTGAATTATATTCCTCACCCCCTCCTTTCTTCCCTCCCTCCCTCCTTTCCTTTCTTTCTTCCTTCCTCCCTCTCTCCCTCCCTTCGTTCCTTCCTTCCTTTCTTATTTTTCTTTTATTTCTCGTGTGTGTGTGTGTGTGTGTGTGTGTGGTTGATTTTCTTCACATCCAAGGACAAATATAGCAGATCAGCAGATCATATGGCTACATTCTGCTTCGCAAAGGTGTGCAGTAAACTCACGATCCCTTGATCCTTAGAAAGTTTGGCAGCATTTTTTTTTTCAGTCCCATTTCAAGACCACAAAGTCTGGTTTCAGTTGATAATACAGGATCAGGCCGTTGTCTCTTTAGGCTTATTTTTATTCCCCTTTATCCATGTCTTGCTTTAGAAACTGTAATCTAGCACATACCAATATTCAGTTTTCCACAATCTCTGCCACTATGTGTTTCTATTCCATTTGTGGAGCACAGAAATATTTGTATTGCTTCAGAGCTCATCAATATTTGTTTAGTTGTTCTTTCTGTTTATCTAACAGTGTTATTTGTTTGGTGGGAAAGGTGCAACCAGATGTGAATTATTTGTACCACAATGACAAGAAGTTCGTGAATCGAGTTTACATATTTATACATCTATGCTGGCTGGAGATTTACATGTGAATATTCTTAATGACTATATACTCTACGCATATTGCCAGTTGCCTTCACAGTAACTTCGTTTGAATGTCACAAGTGCATATTCAAGTTAAAAACATACAAATCAGAACTCTTCCCAATCTTCTCCATTGCAATAAATAAAATAGCTCCACGTTCTTGCAAACTCAAGCAAATAAACTGTCCTAGACTCCTTTGCTTCACATCAGCTCCATCAAATGTAATACCTAGTTCTCATCATTCTTCATCTCCGTTGCTATTTTGTGAAACTAAATATTCACTACCCACTTACACTTAATCTTGTCACCATATTTATTCCCTTCACAGCATTTATCACACCCTGAAGGGGGTTTGTTAATATATTTTTGTTAATGACATCATTTACCTATTGAACACTGATTGTCTTCCTGTTCACAGAGCTTTTCCGAATTCATTATAAGAACTCAGCAAATCTTGGGTAAACCAGTAAAAAACATCCATCAGTATTAGATGGCTACATTACGCATTACCAGAAGTCAGGATTTCTGGTAACATAGCCCGCTTTCGTTTCTCAACAATGTACATTATAAAAAAGATGTAGGCAAATGTTTAATTTTACTTTCAAACTTTTATTTAATTTATACTGGGTTTCATATATAAAAGAAAAATAAAAACCATTTTTCATTGCTATTTCATATAAATTGAAACTATGGAAAATGTAATTCCTTGATAATGTGGTTTATTCCCTGAAATATAATATTTAATTATGTAAGTTTGCATCAGATACAACCTGTCTACACTCTGACTTTTCTGAAATATTAAAATATGCCAACCCAAATATGATATTCTCCTGAAAGTGTTTACTTGAGAGACTTTATTTTCATAGTAAGACAACAACTTTTGTTTGGAGTGCATTTCCTATTCTCATTCCCCTTAAATATAAATGGGCTTAATGCCCCAATTAAAAGACACATGGCAAGCTGGATAGAGTCAAGACCCATCAATGTGCTGTATTCAAGAGACCCAACTCATGTGCAAAGACACACACAGGCTCAAAATATAGGGATGCAGGAAAGTGTATCAAGCAAATGGAAAGCAGAAAAAAGCAGAGGTCGTCATCCTAGTTTCTGGCAAAACAGATTTTAAACCAATGAAGATTAAACAAGAAAAAGAAGGACATTACATAATGGTAAGAGGTTCAATTCAACAAGAAGAGCTAACTATCCTAAATATATATATCCCCAATACAGGAGGACCCAGATTCATAAGGAGGACCCAGATTCATAAAACAAACTCTTACAGACCTGCAAAGAGACTGAGACTTCCAAACAATAATAGTCGGTGACTTTAACATCCCACTGTCAATATTAGACAGAATATTAGCAAGATATTCTGGAGGCCTGAACTCAGCTCTGCATCAAGTGGACCTGATAGGTATCTACAGAACTCTCCACCCAAAAACAACAGAATATACATTCTTCTTGGCACCACATGACACTTATTCTAAAACTGACCACATAATTGGAAGTAAAAACACTCAGCAAATGCAAAAGAACTGAAATCATAACAAACAGCCTCTCAGACCACAGCACAGTTAAACTAGAACTCAAGGTTAAGAAACTCACTCAAAACCACACAATCACATGATAATTTAACAACCTGCTCCTGAATGACTCCTGAGTATATAGTGAAATTAAGGCAAAAATCAGGAAGTTCTTTGAAACTAATGAGAACAAAGAATCTCTGGGATGCAACTAAAGTAGTGTTAAGAGGAAAATTTATAGCACTAAATCCCTATATAAAAAAGCTAGAAAGATCTCAAATCAACCTCCTAACACCACAACTAAAAGAGCTAGAGAACCAAGAGCAAACAAACCCCCAAACTAGCAGAAGACAAGAAAAAGACAAGCTCCAAGCTGAACTGAAGAAGATAGAGACATGAAAAACTCTTCAAAAAATCAATGAATCCAGGAGCTGGTTTCTTGAAAAAAATAATAAAATAGACCACTAGATAGATTAATAAAGAAGAAAAAAGGGATAAATCAAATAGACAAAAAATGATAAAGGGGATATGACCACTGACCCCACAGAAATACAAACCATTAAATAATACTATAAACATCTCTATGCAAATAAACTAGAAAATCTAAAAGAAATGGATAAATTCCTAGACATATACACACTCCCAAGCCTGAATCAGGAAGAAGTTGAATCACTGAATAGACTAATAACAAGTTTTGAAATAATAAATAGCCTACCAACCAAAATAAGCCCAGGGCCAGATGGATTTAGAGGTAAATTCTACCAGAGGTACAAAGAGGAGCTAGTACTATTTCTTCTGAAACTATTCCAAACAACTGAAAAGGCGGGACTCCTCCTTAACTCATTTTATGAGGCCAGTATCATCCTCATGCCAAAACCTGGCAGAGATACAACAACAACAACAACAACAACAACAACGACAACAAAGAAAACTTTAGGCCAATATCACTGATGAACATTGGTTTAAAAATCCTCAATAAAATACTGACAAACAGAATCCACCAGCACAACAAAAAACTTACTCACCTTGATAAAGTCAGCTCCATCCCCAGGATGCAAAGCTGGTTCAATGTACACAAATCAATAAATGTAATTTATCACATAAACAAAACTAAAGACAAAAACCACATGATTACCTCAACAGATGCAGAAAAGGCCTTGGATAAAATTCCACATCTTTTCGTGTGAAAAACTCTCAATAAACTAGATATTGAGGACATATACCTCAAAATAATAAGAGCCATTTATGAAAAACCTACAGCCAATATCATGTTGAATAGGCAAAAGCTGGAGGCATTACCCTTGAAAATCAGCACAAAACAAAGATGCCTTCTCTCACCACTCCTATTCAACATAGTATTCAAAGTTCAGGCCAGGGCAATCAGGCAAGAGAAAGAAATAAAGGGTATTCACATAGGAAGAGAAGAAGTCAAACTGTCTTTGTTTGCAGATGACATGATCCTATAATCAATGTGCAAAAATCACAAGCATTCCTATACACCAACAACATATAAGCAGAGAGCCAAATCATGAAGGAACTCCCATTCACAATTTCTATAAAGAGAATAAAATACCTAGGAATACACTTAACAAGTGAAGTAGAGGACCTCTTCAGGTAGAACTACAAACCACTCCTCAAAGAAATCAGAGAGGAAGGAATAAAAGGAAAAAAACCCCATTCCCACGGAGAGAAAGAATCGATATCATGAAAATGGCCATATTGCCCAGAGTAATTTGTAGATTCAATGCTATTCCCATCAAACTACCATTGACATTCTTTACAGAATATGGAACCAAAAAATAGCTTGTATACCAAAGACACTCCTAAGCAAAAAGAACAAAGCTGGAACCATCACGCTACCCAACTTCGAACTATACTACAAAGCTACAGCACCCAAAACAACATGGTACTTGTACAAAAACTGACACAGACCAATTGAACACAGTAAAGAATTTAGAAATAAGACTGCACATCTAAAACAATCTGATCTTGGACAAACCTGACAACAACAAGCAATGGGGAAAAATTCCCTATTTGATAAATGGTGATAGAACTGGCTAGCCATATGCACAAAATTTAAACTGGACTCCTTCCTTACACCTTATACAAAAATTAACTCAAGATGGACTAAAAACATAAATGTCAAACCCAAAACTATAAAAAACCCTAGAAGAAAATATAGATAATACCATTCAGCCACAGGCAAAAATTTCATGACAAAAACATCAAGACCAACTGCAACGAAAGCAATAATTTACAAATTGGGTCTAATTAAACTTAAGAGCTTCTGCAGAGCAAAATAAACTATCATCAGAGTGAACAGACAACCTACAGAATGGTATAAAATGTCTGCACCCTATCTATCTGACAAAGGTCTAATATACAGAGTCTACAAGGAACTTAAACACATTTACAAGAAAAAAAAATCCCATTAAAAACTGGGCAAAAGATATGAACAGACACTTCTCAAAAGAAGACATTTATGTGGGCAAGAAACATATGAAGAAAAGTTCAACATCAGTCTTCATTAGAGAAATGTAAATCAAAACTACAATGAGATACTATCTCACATCAGTCAGAATGGCGATCATTAAAAAGTCTGGAAACAACAGATGCTGGCAAGGCTGTGGAGAGTTAGGAATGCTTTTACGCTGTTGGTGGGACTGTAAATTAGTTCAACCATTGTGGAAGATAGTTTGGCGATTCCTCAAAGACCTAGAACCAGATATACTATTTGACCCAGCAATCATATTACTGGGTATAAACCCAAAAGAATATAAATCTTTCTATTATGAAGACACATGCATGTGTATGTTCATTGCAGCACTATTCATAATAGCAAAGACATGGAATCAACCGAAATGTCCATCAGTCATAGACTGGATAAAGAAAATGTAGTACATATACACCATGGGATACTATGCACACATCAGAAGTGTCTGATTTCAATTATGGAACATGAACATTACATAGTGAGCCCAGGACTTCTTGTTGTACCAGAATGAGATAATGTCCTTTGCAGGGACATGGACGGAACTGCAAGTCATTATCCTCAGCAAACCAATGCAAGAACAGAAAACCAAACACCACATGTTCTCATTCATAAGTAGGAGCTGAACAATGAGAACACATGGACCCAGGGAGGGGAACATCACACACTGGGGCCTGTAAGCAGAAGGGAGTTCTTGGGGGGAAAGAGAACATCAGGAAAAATAGCTAATGTGTAGGGGGCTTAATACTTAGGTGAGGGGTCAACAGGTGTAGCAAACCACCATGGCACATGTATACCTATGTAACAAACCTGCACATTCTGCACATGTACCCCGAAGCTTAAAATAAAATAAAAATTTTTAAAAAATAGTTTCAGAAAATTATTGTAAAAACACTTAGTAACAAATCAATACAATTTGTGTTTATGTATTATCAATAACAATTTTTTAAAGTTTACATACTACATCTCAATTCAATAGACTTGGGAATTTTTTAGATCACAGTAATATTTAAATAGATTTTAATCTGCTGAATACTTCTGTTTCTTTTCCTGTAAAACAGGAAAATGCTCAGCAGCTGGGATTCTTAAGACTACATATAAGTGATGTATAGAAGTACAGTGCCTAGCAAATATATGTTCTTGAAAGTCTTTGCTATACTCACAAATTTCTCCTCAAGTTTTTAGTTTATCGTTTATCACTCAATTGATACCTCATATCTAAGAACTAGTTCAGACGTAGGCCATAAATATTAACCTATGAATTCAAGGCTAGTTATTAATCAGATTTTTTAACCTTTTATGTTACACGTGGTTTCTGTTTGAATAACAGATTGTGTTTTACTCTTGAAATGAAGTAACATAAATCTTGAAAGCTAGTTGTGAATTGTTTATGAGGTGCAATGTAACTAAAAAAATGAATTTCAGCTTTTCCTTGTGCTTATAGATATTTAAATACAAAATGATTAGAGATAGATAATGTAAATGTAATCATCACAGATGATTACATTACAATACAAAATGTACCTTTCTTACATAAAAATTTTAAGTAGTAGACATGCTAGAAAATGCTGATAAAAAGTCAAAACTTAAATATCACCCATCAGCTCATTTTCATACTCCAAATCTTTGACCAGATCTATGTGTCTGTGTTTGTGTATATATCTGCATGTCTGTATAATTTTACCTGTAGTCTGTCCACCTAGTGAACAATGAGCAGGCACTCAGACTGGCCGGAATTTGGCTTTCATACTCCTATATGAAAATAAACCAGGGCTCTCTGGGGAAGTGGCTGATTTCAGTTGTGGACATGAATGTCACATAGTGAGCCCAGGACTTCTTGTTGTACCAGGAAAAAAAAAAAAAAACCACTTTGCTATCAATATTTTTGTGTAAAGACACAAGAAGTAGCTTAAAGAAATACGCACTCATCAAATCTGGGAATATCGGCACATAAACAGTTGCTTTAAAAAACATACCAGCAAAATAAATAAGTGAATGTAAAAGTTTAACTTTAATTTTTTTCATTATTCTTGATATTGTAATTCTGAAACAACCCCCATTTTATCTATAACCTATACTTTAATTTTTCACAAAATTATTTTATAAATAGAAAAAAGTTTCAGAAAACTATTGCAGAAGATTTGTAACAACTCAATACTATTAATTTCTGTTTATGTATCATCAAAAATACACTTTAAAAAATTCACTTATTAAATCTCAAGTAAATCAATAACTCTCCAATAATCTTAATAAGTGTCAAATAATAGTTCTATGCCAATAATGTAAAATAAATAGTATTAATTTCTAAAATTCATCAAATGTTTCAAATAAATATTAAAAACTTTATTTTAAAATATGCTTTATTTTACCCAGTTTGCTTTTCACTCTTCTATAATTTTGTAAATGAAAACTAAAACTTAGAAAATGTATATGCATAGCAGAAAATTACCTTGTTAAATATACATGTTTTAATATACTTGTGCCTGTATTATAACTTGCAGCTTTTCTCTATCTTTGAAGTGCCATATGTAATGAAAAACTAAGATTCTTCTTTTACATTTTTAGATCCATAATTGTGTAACATTTACGTATTCTTTTGGATTAGTGTCTCTATTTGTGTTAACAATAATACTCAATATTAAAATCTTTCAAGGTTTTTAGTTATTAAAATAAATCACAGTATTTCCAGAATTTTTTGTCAGCTATAAAAATATAAAATTCACAATGTTTTCTTCAAAAACTTTTATTAGCTTGAGTGTAAAAGCAGTCTTCAAGTTCTGGCCAGCTAAATTCTAAAGGTCAGAAGTTCCTTTGAATGCAATATGATTGCAACATTAAATATTCTAACATATTCTATGCTGTGATTCAATGAATATTTTGGATCAACATTTGAAAGTGGAAATCTTTTCAGGCAGATATCTCTGATTATGGCTGTTCTATATTTATTTTTTGAATATTTAGCATTCATAATTTTATGGAGAATAATTTTTTTGAAAGTCATTATTAATATATGTAACAAATATTATTTGTGCATATGATTACCTTGGAAGTTGGCATTGGAAAAGGAAGAAAAATCAAAATAAAAAAAGGAAATTAATAGTTGCTGTGAGTTAGGTATTGTTTGGATATTATGAGCAAAACAAGTCCCTTCCTTTTTGCCTTATCCAGGGAATGTTAGGAAACCAATTTAGTTTGCCATGGATGTTAAGGCAAAAGAATAGAAGAGGATCCATGCACTTAAGCTTAGCTAAATGACAGTGTAAGTGTGAAAAATCACATAAGATGATGAAATAATTCTATAATACTCAAACCAGGAGTAGATCAATAACCTAAAAAAATTATTTTTTAAAAAAGCAAAAGTTTTTATAGTTACCTCAGCATTCCCTCAGCATGAGATAAGCACATCTTTTAGATTATACTTTGCCATACTTTCTTTGGGAATTTCATAATATTTCATTTTTATTTGAAAGAGAAATGGGTTGTAATATTTAAAATGCTGTGGGAGACGAAAAAACATTCATGTTTTCATAATCTCTTCTGGGCATTTTTACTCAATTTCGTTGACAATTTTGCAATTACAAAGTTGGTCAACTTATAAATGGAAGCAAGTTTTATTATATAATCAGTATTGTATTTTTAACGGATGTTATTTTAGGAAAGCAAAGCATAAACAGTGACCTCTATTTTATAATTAAATGTTTATACAATAATATATAATGCCTCTATTTAAAATTTTGCAAAAAACTCAGTGGAAATTCTTGTTAATATAAAGAATTACCTTTTATTCTGTGTTCTAACATATTAATCCCTAGAATCAGAATCAACCCTGAAAGAGAGGTCATGATTTGTATTCTCTGCAGTTCCCAATAAGAGGAAATAAATAGTATTACTCAACTATGCTAACAGAGACATACAAATTTACTTAATTCCCCTGACACACAATGGCTTTCTAAGTGTGCTTTCTCATTAGTGTCTGAATCATTAAATAGGTTCAAAGTGCAGGATTTAATTAATTTACAATTCTTAAAATGACAAATTGTTGAATATCCATGGTTACATAAACTATCATGTGGAAGTTCTAAAGAGGTTAATTTCTTCATTATGAAAAAGGTCATTAGTTTTTTCTTTTGCATTTTTTTCTCTCACAGAACTGTAACTAGTCCGAGAAAGTTAGAGGATGGAAAAGAGTAGAATGGTGCAAGAAATTATAGGAACTAAGATTAGAAAAAGAGTCAAGGAATTCTTAATGGAGCTTTTATATACTATGCTACAAAAATTGAGTTTATTCTGGAAATAATGACGATGCATCAAAAGGTTGAAAGTGGTTGGAGGATAAATTGGATGGAACATAAAAATATTTTTTAATTGGAAAATATGAAAATGAGGAGAATCATAAGGAGGGATTCCAGGCAAGGAAAGGTGAGTACCTGAACCAAAATGGTACCTGTGAAAACGTTTGTAGTAGAGTTAAACTGGACCTGCATGTAATATTAAGATGATCATGGCCAGTAAGAATTACTTTTGTGATGCCACAGTGGCAGACATGAATTTAAGGACTGTCACTGGATTGATTTGTAATGGGATACTAGGACCATATGACCATAAATTATACACAGTGAGCAGAGAAGAAGAGTTATTGAGGAAAACTGATGTGATAAGCATGGCAGACACACCAGAATCCAGAAAGGGAAAGTCTTTTTGAGACGTAATTCAATGACTTTGTGTTAGTTGAGCCAATTTTAAAGTTTTAAGGATGGAATGATCCACAGATTCAAATACGACCATTTCAAGTAAGGAATGTACTGAATCCTGAAAATCACTGAGGTTATGAATAATTGTAGCAAAGATTTTCATCCTTCCTTTCCCCTCCCCTCCCTTCCTCTTTCTTCCTTCCTTTCTCTTTTCTTTTCTTTTCTTTTTCTTTTTCTTCCTTCCTTCCTTCCTTTTCTTTCTTTCTTTTTCTTTCCTTCTTTCTTTCTCTCTTTCTTTTACTTTTTCTTTTTTCTTCCCTTTGTTCATTGTTAAATTCCTATCTGCTCTTCTTATATTAATCCTTCTTTCTAGTTGTTAAATGTTCTGTTATCTTGCTTGTTGGGTTTTCTATATACATTCATTAGTTGGCCTTTCCTCTTCATACCTACTTTCCTCTTTCTTTTCTCCTTACTTGAAAAAATATATATACATATATATATAATTTATACATTTATTTATATATATTTACATATATATATAAAGGACTTTTTTTGCTGATGTAGAAATTTAACAGTACTTTTCATTCAAGTTTTCTTAAATAATTTGTGTTTCATATTTGTATTTAAAAAACAACTCTGGTATAGCTTCTTACATCATTTTGAAGTGGTTTTTATTGTTAGTGTGAAGACAATTTATCTACCAAGAGACAGAAAGTATTTTCTTTAAAAAACAATAGTAAATTTATAATTTTAAAAACTATACATTTAGGAAATAAAATGTAAATTCTATTCAACCTTAGCCACAATTAGAAATATAGCTTCTTCAACAAAAGAATAGAAGAGCGCAAATGCAAATAATTCTGAACTTATTTAATCTTTTTTGGCCTTAAAGAAAGCATTGGAAAATGTATATTTATTGTCTATGTTCTTCTATCACTTAATGTTTTACAAGATGAATTTCTGAAGCTACCTGGAAATAAAGTGCAAGTAACAATAACAGGCTTTGTAACCTGCATAGACAGAATACTTTTTTAAAAAAGAATTCCAGGTAGGAACCGTTTTTAAAGATAAATCTCAACAGGCAGAATTGTTTGCAATTAGTCCCTTTAAAAATATTCCTTTCAAAATTTAAAACTTAAATCAAGAGTGAAGTTATCATAAAACTGCTATAAAGAGGGATTTTTCCCAACGTCTGTTACTGCTTCTTCATTTCTTGCAGCTTGTATCCAATGCATGTTGCTGACATTATGCTCTGCAGATTCTCATTACACCAAGTTCTTCTGTGTTCATCTGCTTCCTCAAGGCCATTATCCATTACATCTGTCTCAGCTCAGCTGATGCTCTGGCAGTGGTTCTCTGCGTTGAGCATTGCTGCCACACACCTTTGGTCTTTAAACCTGAACTGGAATGAAGCTTAAACTGAAATGTAGAGGGCAAATGGTGTGCAAAACAAACTTTAAGTAGTAGTGATTAATCTTTCCAATGAATTTTTCTGTTTTTAGCCCATTAATTTTCAATAAACATTAATGAAGTACTTATCATGTATTAGCCACTATGTTACCTCCAAAAATAAAGATGATAGATAAACGATATTTGGTTTCGGCACTCATTTAATATCATTTTGTGTGTATATGTATGGGTAGACAAACTAATAACATTATGACATGGATAATCACATGATCACTAGAAGCTATGTAGTGTGTGAGCCCAAAGGACTGCAAGTAAAAGGTGGTAATGAATATGCACTTTCTCATCCCCCCAATAACATCACTAACACCCAAATCCAACCTCTGGGGAGTTAGATCCATGAAGGCAAGGATGCTTTGATTTTACAATGGTTCTACTCCCGGGTCCCTAAAATTACCAAGCACTGAACAAATATGTGTTGAATTAATGAAAGAATTAGATTTGAACAAAATTTATATTCTCAGTAAACTCAAACTCCTTATTAAAAGACTCTTAACAAAAACAAACAAAACTATGAGCACTTGCATAATTCTCAGAAATACTATTTGTTTCCAAAAGCTTAAACTTCTAAATAAAAAATGTATAGAAAGAAAACACTGCGTAAAAAATAATTTTTTGAATTAAACAAATTTTAAAACTTGTAGACTTCGCATTTATTAAGATTTTATCCAAAGATTGCTGAGTTTTAAAAGGCTGTTTCATGTGCTTTTCTGCCTTAACTCTTTCCTTTACAACAAATTGAGAGAGTCTGGAGAGAATGGTATTATCTGGCTCGTGGTTTTTCTTTAATAAACATAGTTAGTTTCAAGTACTAAATTTGAAATGAAGTAAAAGAATGAATAGGCAAGCAGAAAGCTCATGTGACTTCTAACTAGAATTTTCAAAAGGGAAGGGAAAAGAGAGGAGAAGGCAACAATCATTTCTCATGCATTTTTTATTTACTGGTCAGCAGGTGAAGGATAAGCCACACCCACATCCTAGCACCCACAGAGAGAAATAGGCCATGGATCCCCTTTGGAAAAGAAAGAAGACAAACATATCTTCAAATCTGAATCTAACAATTTCAATTCCTTGAAAATTAAATCTTAAGAACACCTATCACTCCTCTTAGGATAATCAAAATAATTCCAACTTCCCAAAAGTTTCTGTAATAAAAGCTGGGGAAAGGAATTTGAAAAGTTCCACTTCCTACCAGCTGGACAGTTGTTTAAATTTTATATAGAACGTATCCCTTTATAAAAGCTATGCATTTTTTTTTAGTTTTGTTTATTTGCTTAAAATTTATGGAATTATAGCATCCTCTACATACTTCCTTTTTTTGTACAAAGAGTTAGAATGAGCCCTGGTTCTTAGAGAAAACTACACATCTTGAGAAGAAAGAAAGCAAGAAAGAAGGAAGGAAGGAAGAAGAAAGAGAGAGAGAGAAAGAAAGAAAAAATTTCTATAACCAAAAAATGACAACAATTTAAATCATGACATAAATGGAGCTTGAATTTACACTGAAAATTGAGATTTGCTGGAAGGAGCTAAAAATTATACCACAAAAAATAATCCAAAATAATCACTAAAAGGAAGTAAAATAATTTTAAAATGATAAGCACATTGCTGATATCAAAAGCCAAAAAAAAATTATCCAGCAGACAGAAATATAAAGAAAACCCACAGGAGATAGATAAAACTAAACCTGTTTACTCCCCGGAGATAACTGTCCTAGATTCACTAAGCACCTTGGTATCTGTGATTTTGAATCCGCAGGGGACAGAATATGATTGCACAGACATCTGCATACAAAAGCGAGAACTGGATTCCACATAATGCTAGGACCGGGAAAGAGCAATTCTACTGAGAAAACTACTCTAAAGATATGGCACGGAAGTAGGCTATACACCTTGTCTACAGGCAAGTAGAGAATGCTACAAGAAATGAAAGGCCCTCAAAATGTGACATGTCTGGATGTAAGGCCATATTCTGGGAAGAAATATGTGTAGTTAAAATTGAGCTTTTGTTATTCAGAAGAAGGAGAGAATATTTATTGGTTCACTAATTATTAATGTCTTTTGGCATGTAGAAAATAAATCACAAAGACAGAATTTAAGTACCAAGGTACATTGGTTGGAAAAAAATAGCCTGGTCTAGTTGATTTACACTTATTTGTGGCAATAGCTAAGGTTTTGGATGGAAAATAGTATTTAACTTAGGGAGGCAACTGGGAATTTTATTATGAGGGGGTTCGGAGAAGAGATGTGTGGATAATTCTTTCTTTATAGCCCTAGAACATGAGAATAATTTTTCTTATATTAGTGCTCATCAAAAAATCTTTCTGTGGGTGAGACTCTTAATAGTAGAATGGTCAGGATGACTTGCCATATGGATCTAAATATTCTCCTTCCAGTTGTCCTCTGTGATTGGTCACTGAGTCTCTTAACACTTGGATGGAGGGCAGCTACATGAGTGTCTTACTTGTGGAGTCATGCTCATTGACACATCCCTAATTTTCCTTCAGCAGAAACCAACACAATGAGGATAAATTATATCTAGTGGTAATTTCATTGTAAATCAATTTTCCACTCTATAGATGAATGCAAGTTGTTCTCAATGGGCAAACATAATGTAGATTTCACATTTAAAAAATTGGCTTACAGGCTTCTTCCTCTAGAGCTATGCATGGTCTTTCTTAATACCATATATATTTCCACAGTATTCCATCAAGCATTTTTTCTAATCAAGATATATACCTTTACTGCAAAAATATTCTCTATCCCACAAAGGAAGGTGGTCTCACATGGAATAACCTACAGATATTTCAATTACAATATCAAAGAGGAGAGAAAGTATGCAACAGGGGTTGCTGCCTGCCAAAATGTTCTCTATGCACTGAATAACAAACATACGATACTTCTTGTTCTCTTATTACCATTGAGACGGCCAGGTGGGAAGGGCTCCCTGCAGAGTCTCTGACCCACCTGTGCACTGGGGGGAGCTGACATTGGAGTGGAGCCACAGAGGTTCACTTCATTTGCAGCAGGGAGGAGCCTGGCTCCTCCTCTTCCTAGGTGGGCCCTAGAATTCAAAGTGCAAGACAGGAAGCACACCCACAGGGACTCTGGCTATGTGGAGGGTCCATGTTACCCGGTTTTTCCCTTTTCACCCAATAAAACCCTGCCTTATTCATCCTTCAAATCAGCTGCAAGCCTAAATTTTCATGGCCATGTGACAAGGACCCCATCTTTAGCTGAACTAAGGGAAAGTCCCGCAACACCGTAATACATGCCCTAGGAAGAATTCCTCTCTTATGATTGTACTTAGGTACTTGTTTGCAGAAATCGTCTTCTCAAACTTACCTCAAGGCTCTAGGTTCTTTGTTTTAGAGCATTTGGTATATAATAGAGAAATGCTCCTGCCAAATGCTACAAAATCAGTTCCATTTAAAATCAGGCAGATACTTTACCATTTCAGTATCTCTACCTTACTAAAAAAAACAGGTAAAACAGTACAAAGTACTATCTTCAGTTACTGATTTTGACTATGCAAAAGTAATAAAAGTGCTGCTTTTAAACAGAATCAGGAAACATATGCCCAGAAAATTCTCTGACATGCCTCCTAATAGTAACATGTCCAAAAGTAAACATTAAAATAAGTCTACTTTATGATGGCCCACATCACCCCACCAGATAAAGAATTTTACCCAAAGATGGAAGGTGAAGATAACATAGACTAGGTAATATTGCAGAGAACAAATAGGAGATATAGGATTGTGAAGGGTTGCAAAAAGGAGGACTATAGACCTGATCTGTATTTTTCCTTCCTAGTCATTAGTATATTTGTGCATGTCATTAATTTTCTCATTAAACTCATCTACATGCCCTTCATGTAAATGCATCATGTCAATAGTTCTTAATTTGAAAAGCTTACGCATAGGCCTAATAATATGGAGAATCATATTTTGTAGTAAAATATTTTGACTAGTATTGGATGTGAGTCATAGATTCTTGACAGAGGGTCTGAGGCCTTATTGATAAGAGGTATACTCATTCCCCTTGGAGATTAAAGTGAGTTCACTTCCAGTAATTCTGGATATAAATGGTTTATGTTAGGTGGTATTTGTTTTGTTTTCATTAAAGACCTAATGGATGGATGGATGGTTGGACTACAGATAGATGAATGTTCGGCAGACAAAAAATCGAACTGTGATTGATACATTTTATTTTTCATTTTTGCCTTCCTAGTATCAAAACAATATTTTTATTTGTTGAGAAATCCCCCAATGGTTATAATTCAAGATGGGGTAATAATTTGCCTCACACTAATGAAACTGAAGCAACTGAGATTCAATGATATAAATACTTAAGCTCACTTTGTGTTTCAGAACTCAGAATGCCAGATTTTTTTTCTCTTCTACATCATAAAAGATGTCACAAACATCTACATATTCATCCTCGAGTAATACTGACTAGCTTAACTATATTATTGGAAATAAATTAAGAAATTTTCTTTCTTCTATTCCCTTGTATAGTTTAATGATCAAATATGGATGAAAGTGCTAAAGTTGTGTGTGCATAGATACATACAAAAACTTATACACACAAATATATATACAGACAGATTTGTATATATACTAAACCTCAATGTATATAAAATAACCAAATACTTTTTTTATGATTTATTATTTATTTATTTTTTTAAGACAGAGTCTTGCTCTGTTGGCTAGGCTGGAGTGCAGTGGCGTGATCTCAGCTCACGGCAACCTCCGCCTCCCAGGTTCAAGCAATTTTTGTGTTTCGGCCTCCTGAGTAGCTGAGATTACAGGCACCCGGCACCACTCCTGGGTAATTTTTGAATTTTTAGTAAAGACAGGGTTTACCATGTTGCCCAGGCTGTTCTCTAATTCCTGGCCTCAAGTGATCCACCTGCCTTGGCCTCCCAGTGTGCTGGGATTACAGGCATGAGCCCCCACACCTGGCCCAAATATAGTTATTTTTACAACAAAAGTCATGAAGGAAAATATTGTTCCCTCTAATAAATGAAGGAAACAACTAAGTAGTGATTGTACTTAAGTATCCAGCACTGCTACTATGTTGATAATTTGAGCTATCCGAAGTACTTACTAAGAGAGTTTGTCTCCTCAGATACACAGTATTTCAAGCAGAATGATCATTAGTCAGCAAAAGGCAAAAGATAATTAGTTCTACTCTTTGTAGTTTCCACACTAAGCAGTCTGCTTAGAGGCATAGGAGATGATTTGAAACAGCAGTTCATTACATACAGGTACCCATTGCTCTCAGAATTATTTGTTATGTCTTACACTGTTTTATTTCATTGCTTCTTTTCTGGCTACATTGTTTAATTTTTTTTTCTTAGACCATTTTTTTCCTATTCCTAAGCCTCAAATGTTCTAAATTATTTGGTTTATTTTACATAATTTTGTTTCTTTAAACAGTTTTAATATATCTCCAATTGCTTAATATTTAAATATAGTGTTATTATTTATTTATTTTGTATTTATAATTCCCTTATAAGGATTTCTAAGTTGACATTTATTTAGCTACTTTTTAAACTTTATCTCTCTTTATTATATTTTCTAAATACACTAATATGCTTTCATTTTCTTTTGCTTTTTGTAATAAGACTGTTATTAATGTACTTTGACCTAGTTATAACTGAATGTAGATTTAAGAACAAGGATTCCACATGTTGTAAATAGGTAAAGCTGGGTCTTTCCCCTCCCTTCTACATAATACTTCAATTGTTTTGCTAATTAATGACCTTCTATTTCCAAAGTGAATTTTTTTCTAAAAATCATCATTTTTCCCTCTTATGGCTTAGTCACTGATACATTTCTCTAGACTCCTTCTGTATCCATTTATATTTTTGCCAATATACTCTTTGGTATTAATATATTGCATTCCATATGCCTCCAGTTCCCAAACTGCACGTCAAGGCAGTCACAGGGACATCATAGAATGTCCTAAAGTTTCAAGGAAGCATAGCAATACTTGGCATGTCCAAATATCACGGACACTACTTACTCCAGGTAACTCAGTTTCAACATTATCTCATACTATATTTCTTTAGAGGATGTCACGTTTTTGTGAATTCATTTCTTGGCTGCAAGAACACATATCCCATTAGTAAGTAATTGTGATTTTTTTGGCAATGAAATACAAATATTTGGTTTTCTTTCCATTAATGTGAAGTATTTTTTTTCAAAAGGCTACAGAATTGTTGGTATATAAATTCGTAAGTTATTTGGAACTAAGTACTTAATAAATGTAACTCAGGTAATTCGGTTTTTTTTTTTTTTTTTTTTTTGAGGGAGTTCCACTCTGTCACCCAGGCTGGAGTGCAGTGTGGCACGATTTCAGCTCACTGCAACCTCTGCCTTCTGGGTTCAAATAATTCTCCTACCTCAGCTTCCCAAGTAGCTAGGATTACAGGTGTGCACCACCATGTCCTGCTAATTTTTGTATTTTTAGTAGAGACGGGATTTCACACTGCTGGTCAGGCTGGTCTCGAACTTCTGACCTCAAATGATCCACCTGCCTCGGCCTCCCAATGTGCTGGGATTATAGGCATGAGCCACCACACCCGGTAACTCAGGTAATTCTTTTACTCTAGGAGTGCTGTGAAAGATGAAACACTTATGGCACCATGAATGCAGAATGTTTGGTAAAAGCTGCCACAAATCCTCAGAGGATGAGTTGAGTTACTGCCAAGTGCTTCCTCTACTGTGTATGGAACTGAACTATTTCAGATTTCAATAGCAAATGCTCATCCTGGCTAGGAAAAAAGAAATTTTAATAGGACCAATTGTATTCTTTTATCCATGGCATTGTTTAGATATTTAAATTACCAAACTTATTTTTTTCTGGCTAAATTATCTCAGGCCTTGTAAACAAAACATGGTAAGATCTGTGGAAGAAAAAGAGAAGTTTATTTTCTATTTTGCTATAACAAAAGCAACAACAAAAACCCACCTGCAGATTGGGAAGGCACAGCCTTCAGTGTAAGTGAAGTGTGCTCTCTGAAGGATAAAGAAAAGACTATAGGTTTTATAAAAAGGAGAAATGTTACACATGGTTCTTTGGGAAATTTCATTGGCACTAATAATGTTTTGAGGAGCTGGCAAGCTCTGATTGCTAAGTCACTGCAGCAGAAAAACTAGTCTGAGTATAAGTTGCGGCAGGTTGTTTCAGCAGTCATCTGATAAAACCACTTTCAGGTTACAGCAGGCATTCTTAGCTGCCAGCCTTGCAGAGAAACACATTTTTGGATCAATGTGTTGTGCCCTGAGTGCTTATTCCCCATGGCTTCTCCAGTCCATTTTAGTTGGGTATGACAAAAATGACCCAGCTCTTATAATCAGCTTTCAGTCTTTATAGTTTTCTTCATAGACCAGTTCCTCCATTTTCTTACTGTGGTGGAGATGGCTAAGATTATCTGTTACCTCCTTGTTTGTAGTAGAAGTAGAGCTCTCCTGATTTTTGAGCTGGGCAGCTGGCTGCCTTTCTTTATGTTGGCAGGCTCTCCTGTGGTGGGGTGTGGCTATATCACTGTGTTCACACTAATCGATGTAAGCTGGAATGAGGTGTGCAATTTCCAAGTCATCCTTGACTCACACACTTGCCAGAGATTTCCTTTCTTTTTTACACATGCCTCCTATTGGACAGAGCAAGGGCATTGACTCTTGCTTGGCCATTCAGGTATAAAGGAAACCTTTGTGGATAGCAAAGAAATGAAATTAACTAGGGTTTTAAACAATTCTGTGCAGCAAAGTCCCCACCTGCTTGGACTAGCTAGAGTGTTATATGATACAGAAATGAATTTTTATCTTATATAATCCAGTGTATTTTTAGACTTATTGTTATAGCCTAGTTATTATTCTAACACATTTAGCATTTAAATTATCTTTTTTTTTCTTTTTCTTTTCTTTTCTTTTTTCTTTTTTTTTTTGAGACAGCGTTTCCCTCTGTCTCCCAGGATGATGTGCATTGGTGCAATCTTGGCTAATTGCAGTCTCAACATCCTGGGGGCAAGCAATTCTCCCACCTCAGCATCCCCAATAGATCAATAAATGGAACCACAGGCATGTGCCATCACACTTGGCTAATTTTTGTATTTTTTGTAGAGACACCGTTTTGCAATGTTGCCCAGGCTGATCGCCAACCCTGCACTCAAGTGATCTGTCCGCCTCTGTCTCCCAAAGTGTTGGGATTACATGCATGAGCCACAGTGCCCAGCAAAACTTGTTTTGTTGACATTTTTACTAATTGTAGCAAATAAATAATCACAGACAAATTAAATTATATGTTAACACACAGTCATGGATTTTGACTGATTATTTACTTTTCCTGATAATTTGTGAGTACATCAGCTTTTGTAACCTCAAAGAATGTGTTTAATATAACCTAGACACGAAAGCCTAATGTAAGCAGATGCCTCATGACTTGAATCTACCCAGAGTCCATATACAGCTAATCATACATGCACTAAAAAGATTCATTGCCAATTGTTTTTTATGAATTATAGATATTAGATGATATGGCTTGAAGAAAAATAGCATCAATCAGCAAACCTCCCCTTTGGGCATCTTCATATTGATCACAAAGTTCTTTGGGGTCCTGCCTTCTGAAATTAATATATATATATATAAATTAATATATATAACTATATATTAGTTATATACTTTTATTTTTAGCGATATTCATCTTTGATTCTTATTTAAACACTATTATGCAAAACAAGAATCCTAGAAGTTAGCATGGCCTACCGCATTTCTTAAAAAGCAGTTCAGTCACCATTTATGGTCACTTGAAGCTATTATCTCTGTTTCTCCCTGCCTTTCTTAAGTGTTGCACCCATTTATTACACATATACAAATTCACTGTGTTTTCCCTGTCATAGTTTTAAGATATGTCCACTCATCTTTCAACACTTCTTCCTAGAAAAGTACAACCTAATTCTCCTACCTCTGACTATGGACTGAACTGGACTTGCTAATTTAGAACAGAATATGCCAGAAGTAATGGTATGTGACACCCAAGGTGGGTCATAAAAGACGTTGAATCCCTGAACCTTCTATCTTGCTCGCCTTCAGGGATAACTCACTCTAGAGGAAAGCAGTTGCCATGCCATAAAGACACTCAAGCAGCCCTCAGGGAGGCCTAAGTACCAAGGAACTGAGGCGTTCTGCCAAAAACCATGTCACTAAGCCATCTTAGAAGCAGTCCCTATAACCCCACAAGAGGTCTCACATGACTGTAAACCCAGCTGACATCTTGACTGCAAATTCATTAAGTGATAGATAACTGGTTTAAATTACGTTATAATTAAAGATAATTTTAAAGTAAGATAACTAGTATTGAGTAAAAGAAATAAACATCTGAAATGTTTACCTTATACCAGGAATGAGATAGGCACAATCACCCTTCCCTTTTCCATGTCATTTAGGGAGATATTACTCGCTTAAGATTAGGGAATGGACTTCTATTCAAATAAAAGTAATTTTATATTATATTTGCAGATGTGACTGTTTTAAAGCAAGCCTGTTTTCTATTTAATAAAATTAAGTATGTGTACCTCCATCACCCATCTCATCATCTTACCATTTACAAAATTTCCACGTAAAATTACTCTATTTGATTTGACTTAATCAGAATATGGATAGAATTTGTTTTCTTTGAATAAATAGGCAGATTTCTAGTCAACTTTAAAAAATTATCTAGCTGTAATGTTTCTCCACCCTAGATTCTCACTTTGTGTTCAAAACCATCATTTAATTTAGGTGTATGATGTGTTGAGAGTTGAATCTGTAACATCATTTGTGGTCTCTAAACTCTTGACACTAAGATACACTGTAACACCTTTACATTGATATGTCTTCTCTGATTTGTGTCTCTGGTTTAAAATATATTTTTCATTTCCATGTTTTTATTGCAGTTTGAAGTGTCATAGAGAAGATGACAATCATGTTTCACATAACTGGATTATCTCCAAAATTGAGTCTGATGAGAACAATGCCATTCAGGATGGTTATTAAAAATGTTAATACTCTAAGAAGGAACATGGAGTTCTAACCATCTGTCTGAGAACTAAATCCCATTATTATATTAAATCATGCAAATTATTTTGTAGAAAGTGACATACAAGGTCACTTGTATGTATGTATTGTATTGACATACAATATTTGTGTTGAAAAAAATATATTGTATTGAAAAATATAGTAAATGTATACAGGCAAATGTTCACTTTGATAAACCAGATTTTCAAAAATAATACAAAGTTAATTTTTTAAATGCTATGGGATGAATAAAATTAACTTGGAAAGGTAAACATAAAAATGATGAAAATAATATCTAGAGGAAAAGTTTGAGATGCTGTAAATAAATGATTTTTTCTGTTTGCAGAGCGAAACGTCTTTTGTTTTATCATGTACCTATGTATTTATTTTCTGAAACATTACTGATTAATGCACTTACACAAGTTTATAAATCTAAACACTATTTTTTATTTTTAAAATATGTAAAAATTGCCACATTTACTCAGTGAATCATGCTTACAATCTATTTTCTTGGAATATTTTCTGTGTTATATGAAAAATAATAGTTTAGATAATAGCTTTTCCAAAATGAGACAATAAAACAGATAATTTCTTTTACTCACTGTTCTGAGGAGTATGCTTATAAACTACTTGCCATCTATTCAATGAAGAAAGTTTCCTAACCACTTGTATGTGAACAGTTTGTCCCTTAGAATAAAATTTTGACACTGTCATGTCAGAAAGAACCATTATATGAATGAAAATGTATGAGTTAATAATTATGTGTTTCTTGAATTAAATATTTATGAGCAATTTGCCCAACTAAGAGAACTTTAACCAGGCATTTTTGACTGTATTTTTTAATTCATGAAGGAATCAGGAAAAATCTTTGGATAGAACATTAGATGAGCCAATTGCTGAATAAATGGAACCAGAGTTGAAATGGACACAGTAAAATGAAGAAACTGAAAAGGAAAATAGAAGTTACATTGCAAAATTGGAAGTTGTATTGGTTAGATTTCCATCAGATGGGGTATTTATGAATTCTAAAAGAAAAAATCTACCTATACTTATTATATGTATTAGGTAGAAATGAAGTATTTAAAATGACCACTTAAACATTTAGTCTCAGTCATTTATTTGGGGACTGAGAGTGGAGCCTGGAAAACCAGAAAGGAAAGTAGAACAGAAATTACAGAATGAGGCAATAATAGCTTTATTTACTATAAACATGATTTTGATATAATGTGTTTATATATCTTGTTCTGCTTCAGGAAAACTTTAGTAAACTAAGCTGCAGATAATTTGGTATTTTTCAAAACACATCCATATGGAAGAGAGACTGCATATTTCTAGTGTGAAATTAATTTCAAATTGAATCAGGTAATAAAAGCTCAATGAAATATCATGTGTAATTTTTATAAAACTAAGTAAAATTATTTTTAAAAATTCATATATTTGAAAGTTATCTATGCTTTGATACTCATATTTCTTTTTATTTTACAAGCAATATAGTTTATTTACTCTTTACAAATATATTAAAAAATCCCACCATTGGCAATCATTCTCTACCTAAAGTTGTAAAGTTGTATCAGCCATTTTTTTTCTCACTTATATTTTACCCAGGATCATGCTGAAACAGTGCCTATAACTGGTCATTACCACAAACATGTGTAATTGCTCCCAAAATTTTCTTCCAAAAAATTTCCTACTTGACCCCCCCATATTAAACTTAGAACTATATATATACACACACACACACACACACATATGTATACTAATAGTTCATATATGTGTGTGTGTGTATATATACACATACGTGTGTGTGTGTATATATATGTGTATATATGTGTATATATGTGTATATATATGTATATATGTGTATATGTATATGTATACGTATATATATGTATATATATGTATATATGTATATGTATACGTATATATATGTATATGTATATACATATATATACATATATATATATATATATATATATATATATATAGTATTAGTCTGTTTGCATGCTGCTATGAAGAAATACCCGAGGCTGAGTAATTTGTAAAGGAAAGAGGTTTAATTGACTCAAGGTTCCACAGGGCTGGGGAGGCCTCAGGAAATTTACAATCATGATGGAAAGAACCTCTTCACAGTAAAGCATGAGAGAGAATGAGAGTGCTGAGCAAAGGGGAAAGCTCCTTATAAAACATTCAGATCTCATGAGAACTCCCTCACTACCACAATAACAACATGGGGGGGAAGCTGCTCCTATGATTCAATTATCTCCACCTGGTCCTGCCCTTGGTGTGTGGGGGCTATTACAATTCAAGCTGAGATTCGGGTGGGGACACAGAGCCAAACCATGTCAAGAATTATCCAAATCTCACATTTTAAAAATCCAGATATTCAAGAATCTCAAAAAATACTAAGCAGGAAAATTCAAAGAAAAATACTTCTAAGAGTACTAGAAGAAAATAAGATTACATGCTAATAACTTCCATGAAAATAGACGCAAAAATCCAAAGTAAAATATTAGGAAATTGAATCCAGCAACATATAAAAAATAATAAAACAAAAGCATGAAGGCTAACCCCAGAGATGCAGTTGTTTTGACATTTGAAAATTAATTGATTTATGACATTAATAGAATAAAGTAGAAAAAATATGTTTATTCTAATAGACGGTGTATTAGTCCATTCTCACACTGCTATAAAGAAAAACTACCTGATACTGGGTAATTTATGAAGGAAAGAGGTTTAATTGACTCACAGTTCCACATGGCTGGGCGGGGGGCACTCAGGAAACTTACAATCGTGCTGTAAGAAGAAGCAAGGTACATCTTATAGGGTGGCAGGAGAGAGAAAAAGCACAGGGGAAACTGCCACTTTTAAACCATCAGATCTCAGAATATGCTGGGATTACAATTTGAGATGAGATTTGGGTAGGGACACAGAGCCAAACCGTATCATTTCGCCCCAGCCCCTCCCAAATCTCATATCCTTTTCAGATTTCAAAATCAATCATGCCTTTTCTACAGTCCCCCAAAGTCTTGACTCATTCCAGCATTAGCTCAGAAGTCCAAGTCCAAAGTCTCATCTGAGACAAGGCAAGTTCCTTTTGCCAATGAGCCTGTAAATTTTAAAACAAGTTAATTACTTCCAAGATACAATGGGGGTACATTGCAAATATTGAGTAAATATTTATAGGCATTGAGTAAATATTACCATTCCAAATGAAAGAAATTGGCCAAAATAAATGAGCTACAGGCCCCATGCAAGGCCAAAATCTGGCCTGACAATCATTAAATCTTAAGCTCCAAAATGATCTTCTTTGACTTGATGTCTCATATTCAGGGCATGCTGATGCAAGGGGTGGTCTCCCACAGCCTTGGGCAACTCCACCTCTGTGTCTCTGCAGGGTACAGCTCCTGCAGCTGCTTTCCTGGGCTGGCATTGAGTATCTGTGGCTTTTCCAGGTGCAGGGTACAAGCTATTGGTGGGTCTGCTTTTCTGGGGTATGAAGGGTGGTGGCCCTCTTCTCACAGCTCCACTAGGCAGCACCCCAGTGGGGACTCTATATGTGGTTCCAACCCCACATTTCTCTTCTGCACTTCTCTAGCAGAGTTTCTTCATGAGGGCTCCACCCCTGCAGCAGACTTCTGCTTGAACATGAAGGCTTTTTCATACATCCTCTGAAATCTACGCAGAGGTTCACAAACATCAACTCTTGTCTTCTGCAAACCCACAGGCCCAACACCACACAGAAGCTGCCAGTGGTTGGGGCTTAAACCCTCTGATGCAATGGCCTGAGCTGTACTTTGGCCCTCTTTAGCCACAGCTGGAGCTGTAGTGGTTGGGATGGAGAGCATCATGTCCTGGGGCTGCACAGAGCAGTGGGGCCCTGGGCTTGGCCCACAAAACCATTTCTCCCTCCTAATTTTCTGGGCCTGTGATGAGAGGGACTACTGTAAAAATCAGGAGAGCTCTATTTCTACTACGAAGTAGTAGAAAGTTTTCCCTCTTTTATGATATTAGCTTGCAGAAAATTAGAAATAGAAGACATCTTTCTTAATCTGATGAAGAATTTCTACAGGAAGCCCACAAGTAGCATCATGCTAAATGCTAAAACTTCGTACAATATCTCTTCAGAAAGAGTTATAAGGCAAGGTGAAAGATAAGAAAGCCCAAGATTGCCACTTCTATTCAATATTGTATTAGAGGTGCTCGCTAGTGGAATAGGCAAATAGAAAAAAATAAAAGGCATTCGAACTAAGAAAAACAAAAATTATCCCCATTCACAGATAATGTAACTGATAGGCAGAGTATCCAAAGGACTACGCAGACAAACTATTAAAATTAATATTTGAATTTGTTAAGATTTATATATAAGGTAAATTTACTAAAACTCATTGTGTTTCTATATATTAGCAGGGTGGCATGCAAAATGTCAAGAGTAAGCACATTAAAAGCTGCTCAAAGTCATTATTAACCAAGAGAAAAAAGTCAACATCAGAGTTAATACTATTACAACCCCACCAGATGAGCTAAAATTAAAACAAAATGAGAGAAAAACTGACTAGTGTTGGTGAGAATGTGAGCAGAGGGAACTGTCATATATTGCTGCAGCAATGAAAATGGTACTACCACTTTGAAAAAAAACTGTTTGGAAATTATTAATAAAAGACTTATGAAAAGAAGTACATACTAATTGGTATCAGGGAACTACAATAGCAATGAAATACCAATTCAGAACCTTTGACAAAAATTAAACAATCTGATAGTATAAAAGAATTTTATGGTATAAGAATATAAGGAAATATAAATAAGTACAGTCATGTCGAAGAGAAAGTGAGCAATATGCAAGAAAGTTACAGATATTTTCAATCGACCAAAATATAATTCTGCTTTTAAGTGTAAACCATAAAAAAACCTTAAATGTATGTAGGTTTATAGTAAGTAGATGTGGTCCAAGGAAACATGTACTAAAACTTCTTGGTAATTCTTTTGACTATTTAGATTTTCCTGTTATATAATTATCTATTTTTTTATTGAAATGTTTGCCATGTCTTACTACATGTTCTAGAATTTTTAAACTATTATTACTTCTCTTTTATCTTCATGTCATTTGCTTCTTCATATCTACTCTTGTTTGTGTGTGTATTTTCTCTACTTTTTAATGATCAAGCTTGAGATTTACAGTTTGTTCATATTTTCATTAGCATTTGGATTGATAACATTCCCAATTACTTAATATTTTCAAAATTATTTTTTTATTTTTCAATTGTTATTTTCATAGTTTCTTTTTATATTTCTTTAGATTTAAGATTTTAATACATGCACCTAAGTTTAAATATTACCATTTAATCCCTGCTTAGTTGCATTGCTCAAATTTCAATTTGTAGATGTTATTCATTATTCAACAATAATTGCAACAACAACAAAAAACAACTCTACTTTCCTATAGGACAAAAAGAGAGAAGAGTTTCTATATTTATGATAGTGTTACTTTTTCCCCCTTTCACCTTTGCATGATTTTGACATTTTACTGAGGCTTCCTTAATCCTCACTGTGTCACTGTGGGCTGCATTAAGCTCTGTGTGCTGGCTTTATGCTTATTTAAAAAGGTGATTGAAATACACTATCATCTAGGGTCAGGCCTTCTCTAATTAGGCAGAAACATCTGGTCTCCCTCAAGTGTCTATGTTAAATGGTTTATTATTAATTTTGTATGTTAATGATTTGGAACCCTTTAATTTTATGAAGCCAGGAGGATTATTATTTTTGCCAATGACCCACATTACATGAAAAAAAGCTATAAATTATTTTTTGGTAATAAAACATTGATGTGATACGAACGTTGCTTAAAGTTACATAGCAATGTTATACAAATTAATTCAATGATTATTGTTTAAATCAATACAGAATAATCTTGCCAAAAAAACAAATAAATTAAATAATTTGAATAACCAATGCCAGAATAGTTATCTCATCAAAACAAATAGTTCTAGTTAGCAAAAAAATTAAAATATAAATAAAGCAATACACAGTAAATTTGATTTTTTCCAAGATATTTAATAAACGTTATACATTTACATTTATAAGAGATTCAGAACCAATGTTTTAAGAATGGCTATCAATGGTAAATTGCAGTTTAGAATATTTATTCTCAAATAAACACTGCTTTAAGATTATTTTATATCTGTCAACAAAATTTGCTTAAAAAATTTCAAGATCACCCTGAGAATATGCCCTAGCAGGCTATTGTTTGTGTATGTAAATGTATAAATATAATATTGACTTATGCGGTTGGAACCAAGATGTAGTTTAGTATAATAATCCTATGAATCATTCACACTTTCAAAATGTTAATTTGCTTGAATTAGTTTTTCTGAATTTTCTCACAAATTATTCCGATTAGGTATAATTTACTACTCGCTACATCTCCAAGTCTCCGTAAGATCAAGACCATAGATATTTCACATCCTCTATGCAGCGACTGGCACAGTTTCTCATTTTCAGGTCATCCTTCTTTGTCCCTTGGTTTTTCTCTAATTTATACATAGCCAATATATTTTCATCATTCAATGTAATTAAGTGTCTACTAAGGAAAAACTAAATATCTTTTATTTGAAACTTGATATATGATTGCTTTTGTTATTGCCATTTTTAAATATAATTTTTCACATTACTTAGCAACTCTAATCTTATGGCAGATGCAGCCAATATAGCATATAGAAATAAATAAAAGCATCGATGTGCATTCTTCTCATGTAAATGTGTTATACATCAGAGATGCTGCCAACTCTTACTCATTTTCAACCTTGAATTAAATGCAGAATGTGGCTGGCAAATTATGTCTTAAATATCTGACTCAAAATTTCAGTAGATATTCTATCCCATTATGTAAATTTAGATATCCATCTGGTACATGGTATTTTTTTTTTCATAGCCAACCTCAGGATTCAGACTATACTGCTTCTATTTCAAAATAACTAGATTAAAGCTCATGGTATCCTTATATTAGCAGCACCATAAAACTCTTAAGTTTCCACAATTATGTTTCCAAATATTTGGGGGAAATCTGAATTGTCAAATTCCTTAGAGCTCTCTTATGGCTAAAATAAGTTAAATATATTATATATAACTTACATATAACTTTTAGCAATTCCAAAGTTAGTAAAACCAGGTTTTGGTAGATTTCCACATGAACTTGTACTTTTAGAAGTATAATTAAGTAATATATTTGCTGCAGGTAGGTTACCTGAAATAGAGTAGTGGAGGCAAAAGCTGGGTTAAAGCTTTATTGGGGGAGTGTAATGCCAATGAAACCAGGGGAAAGAAAGAAGGAAGAGGCAGCCGATGGAAGAGACAGCTGAGGAAAGGAGAAAATATCAGAGGTACATTTCCCAGCTGGCCACAGTTCTCAAAAACCAAACCGACTGCTCTATCTTGGGGACGTCTAGAGATAGTCCAAGTGAAATGATCACATCTTGGGATTTTTCTTTTGAGGTTGGGAGTGGGATTGCAACAAATTGTGAAATATTCACTAATTGATCCTCCTGTTCTCCTCCCTCTCACCATCAAAGTTGGCTGCATAATCATTATCATCATTGCAATTCCCACTTGTGGTAGCTGGTCCCGCCAGGCCACTTCAGGAGGAAGAAGCCACAGCTTTAACCACTTCAACCTGGCAAGTCTGTAGACCTCATGGCTTCTCATTGTCAGTCATTAGTACGTGGGTATATTAGTTATCTACTTCTGAGCAATAAATTATCCCAAAACTTAGCGGTTTCAAGCAGCAAATATTTATTATGTTAGCTTCTGGAATGATGACAGTCTGGTTGTTGGCTGGGGCCATTCTTAAAGGAACATCCAAATTGATTCATTTATGTTTATTAAATGTATGTGTTGTTCCTCTTTATTTTCTTCCCCACTCAAGTGGTGATTTAATTGGGAAATTGGTGCAAGTGTTAAGCAGCTAAACACGAAAACAAATCTTTGTTAACAAAAATACTGATAGCTTGTATTTATGGTCTTGTGTGTTTTATCATTTCTCTATAATTAGGCAGTATTGGTGAACTAATCATCAGCAGGCTTGGAAGATCATAGACTTATACAGCGAAGTATATTCACAACTGAAAGTAATTCAGAAAATAGGCTATCTGCAGCTAGGACGGACCCCTATTAGAAGAGTAAACAGCAGAAATATGTAAGCCTAGTTCCTTCCTCATTCCAAACTCAGCAGTAAGCTAAGTCACTCTTCCAGTGGGTGAGTTGGTGGAAAGTCTAGGGAATGCTACTAATGGCCAAAGGCTATAGCAGCACAAGAAAGGAAACGGAAGGAAAAACAATATTTGCATTTAATAAAGGAAAATGAATAAATTTAAATGTTGCAATAAGCATGATTCATAAATTATGAGCATTGGTAAAAATATGATAAAGCTGCTATTAATTTTTACAAAACCAGAATACTACCTAAATTTAAAAATCATGAGTTTTTATTAAGGTACACTTCTGGAAAAATCTCAGTGAGAAAGGTAAATTTATATTACATAACTAGTGATGCTTTCTGTGCATTTCTCATTGGTTATTTCTGAACTGTTGGCATCTCTGTATAAACTGGTAGAATTGAAAGTTAAGATATGTGCTTACTAATGAAGAAGGGATAACGTGCAACAAATCAGGATTAAATGGTTTACCAAGTCTTTATGAAACTAGGTAATTCATAATAATTTGCTATAAAGAAATAGAAGTTAGCTAATGAAAGTTTCATATTACTTTCCATTAAATATAAGTATTCAATACAGTCATTATTTTACTTTGTTGTGAATAAGCCCCAACAACATTTTTAAACGAAATTAAATCATTTTAACAATGCTTTTTTCTTGCATTAATGTAACCACCTGGTGGCACTATTGATTAAACTTGGAAAAGCATTAAATTTTTGATAAGTCCTTATAAGAACATTTTCTACATTAAAATTGCAAATTATATGTGATTTCTGCTACCATTTCTTTCTTTGAGTATATCAAAGATGGAGGGCTGTTGCTGGAAAAACATGCTGAAAATTATTTGAAATTTCAAATGTAAAGAAAATCCTACTTATTTTTTACATTTGCAAAAGTCAAGGACTTACAAATGGTTGTGGTAATATTCAGAAAGTGAACATAAAGATGAATATTACATACTTATGATTTCTATATTTAATTGGTGAAATCATTTCAAATGGGATTTATGTATTAAAAATCAGACAAAAGTATGCCTCACTTTCTTTGGTGATCATCTTTGTGATTTGATTTCAGATAGCATAGCAAGAATATCAGTACTCTCTGAAGTAGAGATACCTGCATCTCAAATATAATCTTACATAAAATTCATTTATCTATAAAATTCTCTTACAGATTCATTTATAATCTGGTTGTATGCCTGCCAGAAATTTAAAGGATTGTGATGAACTACAATAGACCTTAATATTTTTGATCCATAAATTATGGAAACTTTAAAACTAATAAATTATGTGCAGGATGTATTTAAAAATATCAGAAGATTTTTAAGTAAAATATTCTTTGTGAAAGCAGAAAGGAACAGGATATCAGTTTACTGAGACAGCTTGGAACTCATTTGAGAGATAAAAAGGAAAAATTACCATAAGGCACTAGGAAAAAAAAAATTATAAACATTATTTGAAAGTAACCAAGTTCTGAATGAGAGAAAATATATGATTGTCTCACATTAATAAAAACTAAAATATATTGGTCATTTTAGGTTATTACATATCAATAATTTTCTAATTTCAGAACTAAAATTCTAAGTTTTAATGATTTGTACACAGTTGATTTGATTCAAATAGTCCCTTATATTTCGTTTTTGGAAGGATTTAGTTCATTTATATGTTAAGGTATATAAATTTCCTTCTTGAAAGGATTCAGTTTACTTATATGTTAAGGTATGTAAATAGGTTTTTATAACTAGTAATTATTTTGAGTCATACATTTTTAGTAATGTGAAAGAAAAAATCTTTTCTGAGATGTTATGTGATTGAAATGATTTCAAATAATTCTGTGAAGAATTATAGCAAGTAAAAATAAATGACTTCACCAACTAAAAACCATGAAATATTTTCATATGTGCTCATGTCGTGCTGCCGTAGACAGCTAAAGTCAGAATGATATATTTAGTTACATTAGTCTGGGCATTGTGTTCTAAAGAAATTCTAAAGACAGAAAAGGAAGAAAGGCTCATATTATGAACATTTATTATGTGTAAACTATTGTTATAGATTAAAGTAGTCTGAATAAATCTAAGAAAAACTGAAGTCCTGGTTAAATTTCTAAACCTACCTACACACATACACATTCACACACTCCACTACAGTCAGAAGTAGAAACATGTATGATGATTTGAACACATTTCTCTTTCTTCTTTTGGTCTATAAAGACATATATGTAAATTTTGACTTTAAGATAAGTTTACTATTGTAGGTTTACTTTACACTTTTGTCTGTAAGGTTATACACGGAGCCCCCAAATTTTAGATCTTTGTTCTACTGTGACAATCACTGTATAATTATTCTTGTCTTTACTGGCAGGAAAAGATAACCGAACTGTGGTTTGTAGAGTTCAATTACAGACACAGACATTATCAAAACCGAAGAGTAAAACTAAGAATAATTCTTACATGATTTACTAAGTCCTCTGCCATTCCTATTTTCAGACACATGGATTGGACTACGTATTTGCTAAGATAAACAAATTACTCCTAATCATAACTAGATTGATTACATTGATATACCTCATACTCAATGCAAAAAAAAAATGCAGAAATCAAAACTTGGCAGACAAGTTATTCCATTATTAAAGTATTTTGAAAAGTTCTGGATATAGTAAATTCACAGTTATTCTTTGAGATTATATTAGCCAGTCCTGAGATAAACAAAATCAGCAGGACTTATGTGTACAAATATGTATTTATACACAAACACACACACACACATACACACACACACACACACACACACATTTGGAGAGACAGAGAGAGAATGAGGAATTGGGTCATGTGATTAAGGAGCTAAGTTCTATGAACTTCCATCTGTTAAGCTGAAGGCTCAGGAAAGTTGGTCATGTAGTTTAAAGGCCTGAGAGTCAGAGGGTCATTGGTGTATATTCTAGTCCAAAGTGAAGGCATGAGAACCTGGGTCTTCAAGGACAGGAGAAGATCAGTATCGAGTTCAACCAGTCCAGCAGAAAAAAACTTCAAACTCCCTTCACCTTTTTGCTCTGTTCAGGCCCCCAGTGTATAGTATGATGCCCAGCCACCCTGAGGAGGGCCATCTGCACTCAGTTGGCCAATTCACATGTTAATCTCTTCTGAAAACACCCTAAAACACACCTAGAAATAATGTTGAACCAAGTATCTTGGCATTCAGTGGCCTGGTCAAGTTGACACCTAAAATTAACCATCACAGTCACTCTTTTCTGTGAAGGACAGAGCTACATTCTCAAGTTGAAACTCAAAAACAGACAATACATGCATATGTTCTCCATAATATCCTCTTACGCCTTTAAATGTTATGGCCATGCACTGGCTACACTATGAATACTATGTAATATTGCACGAGATACAAAAAGTTCAGTTAGAAAATATAAGAAAAAATTTGACTTAACTAGAATTCTTAACTAGAATTTACTTAACTTTACTTAACTAGAATTCTTTCTTCCCCAGTGATTTGTTACTAATGAGATTAATGTTTTGTAAAAATTAATAGTGGTAACTGCTTGTTCAAAAATTTTATAACCTATAGATTATAATTTATTGAATATAATTTATAATGTATAGGTTCATTTAAATGACTACAATAGACACTTGTAATTGTTCCTGCTTCTTGCCTTTCCATACCCCAGATTAATAGGAAAGAAACACAGTCAGCCATGACTGCCTCCTACTCCTTAAAATTCAATAGACTTCTGAATTAACCACAATCCTCTCGGTCTACTACCTTAGTATTTATGCTATCTGCTTCATATATAATTCTTCCTGCAGTTACCCTTCACATGGATAACTGCATGCAATTTTAACTAGTACTTTTTCCGTGCACTTAACCTTATTTTTCAACCTCCAAGTTTTTCTCTTTCAATTGGTCCATGCTGGAAGGCCCTATTTTTCTTTTCTGTCTATTGAAACCAATGATTGTAGGAGACAATAGCTGGTTTTGAGTCTTATGCAATTTTGGAAAGAAATGCTTTTGACTAGATCTGATGATAATATAATGCTGGTAATGCATAAAATACCTCTGCCAACTTTCTTTTTACAAAGAAGTCTAAGTTTCCTAAGCTATCTACTATTCAAATTTTCTTTACAAATTTTACAAAAGTAAGCATCAAAGAAATGTATTATTACTAAGGAAAAAAAAACTCAAGCCACAAAAGCATTATACATCGAGTGCTCCACTCACATTTCACAACTACTTTGTTCCCTATGCAGCAAACTTTCCCAGTATACTTTTATCATATTATGATTCTTAAAATTTAATTTTTTTACTACATCAAAGTATATGTAACATTGTTTTTCAGTAACCTTGTAATAAACTATCAGTAAATATGTACTGAAAAAGCGTGAATAAATTCCAAATTTATGTATAGTTGACCCTCTCTGCAGTTCTTGCTTTCATTTATTTAATTAACAAACATTTCATGCATACGGTGTCCCAGGCACTGTTTTAGGTGCTGAGGCAATATTAATAGTGCTTACATCTGCAGAGGAGAGCACTATATGAGTTTTAGATGATATATCCCGGTTGATATATTTTGGATTAATATGAACATTTTCTTGCTCAATAAGGCCAACATCGTATTCTTTTCAAAATTCAAATATGCTTACCTTAAGCCAAGGAAATAGTATAACTCATATGGCAATTAAATGTTGCTCTTAAATCAAATGCATTGCATTCAGTACCTAAAGTTATGAAACCTTTTTATTTTCGAGACACTTCAGCTTTAAGTTAATGTTCAGGCAGGAAAATGCTCTGGTTTTATGGATATCAACCCCCTCAAGCAATACGGACTCAAGAGATTTCCCTGTGAGAGAGCACTGCAGCTGTGATTTATTAAATTAAACATGGTTCATGGCAATTAGCCATGGAAGTTTCCTTTGGGCCACTCTTCTGATCACAGAGAAATATAACACAAACGACTGGAATTTCACTGACGGAACTGCCACTTCCCTGCAAAGTTTCAGCTCTTCAGAGTCCACCTGCTACCTCTCACTGTTCTCAGGGCTATGATCTTATGATCTTCCTCAAAATTGTATCAACAGTATTTTTCACTACTTTTTCAGTTTTATATAGGTAAAACTTCCATTAGCTGAGCTTTGTATATCTTTTTTTTTTTTTTGCTTTGTTTTATTTTTGAGACAGGTCCTTGCTCTGTCACCCAAGCTGGAGTGCAGTGGCATGATGATGACTCATTGCAGCCTCAACCTCCTGTACTCAAGTGAACCTCCAGCCTCAGACCCCCAAGTAGCTAGGACCACAAGCACACACCACCACACTCGGCCAGTTTTCGTATTATTATTATTATTATTATTATTATTCTGTAGAGATGAGGTTTCACCATGTTTCCCAGGCTTGTATCAAAGCCCTAAGCTCAAGCCATGAGCCTGCCTTGGCCTCCCAAAGTGCTGGGATTACAGGCCTGAGCCACAGTGCCTGGCCCTTTGCATACTTTTGAATTTTTGTTATTGTTTTTACTATTTGCAATGGTTTGGCTGGCAATGGCCAAATCCACAAAAGCATAAATGAAAAACTAAGCTATATTGTGTAACTTTTAAGAAAACATGAACTGAAATACATATTAATAATTATCATTTGCTCTTTTCCATTTCACACTGGCTGGAAAACCTTTTTGTTTCCTCTTTCTTTTGTATTTTTCACTGCAGCTGCAATAAAACTCTTAATTAAGTCTTGGCAATGCCATCTAATTGGTTGCATAGTTGCTTCCAAAATGACAGACTCACTGTACCCTACACCGCATTGAACTTTGTTTCTTGCAGTCTCCATGCATTTGTACCTATAATTTTCTCTGCCTAAAATAGTCTTGCCCAGATATTCACACAGCTGCCATTCATTATTTGTTTTTCAACTCAAACATTACTTCCTTGGAGATGCACTCGCATGCTATAACTATATCCTATGCTCACTAAGTAGCTCGAACTATTTACTTATTTTAATTTTTATTGCACTTATTATTATAGGGAGCCATATCTCATTTACCATAATCATACGTCTGCCACTGAATATAAGCTGAATAGGAACAAATCTTTATTTTTCATGTTCTCTAGGAAAGAGAGCCTGACACAAAGTAGATAATACCTAAATATGTATAAAATAAATATATAAAACTATCTCCAGAGATGCCAAATTAAAGTTGCTGAGAAGTCCTTTTTCTCAACTCTTGAATCTTTCAATAGTACAGACGTAAGTGCATATTACTGATACTATCGTAGTGCAGACCTATCTGTTTTTATGATATGGAGTTTTTAAGATTATTTTCCTACTGTGAGCTTAGAAAGTCAAGAATATTGGGATTGGCCGGGCGCGGTGGCTCACGCCTGTAATCCCAGCACTTTGGGAGGCCGAGGCGGGCGGATCACGAGGTCAGGAGATCGAGACCATCCCGGCTAAAAACGGTGAAACCCCGTCTCTACTAAAAATACAAAAAATTAGCTGGGCGTAGTGGCGGGCGCCTGTAGTCCCAGCTGCTTGGGAGGCTGAGGCAGGAGAATGGCGTGAACCCGGGAGGCGGAGCTTGCAGTGAGCCGAGATCCCGCCACTGCACTCCAGCCTGGGCGACAGAGCGAGACTCCGTCTCAAAAAAAAAAAAAAAAAAAAAAAGAATATTGGGATTTACTTGAAGATATTAGGGGGAAGCACTGGTACTCATATATCCCGTAACAGAAAAAGTCAACACTCTTCTGTGTAGAAACTCTGCCCTCCTTGTATGTTTATACTAATTAAAGAGATCTGTAAACAAGCCTGGAGAAGGACTAGAAACACTCACCTAACCAATCGTATAAAAATACTCATCCCTAGTGATCATAAGATGATAGATGATGCTCAGAATATCTTTCCATCCGATATCAAATATATTCCTTTTTATGTTGCTCAATTCTCTTTATTCCTTTTTTTTTGCATTTTTAAACATAAGCTAATTTAGAAGAGTTTTAGATTTAGAGATAAAATTGTAAATATAGCAAAAATAGTTACCTCATGTCTGGTACCCAGGTTTCTCTATTATTGATATTTTACATTAACATAGTACATTTGTTACAGTTAATGAACCAATATTGATAAATTAACTAAAGTCCATACTTCACTTACATAGCTACTCTTTACTTACATGTTATTTTTCTCTTCTAGAATCCCATCTGGGATACAACATTACAATTAGTTGCTCTCTCTCCTTAGGCTCCTTTTGGCTATAATGTTTCTGACTTCTCTTGTTTTTGATGACCTTGACAGTTTTGAGAGTACTTGTCAGGAATTTTGTAGAATGTCGCTCAAGTGGTATTTCCCTGATGTTTTCCTCTGCATTAGACTGGTGTTACGGATTTGACGAGAGAAACAAACATAGATAACCTATTTCATCACATCATATCAGGGATACATACTACCAACGTGGCATCAACGTTGATATTATTCTTGATCACCTGGCTGAAGTCGATCTTCCTGCTGTAAATTTCTTCATTGTGCCCTTTCCACCCAGTCACTATATACAGCCCACACTAAAGGCATGGAGTCCATACTTCAATAGAGGGAGTTTTACTCCTCCTCTTTGAGAGATGACTGTCTACATAAATTATTTGGAATCTTTTGCATGAGAGATTTCTAGTCTCCCATCTTCATTTATTTATTTATCTATTTAATCATTTATATGAGTATGAACTTGTGAATATTTATTTTAAAGTTTGGGTTAGAATTCAAAATACCGCTTTTTGTACTTTGCTACCCAAAGTGTTCCAGCTTTGGTCACTGGGAGTCCTTTCTACAGGCTTCTATCTCCATTTGACATATCCTCTTCACTTTTTGTTGTTGTTGTTTATTTTTTTTTTTCAGAAATGTCCGGTATTACAATATGCTCCAGGGTCATCTTGTATATTTTCTGCCTCAGTCTCAGGATCAGCTGTATCTCCAACAAATTCTGGTTCTTTTTATTGGAGAATGGTATTAGGAAACAATATTTGGGCACCAGCTGTACTTGTTGCTATTGGGATAGCATTGCTTCTAGGCCTCCTCAGCTAACAGGAAAAAAAAAGAAATATACATATATTTCTTTACATATATATTTATATATATTTCTTTATATATATATTTATATATATTTCTTTATATATATTTATATATATCAGTATATATTTCTTTATATATTTATATATCAGTATATATATTTCTTTATATATATTTCTTTATATATATATATCAGTATGTGTGTATGTATATATATATGTATACTGACACATATCTGGAAATTTGTTTGTCTGTAACCAAGGATATCTACATGAAGTAAGCATGAGTTCATGCTGATGACTCCAACTGGAATTCATTACTACTGGGAAATTCTACCCTCCTCTCTTTGGTTATCCTTATGATTCCAATAGTGAGAAGCCTGGCACACTTCATTTACCGTCCATTAACTTATTATATAACTCTGATGTATATGCATTTAGTACTATCAGATTTTAGGGTTCTGATTCTTGCTTTGTATTCTCACGAAACTAATATAGATACTGCAGCTTTCTTTTGATTATTATTAACATGTTATACCTTTCTCTATTTGTTTAGTTTTAGAAAAAATACTGCACCTTTATATTTAAAGTGGGGTGATTGTGTAACACTTACAGCAGTATTGTTTGTTTACTCCCTCTGCAGATTTGTGTCTTTTAATCAATGTATTTAGATCATTCACATTTAAAATGACTAATGATGTTTTTGGATGAATATCTACATTGCTGTAACTGTTTGCTACTTGTTAGATTTTTTTTTTGGCCTCCCCCACCACCATTTCTGTCTTTTCTCGTTTTCATGGGACATTTTACAAGCATCAATTTGTGTCTTTTCTTAGTGTAAGAATTATACATCTTTTTTAATTTTTTAGAGATTCCCATAGATTGCAATATAAAGTTTTAAATAATTAAATCTAAGTTTAAATAATACTATACTGCTTCCATGTAGTATGGGTCTCCAATAACAGAACGGTCCCAATTCTCTTACATTCAACATATCACGGATACCATTCAGTTTACTTTTTCATATAATATAATTACTCATTACATTATTACTATATTTTTTAACAAGTATCTTATAGATTATTTAAATTAAAAAATGTATTTTCACTAATTTCTTATCCAGCATTTTTCTTTCCATAGTGCAGATCTAAGTTTCTGACTTTAATCATTTTCAATCTCAAAGATGATTTCCTTTTAAAATTTCCTGCTGAGCAGGTCTGCTGGCCATAAATTCCCTCAGTTTTTGTTTGTTTAAAAGTATCTTTGGCCGGGCGCCGTGGCTCACGCCTGTAATCCCAGCACTTTGGGAGGCCGAGGCGGGTGGATCATGAGGTCAGGAGATCGAGACCATCCTGGCTAACAAGGTGAAACCCCGTCTCCACTAAAAATACAAAAAATTAGCCGGGCGTGGTGGCGGGCGCCTGTAGTCCCAGCTACTCGGGAGGCTGAGGCAGGAGAATGGCGTGAACCCAGGAGGTGGAGCTTGCAGTGAGCCGAGATTGCGCCACTGCAGTCCGCAGTCCGGCCTGGGCGACAGAGTAAGACTCCGTCTCAAAAAAAAAAAAAAAAAAGTATCTTTATTTCAAGTATACTTTAGAAAAATTATTTTACTGGCTTGAAATCCAAAATTATTATATTTTCTTATTTCAACACTTTATTTAACTCTATTTTCTTCTCTCTTGGGCAGTTTCTGAAGACACAACCGTAATTTTATCTGTGGCTTTCTAAATCTTAAGTTCCCTCTCCCCAGCTTCTTTTAAGATTTTCTTATTTTTTTCTGTAAATACATTTTTTGTTTTGTTTTGTTTTGCAGTTTGAATAGTATATGACTAGGTGAAACTTTTTGGTTTTTAATCTTTCTTAATGTTCTCTGGGGTGTTATCCTGTCTTGGTGTTTTCTACCTAGATCTCTTGTTTGGCAACTGTCATTAATTTTGTAAACTTCTTAGATTATTACTTTTTTTTTATGAGATGGAGTCTCACTCTGTCACCCAGGCTGGAGTGCAGTGGTGCAATCTTGGCTCAATGCAACGTCCACCTCCCGGGTTCAAGCAATTCTCCTGTCTCAGCCTATTCAATAGCTGGGACTACAGTCACATGCCATCACATCCGGCTAATTTTTGTATTTTTAGTAGAGGTGGAGTTTCACCATATTGGTCAGGCTGGTCTCGAACAGATTGTTACTTCAAATATTTCTTCTGTTACTTTTCTGTCTTTTCTTTCTTATAGGCCAATATTCAGAAGAAAACCTTTTAAAATTGTCCCTCCGGTCTTCAGTGTTCATTTTCTTTTAATTTTAATTGTTTATTTACTTATTTATTTTTGTAATTGAATTTTAGTTTGAGAAGTTTATATTGACCTACATTCAAGCTCACTCATTCCTTTTGTGGCCACTCTCTGACTCCTGATGAGCCCATCAAAGCTATTCTTCAATTTTGTGAGTGTTTTTTATTTCAAATATTTCTTTTTGATTCTTTCTTAGAATTGGCTTCTCTCTATTTACATTACCTACCTGTTCTTGCATGGTGTCCAATACTTTGTTAGAGCCTTTAAGGCATTAATCATAGATATTTTAAATTTCCTATCTAGTAATTCCAAAATCTGTGTCATATCTGAGTCTGCTTCTGGTGTATGTTTTATCTCTTCGGACAGTTTGTGCTTGTTTATTAACATGCTTTCTAATTTTTGTTGAAAGCCATAATGTTTCAGGCAATAGGAAGTGAAGTAGATAGGCCTTCAGCATTTTAGGGCTGGCCAGGTGCTGTGGTCACTCCTGTAATCCCAGCATTTTGGGAGGCCAAGGCAGGTGGATCACCTGAGGTCAGGAGTTCAAGCCCAGTTTGGACAACATGGCAAAACATTGTCTCTACTAAAATATTAAAAAAAAATTTAGCTGGGCATGGTGGTAGGCACCTGTAATCCCAGCTATTTGGGAGGCTGAGGCAGGAGAATCACTTGAACCCGAAAGGCGGGGGTTGCAGTGGTGAGCCGAGATCATTCCAGTACACTCCAGCCTGGGAGACAGAGTGAGATTCCGTCTCAAAAAAGAAAAAAAAAAAAAAAGAATTTTAGGCTTTAAAATAATAAAGCCTCCTCTGACTAGGAGTTAGCTGTGTTTAATATTTGCAATCATTTCAGGTGACAAAGGCTTTAAATTTGTCTAGTATTATTTTTGTTTCATCTGTGAAATTTGGGTTTCTTTAAGCTCTACGCTCAGAAACAGTCTGCGTCTCTCAGCTCTTTTAGCTGTAAATCCTGTTATAATACTGGATCCCTGTTGATACAGTGATAAACTGTGCAGTAGGAGAAAAATGCTATAATCTTGTGATTAAATCTCTCCTTTAGTGGCCCTGTGACCTTCATAAATAATTCTCATTTTATTTTATTTTTGTTGAGATGGAAATCTAGAGATGACTGGAGTAAATAAATGTACCTTTTCCTGGTAGGATAAGGCTCTAGCTATATCTTCTCCCCTACAGCATAGACCCTTGTTACTGACAACACCGTGGGGGCATTTCACAATATTTTTTTCTTCCTCTTCCCCACCAAAGCAACAGGGTATGTCTCTCAGCTCTTCATAGTTAGAACTAGGAAGTTCAGTGTACCCCTTCCCAGGGGTTCCTGAAGTGAAAACCGGTGAAATTTTGGTAGCCCGTATGTTGAGGATCCCGGAGTTTTGCGCTCACATTTCAGCCCATATTCAGTCTTCAACAATTTGTTAAAATTTACTATTTTATTGTTTCCACAAGTTTAGAGCTCCACCAGCTTCTGTTTGAGTTCAACAGATATTGGATATGGGCCTTTGGAATCATCTATCTCTCCAGATTTCAGGATGGCAGTTGCCCTGTGATCTCCGTTCTCCAAGGGGTCTAAGAAGTCACATATTTTCCTTATGTTTTGTCTTTTCTTGCAAGGACAAGAGTGATGACTTGTAATTTTTGTTTTTACCTGTTGAAACTGAAGTCATGAAACTATAGTAACCTTTTAACATTACTATCTCATTATTCTCCTTGGCATTAATAATACCGAATAAGTATATAGCAATAATTATAGGTTCTGAAAAAAAAATCAACTGTTTTCTTTGTGATTGAGATTAACATAGTAAGAAAGATGGGGACAGAAGATTTTCCTTCCAAGAAGCACGCAGTTACATTTGAAGACATAAACTGATGCTCAGACAGTCACCATTCCAGGAGAGGCACCATAAACTACAACATACAGCATAATTAAACAGAGAAAATTGATGAATCAATTTAAAAGAGTAGAAGGTGGTGCTGCTAAGATACACATGCACACTTAAATGACAGTTACAAAAGTGTGCGTATGCTTCTAGTTGAATTAAGCATCTGATTAGGTGATTATTATGTTGATTTAATTTGCTCAATTTGTGTCTTGAAAGACAAGATGCTAATTAAGACATTAAAAAAATTTACTTTCACAGTGCTACAGGAAAACCCCAATTTAGAAAAGTAAAAACTTTGCTGTTATATTAGCAGTAGTGTATTAACTGTCTGAAGAAATGAAAGAGAAAAATAAATCATATTTTAAAAATGATATCTGAAATAGAATCGAAGACATTAGATTTTTATAAAAGAACAGCTTGCCCAAGTTCTGTTTTTACTGAACACAAGTATTTTAAATCTATCTTCATGTTTGCTTTTTAGCAAACATGTTTAAAGAGCCTGCTTTTATTACAATTTACTAAATTATCATTAAAATTAACCAATTAACCTTTCAATCAACAGCAGATGCTCCCTATCTCTATCCATGATTCATCCATACAGTTAACAATTTAACAAATAGTCTATTTCCAATATCTTCAGCATGGAAAAAGAACAAAACATTATGTATTATACCATGATAGATAAATAAATATGAATTTTGTAAATTAGAATAGGATTAGGCAACAAATATAAAAGAGGAGGCATTCAGCATTATATTTGTCAAAACTCCAGCAAATTTGCTCAATCCTCTGTTCTAAATAAATAAGAAAACCAGGAATGAATTGATTGGGAATTGTGGAAACAAAAAGGTGAAACTGCAAGATAGACTTCCGTATAACACAACTCAACAACTAAATGATGTTATCCCAGTGGACTTAAGTGGTGGGTCTCTGAACTGAAGCAAACTTTTCTGCAACAAATTGTACTCCAAGGCAGGAAGAGGATTCTATTTGTTTCCAAGACAAACTAGACTTTCAGAAAGTTTTTGGAAGTATATCGGTCAGGATTTAGCCTCAATATAAGAAGAACTCAGATGAGTAAACTGGGGTCTGAGAAGAAGGTGGTAATTGGTTCTAATACTATCTTATTATTTTGCTAAAGTAAAAAACACATCAAAATAAAAATGAGTTTGAGCCTGCTTCTCACAGGGTCCTGACTGAGCAACTTGTTTGTATTTCATACACTTTGTAGACTTAAAACAGTGTCATATAATCTTTAGCTATTTTTTCAAATGTACATGAAATATCAGTACATTCAAATTGTTCGGTGGTTTATCTCTTGGGTATACCAGGTGCTTTCATACTTCTACTGCTTGGACATATGGGAAGATTCAGCAGGAGTAGGACTATATTACTGCATTCCCATGCTGCTAATAATTTATAATGGTAATTTATAATGGAAAGAAATTTAATTGACTCACAGTTCAGCATGGCTGGGAAGACCCCAAGAAACTTACAATCTGGCAGAAGAAGAAGCAAACATGTCCTTCTTCACATAATGGCAGGAAGAAGTGCCAAGCAAAAGGAGAAAAAGCCTTTATAAAACCATCAGATCTTGACCTGGGCACGCTGGGTCATGCCTGTAATCCCAGCACTTTGGGAGGTCGAGGCAGGTGGATCATTTGAGGTCAGGAGTTCAAGACCAGCCTGGCTAACATGGTGAAACCTCATCTCTACTAAAAATACAAAGATTAGCTGGGTGGTGGTGGCACACACCTGTAATCCCAGCTACTTGGGAGGCTGAGGCAGGAGAATCGCTTCAGCCTGGGAGGCACAGGTTTCAGTAAGCCAAGATTGTGCCACCCCAGCCTGGGCAACAGAGTGAGACTCTGTCTCAAAAAAAAAAAAATCAGATCTCATGGGAACTCAGTTACTATCACCAGAACAACATGAGGGTAACTGCCCCCCATGATTAAAAATTACCTTCCTCCTGGTTCCACCCATGACATGTGGGGATTATGGGAGCTACTATTCAAGGTAAGATTTGTGTTGGGACACAGAGTGAAGCCATATCAATGACCAATGACTCATGTAATACATTTAAGCACATCAATGTGATGTATGACATCAAATATACATAGATTGATGAGTATAAGCATTTTTTTTAAATGGAGATGCAACCTACAGTGTGTTAAAGCCTTCAAATATTATATGAAAAATACATTTTAATTTCAATAATAAGATTAGCAAGTCAACTTTTGTTAATACATCTTCCAATGGCAATGAAGTTCATGCACCAAGTGGAAAGCATATTAGCGCCTGACACTGATTATTAAAGTTAGATTCTATATCCGATTACATTTAATTATTCAGAAGCTCTGTAGCATGTAATAAGATATCCTCAAGTATAATTAGAAGCACAGCAATATCTTTTTTAAAAAACTATTTGTAGAATCTTAACAGCAATTACTATATCATATAGGTTTTTCTAAGCTTTCAGGCAGGTTTTTCTAACCATTTACTGATTTCCTTTTATGGATAGATGAGTTTTCTGCTTTTGTAAAATCAATATATAAAGGCATCTCCCCCCTCCAGCAAAAAACATTTGCCTGCTATATAATTAATTATAATTATAAGCTTTATAATGATCTTTAGTCTAAACACAACTCACCTCTCCTGTACATGAACATTAAACACATTTCTTCAACAAAACTGTACTTAATAATGTAACACAATACCCTTAGCTTCTTTTAATAACATTCTGTTTATAACACTTGACACAATGTGCTCTTCCTGTAAGTGAAACATGAACGCTATGTTCAGTAAGTAATACTGTATAAAATAAACAACAAGATTATATTTTTAATATTCTGGTATAAACAAACTTGCATTCTTATAGGTTGGAAGAAAGCCATAAATACAAGGTTTATGGTATTGATTCATTTTTCAATTCAGATACATGTTTACTCTTAGCAATAAGGTAACTTTTCAATTATTCAACACATTCTCATCTTATACATGTTACAATATTAGAGGTTTGACCAAGATCTTACTTTATGTTCTTAATTCCAAATAATGACTTGAACTACCTGTTCTTTGACAAACCTAAACTAAACTACTACTTTTGATGTTAATTGATTTCCTCGTCTTATCTCTCCCAAAGGAATGCATAAGAGCAACAAACTCTGGTATTTTTAACACCTATTTTTGTGGTAATCCTCATAGCATAATCCTGCTTTGTGAAAATACAAACCAGATATTGCTAACATTAATCCCTTATTTTAGAGGAAAAAAGCTAACAGATAATATTTAAAAGATTAGCGGAGAAAGCAATGAATTTATTTGTGATTTCAATACTGAAGTCTTTGTTACTCATTTTTAAACTATAGCTTTCTTGTAGGGAGAGCATGTCCATTTTATGAATGTAAACCTGGCACTCTATCTAGATACTCCAACCGTGAAAGCCAAATTACAATCTCCAACTTCTCAATACAAATCCACCAATCATTTGCTCTGCAATGTTGCCCTTCACAATAGTGATGAAACTTCCTTCATGAAAACACTTTTGAGTATTAAAATTTACTTTAAATATATATCACAGAAATAGACACTTTGTAAAGGAGGACAAGAGACTCATAATTTGTTAAATATGTTTCATGACTGTACATAACTGGAAAATTACTGTATGGATGTCCAAAAGTTTGACTTCAAATTTGAGAAATCTAAGCTGGTAAATAACATATTTTAGCATAATTTGGCTTGTTTGGAAAAGTTGGTGGGCTGGTATGCAAATGTTGTTGGGAAAATAAGTTATGTTAAATCATCAGAGTTCTGTTATGAAGAAGAAGATACATATTGACTTCCTAAATGTAAGAAGAAGTATAAACTCTGCAAATCTACTCAGATAGTTAGGGGCTGTTCTTTTTAAAATCCTACTTCTTTAATTATTGGAGGCAAGGGGACTTAATGCCAGGAAATTTCTGTAAAATGTATGGCAATTCTAGGAGCATTGTAACATATATTCTCATTCTATTCAGTATTAAAATACACTACTACTATTACAGACATTTAATTAAATTTGGTTGATGTTGGAAGAGTGGTGTCGAATGTTATATTAAACTATTTCCCAAATTGCAGTGTTTATTTATTGAATTTAAGAGGTATTATTATGGAATTACAGCTGCATTACCACCTGTGTGACTTTTGATTGAAATTAGGAAAGTGTTGAAAGTTTGTTTCAGTTATCAGACAAATTTTTTTATCAATCACTGACACAGCTGTGATGAGGCATACATACAGCAGCAAGAATAAGAGAAAAATAAAACAATGATGTTTTTCTTATTTTCCTTCTCAATTCTTATAAGTTACACATGAGAAACATTAATAGGGTTATTTGGGAATGTTATGGAGTTGTGAGTATTTCACTTCTTAAGGACATGAAATGTGTATTTTTAAAAATGTGAACACTCAAGTTTGTTTATGGTGGGAAAAAGTGCAGTTTTGTGATTAGTGGAGCATTTAGATTGTGAATAATACACAACAATAAGAATGTTTCACTTCTTTTTATACCCATTTTTCTCCACAAAAGTAATTCTAACCTTAAATGGTGTTTCTATAAATCTGTCACTGAATCAATATGCTTTAATGGAGATAAAATGGAACAGGATGATGCTCCAGTGATATAATCTAATATGTCTTTAATTACTTTGAATTTCTTACTACTGTGATCAAACCATGCCAGCAATTTAAATATTTTCATTGCGTAACATAAAATGCTGTCCATGCAAACTAAAGAATAACATTAATTATATTCTTATATTTAAGTCTTTTCCGCATCTAAAGGTACTGAATTTAGCATGCCCTCTAGTTGAAACTTCAGTACTATTACAACATAGACTGACGACAAATCCAGTTTTATCTCTCTCCTATTGCACACCCCCCTGAAACAAGCATATTAAATTATATGAGGTTGAAAAATATCTTTATGTTTGAAAATTTAATATTTTTTCACTTGAAACAGTGTAAACCTTCAAATTGTAGCCATTGAAGATGTATTAACGTCATGAACTTACAAGCCTGTGCAACATACCCACGTAGGCATGTGTGAGCACACAAATGTGGTACTAATCTCTTTGAATATGTCAGGATCAAAGAAGTTGCAACAAAAGAATAAGGAAGCCAGTTAAACATTTCTGGTGTTCCTATGTTTGTTTATTTAGTTTTCCTCAGTCCTTTTTATGTTGCTACTAAATCAATGTATCAGACAGATTATAGCCTCAACTCTAATGATTTTGGGTGTAATGGAAAGCTTTACTATTTCAATCTGGATTAATTTAATAGCAGTACTCATGAGGCTATACCACCTTATTTGAACCTATTGATAAAGTTTCATTATAATTGCCCCACATCTATTTCTTGCAAGAGTTCCGCAGTCTGCACTGTTAGTGCGGGCAATTATTTATTCCTCTGAAAGTAGAATGCCGTTGAGTTCTGTTTTGATAGTTGGCTTTTTCTTAATGTGTAAAATTCTCTGTAAGGGCAGATTTACTTGTGTTGCTCCTGAAAACATAATACAACAGATTGTGGTGTCCATTAGGTGAGATGCAAAATGTCTTCATTTGATGCTTAATACAAAGTGAAATTCTTTAAAAATTGAATTATTTCAATAACCAAGTAATATGGAAAAAATGGAATTAAATATTTTCGTTTAATCATCAAGAAGCTGACAGTAGTCCATATGAAAAATTGCTTCTAGGACAAGCTAAGTGTTTGATGGGAGTTTGGAAGAGGCATTCAGCATTTTGTTCTCAAATAAATGTCAACAATTTAGTATTAATGCGTCCCTTAATTATCAAGTTTTCTTTTTTTTATTAGATTGACTGGCATCCCTGTTGGTATTACTAGTATATTTGTGGTAGGGCAACTATTAGCTAAACATGGGTTACTGTTTATTGCATTGAATTTCTATTTATTATGTAGAAGGAAAGATAAACTCTCACAGCTGATTCATATATGTAAGGGATTTAGCAATATATATTCATTGAAATTTTTTTATTTACAATTTGACACATAATTTTCTTGAGTTCTTATTCTGGCTGTAGTACTATTACTGAATATTCTTCAGGCTAAATAGAACAATTTCCATCCCTTGCCTGCATGTACTAACTATTCTTTCATGAAATTCTAGTGCCTATAGAGAGTTCTCCCATTTACCTCAAAGAACTCATCTATTTTGCTTAGCTCGACTTTGCTTCAAACCAGCAGATTTATCATTGGTAGAATTCAATGTTAAATAGTTTGAACATAACCTTGAAGTGAATTCTCTTCTTTCCTTGTACTCAATTACCCTCTTTGCGCTTTTCATAAAGTAAAGGACTGTGCAAAGTTGCACTGTCAGTGCAGCCAAGACCCAAGTGGTAGAAGTAGGAAATGCTCTGGGGAATACTGCAAATGTAATTTCTGCTTCTTGCTTGGAAGTCTGAAGCCAGCAACAGTCTAATAGAAACCCTTTGCTTTCTGGATGATCCATTTACAGAGTGATAAGCACTGCTGTGGAGTTAATATCATTTCCAGAAGCAGACCTTTTCATACAGTTAACTATGTGTAAAATTGTCTTCCTTTTCTTCCTTATTTGACGTATATACCAAATTTATAACCAGTCTGGCATGTACTTCCACTAAACATTCTGATCTTCCTCTTAGTATTTGATTTATGATCACTTGAAAAAGAGGTATGCCTAGAATGCTTTATTACATATATTTTCTTGATACATTTTGCTTAGTTTTTTAAATTCTAATGAGTCTTTAATTTTCAAATTCATTTTTCTTAATATTTTATCATTCTAAAATGTGAAGTAATTTATCTGCTTTTTTTTCTTCTATGAACATACTCTTTTAGTGCTTGTATATTCTTCTCCATAGGGCATCATTTTCCTTACCCATACAGAGTAATGTACTGTTAATAACTCTGTATTGGAATGAACAATACTTTATATACAAAGTCCGAGTGATCCTGCCCACGTTTCCCTTTTGTTACATTGTGTCAACTCAGTTTGTTATCAATAAATCAACTTTGGAAATCTTAGCATACTACATAGTAAATTATTAACCTCGTTATTTGCAAAGTTGAAGGTTATTATCAAAATTATTCCTTTTGAGTAAGCCATTTATGCCTAGGCTAGCCAAATATAAAAGCTGTATCATTGCCCCAGTGTGGTGGCTCGTGTCTGTAATCCCAGCACTTTGGGAGGGCGAGGTGGGTGGATCACGAGATCAGGAGATCGAGACCATCCTGGTCAACATGGTGAAACCCCGTCTCTACTAAAAATACAAAAAAATTAGCCAGGCGTGGTGGCGCACACCTGTAATCCTAGCTACTCAGGAGGCTGAGGCAGGAGAATCTCTTGAACCCAGGAGGTGGAGGTTGCAGTGAGCTGAGATCATGCCACTTCACTCCAGCCTGGGCGACAGAGTGAGACTCTGTCTCAAAAAAAAAAAAAAAAAGCTATATCATTTATTAAATTACAAATCGGGATGCTCTTCACATTGTTAACATTGATGATTGGATTTGTTTTTATATTGGTATCAATTTAATGCAGTAACTGTTAGATTTTTACAAATATGTGACACACATGTACCCTGGAAGTATGTATGTTTACTATGCATCAATCGATCAATAAATAATCGAATGTGCGAGATACACTATTTTTGTTTGTCTTGTGTAACTATTCTATAAAAACAGAGCCTGTGGCAATGGAAATGTGCAGCTACTTACTAGTTGTTGAGATCTCTCACAATTTCTATATCCTCATGGAAAATCCTTGCTTAAAGAGAGAAACTTGTACTTGAATTCTTATTCTGCTACTAACCTAAGGATTAATGATTCGCTGAAACTTACTTGACTTCAATATTTCCACATATAAAATGTTGGCCAAAATACTACAGTGATTAATTTTGCCTGTATTGGCAAAAAGAAAAAAAAAAGAAAATAATCACATAAGCGCCTTAAACCTAATGGGAAATTATTGTCTTGTTGTTATAGGAATACCTGAACTAAGTGTGGCTCCAGAGCTATTTAATGCTGTGACTTGTCTGCTTCATCAGGGACTCACTTTGCTTTCACTTTTTTTTTTGCACCACCATTTTAACATTCCATCTGTTTTTTGTTTGTTTGTTTTCTTTTGAGATGGAGTTTCACTCTTGTCACCCAGGCTGGAGTGCAATGGTGCCATCTCGGCTAACTGCAACCTCTGCCTCCTGGGTTCAAGCAATTCTCCTACCTCAGCCTCCTGAGTAGCTGGAATTACAAGTGTGCTCCACCATGCCCGGCTAATTTTTGTATTTTTAGTAGGGATGTGGTTTCTCCCTGTTGGCCTAGCTGGCCCCGAACTACTGACCTCAGGTGATCTGCCTGCCTCAGCCTCTCAAAGTGCTGAGATTACAGGCAGGAGCCACCACACCCAGCCTCCGTCTGGTTTTTAATTTAGTAACATTTATTGATTCAACATGAGATAGCAATTTTGACATTCAATTTTTTGCTTCCTATTTTGTAAAGTTAAAGAAACCCTTCCCAGAAGCCCTACAGAAAGTTCCTACCAATTACTCCATGAACAGAACTGCATCACACATTTCACATCTAATCCAGTCTCTCTGGTAGGTGTACTGAAACCACAGTGCTTAGCTGAGGTCAGTAAGGACTTGATAGTGGTGGATGCCCAAACAAACTAGAGCCTCTGGCAGCAGAAAGTAAGCAGAGATAGATGCTAGGTAGATAATTAGAAAGACACCCTACAAATGTAGTAAGTTTGTTGTCCATGGTAGAATGAGTATATCCGTAAGTCACCCAGCACAGTAGCTGTCACATAGCGATGCTTAAAGAAAAAAGTAAACTTAAATTACTGCATTCTACCCCAATATATTGAACTTCTACAATGTTTCAGGTACCCTGAAGCCACTAGCAACATAAATGTATTGAACACATTTGCTGAAGTCAAACACCTAATGATGGACGAGTCAAAAAATACAGTATATAAATAAAACATACAAACATATGGACATACTGACTCACAAGTTAATGATACGGATGCTATGATAAAGGGAAGCACATACTGAAATGAACAAAAATAAGAGAGTATTAATCACAGATTTGGATGCAAGAGTGAGAAGCAAGTGGGAGTCAAATCTGAGTGAATATAATGATGGTGTACTTTATTCTAAATGTATGTTTTTGCCAGTCAGGGGAAGAAGAATAAATTAGATTTTCTGGGGGAAATCCTACACTATGAATTGTAGGGACAATCCTACTATTAGGAACATACAAGGAGAAAGGATGATTGTAGAGGTATAGGTCTCTGCTTCCGGTCATATTTGGTTAGCAGGGAAGGGCTTCATCCTTTTTCAAATGTAACAAATTTGTACTGCATGTAATATTGAAAAGATTTGTAATTTTGGTAATATTTCAATAATAGTGAAAAATATTGGCAAACTTAAATTTAGAAAATTCTAAGCAACATTAGGACACATGGTATATGTTTAACATTAAGTTAAATGAGGGTATTAAAGATATAAATATGGTTTACATAGGAAAATAGTATATTCAAGGCAAGAAAATATTTTTCTATTTTGTTTCAACCATTTTGTAGTTTTTCTTGAGAGTAAAGATTTTCTGATTTCTAAGTTATTTTGTAGAAATTGGAATAAATGCCACAGAGGAATTTTGGCCTCATAAAGTATATCAAACACTTTATGGCTCCTGTTTCATTTTCGTACTTCCTAGTCCTTTTAAACACAGCAAACACGCCTTGGGGTTTTCCTTAAAGTCATTTTGAAAGTGTGTTTCTGCTATGACCCATCAGTATGAAATATGGTTTTCTGATAGCATGCTGGCTAAAATAAGTTTTCTTCTTTTTTTCATAGATGGATGGCAGGTTGTATATGTTAGGCCTCTCTATGTGTCTTTATGTCAAGAATTCAAACATGTTATTGAGAAATGGTGCTTTAAAATGCAAACATGCAATATAGGTTCAAAAGATCTTCTACCATGGAAGGTTATTTAATTATATTTCAAAACTAATTTGAGGTTCAAAAGAAACAGAAGCCAAATCAACTGTTAAATTTCTATTTAACTGATTAATGTATTTACATGTTATAATGAAAACCCAACATTAAACTTAATACTTTTATTTTACACTTTACATGTGACATACCTGTCTCAAGCTCTTTTCTTTTAGGAAGTTCTGATGATTGCAGGTCACGTTCCAGTCTATGTCATATAATGTGTTAACAAGTACCACAAATTTCCGTAGATCTTGATGCAGTGGTGTGAGATTGCATTTTTCTGTCACTTACTATATATAATTATCAGCTCTAAGTAGCCAGTTAGTACTTACATAGGATCCAGTGGCTATTCTTTTTCTGTTTCTTGCACTGCATGTGGAAAGGCATTCTCCTTCAATGCTCATAGTTTAAGTGTGATAAGCTGTTTGAAATAACAAAAACGTTTTATTTAAGGGATAAACAAAGACTGTAACAGCATAATGCAGAACAAGAAACACATTAAACACAGGTAATTAGCAAGATATACTTAAATTTTTGACACTGAAGATGTCTTGATTGCTTTCTTTCTCTTCAGATCTGAGTTTGCCAATTTCTGTTTAGCATTCCTTTTCTACTGAGACTCTTATATCATTTATTGCCCATATTTTGGGCCATAAAACAAGCTTCAACACATTTTTTAGAAAAATAAAATCATACAGAATCTGTTCTCTGATGCTGATGGAATCAAATTAGAGTTAAATACCAGGGAAATCATACAAAATTTTCACACTCAGAAATTAAGCAAGATACTTCTAAAAATACAGAGATTAAAAAAGTCTTACAAAGAACAAAAAATATGTTCGGGTAAATGAAAATAAAAAGAGAATATACCAAAATTTCTGGGATTCAGGTAAAGCAGTGCTGAGAAGGAAATTTATAGCACTAAACACTTACATCACAAAGGTGGAAAAATCATGAATCAACCATCTAAGCTTGCAGTTTAAGAAACTAAGGAAAAAAATATATACTTAACATGGCAGAGGAGATATCATAATCACAAAGGTAGTTTTCCCAGGGCAAGCCTTATCCACTGCATTCCAGATGTGCTCACCTCTGTGGTTTCCCCAAATGTGGAAAACTGGACTGCATAATTTGTGGTAGCGGGGGACTGCATTAATACCTTCCTCTGGCTTTTTATTTTATTTTGTTCATTTTTTTAATTTAAAAAATAGTGAGAAAAGAAGAAAATAAGCCCAATGCCAGCAGAATGAAGGAAATAATAAAGATAATAACAGAAATAAATGAAATTGAAAAAAGAAAAAAAAAACAGAAAAATCAATAAAGAAGTGAATTTTTTAAAAAGACCAACACAGCTGACAAGATTTTAGCACAAGTGACACAGAATTTTATATATATATATATATATATACACATATAGGTCTATATATATGTCTCTCTATATGTCTATATGTCTATATATATGTCTATGTCTATATGTCTATAGTCTATGTCTATATCTCTATATGTCTATCTGTCTATATCTATGTCTATCTATATCTATGTCTATGTCTATATATATGTCTATATGTCTATATATGATGTCTATGTCTATATATGTCTATATATGTCTATATATATGTCTATATATATGTCTATATATATGTCTATATATATGTCTATATATATATGTCTATATATATGTCTATATATATATGTCTATATATATGTCTATATATATATGTCTATATATATGTCTATATATATATGTCTATATATATGTCTATATATATATGTCTATATATATGTCTATATATATGTCTATATATATGTCTATATATATATGTCTATATATATGTCTATATATATATGTCTATATATATGTCTATATATATATATATATTTACCCAGAAACTCTGAGACAGGTCTTCATTAATGCAGAAAGTTTATTTTGCCAAGGTTGAGGACACACGCCTGTGACACAGCCTCAGGAAATCCTGAGGACATGTGTCCAGGATGGTTGGGGCACAGCTTGGTTTTACACATTTTAGGGGGACATAAGACACCAATCAATATATGTCAGAAGTATGTAAGAAGAATGAGACACAAATGAACATACGTAGGAAGTACACTGGTTCAGTCTGGAAAGGTGGGACAACTCAAAGCAACTGAAAACAACTCAAAGCAAAGGCAGAAAGAAGCAAGGAGGGGCTTCCAGGTCACAGATAAATGAGAGACAAGTGGTTACATTTTTTTGAGTTTCTGGTTAGCCTTTCCAAAGGAGGCAATCATATATGTATTTATCTCAGTGAGCAGAGAGACAACTTTAAATAGAAAGAAAGGCAGGTTTGCCCTAATCAGTTCCCAGCTTGAATTTTCCGTTTAGCTTAGTGATTTTGGAGGCCCAAAATATCTTGGGGGCCTAAGATATTTACCTTTCTCTATATAGATAAGACATAGATATATAATATATATGCAAATGCAGATGTAACACACAGTAAACAGATAGGAAGAGAACACTAAGAACAAGTCTACAGACATAAATTCAGCCACTGAGATGATAATCAATTTATTAAAAAGTACAAGCTACCAAAACTCAACCAATATAAAGTAAATAATTTAAATTCCCTTGTAGCAATTAAATCAGTTGAATTTGTACTTCAAAATTTCTTCCCAAAATATATCTCCAGTTACTAATGGTTGTGCCAGAGAATTCTTTTAAAGCTTAGAGAAAAATTAACACTGATTTTATCCATTCTTCTAGAAAATGAATGAAGAAAGAACAATTTACAACTCATTTTATGAATCCAGTATTACCCACATATTAAAATCAAACACAGGCAGTATAAAAAAGGAAAACTACAGACCAGACTTCCTCATGAACACAGGTGCAAAATATATAGCGAATAAAATATGCCAATATATAAAATTGATTATAGACTGTGACCAGGGGCTTTTATTCCAGAGATGCAAGGCTGGTTTAGTATTTAAAATCAGTCAATATAATCCACTTTATTAATAAATTAGAATAAAAAAATACATAATTTTATAAACTGAAAAAATTAGAAACAGAGGAAAACCTCTTCAACTTGATAAAAGACATTATAGGAAACCTACAGCTATTATATTTAATGATTAATAACTATATTTTCTTCTTAGATCAAGAATAAGGCAAGGATATCTGTTATCACTTCTCTTATTCAACATTGTCCTGCCATAGTATCGTTCCCATTGATTGAAAATTAAAAAAAAACTGCCCTATTTGGTAATGATATGATTGTATATGTATAAAATTCCAAGGAATGTGCACAAAAACTTCAATAATGGGCCGGGTGCAGTGGCTCATGCCTGTAATCCCAGCACTTTGGGTGGCCGAGGTGGGCAGATCACGAGGTCAGGAGTTTGAGACCAGCCTCACCAATATGGTGAAACCCCATCTCTACTAAAAATACAAAAATTGGCCGTGTGTGGCAGCGTGCTCCTGTAGTCCCAGCTACTAGAGAGGCTGAGGCAGGAAAATCACTTGAACCTGGGAGGCAGAGGTTGCAGCGAGGCAAGATCGGGCCACTGCACTCCAGCCTGGGCGACACAGCGAGACTCTGTCTCAAAAATAAATAAACAAATAAAAATAAAAAAGAAATATTAATTCAACAACTTGTAGTAAAATCACTAAATTAACATAGTTTTAGATCCTGACATGAGAAAGGTTTAGTTAAGATTAACAACTGTGCAGGGGAACGCAAAAGTAAGAAAAAGCTATTGTGCTGGTCCCGAACTTAAAAGAAAATCAAGAAATTGCCTACAGGTCCTTAGTCATTCCCCATGCACATACACAAGAAATAAAAGTGGAGGATTCAGAAAGTAGATTTTAAAAAGAAAACCAAAGCAGAAAAAAGATTGCACAGATTGCAGTGTGTAAATGATGCCAAAATTACCACAGAAAGTTTGGAGAGTACTACATGGGGAGATGCTGCAAAATCCTCAAAATATCCAACAAAAACACCTTTCCAAGATGACAGGGACCCACACTGGGAAGAAATATCTGCAGAAAATAGACTGTCTATTTAACTGAATAGAAATATTGGAAATAAAGAAGCGAGAGAAGATGAAGATACAGTGGTTGTCTAGTTGTCTAGAGATTTATATCTCCAGGTGACTACAAAGAGAGGTTTGATTTATATATACATAGACCCATCTAGATGTTTTCTATAGGGAGCCTACTATAAAGTAAAGGCTCAGGTAGAGTAAACATAAAAAGGTGGAGATGGATATACCACCATAACATTAATAAAAATAATCCTATAGTTGCTTTCTTAAATTCAGACACAGTAGAGTTTACAATACAAAAAATTATCAGTGACAAAGAGGGGTGTTATGTCATGATAAATGGGTCAGTTTTTCAAGAATACTGTAAAAAATCCTGAAGGTATATGTACCTAACAACACAGTATCAAATTATATGAGATAAAATTGGACAAAACTACAATGAGAAATTGACAAATTAATTATCATTATTTGAGACTTCAATACCTCTCTCAGCAACTGATTGATTAAGCGAGTAGAAAATAAGAATAGTGGTTGACCTGAACAGCATCATCAATTAACTTCATCCAATCGACATTGATAAGAGTATTTCATTCAACGACAATAAAATACACATTCTTCTCAATTTCACATGGAACAATCAGCAAGATAGACCATATTGTGGACCATAAAACACCTTAAAACAATTGAGGAATGAAAATTATGCAAAATATGTTCTGAGACCAAAGTGGAATTAAACTAGTAATCAATTACAGAAAGATAGCTGGAAAATCACCAAATATTTGGACATTAAAGAACACACTCCTATATAATACATGGATCAAAAATGTCTCAAGAGAAATTTAAAAATATTTCAAACTATTAAAAATAATAAAAACTTATCAAAACTTCTAAGATTTAGCAAAGGTAGTGCTTAGGAAGATATTTATAGCATTACATGCATATATTAAAAAAGATGAAGGATTGAAAATCAGTCATCTACACTTCCACTTTGGGAATGGAGAGAAAGGAGCAATTTAACTCTAAAGAAGCAAAACAAAACAAACAATAAAACATAAAGATAACAAGTAGGATATACTTTCTCAAACCTCGGCCATTACAATGTGTCTTCTTACAATTTTGAAACTGGGGTTGAGAGAGTCAGACACGTTTGTTTGTCACAAAAACCATCATCTTGATCCTCGTCCTTGTCTCCTCCTACTCCTCTCCCTTCTCCTTCCTCACAATAACCAAGGATATGAATAGCTGTAGGCTATTTAGCATGACCATTTTAAAACAAATGCTCATATTATCTTTCTTTAAAAACATTTTAGTTGGAAACTAGAAGCTTACATTTGGATGCATCTATCTGTTCTGTGAAATTCTTTATTAAATGAACAACATGGATCAAATTTAGTTATATGAGAATTACCATGATGTAACCATGAAGGAATATGATGATATTTAGAAAAATATTACACTAGAAATTGAGCTACCTATTCTGAACACTTCATATTGTGAATGCAAGAGGATTTTTTTTTTTTTTTTTGGACGGAATCTTGCTCTGTCACCTAGGCTGGAGTGCAGTGGTGCGATCCCCGCTCACAGCAATCTCCACCTCCTGGGTTCAAGCAATTCTCCTGCATCAGCCTCCAGAGTAGCTGGGATTACAGGTACCCGTCATCATGCCTACCCAGCTAATTTTTGTATTTTTATTGAGATGGGGTTTCACCATGTTGGCCAGGCTGGTCTCGAACTCCTGACCTCAAGTGATCCGCCTCTCAAAGTGCTGGGATTACAGGCGTGATCCACAGCATCCAGCCTCAAGAGGCTCTTAAACACTAAATAATTTCAACTTATTTCTTGGTCCTGATCTTCCTTAATTTTTATTTTGTCCTATGATCTTTTATCAAACCACATGTATCAATATATGAATAAATAAATAAATAAATGCACATGTATGTTTATATATAACTTTGTTATTTTGCTACTCTTTTTTTTAAAACTTAAAGTCCTTTATATCCTCTGAAATTCTAAAGCTGAGAACTTTTGAAAAAAATCTTTAGAACTCCATACCAGTATCATTGTGTAAGGCAAGTACATAGTACAATAGAGACTAAGGACAACCTATATCTTGAAATAGCACCTTTGACTAAGTGTACAGAGATTTCAGAACCTTATGATAAAAGTCATTAGCATGATACAGATTCTTGATTACTTTTGTTTAAAAAAAGCTTTGAGATTGTCTTGCTTAGTGTTCTGGCCAGCTCTTTTGATTAGCTTGGAGTTAATCAGTTCTATCTTCATTCTTTTAGTAAAGTAAAATGTGTTTCAAAGTTCCTTTTTTATAAAGGGCATTGCTATCAATGCCAGTTCATTTTCTCCTGGGAAGCTATTGCAATTTTGCTGTGCTAAATGTTTGCACTAAGCACTTAGTGAAGGCTGAGGTCACCTCTCTTGTTAAAGAAGAAAAATTGTAAACCTTTAACTCAAAGTTTTCCAGAGTGCAGTGTAAATTGTAATTAAATCCTGGAATTAAAATTTTTTATGACATAGCTGTAATTTTTATCTTTACCGTTATCTATTTTTGCTGTGTGGTTAGGTAAATATTAATTTGAAACAGTATATTATGACCCAGAAACATTCATTTTATTCCATTATGGCAAATGCCTCACAAAACATAGTGATACAGTAAATCAGTTTTCCTTCAGTTGTCTTAAAACAACGCCATGTTTCACATAAGCACATCTTCTATGAAAGTGATAATGAAGTAATTATCAGTGTTTGGGTTTTCACTAACTGATAGTTTTTTAATATGTGGGGTAGCTAATACTATTGCTGATAGTTCTTAATAGCAGCGATGCTATGATAAATGTTTGAAATACCCATTTAAACTTCTTATGAAATCTATAGTCTGCTTAGTGTTCTGCATGAATGAGTTGTAGTAACGTTTTACATTTGATCATATGACACTTGCTGATTTGATCATAGAACGCTTGCCTCTTAGAGAATGCTTTAATTTCTAAAGTAAAAATAATTAACAACATTTGTATGTAGTAATGATTAAAGGAGGTACTATGAAATAACTTTGCTATGCAGAAAATCATTGGCATTAAATTAGTTCTAGTTGCTTTTTCTTTAGTACCTATACACAATAAGAAATGTAAAGATTTAGACAGTTCTTTCTGGGCAAGAAAATAATTTTTATAAGGTATATTCTCTAGAATTAGAAAATAAAAATGTGAATTTTTTTTCTGAGAGTTGAATTTTTAAATTAATATATTTAGTTGGATTAAAAATATATATGTTTTAAAATAAAACAATTTCCAGGCAACTGTGCTGGGTCCTAATCTGAAACAAATGCATGAAACAGAAATGTATGGTAGAGTAGGGGAACTATTCAACCAGAAAATTGTGGAAAAGAACAAGCATTGTTAACATTCATTTAAGAGGACCTTTCTAAAAGGATAATTCAATCTATTGACTTAAACAAATTGGCGTCACTAGCTGGCCATACCCTATGAAGGATACACATGCATTTATGTGACTTAGCCTCCACCACTAAATATGAAAACAGGCTAACTCAATTTGCTTACATACGTACACACCAAGCAACCTATTGCTCCTTTTAGGAAGCGGATGAGCTCGTCATATACGTGTGAGATTGGCTGTGCCAGTGAACTTTACTTCTCACAGTAAAAATATTTTTTAAAAAAGCATTCTGATATCATAGAGTTTTGATTTTGTCCGTTAGAAAAGACTGTGACACTTTGGTGCTGCTAAAATGTTAGGACTGGTGGCAAGAACACAGACTGTGGTAAATTTGTTAAAACAACGACAATGCCACTGTGAGGCTTCTTGAGAATCATGCCACAGATACGAACAAAGGCAATCATTAGGTACCTATGTACACATGGTTCGTGACAAAAATACACCTAACTCTAACATGCACACAATTGTGAAAACACAGAAAAATCTCCTAAGGACAAAAAGAAAAAAAAGCAATATTAACAAAGTGGTAAGCAAACATTGTTACCTCACTAGTCCTAATATGATTTGCAGATCTCTGCAATCTATTAGCTCTTAGTGGCTTGGTTTTAGGTTGACAAGGCCTAAACTTCACACAAGCTTGTGCACTGAAAATCAGACACTTCCATAAAACTTGTGATCTTGAAATCTATCTCCTCAGTCAGGGATCAAAATAGAAAATAAAGTGGCTCATTCAGCAAAGGGGGATGATAGAGACAATACTCACAAAATGTCTCACAGAAACAATTCTTAAAGGATGTCTTTTAGTGAAAAAGATTACTAAAAGGAGGGCACAAAATTGAACAATAAACATTTCTGAGAAGAGAAATTGAAAACCATGTGAAGAAATCCAGAGGTTGACTATTTCAAATATTAATACTGCATTACTATTTACTTAGAGACAGTAAAAATAAAATGGAAATTAAAAAAAATTTAAAACTCACTTGAAGGTGTGAGTGTGGTGCCTGATATTATCCTTTGTAAAGTTTTTTTATTTATCTTTTTTTTCTTTTTGAGATGGAGTCCTACTCTGTCGCCCAGGCTGGAGTGCAGTAGTGAGATCTCGGCTCACTGCAACCCTCACCTCCAGGGTTCAAGCGATTCTCCTGCCTCAGCCTCCCGAGTAGCTGGGATTACAGGCGCCCGCCACCACGGCCGGCTAATTTTTTTGTATTTTTAGTATAGACAGGGTTTCACCATGTTAGCCAGGATGGTCTCGAACTCCTGATCTCGTGATCTACCTGTCTCGGCCTCCCAGGTGCTGGGATTACAGGTGTGAGCCACTGTGCCGGGCCTGTAAGGTTTTTTGTTTGTTTTTTCTTCCTTTTATCATATAAGAAATGGACAAAGATATGTTTTAATTTTAGATTTTGTAAGACTAGGCATTCAGTTTGGTATTTTGGGTTACCACTAAAAAATGAGAAGTGGAGTATATTCTTTCCAAACCAAGGAATGAGAAAAAATCATTTTGAAAACAAACCAACCCAAATAAGGCAAAACAAAACAAAAAAAAACCCTCAATCAAAAAGAACGAAGGAGAGGAGGAAATAAGAACGGAACATAAGCGATTTTCTTAGGTCCAGTTGCACAGAAGCTGATCTTATGATGAATATTCCTGTGTAAGTGATATTCTAAATATCAAAGGAACTCTGTTTAAGTAAGTGGGGGAAGCAAGACAGAAAAAGGAAGGAAACCAAGCAAAGATCTGATTTCAAGCAAAGCCTTATTAAAGGTATCTTCAATGTAATCTTTCACGAGAGCTCTGGGGTTGTAAGTTACACTTCAGTAATTCCCAGGTGCTCCGAGCTCTGTAACAGCAGGCAGAGTGTGCTCCAATGGCCTGAGCATAGTCCTCCAAACAGTCCTTCAAACAAGCTGCAGATGCAGGCTATTGCTAAATCCAAGGGAAAACACAAGAGCTAAAAAGGATCTAAGGGAACCTACACAAGGTTCAACATCATCTGCAGAGACATACAAGGAAAGTGCAACATAACATGGTTTAAATATTTCAAGTATAGTGAAAATCATAAATATCCAATTGTCTTAATTATCCAGTGAAAAGCAGATATTGCAAAATTGAGTTGAAACAAAAATCTATGTTGGGTTTAATATAAATGTATATTCTATTTATAAGAGATTCACATAAAATACAAGGATACAGAAAGATTGAAAGTAAAAATTTTAAAAAATTAAAATCAGGAAAATACTAAGAAGTTAATACAGCTGTTAATATCGGGCGAAATTTACTGAAACCAGGAGTATTATTGAGGATAAATACGGTCCTCAGATAATAATTCAGTTAACTAAAGGATAAACAAAAATTATTCATTCTTGTTAAAAATGTGCTCAAAAATATATGCAACAAGTGACAGGACCGGATAAAAAGTTTACAAATTCACCTCAATAGAAGATTTCTTTTATATAAATTTTTAATAATGTAAAATATCCGTATTTTAAAAGTATACAAATTTCAAGTTTACAATGTAATGAATTGGCACTAAATGAACACTGCCATGTAGAGCAAGTAGATGATTTCATGCAAAGCTCTAGGTAAAAAAATAGAACATTAAAAATATCCAGGAGGCACTCTCCTTTATTTCCCAGAAATATCCACCCCCCCAACAATCATTTAATTGTTATACTGACATAGCACCATTGGTTCACATCACTTGTATTATATTTTTTGAATAAAAACATATGCTGCATACCATTATTTTGTTTGGCTTATTTTTTTCAGTAATCTGTGGGATTAATCCATGTTGTAGAGTGCAGAAGTTTCATTGTTCTCAGTGTTGTACAGTATTCTGTTATATAAATAGAACATTTATCCATGCTCCTATTAACAAATATATGTATATTTCCAGCGTTTTTCTATTACTCTATTATAAATACAGTTGTTATAATCACTTCTGTACATAATTGTAAAGCTGATATACAGGCATGCACTGCTAGTTTTTAGGATGTGTGTACATTTACCTTTAGTTGGTATCATTAAGCAGTTTTGGAAATTAAAATTTCCACCAGCATTGTATGAGAATTCCGTTTGCTCCATACCCTTACCAACACTTAGCATTGTAAGCCACTTTATATTTAATCATTCTAGTTGGCATGTAGTTATATAGCATTGAGGTTTTATTTTGCATTCCCCTACCTGTTAAAGAGGTAAGCACTTCTCATGTGTTTATTGTTAATTTAGATATCTGTTTTTCGGGGAAGGAAATGCCATTCAAAGATTTTGCACATTTCCTAATTCTCTATTTTCCTTGTTGAATTTGAGAGTCATTACACATTATGGATACTGGAGATTGATGGTATATGTTAAAGCTAACTTTTACCACTTCGTTCATAGCATTTTTCATCCCCTTAAAAAGTGTTTGATATACATACACTCTTAATTTTAATAATTCAATTTATTAATTTGTTTTGCTCATAATTTTTTACTTCTCATAGTTTAAGAAGATACTCTAAGCTTTCTGCTGGAGAATGTACAATTTTAAAGTTAATATTTTGATGAATATTTAATTAAATTATTCAATTAATTAATTTTTTAAGACACAGGGTCTTGCTGTGTCACGCAGGCTGGAGTTCAGAGGTGTGATCCTAGCTCACTGCAGCCTCAAACTCCTGGCCTTACGTGATCCTCCCACCCCAGCCTCCTAAGTGGCCTGGATTACAGATGCACACCACCATGTCCAACTAATTTTTTTCCATATTACTTTAGAAACAGGATCTTGCTATGTTGCCCATGACGGTCTCAAACTCATAGCCTCAAGAGATCCTCCTGCCTCAGCCTCTCAAGGTGTTGGGATTACAGGTGTGAATCACTGTGCCTGGCCACAATAAGTATGTTATACTCATTCCACTCAGAACTGATTTCTTTTGGTAGGAAGAGTGAATATTGTTTTCTTAGTTGAGAAATTCACCTGACTCTTTCCCCACTGATCTGTAATGCCAACTTTGTTATGACTCGTGTCCATGCATATGTGTTTCTATTTCTAAACTGTATTCTGTTTTAGTTATTAGTTTACCCTTGCATGAGTAGCACATTTTTATTACAACTATAGCTATTTACTATTAATATCTGGTATTATAAATCTTCTAATTGTTTCTACTTCAAAAACTGGCTCATCTCGGTTGTTATTTCCCTTTGCATTTCCACTTACAATTTTCTATCAGCTTGTCCATTTCCTCCAAAATAACCACTAAGCTTTTGATTGGTTTATAATAAGGGTCTACATGTCTATTCGAAAAAAATATATTTTTAAAAAGTTGAGTTTCTTCAATTTATGAACATCTTATGTTCCCCTATTATTTACACTTCCTTTAATTTCTTTATTTTTTTATATCTTCATAGTGGAAGTACTGCACAGTTTTCATTAGATTTATGGGTATTGATTTTTATGCTATTTCAAATGGCATTGTTTTGACATTGTAAGTTTTTATTGGTATATAGAATATCATTTATTTTTTAAAATTTGATTTTTATCTCAGGGAACTCCTTTAATTCACCTGTTTTTAATTGGGTATATGTCATGTTTAGTTGTGTGTGTGTTTTTTTTTTGTTTCTACATATTCACAATCATTTTGCGTTAAATTATAATAGGTTTAGTACTCCTTTTGTGTTCCTTGTATTGTTATTTTATTTTCTTATTTTATACTTCTTAGTAAAACCTAGAATAAAATATTGAATAAAGGTAGAAATTACAAGTATTTCATTTCATTTCTGTCATTTAGAGTAATATTTTTAATAATTCATAATCAAGAATGATGTTTTTGCCAGATGTTATGTAACTACTTTACATGAAACTTAGAAAATTTCTCACAGCCAAAGCAGTTCTATGAGGGATGTTTACAGCATTGAATGCCTACATCAAAAAATAATAAAATCTGAAATAAATAGCCTAACATTACACCTTAAGGATTAGTAAAACAAGGACAAACTAAATATAAAGTTAGCAAGAGAGAGAAAATAACAAAGATCAGAACACAAATAAATAAAATAGAGACCAGAAAAATAATAGAAAAGATAAACTAAGAATTGCTTTTTTGAAAAGTTGAACAAAATTGGCAAACCTTTAGCTAGACTAAAAAAGAAGACTCAAATAAATAAGTAAAATGAAAAACAAAACATGAGACATGATTATTAGTAATATATAAGACGCTACAGAAAAAGAGAAAAGTACAGGTCAATATTATTGATGAACATAGATGCAAAAATACTTCACAAAATACCAGCAAACCATATTCAACATTACATTTCAAGTATCATTCACCATGGTCAAGTGGAATTTAGCCCTGGGATCAAAGATAGTTCAAAATAAGCAGACCCATTAACCACCACATTAACAGGATAAAGGACAAAACCCATATGATCATTGCAACAGACAGAGAAAAAATGTTTGACAAAATGTAGTATTTTTTCATCATAAAACCTCTCAACAAAATAGCCTTAGAAGGAATGGTCCTAAACACAATAAATACCATATGACAAGCCCACAGCTAACATCATACTTAAGTATATATATTAAGTATACATATAATTAATAATTAACTAATTGCTTGATTCTTTGTGAAATTGAACTTAGACCTTGTCCAAGCATATTATATATTCTTAATAATTAAGTATATAGATACGTGATAACTACTTAATTGCTTCTTTGTGAAATTGAACTTGGACCTTGTCATTGACTAGTTCTGTGATATTAGGTATTCCCTCATCTGCCAGTTTTCTCATTTGTAAAATAAAGATCACAACTATAGTCATATCATATGCCTGGAGTTAATATTAAATGACATATCTATCTATCTATCATCTATCTACCTATCTATCTATAGCATTTAGTACACAGCTTTTGTTTCCTGTACTTGGTAGCACATTTTCCTGTGGTTTTCTGTATGCCAAACAGGCAGAGAGGGGAATAAATTACTCTAACCAACATCTTCGGTTAAAGCATGCTCATTGTTCATTGTCTTATGAACCATGTAGTCAAATTGTCATCACAGCGTATCTGAACTAGAGGCCAGATATCTCAATAAAAAACAACTTTCTTCTAAGAGGTGAGCTTATAAACTATGACACTACTTTCTAGACTTTGTTTACCAGAGTTGTAAATCAAGGAAAGAGATTTAAAAACCACTGTGAGATTGTGGGCAAGGGGTAAGCGAGTGGATATTGTGATGGTCCAATGCATTTCTCTGACTGCTGGTATCTTGATAATTATTGGTCTGAAGAATCTGTAGGCAGTCAATAAGGATCAATCAACCATTACAATAAAAGAAAAAATAATTTAAACAGAGCTTTATGTAGAGCCACTTTAGTACCTTGGTCAGTTTCATAAAACCAGGCAATGAACAGAATACAAGTATTGCTAATCAAGGATAGTATTTCTGTATTCACATCAAACAATTTATTTTAAAGAATGTTGTTTACTTGTTGAAGTCAATTAAAAATTTATATATCCAATTAAACTAAATATATAATTATCATCTCTCACAAACCAATGTAGAATTTCTCTTAATTCTATGACTGCTATTTTAGTCATGAAGCTACAGAGTCATTATGCAAGGCTGTGCATAAAGATCAATGGAGCATTGCTATTTCAGTTTTGTGAAGACAATTGTGTTTAATGGAAAGACAAATTTACAGAAAGTTATTCAGTGATTCCCTACAGATTTTTAGTTTTAAATTTATTTTTATTTTTATTTTTTGAGATGGAGTCTCACTCTGTCACCCAGGCTGGAGTGCAGTAGCGTGATCTCGGCTCACTTTGACCTATGTCTCTCAGGTTCAAGCGATTCTCCTGCCTAAGCCTCCTGAGTAGCTGGGATTACAGGCATGTGCCACCACTCTAGTTTTTTCTAATAGTTGGCACAATTTTTGCACAGCTAATTTTTGTATTTTAGTAGAGAAGGAGTTTCACCATTTTGGACAGGCTGGTTTTGAACTCCTGACCTCAGGTGATCTGCCCACCTCGGCCTCCCAAAGTGCTGGGATTACAGGCGTGAGCCACCGCACCCAACCCAGATTTTTAAATATCTTTTCCTTTTTTTCCTCTTCTGTGTCTAAGCACAAAGAAAACATGGAAAGTCTGAGACAGAGTAACTTGATTAGATTGGTTTTGGAAAACAATTCTATGTGACTTATTTTCCACTAAGCGTCAAAAATTCAAAAAGAAAAGGCAAGCGTTTAAACATCTCCACACTGTGAATTATATATATTAAACAAACAACTCTGGGAAATACCTCCCAAAGTAAGCAACTCTAAGAGAACAAGAAAAAAGTAGGCAGTTTACAGTCAATTGTTTTATATTTTTATTAAAATGTCTTCTGTCTTTTGGCTAAACCCAGGTAAGGAAATCCAAACAGAAAAAAATAAAAATATGACAAAAATTCAAGGCATTCAGTGTGAAAAAAAAATTCTGAAGAAGTAAATTCTTATAATTAAGATATACATTTGTAAGTTCTAAATGCGCTGCCAGAAATATGGTTTTGTGGTATTTTTTTTGAAATTATTAATCTCTTGTTAATTTGACATTATCATTATCCATGTCTTCCTATAAAATGATCTATATGTACTCTAAATGTTTCTTCACTTAAAAACGTATATTTTTATATTTTTAGTTGAATTTGAAGTATTACAATATTTAGTCATCTCTAAATCACATTCAGTGTCACTGCCAGTTCTTATTTAGCACTTACGGAACCCGACTTTGATGTGGTGAGTGTGTGAGTGAGTGTGTGCATGCATTGTTATTAACATAAAACATAAGACATGTTATTAACATAAAACATAAAACATGTTATTAACATAAAACATAAGTTTTATTAACATAAAACACAAGTTAATTGAAACAGATTTAATTTGCATATGCTTAAATCATAATGAAAATATGACTCTAACTTTCTCGGATTTCTGTTATGTACTTCTATTTAGAATTTACAGTTTTGTACCCAAATTTGCAAAGAATTACCTTATCAACTTGAAAAATAACAAATTTAATTTTGCATATAAATTTTGCATTTATCCACTTGTAAATTTCATTTTCATTAGTTTTTTGCTACTTCAAACTGTTCTAAAAAGAAGAAACTATTAAATATGTAGTCCATATTGGTAGATTTAGATAAAACTAACAAGATATCAGAGAGGTACAAACGTTATCTAGTAAAACTAGTAGTTCACATGCTTTGCATTTTGTTCTTGCTGTCTCCTTTAAGTGAACTTCTGCTAAATCATAATCTTACAAAGTCCAACACATTTTTCTCCCATGGCAAAACTGAGGAACAAATAAACACATTGATTTTTCCAACATTGTAGATCAATCATTTCTCAGCAATGTTTTTTTCATTTATTCCAAAATCATAAAGAATTCTGTTGTAAAAAAACATCCACTGTTTTTGTTAGTGGTTCCTTCATGAAATTGAAGGTAAGGACAGTTGGCATCAAAATGTAATGAATACATGCCTTGAAGCTAGGATGAATCTTCATAAGTTTGTCTCCTCGGAAACTTAAATTTACTCATGTATTGGAATGATACAGTAATACATGTCTTTGTATGATTAAATTGCATAAGGCTGTAAAAGATATATTATCCACTCTCCTTTGAAACTGGTCATTCACAATTTATAACTGTATTCTATAATTTAGTGAATATATTTATGTTATGATTGAAGCCATGTACTTACTGAAATTGGGTACAAGAACCAGATTTTAGTTTTATTTAATCCAACCAATTATTGGCCCTGTCCTTATGGTTTCCTTTTTTATCCATAATTGTTTTCCTCCAGTCAGCCTTATCTAAGGTACTAATTTTTATTTGTGACATTGAAGTTGTAGTTTTGGATATAGAAATATATTTTTTTATTAAAGCTGTGTTTTTCTTAGAATTTGCCCATTTTTGCTGAGTGACTTTTAAGAAAATATTTTACCTTTTATGGTCTCAAAAGAAAATTTTATTTAATCCTAATGCCTTAAATGTAAAAATTAAAACAGATACATAAAGTGTGAAATAACTCAAATTTTAGTGCTTCAAATAGATTAAAGCCTATTTACTATAACTCATATGGTCACGCCATATGCCCATGGGGTATAGATATAAATTTCTACCACAGGGAAAGGCAGTAACAATTTTGAACAATTATACAATCTAAATAGAAAAAATAGAATAATAGAAAAATATTTAATTATGTAGATTGAACTTAAGGAGTACTGGTGAATTGAAGGGGTATCACGAGAGGTGTATAATATTTATAGAGGAAATGGGAGTGATGGGACTAGTAAAAGAGACAATATAGGTGAGAAAATGAGAATAATTAGGGATTGATTTTTTTCTCATTATTACTGCACTTTAAAGAGAACAATTTTGCATTGGTAATTTTAAGTAACAATACTTTTTAAAAAGATAACTGAATAATGGAATACATTAGTATGCCTTGGTTGTAAGTCAAACTATTTTTTTCTAATATTTGGCACAATTTTTGATGTTCTTGGTTGCAAAAGAAGAGAAATTTTCTGAAAATTAGTGAAACTTTTTATTAAGGTTGAAATTTATTTCTTAGCCATATATTTTTACATTTTTCATAAATAAGCAGAAGACCTTTATAGAATTTAAAGGTTTTTGGATATTCTGGATAGTCACATTTCTTTGAGGACAATTTTATATGTATGTCTCAAAGTTTGAACATTAGGAAATCACTTTTCACAATCTTCCTTCCCTGTGGAGTTTATCTGAATGCACAGCCATTTTTAAAGTTTGTCCTCTGATCAGTTCAGCTGGATACTTACGAAGATAAGAGTGTAGCACAAGTTAAAGTCAAAATTCTAGAATTCACAGTATGCTTCAATGGACTCTTTTTTTTTTTTTTATTGATTCCGAAACTCTTAAACTACTCATTGGATCTCATTCTGTTAACTACGTTTTACTATTTTGGTTTCCATAATAAACCAAACGTGAAGTCTTTGAAATTACTTGAATAAAAACTTTATATATCAAATAGTCCAAATGGGCAGAAGTTGGTATGTATCTGAAACTACTTAACTGTGTATAAAAATAAGAAAAATTGAAATCGGCAAACAATGCTATAAAGGACATTTTTGTAAAGTTAGCTATTAAGACGTGTTTGTCAATCCCAGACCAATGATAGAAAGTACAATTTTATACTTAAATATATATTAATTGTCTCTATTTGTGACAATTAAATAGAGACAATTTGATTGAGACAATTAATTATCTCTATCAAAGTGTATTCTAAAGGTTTGGTTTTTTTAAAAAGCAAGCTCAAGCATTTTGTCCAAAAGAATTGTATATCTAATGGATAAGCACATACATAATCTATTGGTGGGATAATCAGTGTCATTGAATACATTCATATTTGAGTTTGATACTATAAATATTACCCCCCAATAGGTAGTACACTTATCAGAAATGCATAAGAGTACATTTTGTTTCCCCTTGCACTATGCATTATCAACTTTTATTTTTTGGCACATATGATAGTGACACATTTATTTTACTCAGATTCCTTGAGAAGCAATTGTTCCAAAGCACATTCATGTTGATGTTAGTCCCTGTAGGTTGGCTGAGTGGATCTAATCTAGAAAACATTCACATCATTTCTATGTATTTTTTTGCTCTGTTGAGCAAAGGAGACAGAAACTGAGTAGATTGGCCTGCACTGTAAACTCAGGCTTGTTTTAAAGAGCTGTCCCAAGGATGACATTGAGGAGAGAGAAGCTTGCAAGTCACTTTGTATTTTTCTTTAATCTACAACCCACAACTTTAACAGCAATAAAGTTAATATTTTAGAAATTAATAATTATTCTAGTTTATTCATCAAAATTTCAGAAACTGTAAGAAGACTAGGAGTTCTCTTTATCTAAAGTAGTCTTAAAACGCCTAATACCTACTAATTGTAATTTAAATTCAGTGATTCTTAAATTACTAATGGAGCTGGAGACATAATTATACATTAAATTGTCTCAGCCATTCTTTTTTTGTGTGAAAAAAAGCCCTTATATTTTTCTATAGTTTGTTTAGATTGACATTTATTTCTCTTTTTTCTTTTTTTTTTTTAATTTTTCTTTTAAGTTTAGCAGTACATTCGTTTGTTTGGTTTGTTACATAGGTAAACTTCTGTCAGGGGTTCACAGTACAGATTATTTTGCATCCCAGGTATTAAACCTAGTACCCATTTGTTATTTTTCCTGATCCTCTCCCTCCTTCCACCCTCCACCCTCTGGGAGGCCTCAGTGTGTGTTGTTCCCCTCTATGTGTCCATGTGTTCTCATCACTTAGCTCTCACTTATAAGTGAAAACATCCAGTATTTGGTTTTCTGTTCCTGTGGTAGTTTGCTGAGGAGAATGGCCTCCAGCTCCATCCATATGCCTGCCAAGGATTTCTTTCTTTTTTATGTCTGCATAGCATTCTACGTTCTATATGTACCATATTTTCTTTATCCAGTCTAGCACTGATGGGAATTTATGTTGGTTCCATGTCTTTGTTATTGTGAATAATGATGCAATGAACATTTGCATGCATATGTCTTTATAATAGAATGATTTATGTTACTTTGGGTATATACCTAGCAATGGGTTTGCTGAGTTGAATGATATTTCTGTCTTTAAGTCTCTGAGGAATGATTACACTGTCTTCCACAATGGTTGAATGAATTTACATTCCTACCAACAGTGTGTAAGTATTCTTATTATTGATATTAAGTAAATTAGCTCTTTCATCATTCTATGTATTAAAATGTTTGCTAATTTGCTATTTAAATGTATAATATTTTAATAAGCATTTTATAACACTAAGTTAAAACTTGTGACTAAAATCTATAGAACAGTTCCTACTATAATGAAGGAAAAATAACTCAGCAGAATACCATTTTTACTTTACATTCTGTATTTTAGCTTCAAAAAGAATTCATTTAAGTTCATGAACTTGCTGAACATTTCATGTATTAGAATCTTCTATCACTGATATTTTGAACTTTAGAACATTAGATACATTTTCCCCATGAAAATGTTTTGTAATATTTATAGATCTCATTAAATTATTGTACTATACTTTATAGAAATGGAATCTGAAAATGTTGGCAGCCATCCATGAGGCACTTTAACATATAATCTACTCAAGTTTTTTCTTCAATCATTTTTATCATTAGGCTATTTATAATGAGTAACATATAGTTCCATAACCTAACTGTATAAGCTATCATTGAACCAAGTTTAGTTGATGCTAATAACTTCCCATGATTCATAATGCAACAAATATATTTGAGTAAGAATTTTTAAGGTCACAGTTATCTTGGTTCCTAGAAAATTTTTTTTTCATTTTCCAATAAATGGAAATGTCGCATTATTCCTCTTCTAAACTACTTAAATAACTTCCATTGTTTCTGATTTACATATTTATGAATCAATCCCTATTACATGAAAAACAAACAAAAAACAGTATGGCAATAAGTAACCTATTATTTAATCCTAATTTAGCCATCTGAATTGTGTAGTAATTTTTATTGTCTTCAACAGATTTGTTTCTGAAGATGCATTGGAAAACTACTGTTTACTTCTGGAAAAATAGAACTAAAGAATTTTTAAAGTAAATAATTTTCTAACCAGTGTTTGTAACACTTGCACCAAGCCTATCATAAGCGCACAACTATTTATCTAGTAATAAATGAATGGGTACTCACATCAAGTGACTTCTTTATTACAAGACCTTTTATGAACCCTCTTCAAAGAGAAGATCCTCTACCTTTTGAAAAAATGCATTCAAAAGTTAGAATACAGAAGGTAGATAGATTAGATAGATGATAGATAGATAGATAGATGATAGATAGATAGATACACAGATATAGATTAATATTTCCATTCGTGGTCCACAAAGGGAAAACTCATGAGGAACAAAGCCTAAAATATTACAACCCACCAAGCAGAGAATCACTGTGGTCCAATTCTAATCATCCTGATAAACAGGGTCCTAGATCTGTTTCTAGGTGGCTGGGACAATTGTACTCGCCTATGTTTGAATTTGGAAATAAGCTGATTCCTTACAATTTTAGGTAAAAACAGTTACTACAAAATCTAAAATTGGATCTTTGTCTCTTGTTAATTCAAGGCTGAAAATGAACTGAGTGTATGATTCAGAGCCCAGAGCTTAGCTGCTAACACAAAACCAGCTTAAGAGCTGTGAACAATGAAAAACCAAGTCATGGAAAATGTTTGTGTCATCTCACTGGCAAACCTTCGGGAAGAGAATCCTAGCAGAAAGTGAACTGTTACATTAAAACATTCAAAACATGTAAGGAAGGTAACCATCATGAAAGCAGAGACAAATTAAACGAAATAGAAGGAGAACAAATCACATTCGATTATCTTAACAAAAATTAAAACAAGCAGACTTTAAATTCGACATGGAAACATAAAGTTTCCAAAAGTGTTAAGTCAATTTTAAAAACAACTATTAGCCAGGCATGGTGTCGTGCATCTGTAGTCCCCCTTACTCGGGAGGCTGAGGCAGGAGAATCCCTTGAACCAGGTAGGTGGAGGTTGCAGCGAGCCGAGATTCCACCACTGCACTCCACCCTGGGCGACAGAGTGAGACTTGGTCTCAAAAAAAAAAAAAAAAATAGAATTGAGAGAGAATTGTCAATGCGCTATGTCTTCTAGACATCAAGCCATTAAATTGTAGGATAATTTATTATACAGCAATAGATAACTTATCCGCCAAGAGTCTCACCCTTGTTTTAAATTCAAGATTCTAGTCTTCATTCCTGTCCACTAGTTCAGCTATTTGTTTTGGATATTATTTCTCTTTATACAATCACTACACCTAAAGTAACCTCTAGACATAATATTAGGCCAATGGAATTTCTTGGCCTAACTACATACTTTATAGTGGCAAAAAGTATTTTATGAACATTTTAATAGAACCTCCATACGTTTGGAAATAACTATTTGAAATTTTAATTATTTCAAAAGCAATCATTTGATGGTAATTATTTCTGAAAAAGCATCTAGTCTCACACAGAAAGACAATTTTCCCATCAACCAGTTTCCATTTATATAAATTACAATTTCCTTAATAATAAAATGATTTATCTAAATCATAAAATGAAACACTATCTTGCCAATAGTTGTATCAATGTCTTATTATACTTTGCATATGAAAGACGTATTCTGTCTTTGTTTCTATTTCTGTTGATATCCACCACAATTAATAGTGTATTTTAATTTAAATTAGGAAATTGTATTAATAGACAGTAGAGTAATGCATTATTGACATGCATATATATTATGTTTAAAACTTTTCCTTTGTTATTTACTAAAACTTATGAATTATTTTTAAAATCTCATAAGCAATACTTAGTAGCATCTGAAACATGTTATTTATATTTTTATGATGCTTATAACTGACTAATATAGACTAAAATATACAAAAATCTCAATGGTGTATCAATTTGGAGGATGTGTTCTTAATTGTTCCTGTTTTAATGATTATGGATGCGAAGTGACTTACTGAAATTTCCTTATTCAGTCTCTGCTGATAGCAATGGAATGAGTTTGTGAGCTTGATGCATACTATATTCTGGTAACACAAGAAAGCAAATAGCTTCTTTGTAAGTTAAACTTTTTTTTTTCCTGGCAACACTGGCATGGAAACCTTATCAAAGAATTAGCTACTCACAGTCTGTAATGATCACCAATTCTCAATGATCTATACTAAATAAATAAGAATATCAGAGAGGAAATGTATATATGAGTTAAGTTTTTATCCACTTTTAATATATGACAATAAATGCAAATTTGTGAAAGTTTTTAAAGTGCAGTTTTATAAATATTTTAATTATTTTTCAAAATGCCCTTCTCGACTACTAGACACCAATAATTCAAGCTGTTTTTCATAAAAGAGGATCAAAAGCACAAATTGCAAATTTATTTTCTTGGAATCTACAGTCTATGAAGATAGAAATAACTACAAAAAAATACCATAAGGAAAAAAATGTTTGCACAGTCAACTAGCTAAATAAATTATTTACTAAATTCGACAGAAAAATGTTTTGTTTTTAATTAATCTAATCCCTTATTGGTAGAAAGTATGTTTTTCATCCTACTACAAGTACTAAAATTGCAGCTAATATTTTATGGAAATAAATTGCTTGGTATTATAGATATATAAAATATAGGTAGTCTAAAACTATGTTTAGGTTACCTATTTTAGATAGATAGATAGACATATAGATAATCATCAAGGTGCCTATACAATTTATTATTATGTATGAGAAAATATTATTTAAAAATCTCTATTTTTAAAATTTTTTTTAATTCTAAAATTGTGTGAATGAAATGGCAGTCCCTGTTGAGAACTACAGTCTTTCTGGAAAGGCATAACATTTCAAAGGCTAGAAAAAAGTTCTTCCAAGAACTATGTGGCCTTTCAAAGGCTTCTCCATCTCAGTGACAAACTGGTAACATCCATCTGACACTACTGTCTTTTTGTTCTTCATAAGGCTGGTTACAATTTACTTCAGAAAGACAAGAAGAACTGTTTTTCACAATGGCTGCAGTGAAAGAGACTTGTGCCTTTTATCTGTCTTTTTTCTAATAAGATAAATGGAGCAGGTGTAGAGGAATTAATGAAGCAACTGCCAAATTGCAAGGGTCATTGGTGTGTTGAAAGCTATAAATTAGCCAGGTCTTGCGGGAAATTACCCTCTACCTTTATTGAGATTCTGCCATTTCTAAATTCAAGTTCAAGACAAGACAAAAAGCTGTTTGAAAGTGGAAAAGAAAAATGCCAGTTAACTTTCATTATTTAGGGTAATTCTAAGCAAAAACACACACACCAGAATATATATATATATATATATATAAATCACTGTAAATACATATAAACTGTAAATCTACCTATGTAAATATGGTTAAAATTTTACTTACTGTATAGAAGAAAAAAGTTTGTGCTTTGTTAAGAATATATATTTCTATTGATGGCAGCAGTTTAAAACTACTAGGAATACAATCTACATCCGTGTGCACAAATTTACTGATTTGTTAAATTCATATTAAATCCAATGTTTTGCAGGAAATTGTTACAGTATAAAAACTAAAGATTTAAAGAAATTTGATTTTAAATATGAGTTCACAAGATATACTTCTCTCACTCTGTGCTCCAGACTCTTTCTCATTATTAAATGAAATGTTAAAGGAAAAGTGCTATATTTTAAAAACACATAAGAGATAATAGAATAACAGCTCAAGAGAATCTTAGGAAATCTTTTGAAACATGTTAAATTTTTATTTATTTTTAAAGTTAGAGAAGGACAAAACAATAAATCTAACGCAGTTGTGTTGTAAGGAAAATAATATATTTGCACTACAGGTGCATTTGCAAATTATGTCAATTCTTATGAATATTCTGCCATTGCAAGAATCTAGGATTTTGGTAAATAGTTTGAATATACATACATTATTGCATTTCATACGTTGATCAATACGGAAAAAATAAAAAATTATATTGCTAAATCATCTCATCAGTAAAGAATTAAAACTCTTCATTTACTCATCATCTTCTATGTATAGCAGTGAAGTTTTAAATTTACCAATCCTATTAACTTAATGTTTTATGCAACAGTTCCTTCAACATCTGAATTTTCCACTCACCAGTTTGGATCCCATATTTCATAATTCTGAGACTTTACATAACAGTACAACTATCTTGTCACAAATCACTCTTTTAATGATGCAGGCTTGAAAAATCCCAATTCATGTCCACAGCAGGGCAGATAAATGTGGGTGAATAAAATCTAAAAACTTGTTGAGTAGCCTTATTTTGAATCTAGAAATTATAACACCAATTATGCCCCTGCTAATTGATTGGCATCAACTATTCTTGTTAATTTTACTGTATTTCTGCAAGCCCATTTACCCTTCCATTCCCCTATACGCTCCTCTTTCCTTTTCAAATGCCTCCACCTTGAGCCTTGTTCTCAACTGATGATTGTACTTCCTGTTTGACCAACAAGATGTAAAAGAATAACAAAAAAATTGTGAATGACCCCACCAACCCTTTACTATCACAGATTTGTTTGTTGATTTACCCTCATTTCTCAGGATTCAAACATTGGAGCATAACACGGAGCCATCTTCAGTCTTCATCCCTTCCAATGTTTCTTGGGTAGATTATTTTAAGTATCATTTGGATGCTAGTTTCTCCTCAATTTTATAAGCTGCCTAGCTTTCCTCCTTAACTGAAGACATATGCATCAAGTGCCTTTTCAAAAAGTCCCCTTGGACATCTAATAGGTTTCTCAAGCTTTACCTGTTCAAAATGAAAGTCCTAATTTTTTTTCTCACAGTAACCAACTCCTTTGGCATTCTTCTTCTTGGTAAATTACACTTGCATTCAGTCAGTTACTTAAGCTGTAGTAGAAACTGGCCATCTGACTAAACCATTTCCTCTTGCAGAAAATACACCACAATTTCCACCGTGGTAACTGAGACCATGTTACTAATTCTAGCCACTAGAATGTGTACAGGAGTGATGTGTATCACTGTAAGTCCTAGCCTGTAAATAAACACTACTTGCAGTCCTCCTTATTCCTTTCTGCTCTTGTGGCTGGGATGGAGATCATCCTAGGTCAAACTTGGAAGCCACATGCAGAAAAGGAAGAGCCATAATATAGAAAGAGGTGGGACTCCTCATTCTCTGCTTGAATGAGGTTTTCCTGACCAAGAAAATACAGAGCAGATTAATATGTGTGCAAGAAATGTACAAATGTTATGTCCTTGATATTGCTAGAATTTGTTTCAGAAAATAGAATCATCATGCATCTCAAATATATTGAACCATCATAATTCTTTGTATTGCATCTTCATTTATTAATTATATTCATAATTCAGCCATTTTTACAACTTCTCTGTTGTAAGAGATCATCCTGTTCTGACTGTTATGACTCAATAGGATTACTCCAATTCTGCAGAAATACTTTTCTTGAAAACACATTTACATCCTTTCTCCTATTATAATTTTGTTTTGAAATGATTCTGTTAAAACTTGCCAGATAATGTCACACTCCTGCTCAAAATTATACAGTGAATTCTCTTCTCAAAATAAGCAACATAGATTTATATGAAATTTCTCTCCCTCACTACCACTGTGACCTTCTCTTCCACTGTTTTATTCCTCACACTCTGCTGAAATTCTGTGACCACTTCTAGATCTTCTGATTTACTCAATGTAGTCACTCATTTGTGTCTTTATTTCACTTAATCCTTCTGCTTGGAAGGCTTTTCCGCAAGATATATGAAAAGCTTTCTTATCCCATTCATTCAGCACCTACTCAAAGTTTGGAGGGTTAGAATATAACAATGCATTTATATCTCTTATTTTAGTAATTTCTATTTTGTGGCATATGAGCTGTTTTCACTTTTTATGGTTTTATAAACAATGCATGTCCATGAGCATATGTGAATGCTTTTCAATATAGCATTTACCAAAGTTTACATGTATTGTCCTATAGTTTAATTGCAGAGTGATGAGATATGAGATGGTTATAATATGCCAGACAATCCAAAATGATAGTACCAATTCTTATTCCCAGCAGATGAGAATTCCAAAATTCAAACTATTTACAAAAACCTAGACTGATCCATTTTTATTTTTTTAACTTTTGCATTTTTTCTTATAATCTAATGAATGTGGTCTTAAGTATCAGTTCCCTGGTCATTAAAACATTTGGAAAAGTTTTTATACATTTATGGACCATTTATGTGATCTGTTTTGTCACGTCTGTTCCAATTTTTAGCTTATTTTATTCTTGTGGTATTCTATCTATTCTATCAACTGTATGAGTTTCTTTTGTTAGTAGTTATTTATGTGGTATAATAGTTGGATATATTTTCCCTCAAGTTGTAGTTGGTCTTTTAAATTTTGCTGTCTCTTTATGTAACACATGTTAAGATGTTAATAATCATAAATACTTAGTTTATCAATTATTGTATTTTTGTACTTTTCATTTTTTGTGTTCTAATGCATTCTTTTTCTTTTTGATCTGAAGGGCTTATTACATTTATTGGCATACAATTTTAAAGTATCATTTATCTTTAAAATATCTGCAGCAACTTTAAATGCGCCTTTTTTCCACTACTGATGTTTAAAAATATTTTCCATTATCTCTTAAATGTAAATCCCAAATCTATACAAAACCTTAAAGAAAACCTACAAAATGCCACTCTAGACATAGATTCTGGGAAAGATTTTGTGATGAAGATGCCAAAAGAAATTGCAAACATAAACAAAATTGGGACCTAATTAAACTAACGGACTTCTGCACAGCAAAAGAAACTATCAAGGGAGTAAAAATCCTACAAATTAGGGAAAATATTTGCAAACTATGCACCTGATAAAGTCTAATATCCACAAACTATAGGAAACATAAATTAACAAGCAAGAATTAAACATTAAAAATATTAAAATGCCCATTAAACATAGAAAAGAACATGAACAGACACTTTTCAAAAGAAGACATACAAGTGGCCAACAAGCATATGAAAAAAATTCTCAGTATCACTAATCATTACATAAATGCAAATCAATACCACAAGGTACCATCTCACACCAGCAGAATGGTTATTATTAAAAACTCAAAAAATAACAGATGCTGGCGTGGCTGTAGATAAAATGAAATGCTTATATGCTGTTGGTGGGAAGGTAAGTTAGTTCATTCACGGTGGAAAGCAGTTTGGAGATTTCTCAAAGAAATTAAAAACAGAACTACCACTTGACTCAGCAAGATAATTACTGGGTATATACCCAAAGTAATATAATTTGTTCTGCCACAAAGACACATGTGCACGTATATTTATTGCAGCGCTATTCACAATAACGAAGACCTGGAATCAATCTAGATGCCCATCAATGGTGGACTGGATAAAGAAACTGTGGCACATATACACCATGGAATGCTACAGAGCAATAAAAAGGAACAAAATCATGTTCTTTTCAGCAACATGGATGCAGTTGGAGGTCATTATCCAGAGCAAATTAATGCAGGAAGAGAAAACCAAACACTGTGTATTCTCCCTTATAAGGGGGAGCTAAACATTGAGTACACATGCACATTAAGAAGGTAACAGTAGACACTGGGCCATACATAAGTGTGGAGGGTGGGAGGAGGGTGAGGAATGAAAAACTACTATCAGGTACTGTGTTCATTAGCTGGATGATGGAATAATATGAACACCAAACCCCATGACACACAATTTACTAATGTAACAAACCTGTAACAAACCTGCACATGTACCTCCTGAACCTAAAATAAAAGTTGGTAGGGGAAAGAAAAAGAACACTTTCCATTGTGTCTTGTCTGCACAGTTTCTCTTAAGAAGTCAGCCATCAGTGAAAACACATATTTTCTCTTAGCTATTTTTATGATTAAAAAAAAAAAGAAAAAAACACTTTGATTTTCTTTTCCTTTTTTTTGAGACAGTCTCACTCTGTCACTCAGGCTGGAGTGCAGTGGCACAATCTCAACTCACTGCAGCCGCCGCCCCCTAGGTTCAAGCAATTCTCCTGCCTCAGCCTCCTGAGTAGCTGGGATTACAGGCATGCAACACCATGCCTGGTTAATTTTTGTATTTTTAGTAGAGATGGGGTTTCCTCATGTTGGCCAGGCTGGTCTCAAACTCGTGACTTCAGGTAATCCATCCTCCTAGGGCTCCCAAAGTGCTGGGATTACAGGCGTGAGCCACCACGCCCTGCCAAAACTTTGATTTTCATTAATTTTTTGTTTCTTTGACAGGGTCTCATTCTGCTGCTCAGGCTGGAGTGCAGTGGTGCAATCTTGGCTCACTGAAAACTCTTTGAGAAAATTTAAGTGTTTTTTTTTTTTAAATAATTCATTCTATAGTATGTTTACTGACCCTGAATCAATTGTTTTTCTCATCTATTACCTTTTTGAATGCTCTTTCATCATTATCTGTTTTTTTTCTATTATATTTTTTCTCTTGCTTCTTTAGGTTGGGAAATTTTTAGCTTGTTAATTTATATTTTTTATGTGCCCACTTACAGTTAATTCTATACACTAGCTAATTTCAGATATTGTATTTTTCCATTCTATAATATGGCTTAAATTTCTGGAAAAATTCTCCTTTCTTTTGTCTATTTTAGCCACTAGTCATTATCTATATTTTCACCATATTTGGCACAGTTATAGTCAGTTTTTTCTTGCTATTCCAATTTCTTGACAATTTTCACAGCTCCTAGTATTATTTTTCTCAAAATTTTCTGTCATATTTTGGTCTATTTGAGTTTCTAGTAATTTTATGGAACTCTAAATTTTATACTGTAGAGACTTTAAATATTTTCTTTCACTAGAAAAGGCTATTTTTTTCCTCTGTCATGCAGATAGAGTGAGAGTATGATCATTTCTCTCCAAACATGGATATAGTTGGATCAGTACTAGACTAAAATTTGAGGAATACTTGGTATACTCTGCTTCATTCCTATTCCTTAAGCATAGGCTTCTGGGCTTTTGATTGAGAGAGGTTATCTGATGTTTGCAAGCTCATCCCTGAAAGACTACAGAACATCATTGCTATCCTTTGATATTTTTCTAGTTGATATGTCTAATCTCTTAAGCCAGTGCAGAATAAATATTGGCATATATCTGTAGGTGAAACCACTGCTTTATTCCTTGAGCACAATGGAGGAAATTTTACTCCACCTTTAGAAAGGCTCTTTCTAGGTCTTTAGCCTCTGAGCAGTCCCAAGATTCAGAAAATATTTTCTGGTGATATCTAGGCATGTGGATGATGCTCCTCAAGTTGTAACATTTTGATTATTTAAAAAGCATCATTGCTTTTTGTTTTTTCCTTCCTCCAGCATAGTTTGTCTGCTGTGGTAAGCCCAATTCTATGGCCAATTCTAGGAGTGGAAAAGTCACCCAGCTTCATAAGGAAAACAAAAACAACATTGGTGAGCATCAGCTTAACTCTAACAGTTCTAACCTCTTGAGTAAGATATAAAATTCTAAAATCTATTAATATCTAGTGAAATCTCTAGCAATTCAGCTATATTAGATAGATACACATTATTATTAGCTTCATATCAGTTTAGCTCAGGATTTTACACCAAATGAGGTGGCACTAATTTTGTTGAAAATACGTGTTTTTAGAGTTCACTTATTTTGATATTTGTGAATAAGTGGCTTTGGATCTGCTAGTATTCCACTAATTTTCTGATTAACAAAAAATAGTAAAGTACTTTAATCTCACTCACCCCTTGTTAATGCATATAGTATTTTTTTGCTGTATGTTTTAATTTCAATTTATTTTTAATATCAAAATCATTATTAGTGTCATTTAAAAATCATTACATCATCCTGTATATTTTTTTCTATTATTTATTCTTCAATCTGACCTTCCATATGAAATAATTTTATTTTTTAAATGTTATGTATTTATTTATTTAATTCATTTCTATTTAATGAGATTTTGCTAAGAGAAAATTATTCCTGTTTTCCTTTGGTAAAAATGTCTAGCTAATATTCTTAAGATATATTTGCACTGGGTACAGAATTCTAGCTAGACATTTATGTAATTTTATTACAGAAGAAAAAATTCCATTTTTCTAATTTTATTTTTGTTTTGAAATATTAGTATAATTTATCATTAAAGGTAAATTATTGTTTCCTTTTTCACACTTTTATATTCTTCTTTATATTCTTTCTAAAACTTAATATAGGCTTTAGGTTTTCTAAAATTTTACCTTACATGTTTTACTTTGATTACCCTGATCAGGATTTATAGGTATTCTTATGTATTTGAATTGAAATTTTTAAACATTCTTCATCATTTTTTTCTTCTAATGATGCCTCTGTCTCATTTTCCCACTCTTTCGTAAGTCCAGGTAGACTTGTTATGATTTCTTACAATTTGTCATTCCTTATAAGATCACCTTCATATTTTTCATTTACTTTTCTCTTGAAAATAATGTATATTGTATTCAATTTTATCTCTCATTTCTCTAATTACCTCATTAATTTATCTATTTTGTTTTGAGTTTTTAATTTGTATTGTATCAAGTTAAAATACACATAGAGCAAACATACAAATCTGAAGTTTATAATTAAATGAGTTGAAGGAAATATGTTCACCTATGTATCCACAATCGTAATTAAGATACAGAAAATTTCTCTTACCTGAAAATACACTTATGTCCTTGTCAGTCATTTCCTACACCCTATAAACAAACACAATTTTGCATTTTTTTGACTATAGGCTGTCTTAGTACATTCAGCCTTATATAACAATGTATCATAAACTGGATGGATTATAAACAACATAAATATATGTCTCACAATTCTTGAGGCTGGAAATTCTAAGATCAAGGCACTGACAAACTGGGTGATGATGAGGGCTCACTTCCTGGTTCACAGACAGCCATCTTTTCACTGCATCTTCACATGTCAGAAAGGGTGAGAGATCTCCCTGAGCTCTCTTCTTAAAAGGGCACTGATCACGTTCATAAGGACTCTGCTGTCAGGCTAACTATCCCCCAAAGTCCCCTCTAGCTAATAAAATCACCTTAAAGGTTAGGAATTCAAAGTATGAATTCTGGGGTGATACAAACATTCAGACCATAGTGATTAGTTTGATTTCTAAATTATATAGTAAGTTGCTTAATTTTAATTTTTTTTTTTAGTATACTTAATTAATAAATACAGGAAGAGTTAGAGAAATGCTCTTTGGGCCGGGCGCGGTGGCTCACGCCTGTAATCCCAGCACTTTGGGAGGCCGAGGCGGGTGGATCATGAGGTCAGGAGATCGAGACCATCCTGGCTAACAAGGTGAAACCCCGTCTCTACTAAAAATACAAAAAATTAGCCGGGCGCGGTGGCGGGCGCCTGTAGTCCCAGCTACTGGGGAGGCTGAGGCAGGAGAATGGCGTGAACCCGGGAAGCGGAGCTTGCAGTGAGCCGAGATTGCGCCACTGCAGTCCGCAGTCCGGCCTGGGCAACAGAGCGAGACGCCGTCTCAAAAAAAAAAAAAAAAGAAAAGAAATGCTCTTTGGCTAAATTCATTTTGTCATTTACCTCAACTATTGTATTTTTATTATAACATATTTCTCACGTGTAGTATCTCAATTGGCTTTCCTTTACAAATCCCTTTGTGCTTTACATTATTTATATATCTTGGAATGCTTTAAGTTATGATGACTTTCTATTTTTTTTTAAATTATACTTTAAGTTTTAGGATACGTGTGCGCAACGTGCAGGTTTGTTACATATGTACACATGTGCCATGTTGGTGTGCTGCACCCATTAATTCGTCATTTAACATTAGGTATGTCTCCCAATGCTATCCCTCCCCCCTCCTCCCACCCCACAACAGGCCCTGGTGTGTGATGTTCCCCTTCCTGTGTCCATGAGTTCTCACTGTTCAATTCCCACCTATGAGTGAGAACGTGCGGTGTTTGGTATTTTGTCCTTGCGGTAGTTTGCTGAGAATGATGGTTTCTAGCTTCATCCATGCCCCTACAAAGGACATGAACTCATCATTTTTTATGGCTGCATAGTATTCCGTGGTGTATATGTGCCACATTTTCTTAATCCAGTCTATCATTGTTGGACATTTGGGTCGGTTCCAAGTCTTTACTATTGTGAATACTGCCGCAATAAACCTACGTGTGCATGTGTCTTTATAGCAACATGATTTGTAATCCTTTGGGTATATACCCAGTAATGGGATGGCTGGGTCAAATGGTATTTCTAGTTCTAGATCCCTGAGGAATTGCCACACTGACTTCCACAATGGTTGAACTAGTTTACAGTCCCACCAACAATGTAAAAGTGTTCCTATTTCTCCACATCCTCTCCAGCACCCGTTGTCTCCTGACTTTTTAATGATCACCATTCTAACTGGTGTGAGATGGTATCTCACTGTGGTTTTGATTTGCATTTCTCTGATGGCCAGTGATGATGAGCATTTTTTCATGTGTCTTTTGGCTACATAAATGTCTTCTTTGGAGAAGTGTCTGTTCATATCCTTCGCCCACTTTTTGAGGAGGCATCACACTACCTGACTTCAAACTATACTACAAGGCTACAGTAACCAAAACAGCATGGTACTGGTACCAAAACAGAGATACAGACCAATGGAACAGAACAGAGCCCTCAGAAATAATGCTGCATATCTACAACTATCTGATCTTTGACAAACCTGACAAAAACAAGAAATGGGGAAAGGATTCCCTATTTAACAAATGGTGCTGGGAAAACTGGCTAGCCATATGTAAAAAGCTGAAACTGGATCCCTTCCTTACACCTTGTACAAAAATTAATTCAAGATGGATTAAAGACTTAAATGCTAGACCTAAAGCCATAAAAATCCTAGAAGAAAACCTAGGCAATACCATTCAGGACATAGGCATGGGCAAGGACTTCATGTCTAAAACACCAAAAGCAATGGCAACAAAAGCCAAAATTGACAAATGGGATCTAATTAAACTAAAGAGCTTCTGCATAGCAAAAGAAACTGCCATCAGAGTGAACAGGCAACCTACAGAATGGGAGAAAATTTTTGCAATCTACTCATCTGACAAAGGGCTAATATCCACAATCTACAATGAACTCAAACAAATTTACAAGAAAAAAAAACAAATTTACAAGAAAAGACTTTTTATCTTTATTGTCTGGTTTGTTAATTTTATCTATATCTTACAAATAGCATACTTACATGTCTGGTAATGTTCCTCAAATAAGTCATCTTACCGTGGAGTTATTAACTGGTAATATGCAGAGCCTTTGAGACCCACCCAACCACAAGCCTGGTGCCAATTGTATTAACTAGTAAGAGAACATCACAAGCAATATTTTAACTATTTTTTCAGGTCCTTGCCCCTATTTTGATTTTGCAGACTTAGATTATGAAGAAGAAGCCAGCAGTCCATGTTACTTTGCCATATTGTAAGAAACTATATAAATCATATTTATGGAGCAAATTGTATGCTACATACTGTGGTAAATAATAAGTCAGATATGATTCCTATAAATCTGTTGTATTTCCAACTCTTGATGAAACAGTAGGTGACTATGATAACTAGTAAAGAAAGGAGAAGAAATTTCATCTTCAAAATTTCTGTAGGGTATATAATCCCTTAAGTAAGTATGACAACAGGTTATAAAAATTTCTAAGTCTTCAATAACCTCAACTACAGAAAGGGATCTTTTCAATCTAAACTATCTAAGAATATATGATATCCATTTCACTACTTCAGTAGTGAAATTATTTACTACAGAATGAGTAATTATGGTTACAAATTTGAAATAATATGTGTTATCAGGGTTTCTATTTCTACATGGAGCTTATTTATTTTTTAGAGACAGGGTTTCACTATTTGCTCAGGCTGGCCTCAAACTCCTGAGCTCAAGTTACCCTCCCATCTCAGCCTCTCCAGTACCTGAGATTACAGACATGCATCACTGTGCTAGCTGTGTGAACTTTTAAAGTACCTTTAGATCAACTATATTATATTGAGTAACACTAGTGAATTATATGTGGCAAAACACTTCATTTGAAATAGTTATCTTTACTAATATAAAAAAACTTGCTATACTACAAACGTGGAAAAAAGTCAATAAATGGCACCATAACATTAGGACAGATACATATCTCTATTTTCTGTGTTTCAAAATACATTTTTTAACTATGTTCCTTACTAGTTTAGAGTTACTGAAAATTCAAATCTGGCCTCCAAAAATCCTAACGGTTACTTATATGTTTAAGTTTCATAGCACTGTCCAGTTTATTTCATGGTTTGCATTGTTCCAAATTTAGATATAATTTCTGTATTATTTTTATATGAAATTGGAAGTATTCAAGCAGTAACACACTTTATAAGGAAGTATCCCTGAGAGAATTTCACTGATTGTGTTTTAATAAGATGAGATATACTAAGATTTCAGTTCCATATTATTGTCTTGTTGTAGAAACTGTCCTTATTCAGTGATGCAGAAAACATTTAGTTTCCTCTTAAATTCATAGATTCCTATTGAGATACAAATGAATTGGATCTGGCCTTAGAGTTTTAATATTCATATTTTAATTTTTTATGAATGTGCTTTTCCCCTACTAATCTCTTCTTTTCAGCACACACTTTTATTAATACTAAGTAACAACTTTTGTCTTACTAGCATCCATACTTGCTAACGACAGATAGATTAGCATAGAAAATCACTAATAAAAAAACTTAATAAAAGAGTTCTCAAAGTATATGACTTAGAAACTCACTAAAAAGTGTTTAAAAAGTGAGATGCCCTTAGCTGGCCAGGGCAGTTGGGGTCGGGGGGTGCAGAAATGTAGAAAACTCTGTGTTAAAGTTAAGTAGATTTTTCTCCACAAGAAAGACAAAATATCCTAACTTGCTAACGGGTATTGAAAATATACAGTTGAAAACACAGTATTTCACATTTTCTAAACAAATTTGCAATACCTCATATTACTAACTCCAGTTCCTGTTTTGAAGAATGCTAATATAATGGCAAAAAAAATCAGAAAAGTGTGATTTTTCACTAAAAATAGGGAAAATAGTAAAGGCACTTAAATATACTGACATATTGTAATACAAATATCAAACACTTTCTATTAAGTGATATGGACAGCATATAGGAGGACATAATTCTAACATCCCTTGTATCATTAGTTAAGAAAGGAATCTTGGACAGGACTTAAAAGAGATGAACCCTCGGAAATATAATAAATGTAATAATTGTACTAGATTAATTTTTTCCTAGTCTTCTTTTTGTATGTGTGTTTAAGAACTCTATAGAAATAGTGTTAAAATAAAGATCCCTCAAGGGCTATCTTTTCACATCTTAGTTAAGAATATCTGGGTAAGCTTCCAGCAACTGTACTTTTAAGTTATTAGGTATCTGGGGATTCTCGTGCCCAACAATGTTTGAAAATCAATTGTCTAAAAAATCAAGAGTAGAATAACTATAGCCTGCAGGCCAAATCTAGCCTACAGCCTGTTTTAATATGTTTACCAAGCAAAGAATGATTTTTACACTGTTTTGATATGTAAAAAATAAAAGAGAAGAGAAAAATATGTAATAGACACCATATGTAGCCCACACAGCCTAAAATATCTACTTTATGGTCATTTATTTTAAAGGGTTGGTGATCTCTGGCTTAGACATGATTTTTAGTAACAGTTTCACTGAAATATAATTTTCATACTATACAATTTACTAGTTTAAATGTATATCCTGGTGGTGTTTAGTATATCACCCAAATGTGCAATCATCAATATCAGATTATAGAATATGTTCTTAACGCTAAAAAATACAAACCCATACTTACGAGGAGTCACTCTTGATCTCTCCCCTTCTCTTGACCCAGACCCTGGAAACCACTAATCAACTTTCTGTTCCTATAGAATTACCTAGTATGAACATTTTATATAAATAGAATGATGCAATATGTAAACTTACGTGACTGGCTTCTTTCACTTGGCATGATGTTTTCAAGGTTCTTTCATGGTGTAGAATGTATTTCATTCCTTTTTTGCTGGATGATTTTCTATTGCATGAGTATGATACCTCTTGTCTCTCCAGTAATTACTTCAGGGACATTTGTTTTTGTTCAAGTTTCTGGCTATTATGAATAGTATAGCTATAAACATTCATGTATTAATTTGTGTTTGGGCATATGTTTATTTTGGGATATATATTCAAATCCCATTGCCTATTCAAGTCTTTTGCATATTCTTAAACTACATTTAAATTTTTTTTGCATTGTTCTTAATATATTACTTGTATATTCTGGATTCAAGTCTCCTATCAAATATATCATTTGCAAATATTTTCTTGCACTGTATGGTCTGTTTCTTTTCACTTTATTGATGTTCTCTGCAACATAAAACTTTTAATTTTAATTGATTTTTTTGTCAATTGTGTTTGTTTAATTTTCGGTGACAAAGTTTTACTCTCATATTTTCTTCTAAGAGTTTCATAGTTTTAGCTCTTATATTTAGGTCTATGATTCATTTGGAATTAATTTTTGTTTACAGTATGAAGTAAGGATCTCGCGTCATTCTTTTGCATGAGGATATCCAGTTTTTCTGGTACTATTTGTAGTCTAGAGCATTTTTTGCTACCATCTGATGCTTTTATGTGACATATATTTATGTTACACATTAAAAGCTTTGTATATTAACATATCTTCTTATCTGACGTAAGTTACAGTCTTTAGGTATGTTAGTGTATTTCATAATAATTGGGGCAGAAATATCATATTATTAAGCTACAATTATAATGCAAAATGTAATGTTTCCCATAACAAACTAGTTTGAATGTTTCTCTGCTGTGTCTAGTCTAAACAAAAACAAACATGTCTAATATAGAACACATCAAAGCTACTGCATTTATATATGCCAACGTTATACGGGACAGTAGGAAAGACAACATGTGTGGCACCTGCTGTGCATGTATTAAGCACAAACTTCAACTTTTCTCAGTTTAAATAATATGATTTTAAAGCAAATAAAAAGGTGGACATATTATCCTGGAGGAAAAGAAACAGTACTTGATGTGAGCTATTTTATTGTTGCCATGTTCTTATTTTTTTCTTTTGACTCCTACCAAGTATTTTGATATGTTTCTACTGCAGATCACTTTTACCTGTTTGAAATGTCCTGTTACTGCTGTGGTTCATTAGTGAGTTTATATTCTACAATAACTTATACTTATTGTCTTGTCCTAGATTAATTCAATAGAGTTTGAGTTTATTATGGAATACAACCACATCATAGCACCAAGCTTTGTGGACTGGATTGTAGCTGATACAAAAGGAATGTAAGAGTATTTTATTTGATGTTTAGTAGCATGTCTTATATTATTTTTCTACATGTTGGGGGTTTTCATGGTTTGTTCCAAATTTATAAAAGGATTTCTAAAACCCCATTGTCTGAAGTTGTTAGTTTCTGAAAGAAAATATGTAAAGTATTTCACTGAATGTTAATTTGCTACAATTTTTATACTAAAATCACTCTCATTTATGTGTTAAAAATTATTACAACTTAGCAATTCCATTTTTATATGCCATGACAACAAGGATTAAATAAATCTAATGCTTCTCAAAACAACCTAATGAGGTATTAAATGGACTTATTATAGTGAGCAAAAATGTAATATGTCAAAGGTCGCAGAGTAAAAAGGTAAATGTAGTTGTGAACGAAAACTGTCAATTTCCAAAGTCTCAGCTGCTGCACCAGAAAATGATGGTGAAAGTAAAATCCAACTTTATTTAAACAGAGAGAATGAATTTGTTTTGCAGGCAATCCAGCAAGCCAGCGAGGGTTTTAAAAGCCTTTTTTTCTGTTTTAGTTTCCAATCTCTAATAGAATACACATTTATACTTTAACTTAATTATAAGCTTCAATGTTATTGGAGCATGATTTCTCCATGATCACTGTAAGTATGTTTAAGTGATAGAATATAATTAATGCCAGAATTTGTTATCACTTGAGGTACGCACCAGATAAAAGCTGTAAGAGAGGAACAGAGCCAGAACCTGAGTTCAGAAACAATGTCTTGGGAATTATTACTTAGGTTTTCATACATACCAAAGCAGCTACAAGAAACATAAAAGAACTGAGGAACAGGGCCCCTCTATCGTTGATGTCTGGTCAAATATTATTAGTGTAATTTGAAATTCTAAAATTATACAATGGATAGAAGGAGAGGAAAATTAATGAAAGGCCATTTAAAAACGAAAAATTAAAATAAATGATGAAACTAAAGATAAATTCACTTCTCATGCTTTGCCTTGTGTCAGTCAAAGCAATTGCAAAACATTTGAATAGAATGAATATCACTCCTGAAAATTTTCAAGTACCACAAAAAGATAATATTCTTTCTGAAACCCATTTTAAAGTCATTACTCTTAGCACAGGTTGCTGTGCTGTATTTTATTCCTGTTTCTATTCATCAGCTATAGAAATGCTGAGGTAGATTTATATAGATAGATTCATATACTTTGAGACCTTAAGATCTCGCAATTCTCTATTGATACTTAATTAATTTCTTCCATGGTTTTGTTGCTCAAAATCTGCTATGCACATTTTATCTGTACTAGGGCAGTGACATCATTTCTATTACAGATACTTAAAAGGAATAACTTAGGAAGGGATTTCTGTATACTCACTGTCATTATCTCAATTGCTAAATCTGTCTCTCATAGGGATTTTGAAATGTTTCAAATGATTTGCTTTAGAAAATTGAGGCACTTAAATGAAAAAAAAGTACACTATTTTAAAAGTACTCTACAATCTATGATTAATGAGGTAAAAACTGACTTCATCTGACACAAAATCAAGGCATGATATCGATCCCAAACGTGAGATCATCTATGGGTATAATTTGTGTCCTTTTTGTGATAATGACATGAGATGTGCATGTGTGTGTGAGAGAGAGAGAACAAAAAGAGAAAATCACTTTGAAAATTTTGTTCGCATAACATTTTAGAGCTCAATATTTCATTTCTTCCTAAACATTAGTTTGGTTCTACTCAAAGTATAAAATATCACATGCTTTGAAACACAAAATGTAAACTAACTTGGAATCATAGGCAATAATCACTCTGATTGATCAAATCCATTTTCAGAATCAGCAAATGGCAAGAATAAATGTCATCTTTCCCAAGAAAAAAACTTCTACTCTTCTGTATTTATCTTTTTCTCAGATCAGCTATACATGCCAAATAGATACTTATCTGTATCAAGATGATAAAAATAGCAGAATTATCACTTCTGCTTTTCTTCAGTGATTAACTAAAGGAGCTATTGATAATGCCATTCCCATTCAGGCATCATTAAGAGGTCGCCTTTCTCTATGCTATTCAATGTTTGATCTAGTCAAATAATTTCAATATTTTCTATTAAAGTTTCCTTCTGAATAATGGCATTAAAATTGAGGAAATTATTTCATAGAGATTTATAAAATGAGTCTAAGCCTTTTAAATTAAATTTCAAGAAAATAAAACAATTAAAATGTGCTTTATTTGCACAAGTCTCAGCACGTTGAAAAATAAAATTCATAATAATATACAAATTTGGATGCCTTACTTTACTTTCACAAAATAAAATCAGTGTTTCCAATATTTTAAAATTAATTTAGAGAGTAGTAATTTGTGGACATAAAACTCCTAATGTAGAATTAATTAGGGTCCCTCCACATGACCTTCAGAAAAATGTGTCCCATTCATAAAGGCTGAGACACAATGCTATGGCTTGAATGTTTCCCCTCCAAAATTCAGGTGTTGCCATTGTGACTGTATTAAGAAGTGAGACCTTGAAGACGTGAGGAAGCCATGAGGGGTCCTCCCTCATGAATGGGATTAGGCATCCTTAAAAAGGGACTTGACTGAGGGAGTTGGTCTTTCTCTCTCCCACCTACTGCCAGGTGAGGATACAGTAAGAAGGCCCACACCAGATGCAGGCACCTTGATCTTAGATTTCCAGATCCCTGTGCGAATGGCATGTTGGGAGTTTAATAAAAATCCCTATCACTTCAGTGTTGGTGTTTATCGAAAAGAAAATATTTAAAATTTGGAACATGCCAGAGTGTGAGGGACATTTAAAAACTGTAAGCTGTATTTGCATTTAAGAACATAAATATTCTGAAACCACAACAGGTCTCTCAACAACAATGTTTTATGATTAAAACCATGATTTGAGAACATATCCAGCTATTTTAAGAGAAAATAACTGGAAATAAATAATGCTTGGAAACAGAAGAGACCAACCATACTATTGCATAAGATTCTTGGAGCTACCATGGTGTTAAAAAAAAAATGTAATACACTTGAAAGATACCTTCAGGGACAGTGATTTTTAGCCAGGTACTGTGGATTTTGCTTGTAATCTCAGCTACTCCAGAGGTAGGAGCAGGCTCTTGAGCCTGGGAGTTTGAGACCAGCCTGGGAAACACATTGAGATCCCCATCTAAAGTAGTGATAATCATAATAATCATAAAATAATAATAATTTTTGTGGTAATAAAGATAGAAACTGAAAGAGAAATGGCAGCAAGTACTTCTTTAATATGTGTTTTAATATTACAGCACATGATAATATCAGGTATGCATAACGTTCAGCTTAAAACAATAGAAATTAAACAATTAAAATGTCCCATTTGTAGTTAAAGAGTGAACTGTACTTCAGGTAATAAAGCACAAATGAGGTAGGTAATTTAGGAGTAATTCTCAATAAAAATAAACATCCAAACAAATATAAATAAGACTATTTGGAAATTAGAATTCACAGAATGCAGTAGAAGAAAAAGAAAGAGGCAGTCATTTTGGAAAAAAGATAGAGAAATGGTTGTCATGAATGTGGCTGTCAAACATCAATGAAATCAAAACAAAATTGTTACCAGCAATATCGAATGCTTCAGAGTAAACCTAGAATGAGAACAAATAAAATTGGAAAACACACTGTTCAAGTAGAATGAGCCAAAAATTTAGGGGTGAAGCCAGGAGAAAGTGGAGTCATGGAATTTCTTACATGAGATATTTTCAAGACGACAACACTGATCAGAAAAACTTAAGCTTAGTTAGATTAAAGGTGGTTTGGGATCATAAAAAAGTAGGTAATCAGATCAGCAATCAAAATAATTATTTTCAGAATCACCAACTGATCACTAACCACATACATAATACTGTTCTTATGATATGACATCTCTTCCCTTGCTTGGGAATCTTCATGTGGATTAAAAGGAGCTAGGGCTCATGTGGAAGAGATTGGCTTCAGGTTCTGAAAACAAAAATTCTCAACACTTGCAGTCAGTCACTGAGGATGGACAGTCATTTTTAAGGGGAGAAATTTCCTTATTTGGAATTGTTTACTCTTTTCTAAGTAGGTAAATTTCCCTGGCTTTGATTTTTTTTCAAGTACATTATTACTCTGTAAACTACTCAAATGCCATTTTCATAAGTCCAACATTTTCAAATCAAGAAAAAATTATCTACTGAATTTGGTTTTGGTAATAAGTAAATGAGTGCATTACTTTTAAAAATATGTGAATAATAATACATATTCATTTTAAAAACTCATGAAAATGAAAGAAAAAAAATCAGCACAATTGATCATTTTCTGAATTGAAACACACCCTTTAGGCCAATCTTTCTCGCTCTCTCATGTTGACTCTTCCTCACATCCTGACCTCATAACACCCAACTGCTCTAAGGGACAGCCCACCAACCTCTCCCGTTTCTATGTATTTTCACTCTATTGATGTTTTATCACATTTAGTGACTTTATGTATTCTGCCTACATTGGTGATTCTCAAGCTTTCTCTACTGCTCTGACATCTCCATTGTATACCACTAATATATCTCATTGTGTATTCAATATCCATTTTAATAAATAATAGCTAACTCAGCATGTCCAAAAGTCAGCTCCTAATCCTTCTCCCAACAAGTTCTTCTCTTACCATAGTGCTCCCTACCTCAGTTAATCAAAAGCCAGTTTTGCCAGGGTCTTAGACCAGACATATTAGAGTCATCATTGACTCCATTCTCTCCCACCGCATATGCCATCTCTCCATAAATACTAGGGATATTTTTACAGAATCTCCCCACCTTTCGCCTCTTCAACTGCCTCCAGGCTGCTGCTAGCTCCCGTTATCTCTTTCCTATATCACACAATTACCTTACAGCTGATCTCTCCTTTTTTCTTTTTCTCCTTCAATTATTCTGACCCCAGCATCCACAGTGAGCCCTTAAAGTGGAAATCATTCTTTTTCTTTTAACCCTCTGCCACAATCAAACTCACAGTCAAAACCAAAATGTTTAAACTGATTTGCCTCCTCTCCATTCCTGGAACTCATACACCACTACTCTTTCTATCACTCATGTTATTTTAGTCACACTGGCCTTGGAATAGATTCTTGAATATGCCAGCTGCATTCCTATATCAAGGCTTTCACCAGCTGCAAATTTTCTGGGAACCCTCCTCAAAATATTCATGTAGGCTTCCCCCTAACTCCTGCACCATTCTTTGCTCTAATTGAACTCTGTACTTGACCGCTCCCCATACTCATTACTCTCTATACCTTTTTTTTTCCTGCTTTCTTTTTTCTCCATAGTACTTACTCACATCTATCTGTGTTTTACTTATTTGCTTTCTTTCAGTAGGTGGTATGGTTTTCTCTCTTCCATTAGAATGTAAGGTCTATAGGGTGTACTAGTGTTGTGTCACTGCTATAACAAATTACCACAAAATTATCAACTTAAAACACCACACATTTATTATGCCCGTTTTTGCAGGTCAGAAGTCCAGGGGTAGCATAGATCTGCTGGGTCTTCTTCTTAGGGTCTAATAAGGCGGAAATCAAGGTGCCAGCAAGGTTGCCGTTCTTTCTGGAGACTCTAGATATGAACCTGCTTTCAGACACATTCAAGCTGTGGGAAGATTTCAGTTGCATGCAGTTGTCAGACCAAGGGTTCTTTTCCTTTAATTTCCTGAATCACAACCACTTTCATCTTCAATGCCAGCTTGGTGGCTTGAGTTCTTCTTATGTTTTAAATCTTTCAGACCTCTTCTTCTGCCTCACGTCTACCACTTCCAGCTGGAGGATATTCTCTTCTTTTGGGTTCATGTTTGGGCCCACCCTGGTAGTCCAGAATTGTGTCTCTATTTTAAGTTCTATATAACCCTCATTATATCTCTGAAGTCCATTTTGCCATGTAATATAACATATTCTGAATCTCCAGGGATTACAATTTAGACATGGTTCCTTTTAGGTGTGTGTGTGGTGCGGGGGGTACGTTATCCTGCCTACCACTAAGGTTATGAATTTGTGAGCATGTGCATATATATTTTTTCACAATCCTTGGCTCAGATTCAGCGCACATTAATATGTGCTTTATACATTTTAAATAGCCAACTTTTAATGAATCCTCAGTTTAACATGGAAATAGCAATGTAATATATTCTAGTAGTGTTTAAAATAATGTTGCCAATTAAAGAGCTATATTGTTTCTAACATATGCCCAAATATCTTAGATTCCTTTTAGTCCTATTATTTGTCTTAGAAGCTTCAAGAAATATAACCAAATTTAATACTTGGCATTGTTACTACAAAATGTATAATCTACTTAATGGCATAAAGGAAGGTCAGAAATCACTATGAAATAATAAGTAAAATGATATGTCATGAAAATATTTATGCCTATTGAAAATTATGAAAGTATATAGTGACAATGGTAGAAAGAATCAGAAAAATTTTTGAAAAGAAATGGGACTTGAAGAATTCAAATAATTTCAATTATATGTTATGCCTGTGGAAGAAACCATAAATAAAATATGACAAAGGTATAGATGTAAGAAAGCATAGGGCCTATTTAAATGAGAACAAACAGAGTATGTAGATTTTCCTGGAAATAAATGTTATAAAGGGGGACAGAAAGAAATAAGCCAGGACACAATGGCATTAATAACTTCAATTCATTAAGCATAATGAAGAACCATGGACACAAAGTTTCAGTGGGTGCACCCAGAAAATAAACAAATACAAAAATATATAACCTATCAGTTGGTGGCAAACGTTGTAGAAAACTAAAGCCTGGAAGGAAAGATTGAGTATGTAAGGAAGGTATATTTCAGATAACATATTTTAAGGACATATCTGAAAAAAATGTGAAAGATGGATCTATGCTGATCTCTGAGGGAATAATCTTCTAAGAGAAGAAAGAGAATACGCAATGATCTGCTGTAGGATGGGCCAAGAGCAAGTTTAATTTATTTTAGAAACAGAAAGAAGGCCCCTATATCAGTATCAGAAAGAGTATGTGTGGGGAAGAAGAGTGGTAGCAGATGTAGTTATAAAGGGATTTACAGCCTCACTGGAGAGGGCCTTGACTGAAAGAGTGAAGAATTCTGACTAGATTCAATGGATTGATGCTGAAAACCTCCAGAGTTTCATGGAAATAATTTGGAGTTTGTTTGTTTTGTCTTTTTAAAAGACGGCCCTGGAAATAATACATAGTGTGAAGCCGAGCTGGAGGAGATTAAGGGTGAAAGACTTGTTACAGGGCTACTGCAATAATCTGGTGGGGAAGCAGAATATTTGTACTTGCAGATGTGGTGATTGTGTTGAAGCCAAACAGGGCATGAGATGCTGTAAAAGAACAATGGAGGGGAGACAGAGGAGAAAAAAAAGGAATAGAATTTGATATAGAATTGCCAAACTTAAGTAAATGAAAGTTAGGAAGGAAAAATCATTCGGGGGGGATAAAATATATTTCAATTAAAAATTATTTTATGTGTCACTGTTTGGATGTTGTATACAACTGCACTTATAGGATGTCTCAGATTCTCCAGGTCTTGCCTGTATCTAGAGTTTTCTTGACTTGATTCACCCAGCAGCAGCTACAACAACCAACTCACTGTGCTTCTGATGTTTTGGCACCTGCAAAGTCCTACCAACCGAGGCTGTTGAATCACATCTTGAGCTCCTCCTCCTCAAGAAAACTCCATTTTGACATAAGAATTTTATTTGTCTCCTACTCTCTGGTTAAGTGAATTAAGAAGCAAATGAACTAATCACTACCCTAATTTCATGTCACAAATGATTTAAAGAATTTATGTAGAAAGAATAAAAATGAATGCATGAAGAGCAAAACAAGGCACAAAGCACAGATTGGAATAGGAGTTACACACCTGAAGAGACAGAGAGGGAGATAAAGACACCATGGCTGAGTCACATGTTTGAATCTTAGCTTACTGGCAACCTAAATAAAAAGGTTAACAAAAGCAGTAATAAAATAAATAATGTCCTTGCTTATAGAGTAAGAACATTGTATTCCTCTGGGGGACACTAAGCTTTCCTGGAATAACTTCTGATTTGTTTTTCTTTTGTGCACATTACATCAGCGACAATCTATGACATAAAACACAATGGCCTCAACCATATTTCCTCAACAAATGTAATTGTGGGTTTTAAAACCTGATTTTGACAGGTCCTTTGAAGAAAGATGAGACTATGACACTGAAGTGAAACTCAGATAAATTTGGGGAATGGATGACAAGGAATGCAAGAAAATAATCCACACTTTTTTCCAGTAGAAATTTCAAATAAAATTACAAATAGCAAGCAAGTTTACAGCTTTCCAATGCTTAGCTTATTCTTCTCTATCTCTAGTGGAATAGATGTACAATTATGGAATCATATGTCTTTGCTATTGGTGGTTTGGACATGAAGCTTTTGGTCTATTTTTTTTTTCTTTTGGGGGATTGGTGAGGACACCAGGGAACTCACAAATCTTTGACAACCATTATATTCCTTAATATGCAGGGCAACACTTCTCAGTCACTACTGCCTCCACACTGGTGAATTTGTCCTGACCCAACATTGACAGGCCTCCTTGTTCTAAAACACTTTAAAATCTATTCCTAGAAATATTATCTATAGATATAATAACTATGTATAGAAAAAAATACATGTAAAGATATATAGATATAAGAACTAATATCTAAGATTACAAACTCACTTATCGATGGCTACAATTATTCTTTTTTCCTGCTCTGCAATTTTTTTCTTTTGGATTCACTTTTGCTGACATACAACACTCGGTAGTTCTTCCACTGAAGGCTGTGGATAGTAACATTTCATTCTGTTTGTATGTTAAGGTTGATTTTAAGTAATATACTTTTTATCATTCTCATGTTTTTAATGCTTTCTTGTTATTAATATAAGTTAGTATTATGACCACACATCTAGAACTGAATGTAACATATTTTATTTATTTTTAACTTAATTAATAGTATTATTATTTTAGAGACAAGCTTTCGCTTTGTCACTCAGCCAGGAGTGCAGTGGCATTATCACAGTCCACTGCAGCCTCAAACTCCTAGGCTCAAATGATTCTCTCACTTCAGCATCCTGAGTAGCTGGGATTACAGGGGTGTGCCACCCTGCCTGGCTAATTTTTTTGTAGCGATGAGGTCTCACTATGTTGCCCAGTCTGGTCTTTAACTCCTGGCTTCAAGCAATCCTCCTGCCTCAGCCTCCCAAAGTTGTGGGATTATAGGCTTAAGCCACCGTGACTGTTCTGAATTTATAATCTTAATTTGAGAATGCGTGTCTTTTCTGGGACCCCTTTTTCAGACCAGTTTTAATTTTTATTTACTAGCAAATCAAATCAGAATGGTCTCTGAACCATATATCCAGCAAGTTAGTAGTTAAGCTCCCAATCTTTCTTATTTCAGAAGAAGTTAAATTTTGATTTTCCATTCAGATATATTTTCTTTTTTGTCTATCATTACAATGTATTTCGAGATGGGGGTGAGGTTGAAGGCATTAACTCAAAAAATTCATTTTGAATGATAAATGCATTAGTAATATGGCTAATTTTCTTGTAAATGCACAAAAGTGATTTTGAGTAAAAGAGCTCAATATTTACTTTTGGAAATGTTTCATCATTTTTTTCAATATTAACAATGATATTTTAAATGGTTAAAAATAAACATATTTTAAGGTAAAAATTATGAATGCAAATACGTTGGGGAAACATATTTCATCAGGGGAAAGGATTTGCCATCATGGAGTTCCACTCAGTATTAATGCCAAGGCAGTCCCTTCTCCACTGCTTTTGATCTTCTGTGTATCAGGTAGCTAAGCATTTAATTTGGATTAAATTAAGTGTAAAGATTTGAGTGACTAGGTTATTAAAAATACATGTCTAGTTACAGCATTTCAGATGGGTTTCAGTCAATTTCTGGGGCACTGACAGACATTATTCTGTTAAAAAATTTAGAATCAAATTATAGAAAGCCATTGATGGAAGACACGCAGCCGGCAGCGAACATGGCTTGTAATGATAGGCCATTATTATACTTGAGGGCACTGGTCAGACAAAGTGTTTATAATGTTTCTAGGTGTAGTTTTCTTGTCTCTGGCTTCAAATTCTAAAGCAGACCGACACCTAAAGAGTCCATCATTTCTTTCCCTGAAACCAGAAAGTCTAGCTCATTTTATATTTTATTTACAATTCTACTTTTGTAACATTAAACTGAATGCTTGTTTCTTTCAGTTCATCCCTTTTAATTCTCAGCAGTTTCTCTTGCAAGTCAAAACCTAAATGGCAGTTTTTATTTCTCCTTTAGGTTCCAGATTTAATGATCCTTCTCCAGGTAATGTAAGCATCACTGACTGATTTGCTCTAACTCCAGGGTTCATATATTTCCCATCATGCCATGCTCCCTTCTTCTTGTCTAGCCCTGTATTGAATCAGGAAAAGGTTACCTACAAGCTACATGGTTTGGAAAATAAGAAAGTTTAATATTTCAAGTTACTGTCTCTCTTCACAATTAATTTGAATATATATAAAAACGTACTCATAACATGCAGTCTCTAAATGATATAGAAATATATGGACAATCGTGTTTTTATATACTCTCATTCTTCCAGCAAGATGAAACTTTCATTGGTTCCTTTTAGACTGAAATTCTGGAAATAGCATAAGTATGCATTTTAGGAACAATGAAGCAAATTTCAAAAATCAAAGGAAGAGTGCTCTTACATAATCATTTAACTCATCATTCTGGTGAGTAGGACTACAACTAAAACACAGATATGAAACATTTTTTTCTTTAAAATTAGATCAAATGCATCAGCATTTTTGCAGATTCAGCACAGATGTTAGCATTTCCCAGACTTAGCTTATGAGACACATACAGCTATTTTACAGTCTGGAGGGTTTCCAATATTACTACTTACCTAAATGACATTTGAGGTGGTGGCACTTAATGAGGTACACGTAATATAGTACTTAACTCATGACATCTACCAGGCAGAAAATACTTTATTAGCTGATCCTGTTCTATGAATATAAATTGATTTTTCCTCATGGTTAGGAAAATTGGCTCTTCAGCTACACTTCAGGATAGAGTTAACTGGGTCCATCTAGCAAATTAGAGTAGGTTTCCTTGCATAAATGACGGCATAAATGGGAAAGGGTACTTAAGTCCAGTGATCTTTGTCCCTAGGCATCGTGTTTATCGATTGCCCTACATTCAGGTCAGGAAGAAAGGTCTTACCTTACAGTTTGTAGAGACCCTGGAGTTTAATCACTATGCTACAAAGCATTAGGTAATTCTATTTTGTTCAATAAATGAATTCTTTAAATGTCAGGGTTTTAGCAGACTAGGACCTTGAAAAAGTCTATTTTCTTTCATGTTCCTTGTTTCTGAATCACACTGTCTTTGATTCAGAAATACAAATACGTTTTAGTTATTGTTACAGTAACTGATATTGTTGAGTATATGGCGAAGGCCTAGGGCTATGTCATTGAAAATGAAGTAGGTCAAGGAAGCATGGGGCTGCTCCTATTTTTTAAAATTAAAAAAAAACTTCCAAAAAAGGAAGATAGATAGAAGTAGAGGTAAAGAGACAGACATTGAGAGAGACAGAAAAAAGAGACAAAGGAGGAGGGTAGAGATGAGAAGGGAAAAGAGAGAAAGAAGTATTGAATACAAATAGTAAAAATTTTGTAATTCAAGCTTAATAATAATGGGTCTTCAGAAAAGGGGAATTTTCATCTAGGTATAGTAAAGAGGAAATGCTAATAGAGGAAATATGACTTGAGTCCAGTTTTAAGGATATATAGAATTGACTTAATTGGAGAGCAAAGATAAAGTGCTTCCAATTTGGTAAAGAGAATAAGTAAACTTGCTGAGGTAGAAAAAAAAATTAATTTGTAAGTAACAGAAATGAAAGCTACTTGAATGAATGATGTGGAAGCCAGTATGAGACACAGCACTACTAGGAAATACTTTTTAAAATTATTTTAAATTCGTTAGAGACAGGGGTCACTATGTTTGCCCAGGCTGGACTTGAACTCCTGGGCTCAAGTGATTCTTCTGCCTCAATCTTCCAAGTAGCTGGGACTCTAGGCATCCTACTGCAGCCAGCTCAGATGTGCTATTTGTCAACTATGTTATATATTTTTACTTTCATATTTACTTTTAATTTCATATTTGAAGCTTTACAAAGAAAATTTAAACTTTTGTAATCAGTATAGTGAAGAAAATCTAGATATCATATGGAATAAATTGAAGATAAGGCAATTTTTGTGAAAGTTAAAATTATATTTATTCCCTTTTTCTGTGAAATAATTTTTAGTTACAATACTGATAGTTTTTCTGGAAATATAAGATTAAGAAGAAATATAAAACTTGGTATTAACATGTGAAGGACTGTAATGAAAAAAATTATGTTGTTATGGATGATGCCAAAGGGAAAAATCAAAACAACTGGATAGGAATTACACGTAATTTGGTTTCCAGTAAAAATAATAAATAACATAAAGTGAAACATTAGAAATGGCATTATAATAAGGACATAGTATCCCATTACTGAATATATTCAATACAATATGCATGCTCCTTAGACAATGGGTGCTGTAGATGGTATCATACGTTATTTTGTATAACATCTAGGGTTGTTACTCTAAAAATGTACTATCATGTAAATAAATACACTAGGCCAGGTAAATTCAAATTATAGAAGTCTTGGGAATAGACCTGGTGTGGTGGCTCATGCCTGTAATCCCAGAACTTTGGGAGGCCGAGGCAGGCAGATCACTTGAGGCCAGGAGTTTGAGACCAGCCTGGCCAAAAAGGTGAAATTTCATGTCTACTAAAAATACAAAAATTAGCTGGGAATGGTGGTGCATGCCCGTAGTCCTAGTTACTTGGGAGGCTGAGGGAGGAAAATCGCTTGAATCTGAGAGGCGGAGCTTGCAATGAGCCAAGATCGTGCCACTGCACTCCAGCCTGGGCAACAGAGCCAGCTTCTGTTTCAAAAAAAAAAAAAAAGAAGTCTTGAAAATAAATGTTGAAGATTTCTTTCTTGATGATATGGCCACAAGAAAAAGAAACTATTTCACAACAAGATAGATACAATGTGTTTGGAGTTATTAAGGGACTGTTACTCTAGAAGTGATATAAGAAATTTAAAAAAAATTTATTTTGGGAATTCTTATTAAAGTCTTCTGAAAGATGCATAGATTATATAACTTTGGCATGGGGTATCTTTCTTTAGAGCTTGGGAGGAAGTCAAAAGAGGAGTCATTAAGGAAAAAATTTATTATTTGATATTAATAACATGATTTTGTTCAATATTTATTTTTAGGTCTAAAAATGTCATGAAGCCAAATATGTATCATTTTTTCTGATTTTAAAAACATATTTTTCAGGATTTTTTTAATAACATTCTTTCTGGTTACTTTCAGTTGTTTAAAAAATGGAGGAGTAGAGAATGAATTCATAGAAATGTGGACACAGACACACTGGGTCATACTTGAGAGGCATTTCAATCAGAAAACATTAGTCTGCATGTAGTAGAAAATGCAAGTTCAAGTGGTTTAAACAATGACAACATTCATTGTCACATATAACAAGAAGCTCTAGAATATTTATATTATTCAGTCTACTAATTAGGCATTTTGTCAACATCATGCTATCATCAGAAGAGCTTTTCATCTTTCTAGTGTCTTATGCTTAGTGCATTGGTTTGATCTTCAGGCTATTTTCCTTAATGTTTGCAACATGCCACATCAAGACATAATTTCTGGGATAAGAAAAAGATTATATGTTCCTGTGTTTTTTAAGTGGTGGGAGACATTTTAAGAAGACATACCACCCCCAGCGGACCTCCATCACATATCACATGTCAGAAAATGATAACAAGTCCATCTCATAAGCATGTACCTTCAAGGGAACAAGACCACCATATAACTGACTTAAAAAATTAGGATTTCCTATGAATCACATGCATGTGATGTATATACCGGAACAAGTTCAGGCTTTGCCAGTAAGAAAGAAAGAAAATGGCTGTCATCCTGCCAGTATGAAAGAAAGAGAGAATGGCTATAATATCAAAAATATACGATGACAATTCATCTCTAACTGATGAGCAAATTGCATATTTTTCCATTCTATTTCTGCAAATAGTTTCTTGCTGAGCCAAAACTCTTGAAATAAAATGTAAGTATTATGAAACAGAAAAACGCTTAAACTACTTACTGCTATAATCAAAGCAATTTGCCTTGGGAAATGAAAACTAAAAACGAACACAATGTAATATGCTCATGATTTTGCCTTTTTAAGAAATGTCAGCTACAGGGAAATTCCATGAGTCAGTAAGTATCTGCATAGATGAAAATGTACACAAACCACACATGTGCACATATGTACACATATATACACACATACAAAGGTTTGTGAACATTTAATTACCAAACAATTAGCCAACTGTTTGGCTTACCTGTTTATATTCAGCACTGGGGCCATCAGGACAAAAAAAGTGCTTCCAGTTAAATGCATGTTAGGTGTACCACAGCTAGTGCTTACCTGTGCAATTTATACTTTCTTACTTATAGAATCTGGATAAAAACTGGCAAAACTGGATAAAAGATTTCTTGTTCATTAAGGATTCTGATATGGTGAATCTGTAAAGGAAATTATAAGTTTACTTGGCCCTTATTTCATGTGTGTTTCAGTGTGGCCTAAGTGATGGATTTTGAGCACTGTGCATGTATGTTTGTTGTTCATTTTTCTTTTAGGTTTGTAATGCTCATTAGCAAATGTAATTATGTCACTTCCAATGACAAATTACAGCACAATTTTGTTTAAGTTGAATTCCTCACTTTGATTACTGCAAGTTGACCTATTGCTGCCTTTCCCACCACATGCAAATACCCTTTCATTATAATGTTAGAATTAAAACAATTTCACAATTTTATTTTGTACTAGTATATGAAAAGCTTAATTAAATTAATTGTTATTTTGTGTGTGTATGTGTATGTGTGTTTTCAAGTTCTTGACTGTGAATTTATCACAGATCACCAAAGTGTTTTCACCTTTTTAAAAATTTTCAGTATGTTACTATGATAATGATATTCACAACGGTAACCAAATGGTATGGAAAGTTTTAAAGTATTAAAAAGTAATTATATATAATTAAATTCTATTTACTAGAGTAGTTAAGTATTAAACATTTTTCAATCAAATTATTTTTTAAAATGTGAATACCAGGTACCCAGTATAGATCCAGTTAGTGGAGCATGAAGCTTATATACTTTGGGGATGACTTATTTAAGAAATAAAGATATAAAATTGTAAAATTAAACTTTTAGTAAATATAATACTTATTTAAAATAAGAAATGAATACCACATCAAATGATTACAATCCAGCAGAAATGCTAGCATAGAAATGCCTTCTGACTGCAACCTACTTCCCTTCTCACGTAGAATACTGTGTAGCTCCTACAGGACTGACCAAGTAAGAAACACTGAAACTAACTTCATTTGTTTGTGTATCCTCCTCTGAAAGTAAGCCGAAAATAATCGGTATCTTTGATTTAAAAACAAATACTACCCTCTCTCCATTAAGGATAAATCGGAATTTGCTATATATTCAAGTGGAAATGTATTTCAACATAAAATCTAAGGCAATATATAAAAAGTATCTGGCTTCAAATTAATTAATTTGTTACTGATACATTTCTCTCAACCTAGCTTTTTTGTTTGCACTTAATGAATTCTACAGTTCTTTCGATTTTTACATTGCTAGAATTACCATTTAAAATATAATTAAACACATATTTATTCTCTAATTCTTGTCTCAGTGTATTATCGGCTATTCCAATTGAATATTCAATAAATATTAAAGAATAATATATTATTCAATAGTAGCTTCAGATTTTATTCCACAAGGGCTATTATCATAAAAATAATACAAAGGCTGAAAATAAATAAATAGGCTGAAAAGGGCTGTTATCTCTAAGGCCAAGGACTGGAATACTCATGTGAAATAAAATTTCTCCATAAAGGTTAAATGAGAAACTTTTTTATTTTCTCTTATTTTTGAAGAAATTTTAGATAATATAGGTACAATTTAATTTTGAATGTAATTAGAATATGTAAAAATTCTTGAACCCATGCTATAAATATTCTTAAAGTCTGCTAAGATAGATATATATTAAATGTGGATATTTATGACAAAATACTTATGACAATTCTTGAAAGGCAGGACTCTGTAAGACCTTATTTCACTTTTGTGCAATTACATTTTGAGAAATGTTTATTTTTAATAAACTCAATAAACTGCAGTGCTATATTATTACTGCAACCATGTCAGATTTAGTGTGCCAATAATCAAGAAGCAGTCAAACAAACCTATGCAAACCTTTAGTGTTTAGTTTTTAAAGAATTTTAAGCATTCTAATCATCGTAGTGGAACAACTACAACTTGGTTAAGATTTCTTCCACCTACAGTATTTTGTTTAAGTTTTGAAATAAAAATGAAGGGCCACAATTATATTTTAAATATTTAGAGGCTGAGAACTCGGCTCCTATTCCCACACCTTATTGGATTTTACTATTCTGTAAAATGTAATAGAAATATAAAGACATGGTTCATTATATACTCAAGACTGTAGTTGTACACGTCACATAAAAATACTTAACTATTAATAACCACATTTGATTTACGAAAATAAAATTTAAGGTTTTTTATTTGATTATAAAGGCAATAATTCTGGAAATATTTGTAAGAATATATCAAAGAAGAAAAACTGGTCAGTTTTTAAATTCTCACCGTGTACTAAATTTGAGATTGCCCATATACATCTAGACTGTATTTTCATAGTGATGTAATGAATAGCAGATATTATATGAGTACATATTACAGGCAGAAAAAGTTAAGGAGATCCCATTCTTCTGTGGAGTACAAATAATGTTCTCATGCAATAATTTTGCCCCAAAATGAACTACTCTGGTGCCATATTTACATTTAATTAATGTGTTTTATGTCTAACTTCTCAACTTCTTGCTGAACAATAAAATAATGTAAATAAAATGATTTTATATATGTGCTATAATTATGAAAAAATAGCTATTGCATTTTCCATGTGTATGAAAATCTTGGAGGTTCTAGATATAAAGAACAGAAACAAATAATATTTTGTTGTGTTTTTGTAAGTTTCTGTTTTCATTTGCTAGGGCTGCCATAAAAAGTACCACAAAGAGAGTGGCTTCGAGAACTGAAATGTAATGTCTTACAGCTCTGGAGGCTAGAAGTCTGAAATCAAGGCATTAGCAAGGTTGGTTGTTTCTGAGGGCTATAAAGGAAGGTCTGTTCCAGGCCCGTTGGCTTGTATATGGTTGTGTTCCTGGTCTCTGTTCACATAGTTTTTCCTCTATGATGCGTGTCTATATCTAAATCACCACTATTTATAAGGACACTAGTCATATTGGTTTAGGGTCCAAACTAATGACCTTATTTTCACTTGATTCCCTTTATAAATATCCTGTCTCCAATAGGTTACATTCTGGAGACTAGGACTCCAATATACCTTTTTTTGAGAGGACACAATTCAACCCATTAATGGTTCCCCTTGCCTGAATACAATACAAAATAGCTAAATATTTATACTATGAAATATGTGTATGTGTAGTGAAACATACAATTTCTCGTAACAGTTATTTTAGATATTTTAACATATCGGTGAGTGCACATAAATGCATATGTACACACATACACGCACACATACATGTCATTAACTTATACACCTGACCATGTGTTAGTTGAATTAATCAAAGGCATGTCAAGAACACATAGTTTATGAAAAGAATAAGCTAAATCATCCAGTGAAATGAGTGCTATGCAGAAGTTCAAAGTATCACAGAAATGAACACTACATTAGAATAAGACAGGCAAATAGATTTCAGTGGAAATCTTCCAGTTTTAGGAATTATATTATATTAAAAAATAATCCCGAAAAATCTAAAATCTATTAGACTTATTGCTGTAGGTGATTTTTTAAAGTTTTACCACACTGAACTTGGCTCATATATACACTAGAATTTTAGAAATATAAAACAGTATTATATCTGATCTGTTCAATTCATCTATATTATATGCCATATGATTTTAATAACATTATTTCAAAGGCATTTCAGGTAAAGCCAGTTTTGAATTAATTTATAATTCTTTGACTCACAAATCAAAGAATAAAATACTCTTCTCTATTTCTTCAAAGGTAGAAAAAAACTGAATGTCTGTAGAAGATGCGGCAATCTGAAGTTATTTTATTTGGAACATTATGATATAATATAATTTTCATGGAAAATATGAGATGCATGACCTAAATAAAAATATGGTTTACAATTGTTCATTGGCATACACAGACACATATTTAAGAATTATACCATCTTTGGCCTGCTGCGGTGGCTCATGCCTGTAATCCCAGCACCTTGGGAGGATGAGGCGGGCAGATCACCTGAGGTCAGGAGTTCGAGACCAGCCTGACCAACATGGAGAAACCCTGTCTCTACTAAAAATACAAAATTAGCCGGGCATGGTGGTGCATGCCTGTAATCCCAGCTACTCAGGAAGGCTGAGGTAGGAGAATTGCTGGAACCCGGGAGGCGGAGGTTGCGGTGAGTGCAGACCGCACCATTGCACTCCAGCCTGGGCCACAAGAGTGAAACTCTGTCTCAAAAAAAAAAAAAAAAAAGAATTATACCATTTTTATTTCCCTTTAAGGTTCATAATACTCGGATTAAAATACTAGCACTTTAATAATATACAACCTAAAATATTAATTTCCATTTATCAAAATAATTGTCAGCAATATAAATATTTTAATTGTAATTAGCTTTTATACGAACTCAATTATTTTTTCCATGAATCAGCACAATATCTTTTGTTTCTTTAAATTTCTAACTGTAGTGCCGACCTGTGAAGTCTAAGAGTTGACTTATAGACATATCCTTCCTTACTCTTGAACCATTATATCCAGGCCTGGGTATAATTAGGCATGTGTCATTTAAAGATAAGAATAAATTCTGAGAATGCATTGTTGGGAGATTTCATTGTTGAATGCAAACATCATAGAATGTACGTATACAAACCTAGATACCATAGCCTACTACATACCTAGGGTATATGGTATAACTTATTACTCCTAGGTCACTAACTTGCACAGCATGTTACTCTACTGAATACTGGAAGCAATCCTAACATGATGGCGAGTATGTGTGTATCTGAACATATCTAACATCAAAAAGGTACATTAAAAATATGGTATTATAATTTCATGGGACCACGGCCAGATATGTGGTCCATCATTGACTGAAATGCCATTATGCAGCACTGACTACCAGCAGCCTTATTGCCAGTAGCAGACAGAACAACCTGGGGCCCTATAATCAGGAACAGTAGTCCCAGGTTATGTTCCTCAGTCTTCAATTTAGCCACCTCTCCATTCTTTGGATGTGATCCCTCTCTTTTCACCCAATCAGTGATTATAACCATACTGAGAGGGATACATCCCTTGAAATTAAGTGCTTGACTGACTTCTGGAAATGTAGCTATCTAGAGATTCCTACTATGACCTCATCTCCTAAAAGGGCCCTATGGATATTAATGCCAGTCTTACTCTGAAATCAGTTTTCCTTTTTATTTTTTAATGTTTCATTTATTGTAAAAAAATGGAAACAACCATACTTCCACTTGCCAGCTTTACCAAATCTCAATTTTATGAGAAATTCATATCAAATTTTTAAAGAAATTAAATATGATAGATATATAACTCTAATGCAATTGTATAGAACCCCACTTTCTAGAAGGGCATGTGGATTCTCAATCTCATGAGAAATTCATGTCAAATTTTCAAAGAAATTAAATATGATAGATACATAACTCTAATGCAATTGTATAGAACCCCACTTTCTAGAAGGGCGTGTTGATTCTCATTGTTGCATGTCCTTAATTACGCTTGATATTGTTTATGGCTTAACATTTTGTAGCTTTGAAGAGATTGAAATGATTTTTTTTCTTTCAAAATTCCTCGCACTTTTTGAGGCTCAGTATTGCATATACTTTATTTTAGCATTTGTATTAACTCTTCTGTAAATTGTCCAATTCATTTGTGTATCTTTCTATTGGCTTATTTTATTGCTACTGATTTGAAGTGTATTATTCTGTATATATTTTCTAATTGGAAACTGACAATAATTTCTCCCAGTCTGTGATTTACTCATTTATATTGGCTTTCTTTTTCTTTTTGTTTTTCTAAATATTTTAATTTCAATATAATCAAGACATTTAATAAAATATCTGGTATACTGGGTCCCAGTTAAGTTGACATATAAAATTAAACATTGCAGATCTTTACTGTGATTAATGCAATACCAGTCCCATATTAGGAATTTATTTCATGTCCAAAGGAAAAAGTAAATAAAGATAATAACTATTAGCAGCCATATTGACAATAGCAAATATGAGCCAACTGGGGCCCTATAAGCAGGAAGAGTAGTCTTAGGTTCTTTTCCTTTATGGTTTATACTTTTGTAATCTGTCCAGAGAAATTTATTTGAATTTTGTGATAGTTTATTTTTTATCATAATTGTGGCTTAGTAGAACATTTTCTATTTCTTACTATTTTCGTGCTGTGATCATTTCTCTCTATTCATTTAAAATGACATTTCATATGAATTGGTATTCTAATGTTGAGCTATTCTTACATTCCTGCGACATACCCGTCTTGATCATAATTTTTCAAATAGCTACAAAAAAACTATGCTTTAAAGTTATATTCAACATTGCTAATTTAATGCTTGTAAGATTAGTTTCCAGTTTACATTTTATATACTGTGATGCTCTTAGGTATTAAGGTTATGCAATTTAATTAATAGCTTTACTTTTTTGTTGTTTATTGGTTAATTAGTAGCTTTATGTTTTTGTTGTTTATTGGCCCATCCACTCTTTCAAATAGTTTATTTAATTTGGGGATCGTTTGCTCTGAGATAGTTTAAAATTCTTTTATAAAACTTATTTTACAAAATTGTTGGTCTTGGTATTTACTTTTTTATTGTATTTCAATGACTTCAATGGTTATTTATTTAGTTTTCTATCTCTTCTTCACCCCAATTTGGCACATTAAATTTTGCTACAATTTATATATGCACATATTTGAATTTATAAGCAAATAGTTATGTACAGTGTTCTATTATATTATATTCATCTTTAATATTAAAAACTCTTTATGTGGTCAATTTTAAAAGCTCTGTTTATTAATTATATTTATCTGTTTTTATTACACTCCACTTTTGAAATATAAAGAAACTCTACATCTTAATTAAAATGGTTCTTATTATAATCAATGTTTACTTTTTCCTTTGAACATGTAATAAGTTCCCAAAATGGCACAATCATTGCATTAATCACTACTAGTAGAGTCCTATGATTGTCAATAGTATCTGTTAACTTGACTGAGGCACAGGATGCCCAGATAACTGCTTATACATTATTTCCAGGTGTGCTTGTGAGAGTATTTGCTGACTAGCATTTAAATTGGTAAACTGAATAAGGCAGATAATCCTCCCTAGTGTGAATGGCCAACATATAATCTGTTGAGGGCCTTAAACAAAAATGCAGAGGAATGTTGGATTTGCATTTTCTCTCTCTCTTCTCTCTTCTCTCTCTCTCTCTCTCAACTGAAATATTAATCTTACAGCTTACAGACAGCATATCATACAACTTTTTTTGCCTCCATAACTGTGAATCCAATAGCTTATAATAAATCTATGTATCTATGTATCTATGTATCTATCTATGTATCTATCTATCTATCTATCTATTTATAAGTTCTGTTTCTCTGGAGAACTCAAATACAAAGCCAATAGTGTTTTATGAAATAATTATATGGAAAGATAATTGGAGTAAGCTTCAAAGTAAAATACTGGAGATGCTTTTTTATTCCAAATTATAATGATCTCAAGTATCTATGAGAAAGATTTATTAGCTAGTGTAACTTGAAGGTACCTGAGTACGTCTGGCTTCAGTCAGCCTTTTCCAGAGGCTCATATGATGTTGTCAGAGCTCCAGCTCTGTATCTGAAATCTGATTATTTTTCATTTTCTTTCTGTTGTTATTGACCTGTCTTTAAATGCCAGCAAACATTCTCTATTTGCTAATATGTACCTGCTTGCATTCCAAGTATACAAATGATCACTGATACAAATAAGTCACTGATACACATACTGGGTTCAAAATAAACTTTTTAGAAAGATCCATAAGGATTTGTTTTTGGACAGATGTTAACAGTGAAACAAGGCTGTATCCAAAGAATTTTGGAACAAATTACCATAAAGTATCGATGGAGTGTTCTCTGATTCTCAACCATATCCATGTAGAACAATTCTCAAAATAACAGAAATGGTTTGTGGGAAGATAAACATTTTGGAAAAACCAAGATTAAAATTGTCATGACATATAGAAAATATATAACAAGTTGAATGATGTCATCTGCAAAAGGGACTCCACATCCACCTACATGTATAAAGAGGCTCTTGAGAGAAATCTTGAAGAATCATAGGAGTTACTCTGAGATTACAATTTATATATTGTATTTTTTGTTGGAGAAGGGATCAACACCTATGTCTGTGTGCTCATTCCTACTGTGATGAAGTTTCAAAGGGAATAGTTTCTGCAAATGTAAGGACTATAGGACAGCATGACATATTAACAAATATATATCTATTATAGCATATTAAAACTGAAACACTCAAGTTTTTGCAAGAACTTTAAGAGAAACATGTATTTTATGTCATAAAGTAAAATTTGCCAATACCACAATAGAGAGTAATGAAAGTAAAATTATTCAACAACAAGAAATTATTCCTCTTTTTTAGATTTAGACAACAAGATGTAATCCTTCCTTTTAAGCAAAGTAGTGTGTTCTTATAAGTACATATAACTAAAATATTGGCCTTACCTCTGTTTTCTTTTTCTTTACCTTTATTTTCTTTAGTCATATAAACCTTGAAAATATTTGTTTCAAATATTCACAAACTATAGCCAAGGAATATCGAAGTTTGCTTGCATATAAACACTTTTAGCACATGTTTATGAATTATTAAATATCAGAATAAAATTTGAAAACTTTTAAAAGTTACTTGATCAAAAATTATTGAATTCAAGTTGAAATGACACATATTATGAATGATACTAAGTACTGGTGTTATTTTACTCTATTTTCCATAATAGTGAAAGCTACATAGGGATAAGCAAAAAAGTATATTCCGTTATATGTTTAATTATGTCTAACTAAGGACATCAGTTGATATATACTGAAAATTTACACCAGTTGATCTATCCCATTGATGTATTATAGTATAAATCATAAAATTAGACAAAGATATCTAAAGAGTACATAATCTCTTTAAAAATTTCTTATTTCTTAATTACATTTTCTCCATATGTATTCAAACATCACACTGAGTTGGCTGATAATTTAGCTTTACAATTATGGGTTTTAAAATGACATAGAGTTTGCACTGCAATTCCAAGTGGATGAAGAGAAAATGGGAAATAAATGAATGCTTGCATTTTTAGGCCATCATGGTAATTCTATTTAAATTGCCATACAAAGAACAGAAGTTAAACTTTTCCTAAAATTTGGGTTGGAGATGTTAAGTATTATTTGGAAAATAAATTACACAAAACCATCTCTTTCTCTCTTTCTCTCTCTCACACACACACACGTACACACACAGATGCACATACACACACACAAACTCCCTGTCCCCAGAATCTATTTGTTATAACAGCACATATAATATAAAGCAATGTAGTTCAGAATAGAATTTCATTTCATTATATTAAGTGAAATAAAAAGAGACACAGAAAGACACACAAAACAAATATTGCATGTTCTCACTCATCCGTGGGAGCTAAAAGGGTTATCTCACGGAACTAGAAAGTGGAATGATTGACACTTAAGGCTTAGAAGTGTGTAGTGGTGAGAGTGGAGGGTGAAGAGAGGTTGGTCAATGTGTTCAAACATACAGTTAGATAGAAGGTATAAATCCTAATGTGTGATAGCAATAATAGGGCAAATATAGCTAGCAACAATGTATTACACATTTCAAAGTAGCTAGAAAAAATAACTTGAAATATTCCCAACACATGGAAATGAGAAATACTCGAGGTGATGATTACTCCAAATACCCCAACTTAATTATTACACATTCTATGCATGTAACAAAATGCCACAGGTACCCAACAAATATGTCATATATTATGTATCAATTTAAAAAAGAATAAAAAAGAAATGTAGTTCACATTGTACTGTAATTTTTTGTTACTTCAATTTGCAATGTTGTTTTCTGAATAGTTTATGTCTTTCTCACGTATTTCAATTCTTTTCTATTGAAATAGCGAAGACAGTTATAAGTTGATAACTTTATATCTTATCTCAGAGTGTGTATGATGAGTTCAGCATTCATTCATGAAAATGAGCATTCCTAGTTCTCTCAAACATCAAAAAACAGTAGAAAACTAAATTCTTTTTGCATCTAATTTCTTACTAGTTCTTCTATTTACCTGTTTTTTTAGTCTAATTTCTATTTACTACAGGTGTCAAGAAGTCACAGTTTTTAGAATTTTATGATTAAAGTGAAATGTGCTATGGAATTATTTAAACTACAGCCTGAAAATGTTTTGCTTTCTTGTGCTTCTACTTGTAATTGATGTAAATATTTCAGAATAGCTGTTTCTGTTCCTCTGCAGAGGTTACTTTCTATAGGTAGAAGAGGCAGTGGAATAAGGATACTTATAGAGACTTCATTATGCTTTATTTCTACGTCCAGCCAAGCAAATCCTCATTCAAACTTCTTTGAAGCCTGTATTCTCTTCCTTAATATTGGAGAAAGACACAGTATAATAAACTTTCTGAAAACCCAAGTTATGAGGCTCCATTAAGGCAATGAATGATAAAATTAAAAATCTCTGGCTAATGCAAGATGGTACACGTTCTCATATACTAAATGCCCATCTAATTAAAAAATAACTGATTGCTAAACTATGAGTTATTGAGAATGAGTTCAAATATGAGAGATCACAAAGGATTTCCAAAGTAAATAAAATTCAAAAAAAGGCATTGTTAAAGGAGTAAAATTTTGCAGATGAAGATCAGCCAAGATGGATTAACCAGGTTGAGAAACACATCGGCAAACTCCAAAAGGTAGATGGGAATATGATAAACAGAGGACAGCAAGACCTCTTCCTGGAAAAACTGGACTGTCCAATTTTGTAGGAATATTAGAAATCAAGGGCTGTTATGAGAAGTGTAGCTACTTTATGAATGATGATGAGTGGCCTTTGCACAAAATCAGTTACTATTTACAGTTTTCTCTTTTTAAAAAAACATGAGTTATTCCTATGGGATAAATAATCTTCCGTTACCTTCATATACCCAGCAAAAGCACAGTGTCTGAAGAAAAGAAGTAGCCAGTAAAAAAGCATAATGTGAGTAAATGAAGAAATGAATACAGGAATAAATAAAGAGGTGAATAAATGCACGAAATAAAGTATTTTAGAATACTTATTCTGGCAGCAGTAAAACATTTTAAATAATTTTGAAAAGTGCCTAAAGATTTGAAAAGAATATGTAAATTTAAATCGTCCTTGAATATTACACATATATAAATCAGTATCACAAGTTCATAAAATCCATAAGAGATGCATCGCTATCATTTCTCAAATTTTAAGGTTTATAGCAGGTATATCAGAGTTCTAAGTTTATGTTAGCATTTGGCTTTCTATTGGCATCAGCATTCTAATTTTTTTAAAGTACCATTCTGAATAGATGTTTAAAATATTGACGATAATTATCAATATCATTTCTGATATTTTAAAACACCATGTTGTATAAAATCATAATGAGATGGAATGTTATACTGGACTATGAATACAATAGCACTGGGAATGATGTCATTACTAAAGACTGCTTTTTACTTTTTATCATCCCTAAGGGAAGAAATAAAAACTGCATTTAGATTGCTTTATTTAAATCATATTAGAATATAATTATAATTTTAAAACATTGGATATGTTTTTTAAAAATTACAGAAAAGTAGAAGAAAATAATCAGTTCCTTTGTTGAACACAGTATCTATGTGAAATTAAACAAACATATAAAGTTGTGTATTCTTTCTTCAACAAGCAAAGAAAGTGGGAGAAGCTTCAAATGATGAAGACACAGAAAACAATTGATGCTGGAATTTTCTATCATTGTGTATGTTGTTTTTGTGGCTTTTTATACCAAATCATTATAAAATGAGTCAAGCATTATATACTCTACTGATTCTTCATGAGTAAGAATATACAAATAAAATTGATAGTAAAATAACTAAATTATAACAACTTATACTTTATACATATATTTAAAAGCCATGATTATGGAAATGGTGATACATATGAACAAATTAGTCACCTCCTGAAATTTGTGTGCATTCAATGTTTATTATAATTTTTTTCTATCTTGAACAAATAAAAATTAATCCAAATATTTTCAAAAAGTGATTACAGGATTTGACTGGTGTTCATGTGAAATTTCAGAACACCTGTATATCATATGTAGGCCTTATCAAATTGAAGATATCTGTATAGACTTGTGGATACACACACACACACACACACACACACACACACACATATGGTTTTAAATTTGTGTTTTCCTACATATACATATACATATACATATACATATAGTCCTTACTGTACCAGGAGAGGGTCTGAGAGCAGCAAAAGTCTAATAGCACTGAGTTCACCTTCTCTTGCCTCCTCTTAGCTTCCATATATCATTTTCAACTAAATAAGAGACTCCTCAGAGAAATGGCTGATTCTAAGCAAAAGTTCATAGTGATACTGGAAACACCATTTCTATCAGAAAGCCAAATGTGTTAAAAAAATTATGGGGCATGTTGAAAGGACACAGATGTCAACTTGAAAAAAGCTACCATTAGCCAAATTTAGGATAATTTGAGCTTCAAGATAAATACATTTGGCTCCCTGTATCCAGGATTTCTACATCCGTGGGTTCAACCAAATGTAGATCAAAAATATAGAAAAAAATTGTGTCTGGCCGGGGGCGGTGGCTCACTCCTGTAATCCCAGCACTTCGGGAGGCTGAGGTGGGCGGATCACCCGAGGTCAGGAGTTCGAGACCAGCCTGACCAACATGGAGAAACCCCATCTCTACTAAAAATACAAAAGAAACTTCAGCTGGGTGTGGTGGCTGGCGCCTGTAATCCCAGCTACTCGGGAGGCTGAGGCAGGAGAATCGCTTGAACCCAGGAGACAGAGGTTGTGGCGAGCCAAGATCATGCCATTACACTCCAGCACGGGCAACAAGAGTGAAATTCCGTCTCAAAAAAAGAAAAGAAAAGAGAAGAAAAAAAACTGTGTCTGTACTGAACTTGTAAATAGATTTTTCTTGCCATTATTTCCTAAGCCATACAGTACAAAAACTATTTACCTTTTACTTTGTATTAGCAGTTATAAGTAATCTAGAAATGATTTAAAGTATATGAAAGGATGTGCATATGTTATATGCAAATACAATGCCATTTTATATCAGGGACTTAAGCATTCATAGACTTTAGTATCTGAGAGAGGTCCTAGATCTGATCCCCTAGGGATACTGAAGAATGATGATAGTCCCATAAGATTATAATGGAGCATATGGAGAAACCTGATACATGGAACTTGCTATTAGCATTGCAGATCAAGTTAGGGACAATAATTGATATTAAGTAATGGTGCTTGGACATTTAGTTTTTCATCTGAAAATATACATACATAAACTCAAATACATATACATTTTATATATAAAAATATATATTATCTAGTTTTCTGTAAGTATACTCTATGACGTTTGCACAATAACGAAATCGCCTCATAATGCACTTCTCAGAATACAATCATGTCGATAAGCAATGAATGGCTGCATTTTATTTTAACATAAATGCATGGACATAATACAAAAGAAGTGTTACATAGGCTTTATGTCACCTTTATCCCCAGTGACACTGCCCAGAGGCAACAAGTTTTAACTTCCCTATTTTCTTGGTTCATCTGCAGATCACTCGCATTGTTTTACATATAGATACACATATATATATATACATAAATTTATTTTATATATAATGGTATTATATTATATATATGTGTGTGTGTATAGGCATATGTACATATATTCCACTTATTGGTACTTTAACTTTGGACAGTTTCAATTAACTTGAAAAAAGAGAATTAACTATTATGAAAAATGAACAGTAAATGAACTATAAATAAACCCTATTTCTCTTTCTCAGTATTATCCCTAAGATTTTTCTCGATTCCACTATTTATTGCTTTAATCTTTTGTATAATATATTTATACCCATTTCTCGTAGTTAATTAACTGCACAGCAGTACATGTTGGCTAAGTAAGATGAGCACATTTTAATTCGTAACCTTTTCTCCATCTCTGGTATGTTTCTCTAACTTTCAAATCCTTCTAGTTGTTTTGTTTTGGTTTTGCTTTTACCTTGACAAGCTGTATAACTTTTATGTATTAAACAAATCTTGTCCCCATGCTGTATTTATATTTTACGTTGAGACAAGAAAACAGAAATAACGTAAAATTAGTATTCATTACAGAAATGACTAGTGTACTTGGATCTGTAGAAAATAAACATATTATAATATAATCATTTTTATTCAAATATGTTCTCATATATAAATTAGGATCATTTCTAAATTTGAAGAACAGATCTTCCTGTCACATTGTTGCATTCCATATATTTCAAAATCAGTCCATATCTTTGTTTGCGTTACATTTGCACCATGATTTTTTAACATATTTTTTCCTGAAATTTCTATTTTTTCTTTCCTGTTGACAGAAGAATCACATGCCCTTACTATATTGCTAACATCCAGTTTCTTAACATCACATTAGCGATGCACAGCAACTAATAATCTATTCTTAAGGAAAGAGGGCTAATATGCTAACTCCATGGTTTTGGCAACTTGAGCCCCTTTTGTATTACTTCTCTTCTATAGTCTTAGTTAGGCTTGCATCTTGCAGTCTAATATAGTTAGTTGTACCAGCTACTATAATATCCACATTCTAGTTGTTGGAGATGGGTGTGGGAGAAGAGGGTAGGAGCCTTACCTTTCAAGTATGCCACAAGGAAGTTGCATATATAATATAGCTTCAATAATTTCAGTGTTAACTTATTTGTTTAAACAACAGACATTATTTATATGAACACAACTTGTTGCAAAAAAGCCAATAAATATAGTTATTTGCTTATTATGTGCTAGAAGTAAAATATTATTATGAGAGAAACAAAGAAGAAACTAAGAGGAGTAATAGCAATGTCTGAGAAACATTCTATTAATCACATACAGCAATAACAATGCACCGATTCTTTTCTTCAACATGGTTTTCTCCAATCTGGGACTCCTTGTTCTTACTTAGAGCCATGTTTCTCAAGGCTTTCCTTTCCTTATATTCCTGAATCATAAATCTCTTTCTTGAATTTGATTTTTATTTTATAGAACACATTCTTTTCTCTCTCATTTTTTGGCCTCAAAATGAATTGGTTATATTTGAAAATATCTTCCTTTTGCTCTCATGTTTTGAATAATTGCTGAGAATGCATGGATTTTGGTTAAATATCATGTTTTCACAAACATTTTTCCAAAAAATGGTGTTGCTGATGAAAAATATGGTAGAATTTCTGAGTTTTGTCCCTTGTAGACGAAATGTTACTCTAAAAATTTTTTAACTTTGTGTTCTAAATTTTCTGAAAAAGATGTATCAAAAATGCCATCCATTTTTTTATGAATCATGCTGTTTAAAATTCAGTAAGATCTTTCAATCTGAAGTTTTGGGATTTTTCCTTCACTCTGCAAACTTTTTATTGTTTTTTTGATTATTTCTTCCATGTCCCTCTTTCTCTCTTTTTCTGTAATATTTATTTAGACAAATTGCAAACTTCATAGATATTTGAAATGGTTTGTCTCTGTGTCTCTACCCAAATCTCATGGTGTATTGTAATCCCCACATGTTGGAGGAGGGGCCCGATAGGAGGTAATTGAATCATACTGGCAGACTTCCCCCTTGCTGTTCTTGTAATAGTGAATGAGTTCTCACAGGTCAGGTTGTTTAAAAGTGTGTAGCACTTCTCCCTTCTCTGTCTCTCACTGGCCATGTGAAGATGTGCTTGCTTCACTTTTGCCTTCCACCGTAATTATTAGTTTCCTAAGCACTCCCCACCAGGCACTCCACCACCCAGCCATGCTTCCTGTACAGCCTGTGGAACTCTTAAGTCAGTTAAGCCTATTTTCTTTATAAATTACCTAATTTCAAGTATGTCTTTATAACAGTGTGAGAATGGACTAATACAGAAAATTAGCACCAGAGAAGTGGGCCATTGCTATAAAGATACCTGAAAATGTGTAAGCAGCTTTGGAACTGGGTAATGGGCAGAGGTTGGAACAGTTTGGAGGGCTCAGAAGAAGACAGGAAGATGAGGAAAGGTTTGGAACATCTTAGAGACTTGTTGAATAGCTTTGCCCCAAATGCTGATAGTGATATGGACAGAGATGATCAGGCTAATGAGGTCTCATATGGAGATGAGGACCTTATTGAGAACTGGAGTAAAGGTCACTCTTGATATGCTTGATATGCTTTAACAAATATATTGGTGACACTGTGCCCCTGCTCTAAGGTCTGTTGAACTTTGACTTGAGAGAGATAATTTAGGGTATCTGGCAGAAGAGATTTCTTTCTTTCTTTCTTTCTTTTTTTTTGAGACAGAGTCTCGCTCTGTCACCCAGGCTGGAGTGCAGTGGCATGATCTCGGCTCACTGCAACCTCCGCCTCCTGGTTTCACGCCATTCTCCTGCCTCAGCCTCCAAAGTAGCTGAGACTACAGGAACCCACCACCACACCCGGATTATTTTTTTGTATTTTTAGTAGAGATGGGGTTTCACCGTGTTAGCCAGCATGGTCTTGATCCCCTGACCTCGTGATCCGCCTGCCTGGGCCTCCCAAAGTGCTGGGATTACAGGCGTGAGCCACCGCGCCCAGCCCCCAGAAGAAATTTCTAAGCTGCAAAGCTTTCAAGTGTGACCTGGCTGCTCCTAATAGCATTTGCTCATACTCATGAGCAAAGAGATAATCTGAAACTGGAACTTACATTTAAAAAGGAAGCAGAGCATAAAAGTTTGGAAAATTTGCATCCCAGCCATGTAGTAGAAAAGGAAAACCCATTTTCAGGAAAAAAATTCAACCCAACTGCAAACATTTGCATGAGTAAAGAGGAGACAAATGTGAATAGCCAAGACAATGGGGAAAATTCATCCAGGGCATTTCAGAGATATTCACTGAAGCCTCTCACATCACAGGGCTGAAAGTGAAGAAGAAAAACAAAAATGATTTTGTGGGCCAGGCCCACGACGCTGCTACTCTGTGCAGCCATGGGACATGGTGCCCTGTGTCCAAGCCACTCTAGCTCCATCCATAGCTAAAAGGGGCCAAAGTACAGCTCAGGCCATTGACTCACAGTTGCAAGTCCCAAGCCTTGGTGGCTTCTAAGTGGTTTTAAGCCTGTGGGTGTGCAGAAGGTGAGAATTGAGGCTTGGGAGCCTCCATCTAGATATCAAAAAGTGTAAGGAAAGGCCTGGATGTCCAAGCAGAAGTCTGCTGCAGGGGCAGAGGTCTCATGGAGAATCTCTACCAGGGCAGTGTGGAGGGGAAATGTAGGGTTGGAGTCCCCACACAGAGTCCCCATTGGAGCACTACTTATTGGAGCTGTGAGAAGAGGGCCACCATCCTCCAGACCTTGGAATGGTAGATCCAACAACAACTTCCACCATGCACCTAGAAAAGCTGCAGGTACTCAATGCCAACCCATGAAAGCAGGCTTGGGGGCTGTACCTTGCAGAGCCACAGAGGTGGAGATGCCAAAGGCCTTGGGAGCCTGCCCGTTCCCTCAGTGTGGCCTGAATGTGAGACATAGCAGCAAAGCAGACTATTTTGGAGCTGTAAGATTTAATGACTATTCTGCTGGATTTCAGACTTGCATGGGGCCTGTAGCCCCTTTGTTTTGGCCAATTTCTCCCTTTTGAAATGGGAGCATTTGCCCAATGCCAGTACTCCCATTGTACCTTGAAAGTAACTAACTCATTTTTGATTTTGCAGGCTCATAGGCAGAAGGGACTTGCTTTATCTCACATAAAACTTTGGATTTGGACTTTTGAGTTAATGCTGGAATGAGTTATGACTTTAGGTGACTGTTGGGAAGGTATGATTGTGTTTTGAAACGTGAGAAGGACATGAGATTTGGGAGGGCCTGGGGCAGAATGATATGATTTGGCTCTGTGTTCCCACTCAAATCTCATGTTGAATTGTAATCCCCACATGTTGTGGGAGGGGCCTAGTGGGAGGTGATTGAATCATGTGGGCAGACTTTGCTCTTGCTGTTCTCATAATAGTGAATGAAATCTCATGGGATCTGGTTGTTTAAAACTGTGTAGTGTCTCCCCCTTCTCTCTCGCCTTCCATGTGAAAATGTGCTTGCTTCCCCTTCATCTTCTGCCATGATTTTAAGTTTCCTAAGGCCTCCCTAGCCATGTTTCTTATATAGCCTGCAGAAATCCGAGTCAATTAAACCTATTTTCTTTATAAATTACCAGTCCCAAGTATGTATTTATAGCAGTGTGAAAATGGACTAATACAGTATTCCACTGTGAAACTTTTTTTTCAAATGCTGTAAATTCCCCCCAACTCTTTGTTTCTAGAGTTTTACATCAAGCTTTTTAACTTGATATCTCATGGTAATAATACTATCTTAACTTCCAAAAATACCCTCATATTCTCTGATTACTTTTTTCTCAGAGTAACCTATTATTTGATAGATATTACCTTTTCGTGAATTTTTCTAAAATACTAATTAGAATTACCTAACTTGTATTATGTCCCTGGATTATTTTAGGCTCTTCTAATGTTAGTTATCTTTTTGGTTGTTAAATTTCCTCATAGGCATACATTTCTTATTTGTGTTTTTATATTTTAAAATACGAAAACAATGGCTTGGTTGCCATAGAGGCTTGATTGGAATTGCTATTCCTTGTGAAACTCTGTTTCGGCATTTGGCCTCTTCCTTAAATGTAAGGCTCGAACTTGACTTCTGTGAAATATACTAACCTATTGGTTTTACTTCATGATATTTGGGCTGGGAGCACAGATTTATGCTTTCTCCACTGTCCGTCCTGTCTTCTCAAAATAAACGTGGCTTAATTCTAAACTGTCAATACCTACACTAGGAGTTCAATCTTACTTGGGGTCTTTAGACTGGATACACCTGCTTTAACCTGTACACTCATGTCATTAGTGCCACTTTTTCTATTAAAATTCAGAAATTTAACTAGTCCATTCCCACTTACTGGACCTGCTGACTTCAATCATTTCCAGGGCTCAACAGGGAGGAAACAATTCTACCTCCACTGACTTGCCAAATTCCGGGTTCCTGATGGGGCTAACTAATGCTGTAATGTATCACTCACTCAATATGAGCCCAGTTGCCTTAGACCTTTAAAAAATAAGCTTTGCTCATTGTTGTCCCATTCTTCATACAAGTCTAAGAACTACTTTTGATTATTTTTGTATGCCTTAGATTTTAAGAAGGGAGGTAAATAAATATATGCTTTTAGTATTCCATGTTGAACAGTAGTGTAGGAGGTATTTTAAACTTTTGTAGATCTTAAATAATGGCATAGAAAGAAAAAGAGCATTTTTCAATATTAAAATGAGAATACAATCAATAACACTGGAAGCAGATGCTTCAAATTGTCCTTGAAACATAGTGGCATACAATTCTTTTGGGAAGAAAATTATTTATCCAATAGGATTTTTTTCAAAAATATTTATATTGTTTAACTATCCAAAATAAAAATTTCATTAAAGCTTTGGAGGTAAATACAATTAAAATCCGAGTCATTTATTTGATTTAAGTGATTACAGTCATCCTTTGATATCCATAGGGGATTGGTTTCAGGATCCCTATGGGTACCTAATCCAGGGATGCTCAAGTTCCTAATATAAAATGGTGTAGTATTTGCATGTAACTTACACATATCCTCCCATATACTTTAAATCATCTTTAGATTGCTTGTAAAACCTAATAAAATGTAAAGGCTATGTATAAGGTTGTTATATTGTAGTTTTAAAATTTATATCATTTCTTACTGTGATATTATTAATTTTTTTGAGTATTTTTGATCCACAGTTGGTTGAATCCATGGATGTGGGACCCACTGACTGGGAGAGCCAAATGTAAACATTTTACTAGAAGTAAATATGAGTATTCTAAATTTTTAAAAGCTTAAAGCTCTCAAAATAATCACATCTGTCAAATGAGTAACAGCACACATTGCTATGCAAAGCCTCAAGTCAATCACATATACGTAGCAGGTGATGGCTTACTTTAGTATGAAATGAACAAAGTTTGAAGAGCTATGGAATTGCAAAAACATGAAGTTAGATTGAGGTCTTATCTTAAATAGCTGTGTGAACTTTAACTTGTCACTTAAACTCTAAATTTCTGTTTCTTCATCTGAAAAGTGGAATACATAAGGTTTTCTTGAAGAATTTTTAAGAGGATGACAATAAATTTTACATGTACTTCATTACTTACAGATGATAGATACTAAGTAATGTTAAAAACACACTTGCAATGCCAAAAGAAGTTACGTTATTTTTATAATTTATGTTATATATAATATATCTAAAATTTATCTAATAAAATAGAGGACATTTACATAAAAGTATTTATAAACTGACACAAATATAAAAATCGCAGAAAATCATTTAAAAAATTAAGAAAGAATTGGTTCTCTCTGATAACACATGCAGTAAGTTTAAAGGAAAGACCAACAAGAAAATCTCATCTGAGATCTTAAATGGGGTATTTATTATTTAAATGACTTTTCTAATTTCTTATGGTTGATATTCAGCCTTACAGTATCAAATACATGATTTTGTCAACACTGAGAATTAATTATTTTCATAGAGGAAAACTCATAAAATCAAAGCTTATAACAAATTGTAAGAAATCTAATACTAAGCTTGAATGCCAATATATTAATTTACAGTAATAATAATTGCTAGACATATTAAAAGCCTATTGAAATTTATAAGGGACAGTCTTTCAAGGTAATTTAAAAAATGAAGAAAATCATTATTAGACAATTACATCACTTCCAAAGAGAAATCAGTCTCAATGACTAGCTGGTATACCCAAAGATTTCAACATCTCCATCAGTCTCCACATTAGGTATAATTTTGTATATGGATCTTGAAGATTCAAATATTCATATTACTAAGGTTTTGTCCTACATATGAAAATACTTGGATCAACATCACATATTTGTCTATGTAAATTCTATGTAAAATTCTACTTAATTTTTTAAAGAATGGGATAAAACTCCATTTTGATGGAAATTTTGTTTTTCAAGTCATATTAGTAACAAATAAGAATATTACTGAACACGTGTCATGATGAGCACTATAAACTGAATATCACTTTAAGAGATATTTACATATCTCTATTCTGATATATTAAGGGTATGAAAAAAGATAATTTATTAATTTACTCAGTAGTTATTTACTGAGTACCTGTCATGCACCATACCAGATGTTCCAATTATAGTGGTAGACAAGATGGATAGAATCCCTGATTCCATTATGCTTACAAACTGATGACTATATGTCAATTCAGAATAGCATTTCTCAGTAGTGTGGAAATCTGGTAAATAGGGACAGTAAAGAGAAAACAAATGAGCATAACACTAAGAATTCTCATGTTGAACTGTCACTACTGCATAGTGTGTGGATCCTCATTCACACTATTTTTTTTTTTTTTTTTTTTTTTTTGAGATGAGTTCTCGCTCTGTCGCCCAGGCTGGAGTGCAGTGGTGAGATCTCGGCTCACTTCAAGCTCTGCCTCCCGGGTTCATGCCATTCTCCTGCCTCAGCCTCCAAAGTAGCTGGGACTACGGGTGCCCACCACCACGCCCGGCTAATTTTTGTATTTTTAGTAGAGACGGGGTTTCACCGTGTTACCCAGGATGGTCTCGATCTCCTGACCTCGTGATCCGCCCACCTCAGCCTCCTAAAGTGCTGGGATTACAGGCGTGAGCCACCGCGCCCGGCCCACACTATTCTGACTAAAGCTACACTTTTACTGAAAGGTGCAGATGTCTGGGAAACGTGCATCTCTCCAACACTTATGACTATTTGACATGTCTCAAGTATTTTATAAAGTGGTTTATACGTGCTTGTCTTTTCCTTTTTACAACATATCACATTCTGCATTTCAAATATGCACATAATGAAGCAGGATCAGAAAGAGAAAGTAACTTGCCTAATGTCACATAGCTCTTTAACTGTGAAGCCAAAAGTTTATCTCAGTGTTAAGGGCTGAATTGTGTACCCCAAAGCTCATATGTTGAAATGCTAAGCTCTGGTACCTCGGAATGCAGTTGTATTAGGAGATAGTGTTTTTAAAGAGGTAATTAAGTCAAAAGGAGATCATGAGGATGGGCCCTAATCCAACGTGACTGTGGTCCTTATAAGAAAAGGAAAGTAGGACACATAGAGAAACAGAGGTTAGAGCATGTAAAGACAAAGGGAAAATACAGCCATTTGCAAGCTAACAAGAGAGACCTCAAAATAAATTAATCCCACTGATATCTTGGTCCTGCACTTCTAGCCTCCAGAATTGTGAGGAAATAAATTTATGTTATTTAAGTTCTCCAATCTCTGGAATTTTGTTATGGCAGCCCCAGCAAACTGACATACTCAGATTGGACTGACTCCAAATAAATGGCTTATAAGCAAAATTTATGGAATTTATAAGGACTTTATAAAGAAAAAGAGATATTCTATGGATTATTAATTATTTCTCCACACATAAAAGATATTCTATATGTCAAAAATAAAACATCATTGGGTTCCAATTCTTATATCTAAGGTATAACTTTTAAGAAAAAAAATGAGTAAAATGATACCAGAAATAAAGACATTATTAACAGGATTATCTGATGATAAGATAACAGGTATTTCTTTTTATATTTAACATATTTATTCTATATGATCTAGTATGTTTTGTCAATTAACATTTCTTTTTAAAATACTTATTAAATACTATTTTAGGTATTTCTATTAATAATTATTGAAATCTATTACAAGAAATGAATTTGCTGGATGCTGTGAGGACAAAACAGGGGAAGAACACACAGATTTCTAAAGTATAATCCTTGTAAATGCATCCACTATGACTTGCTTCTCTAAATCATGGTTTAAAACAGTTGGTTGTTTCTTTGTTATTGATTCTTTTTTTTTATTTTTATTTTTTTACTACTGATGGTAAATCATCCACTTCTATCACAGTCAATCTTTCCTATTAGGAAAATTCCAGAACATTCCTCTTGAAGTATATTTCTTTTTTTTCTTTTTTGAGACGGAGTTTTGCTCTTGTCTCCTAGGCTGGAGTGCAATGGCACAATCTCCTCTCACTGCAACCTCTGCCTCCTGGGTTCAAGTGATTCTCCTGTCTCAGCCTCCTGAGTAGCTGGGATTACAGGTGTGACCCAATGTGCCCGGCCCCAATTTCTTAAGATAAGGGGTGGGGATATTATTCAAGTCCTACTGCAACGCCCAGGTAAACAGGGGAATCTAATCATTTCCCTGTTGCTATTGCCTGTTGTTCTGGAGAGTTCAAGGACTGGTTGTTACTGCTACAGTGATATTCTTGCCATGCAAACTTCTGAGGCTGAGTTACCTCTTGGTTTCCCATGTTTGAACCCCAATAATAACATGCTTATAGTTGACATGCCCAGTTATTTTGGCTCTTCCTTAGGGTCAGGAAAAGCTCCACAGGGCAATCATAAGTCATATCCAAAACAGCCGCTGTCCCTGAGATTTGGGTGCTTATTTTGAGCCAGAGTAAAGCCGAAACTCTTCCATCTCTTCTGGTGAATACTCCTTTTGGGGCATTTGACCCTATGTTCACTGACACTCTGCCTTTCTAGAGAGGTGTTCTGAAAACCCAGAGATATGTTCCAGTGATATGTCTTTGCAATGCCAGAATACGTTTAGCATAACCTCCCACCTTTTCCCAAAAGCATTGACATGCCTCCTCTTCAAACATACACATAAACAAAGGAGGACCATTCCAGTCTTTCTTTACGAATCACACAATAAGCACTAAATTGCTGCTTGATTTCTACATCAGAGAGACTAGATTTTGTAAGTAATACTTTTGAATGAAAAACTCAATCTCATTTTAGATCTTTTATTCAAAGAAGATAAATAACGGGCCTAAAGTTAACGATTGGGGTTGAATATACATTTAAGACAGCATCCCACGCTCCAGCATGTTTCTCCCACCTCCCAATCTCCCTTTTTTTATTTTGTGTATAATCTCATGTGCTGTTTTCATTTCATTGTAATTTTCTTCATAATTAAGAATCTATGACTTATTTCCTTTCCCTATCATTTCCTTTCTCGTAACATAGCAAAACAATGTGGCAAAATCAGTGATTTGTTACTTAAGTAATGTAATCAGTGCTCATTTAAAAAAACAAAAAAAGAATATTTTAATCATATTTTTTCTTTATGAGTCTCTACTTGTTTGCACATATTTGTAGTAGGGAAAAAAGTTGATATAGTAAACATTATTTTCCTTCCTTTTCTTTTTCTTTATTCTAGCAGTTGCTCATTGAATCAACTGGTATACCGAAATTCTGTCTTTTGAGCAAAGGCATAGGTCCCAGACAGTGGAGTGGGAAGAAATATGTAGAGACAGTGTCTGGGGGAAAAGGGAAGAAAAGAAGAATATTTGTGCACTCTAACAGCAGAGACAACTCATATGCTATTTCTTTGCATCTGAATGAAGTCAACAAAACTCATGGAAAACAGACACTGTTCTCTGAGTTCTACAAAAAAACAGAGCCTGAGGCAAAGAACCCGTATGTTAACAATTATTTGGCAAGGGGCATTGCCAGAGAAGTAAGAATGAAGAGGAAAACAAACAAGAGTGCAGTAAGGAAGGAGGAAGATAAAATACAAAGTGATGTGTTGCTAAGCTTGTGACGGCTTAGCGTCAAAACACAACTGTCACACTTGGAGGCATCTCCCAAGAGGCTGCTTGGAATTACTGCATTTCAGAACAGTTCACAGTAAGTGAAAGGGAGGGGAGGAAGATTGAGCAATTAATCTGCTGTCTCTTTCCTGTCTTCTGTCTCTGTATATGTATGGGGTATAGATAACTCTCTTGACCCCCCACAGTCACTAAGTTCTGGGTTGTGTTTTCTAGCCCTTTAAAGTAGCCATTGGTGAAATTAAAGACATCACAGGCCTATTCATGCCTGTGACCTCTCCTTAGCAGGAAGTGCACAGAGAGAAGGGGAATGTTCTTACGCAGCGGCGAAGGCAGCAGCCACCACACTCTGAGCTTTAGAACTGTGGGTACACAGTGAGCCATTGATAGAACTGACCCAGCAAGGAAGAAAGACAAATAATGGAAGAACAGAACTATGGCAATTTTGGAAGGTACCTGATAACAGTTCGGATATTTTTTCCCACTCAAAGCTCATGTTGAATTGTAATTCCCAGTGCTAGAGGTGGGGGTCTGGTGGAAGGTGTTTGGGTCACGGGGGCAGATCACTCATGGCTTGGTGCTGTCTTTACAATAGTGATTTCTCTCAATATCTGATCATTTAAAAGTGTGGAACACCTTCCCCACAATTCTCTTCCTTGCTCTTGCCCTGACCATGTAACGTGCCTTTTGTTCCCACTTCACTTTCCACCATGATTGAAAGCTCCCTGAGGCTTCACCAAAAGCTGCAGATGCCAACACCATGCTTCCTCTGAAGCCTGCAGAACTGTGAGCCAATTAAACCTCTTTTCTTTATTAGTTACTCAGTCTCAGGTATTTCTTTACAGCAATGCAAGAATGGCCTAATACAGTATCCAGTAAAAGGTAAACTTTTCTATTCACCTGACAGTATAAGTCTGAGTGAGAAATTATTACCTTTTTTACACTTTAAAAATTTCCTACCTACTATAGAAAAAGGTCTTATCTAGCAATGTGCAAAACAATTATAATCAAGGGCTGTTTATAAAGGTGATAATACACATCCATACATGTTTATGCTCATAAGTTTGTTACATCATTGATATTGAGACGTGAAATGGACTCTCAGGAGTCACAGCTCAGAAACGTCAGAGAACACCGATAAGACAGAATTTCAAAGTATTATAGTCAAAACTAAACTTAACTAAAACTGTAAGTCAGTGAAAACTAAACAAAACAACCAACCTGAAGGAATAGCAGGGGAAATAAAGAGATCAATGAAAGGTTTCTTTGATGAGATTTATTTCTCTGACTTCACGGAATACTGAGGAAAGAAACTTTGTGTACAATTATCTTTAAGGACCTTGTATGAAATTCTAAATTTCTTTTAATTGCAAACAAACAAGCAATAGCAATAAAAATAATCTCTTTTTATAGTTATAAAATGAATAGCCTGATTGATAAAAGACACTCTTGTCTCTCTACCCTTTTCAATATCTAAAATTAGAGGAAGAGTGGCAGAGATGACGTTATGGGTTTGTCTCTCAAATGAGAAAATAATCAGAGGCCACATCAACCTAGGACTCTCAGAGACTTTTCATGGTATGGCAGTTTTCAGCCACACATTAACCCAACTCCTCTGCGATTTCTATCCTCCCAGTCGGTCTCTGCTCTGTGTGAGACCCCCAGGTATGTGGCATGACCCTTGAAGGGTCCACAAAAAGAAATGAGGTCTAGATTAATGTCCTTTGTGGAACACAAGGTGTAGAGGTAAAATTTAAGTGGAAAGAGAAAGTAAAATTATATTTTGTGTACAATTGAGTTTGTTGACTAATATTCTCCCTCTCACTTTAAATATATACAAACTCAGAATATTGATAACTCATCACAAATATATAAACGGAATTATATCTTTAAAGTTTGCTTCATTTAGTAAACATTATCAAAATCACTAATGATGTAAAAAGTACATTTAAGTAATATATTAAAGTGTATAGATGTGCCATGTTGTACTCATTTGTACTTTTGTTAGTAGATATCTTGGTATATATAAACTGTGATCAAAGCTATGATTACTCCCTGAAGAAGCATTTTCAGAAGAACCAATTACTTAGAAAATTTTTAAAGACTCTTGGGGTATTGCAAAATTGCCCTCCAGAAAATTCATTCCAATTTACAATCACTCTATCAATTTATTAGAGGGTTTTTTGCAATCATTCACTGTTTATTGCAACCTCTCACTGGCAGTATCAAATGTGTAGTAAGAAAAACAAGAAATAGTATTGTTATTAATTCCTATTAATTCAGTGAACATGTCTTAACATACATGTTGGTTATCTGCATTTCTTTGTTTTAAAATTCCTGCTTATAAATGTACTTTATGGCATAAAGTAGGGAATTGATTTGGCCTACCAATATCACAGTAAATTGTGTTCATTTAGAACATTAGCTTTGTGGTCAGTCTATGCTTCCTAATGTAATGTTGATTAGCTTGGTGACATGGGTTACATTATATATCATTTTTAACCTTCAGTTTTCACATCTATAAAAATAGAAATAATAATAAATGTATATCTCCTAGTATTGTTTAATCTAAATGATGTAATACCCCCAAAGTAATTAGCACGTCACTAGTACACTGTTCATGTCGAATAAAGGTAAACTGCTATAATTACAGGAAAGATAGTTGACATATCTGCTAAAGCAAAACTTGAATTCAACACAAGTGTCTCATTCTTTCTTTAAAAAAGCCAAAAATACTAAATCAATATTTAAAAAAATAGTATTGATGTGCCAAACTAAAATATGAACAATTTTATTTTAAAATAATCTTACAAAATATAATTAAATTAATAAACTAATTCTTTGTCATAAGAAATAAGTGGTTTTCATGATGCAGACCTATTAGATTAAGGAAGAAACTTCAATAAGCACATTATGTTATATCATTGATTTTTTGTTATTATTTTCTCATGCTTGTGGCCTGTTAACTGAGAAAGTGAATAGGCCATTAAAATGTTCTAGGTTTTTAAAATATATTTAATAAACATAGAAGGAGAAGTTGCACTTATTAGGCTGTACTTCATGTAATTCACACAGCCACAAAACAAATGGTGAGTATAAAACATGTTCTACTGATTGCGGGCAAGACAGCCAAATAAGAACAGCTCCAGTCTCCAGCTCCCAGCGAGACCAATGCAGAAGGCAGGTGATTTCCACATTTCCAACTAAGGTACCCAGTTCATCTCATTAGGACTGGTTAGACAGTGGGTACAGCCCACGGAAGGCAAGCAGAAGCAGGGTGGGGCATCACCTCACCCAGGAGGTACAAGGGGTCGGGGAACTCCCTCGCCTAGCCAAGGGAAGCTGTGAGGGACTGTGCCATGAGGGATGATGCTATCTGGCCCAGATACTACATTTTTCCCACGGTCTTCACAACCACAGAACAGGAGATTCCCTCGGGTGCCTACAACACCAAGGCCCTGGATTTCAAGCACAAAACTGGGCGGCCATTTGGGCAGACACCTAACTCGGTGTCTGCAAACTGCAGGAGTTTTTGTCATACCTCAGTGGTGCCTGGAACACCAGTGAGACAGAACCATTCACTCCTCTGGAAAGGGGGCTGAAGCCAGGGAGCCGAGTGGTCTTGCTCAGCAGATCCCACCCCCATGAGGCCCAAAAAGCTAAGATCCACTGGCTTGAAATTCTCGCTGCCAGCACATCAGTCTGAAGTCAAATTGGGATGCTTGAGCTTGGTGGGAGGAGCGGTGTCCACCAATACTGAGGCTTGCAAACGCAGTTTGCCCCTTACAATGTAAACAAAGCTGCTGGGTGGTTCAAACTGGGTGCAGAACCCACCGCAGTGCGGCAAAGCTGCTGTAACCAGACTGCCTCTCTAGATTCCTCCTCTCTGGGCAGGGCATCTCTGAAAAAAAGGCAGCAGCCCCAGTCAGGTGCTTATAGATAAAACTCCCATGTTTCTGGGACAGAACACCTGGGGGAAGGGCTGGCTGTGGGCACAGCTTCAGCAGACTTAAATGTTCCCGCCTGTCAGCTCTGAAGAGAGCAGCAGATCTTCCAGCACAGAGCATGAGCTCTCCTAAGGGACAGACTGTCTCCTCAAGTGGGTCCCTGACTTCGTAACTCCTGACTGGTAGACATTTAGCAGCAGGGGTTGACAGACACCTCATACAGAAGAACTCTAGCTGGCATCTGGCAGTTGGCCCTCTGGGATGAAGCTTCCACAGCAATCTTTGCTGTTGTGTAGCCTCGGCTGGTGATATCCAGGCAAATAAGGCCTGGAGTGGATGTCCAGCAAACTCCAGCAGACCTGCAGAAGTGGGGCCTGAGTGTTAGAAGGAAAACTAAAAAACAGAAAGCGATATCATCAACATCAACAAAATGGACGCCCACACAAAAACCCCATCTGAAGGTCACCAATATCGAAGACCAAAGGTAGATAAATCCACAAACATGAGGAAAAACCAGTGCATAAAGGCTGAAAATTCCAAAAACCAGAACACCTCTTGTTTTCCAAAGGATCACAACTTGTCACCACCAAGGGAAAAAAATTGGATGGAGAATGAATTTGACAAATTGACAGAGTAGGCTTCAGAAGGTGGTAATAACAAACTCCTCTGAGCTAAAGGAGCATGTTCTAACCCAATGCAAGAAAGCTAAGAACCTTGATAAAAGGTTACAGAAACTGCAAACTAGAATAATCAGTTTAGAGAAGAATATATATGACCTGATGGAGCTGAAAAACACAGCACAGCAAGAGAACTTCGTGAAGCATACACAATTATCAATAGCTGAATTGATCAAGTGGAAGAAAGGATATCAGAGACTGAAGATCAACTTAATGAAATAAAGCATGAAGACAAGAGTAGAGAAGAAAGAATGAAAAGGAACAAACAAAGCCTCCAAGAAATATGGGACTATGTGAAAAGGCCAAACCTACGTTTGATTGCTGTACCCGAGAGTGACGGGGAGAATGGAACCAAGTTGGAAAACACACTTCAGGATATTATCCAGGAGAAATTCCTCAGCCTAGCAGGACGGGCCAACATTCAAATTCAGGAAATACAGAGAACACCACAAAGATAATCCTTGAGAAGTGCAACCCCAAGACACATAATCATTAGATTCACCAAAGTTGAAATGAAAGAAAAAATGTTAAGGACAGCAAGAGAGAAAGGTCAAGTTACCCACAAAGGGAAGCCCATCAGATTAACAGCAGATCTCTCTGTAGAAACTCTACAAGCCAGAAGAGAGTAGGGGCCAATATTCAACCTTCTTAAAGAAAAGAATTTTCAACCCAGAATTTCATACCCAGCCAAACTAAGCTTCCTAAGTGAAGGAGAAATAGAATCCTTCACAGACAAGCAAATGCTGAGAGATTTTGTCACCACCAGGCCTGCCTTACAAGAGTTCCTGAAGGAAGCACTAAATATGGAAAGGAAAAACTGGTACTAGGCACTGCGAAAACATACCAAAATGTAAAGACCATTGACACTATGAATAAACTGTACCAACTAATGGGCAAAATAACCAGCTAGCATCATAACAACAAAATCAAATTCACACATAACAATGATAACTTTAAATGTTAACAGGCTAAATGCCCCAATTAAAAGATACAAACTGGCAAATTGGATAAAGAGTCAAGATCCATTGGTGTGCTGTATTCAGGAGACCCAACTCACATGCAAAGACACACATAGGCTCAAAATAAAGAGATGAAAGAATATTTACCAAGCACATGGAAAGAAAAAAACAGAGGTTGCAATCCTAGTCTCTGATGAAACAGACCTTAAACCAACAAAGATCAAAGAAGACAAGGGCATTATAAAATGGTAAAGCAATCCATGAAACAAGAAGAGCTAACTATCTTAAATATATATGCACCCAATATAGGAGCACCCAGATTCATAAAGCAAGTTCTTAGAGACCTACAAAGACACTTAGACTCCCACACAATGATAGTGGAAGACTTTAACACCACACTGTCCATGTTAGACAGATGAACAAGACAGAAAATTAACAATGATATTCAGGACTCTTGAACTGAGCTCTGGACCAAGCAGACCTAATAGACATCTAAAGAACTCTCCACCCAAATCAACAGAATATACATTCTTCTCAGCACCACACCACATAGCACTTATTCTAAAATCAACCACATAATTGGAAGCAAAACACTCCTCAGCAAATGCAAAAGAATGGAAATCATAACAGACAGTCTCTCAGACCACAGTGCAATCAAATTAGAACTCAGGATTAAGAAACTCACTTAAAACCACACAACCACATGGAAACTGAACAACCTGTTCCTGAATCATTACTGGGTAAATAACAAAATTAAGGCATAAGTAAATAAGTGCTTTGAAACCAGTGAGAACAAAGATACAACACACCAGAATCTCTGGGACACAGATAAAGCAGTGTTTAGAGGGAAATTTCTAGTACTAAATGCCCACATGAGAAAGCAGGAAAGATCTAAAATCGACACCTTAACATCACAATTAAAAGAACTAGAGAAGCAAGAGTAAAGAAATTCAAAAACTAGCAGAAGACAGTAAATAACTAAAATCAGAGCAGAATTAAAGGAGATAGAGACAGGAAAAACCCTTCAAAAAATCAATGAATCCAGGAGCTGGTTTTATAAAAAGATTAACAATATAGATAGACTGCTAGCCAGACTAATGAAGAAGAAAAGAAAGAAGAATCAAATGGACACAATAAAAAATGATAAATAGGATATCACCACTGATTCCACTGAAATACACACTACCATCAGATAATATTATAAACACCTCTACACAAATAAATTAGAAAATCTAGAAGAAATGGATAAATTCCTGGACACATACACCCTCCCAAGACTAAACCAGCAAGAAGTCGAATTCCTGAATGGACCAATAACAAGTTCTGAATTTGAGGCAGTAATTAATAGCCTACCAACCAAAAAAAGCCCAGGACCAGACAGATTCACAGCTGAATTCAATCAGAGTTACAAAGAAGAGCTGATACCATTTCTTCTGAAACTGTTCCAAACCGTAGAAGAAGAGGGATTTCTCCCTAATGCATTTTATGAGTCCAGCATCATCCTGATACGGAAAACTGGCTGAGACACAACAAAAAAAGAAAATTTCAGGCCAATATCCCTGATGACCTTCGATGCAAAAATCCTCATTAAAATACTGGTAAACCAAATCCAGCAGCACATTAAAAAGCTTATCCACAACTATCAAGTCGGCTTCATTCCTGGGATGCAAGCCTGGTTCAACATACACAAATCAATAAACGTAATCCATCACATAAACAGAACCGATGACAAAAACCACAAGATTATCTCAATAGATACAGAAAAGTCTTTGATAAAATTCAACACCCATTCATGCTAAAAGCACTCAATAAACTAGGTATTGATGGAATGTATCTCAAAATAATATGAACCATTTATGACAAACTCACAGCCAATATCATACTGAATGAGCAAAAACCGGAAGCATTCCCTTTGAAAACCAGCACAAGACAAGGATGCTGTCTCTCACCACTCCTATTCAACATACTATTGGAAGTTTTGGCCAGGGCAATCAGGCAAGAGAAAGAAATAAAGAGTATTTAATGAAGCAGAGAGGATGTCAAATTGTTTCTGTTTGCAGATGACATGATTATACATTTAGAAAACCCCATTGTCTCAGCCCAAAATCTCAAGCTGATAAGCAACTTCAGCAAAGTCCCAGGATACAAAAGAAATGTGCAAAAATCACAAACATCCCTATACACCAATAATAGAAAAACAGAGAGCCAAATCACGAGTGAAATCCCATTTACAATTTCTACAGAGAATAAAATACCTAAATATACAACTCACAAGGGATGTGAAGGACCTCTTCAAGAAGAACTACAAACCACTGCTCAAGGATTTAAGAGAGGAGACAAACAAATGGAAAAACATTCCATGTTCATGGTTTGGAAGAATCAATATTGTGAAAATGGCCATACTGCCCAAAGTAATTTATAGATTTAATGCTCTTCTCATCAAGCTACCATTGACTTTCTTCACAGAATTAGAAAAAACTACTTTAAGATTCATATGGAACCAAAAAAGAGCCCATATAACCAAGACAATCCTAAGCAAAAAGAACAAAGTTGGAGGCATCATGCCACCTGACTTCAAACTATACTACAAGGCTATGATAACCAAAACAGCATGTTACTGGTACCAATTACAGATATATAGACCAATGGAACAGAACAGAGGCCTCAGAAATAACACCACACATCTACAACCATCTGATTTTTGACAAAACTGACATAAACAAGCAATGAGGAAAGGATTCCTTATTTAATAAATGGTTGGGAAAACTGGCTAGCCATATGGAGAATACTGAAACTGGACCTCTTCCTTACACCTTATACAAAAATTAACTCAAGATGGATTAACAACTTAAATGTAAGACCTAAAACCATAAAAACCCTAGAAGAAAACCTAGGCAATACCATTCAGTATATAGGCATGGGCAAGGCTTCATGACTAAAACATCAAAAGCATTTGCAACAAAAGCCAAAATTGACAAATGGGATCTAATTAAACGAAAGAGCTTCTGCACAGCAAAAGAAATTATCAGACTGAACAGGCACCCTACAGAATGGGGGAAAATGTTTGCAATCTATGCACTTGAGAAAGCGATAATATCCAGAATCTACAAGGAACTTAAACAAATTTACAAGAAAAAAAGAAACAACCCCATCAAAAAGTGGGCAAAGAATATGAACAGGCACTTCTCAAAAGAAGACATTTATGAGACCAACAAACATATGAAAAAAAGCTCGTCATCACTGGTCATTAGATAAATGCAAATCAAAACCACAATGAAATACCATCTCACGCCAGTTAGAATGGCTGTCATTAAAAAGTCAGGAAACAGCAGATGCTGGAGGGCATGTGGAGAAATATGGATGCTTTTACACTATTGGCGGCAGTGTAAATTAGTTCAACCATTGTGGAAGACAGTGTGGTGATTCCTCAATAATCTAAAACCAGAAATACCATTTGACCCAGCAATCCCATTACTGGGTATATACCCACGTAGAATAAGTCATTCTACTGTAAAGACACATGCACACATATGTTTACTGCAGCACTGTTCACAATAGCAAAGACTTGGAACCAACTGAAATGCCCATCAATGATAGACCGGATAAAGAAAATGTGGCACATATACACCATGGAATACTATGCAGCCCTAAAAAAGAATGAGATAATGTCCTTTGCAGGGACATGGATGAAGCTGGAAGCCATCATTCTCAGCACACTAACAAAGGAACAGAAAACCAAACACCCATGTTCTCATTCATAAGTGGGAGTTGAAAAATGAGAAGACTTGGACACAGGGAGGGTAACATCACACACCAGGGCCTGTCAGGGGGTGGGGGGCAAGGGGAGGGACAGCATTAGGAGAAATACCTAATGCAGATGATGGGTTGATGAGTACAGCAAACCACCACGGCACATGTATACCTATGTAACAAACCTGCACATTCTGCACATGTATCCCAGAACTTAAAGTATAATAAAAAATAAATGTTCTACTTTAACTCACATATTGTGTAGATCTTACTTAAGATGGTTGGAGGCAGGGTCTCCTGGTGTTGCTTTGGTGATTCAACAATGTCATCAAGGACTCAGGCCTTTCATTCTGCCTTCTGTTACCCTTGGATATTTGTCCTTCATGATGGTAGTAGGATGACTGCATTTTCAAATCTTTTGTCCTCATGAAATATTAGTGAATGCAGGAAAGAAATGGAAAATATTAAAGAGCTTTCTTTCTTTCCCTTTAAGTCTCTCTTTTACCACTAAGGATACTGTTTTCCATAATTCCTCCTATTACCCTTTTTTTTTTTTTTTTTTTGAGACGGAGTCTCGCTCTGTCGCCCAGGCCGGACTGCGGACTGCAGTGGCGCAATCTCAGCTCACTGAAAGCTCCGCTTCCCGGGTTCACGCCATTCTCCTGCCTCAGCCTCCCGAGTAGCTGGGACTACAGGCGCCCGCCACCGCGCCCGGCTAATTTTTTGTATTTTTAGTAGAGACAGGGTTTCACCTTGTTAGCCAGGATGGTCTCGATCTCCTGACCTCATGATCCACCCGCCTCGGCCTCCCAAAGTGCTGGGATTACAGGCGTGAGCCACCGCGCCCGGCCTACCCTATTACCCTTTCTCTCACATTCCCTTGCCAGTACTGGATCACATATCAACCTTTAGTCTAATAAAGGAGAATGAATTTACCATAAGGGACTTAAACTAATCATAACCCATACCCTGGGGCTATTCACATTGCTGTTTAAACAAAGCTTAGCCCCATAAGAAATGTGGGCAAGACTCTTAGGAAAGCAACCAAATACCTTCAACCAAAATAACTGTCAATATTAAACATATGCCCTAATCATACTTCTTTATTCATTTAATTTCCATACAACCCTGTGAAAGAAACCTCAGCTTTATCTCTGGCATTCGTGTAAGTTAATCAACATGTTCAAAGTCACACAGCTAGAGATTGGTGGAGCTTGAGTTTCAATTCAGTCTGAATATTGAGCTGAAGTTCTAAATTAGGACTCTATTACTTTCCAACAGTTCGACTTTGAATTCAGACACTTCTAAAGTAACAAGAAAATAGCTCTACAATGAAGCAAAAGTATCTCAATGATAGTTTTTGGAAAATACCTCTTAAAAAAAATTTTTGCACTGAAAATTTAGCTCTCAAGAAATGTGAAGGGGGCACAGTTGATGTAATTCAGGGAAGACAGCATGAAACACAAAAAAATTAACGTATTATTAATTTGCCCCAACCTGGACTACAAATCCGTTTTTCAAAATAAATTATGGTTTAATATCAAATGATGAATTCTTACTAAAGACAATATACATTTTCAGTTATAAATTATGGCAAAAGTTATAAAGATTTCAAAATTACAGGAAAAAAATCACTACTGCTGGCTATTAATTTCTGCCATCCTCCCCTCCTCTGTTACAATGTAGAATGTCTTTTGTAGCAATATCATTACCAGATCAAGGAGTACAACAGAAGCCTCAGGTACTGAGGTTTTCTGCTTTTGAACTAGAACATGCATATTTCTTTTTCTCACAATGGAGCAGCTGATCCAGGGCATATGAGCAGACTTTGCCTGGATTTTCTTTTTAGTACTCTCTGTGGGTACTTGCTTTGAAACTTACCTGGAGTCGCGAAAGGAGTAGGCTGCAGTGAGAAGAACATGATCCTTGAAATCATGTGAAACCTAATTTGAGGACTTGCTCCATTTCTTGACTCAGAGTAACTTGGACTGGTTATGCGTCATACCTGAGCCTCTCTTCCCACAGCTCTAAAGTCAAGTGTATGAGTATTAGCAGTGGGGATGGGGAAAAGAACACCACTTCTGAGGAAATTGCAAACATTCAAGTTTTAAGCTATGTAAACTATCTAGCACATAGTAGGGACTCCATAAAATATTAGCTTTCTGCAGAATTTTTTCTCCAGTAGATGAAGTCAGGCTTCCAATCCCTACATTTTACTCACTGGTTGCTCATTCTCTAAATTGACAAAATGGATCACATACGGTTCCCTCTAATTCCCTCCTGTCCTTTTCCTTGTTTCTACTTCACTCCTTCTCCAACTTATTTATATGATTTCAAGCCTTCAATGCCCCACAAAATTTCTAAAAAGATAAACATGCAGATTGAATCTCTATAATTATTTTCTAAAGGAAACATCTCTTCCAGGGTGTTTTAAAAATTTACTAATACTTTTCAGGCAAGCTCTTCCTATTTGCTCTAGCTCTGTCTTCCAGCTCATTCTTTTCTAGTTCTATCCCTCCATTTCCTCCACTTCTTTTCTCTATAAATTCCTACTGATGTAGCTTCAGGGTCCCAAGACTGTTGGAATTATAATAATAACCTTAAGTTATTTACATTCCTTATTACTAATCTATAGGTCATCTTGAGAATTTCGCTAAGATGCTTTAATTGCATATTTAAAAATTGCAAGCCAACTTCATTTGATGTAATGTTAATTCAGAAAATAAATATTCAGCTACAATAGATACAGTCAATTTTCAATGATTTCAGTAACCTAATTCAGTAAGTAAGCACGTAATTCTAAAGATCACAAAGGAGAGACATTGTTTTACACTGTCTTTCCTATAAAGGTTGTTATATAGCTCTCATAATTAATTAAAGCATATTCAATGTTAACAATTTTTCGGGTATACTTTTTCACTTTTCTTAGTCTCATACAAGTGAATAATTATGAAGCCTGACATTTTATCCTGAATAAGTCATAACTTTCAAATAATCCTTTATTAAATAACATATATAAAATATGCAAATTATAAATGTATAGCTAGTTTATTTCAAAAATGGAACACACCTGCATAACAGACACACTGATCAAGAAATAAACTTGACCAGTACATTGCACTGTGTTCTATTAGATATATTAAGTGATTCATTCTAAAGATGTGACCTTTCACGATTGAGGGAGCTGGTTAAACCCATCTGTGTAAGGCTCTTGTCTTCATGTCTGATGCCAGGGCTTGAAGTCCACCAGGCAAGCAGTCAGGAAGGGAAGGTGACATAAAGTCGATGAGGGCTATGGCAAGCCAGAACTCACAGGTATAAGTGGACCCCACAAAGGTGCCCCGGGATCTGCCTCAATTCTTACTCATTCCAACCTTCATGCTATGATATCTTGTGGAGAAGCTGGCACCCTTTCTCCTGGCACTAACCATCCAGATGACTCAGGAGTTAGAAAGTCTGAAGAGGAATACAGAGCGGTTGCATTTGCAGTCCCCTCTGCTCCCCCACAGCAAGTAGATAAACCTGCAGACAAAGTAGTAACATGTGTGAGGTACTCCAATGCCTGTCTGAACTTTTGAAAGCAAAAATCAAAATGATTGCGGCTCCTCTTCTGACTTCAAATATTATGTGAAAATATGTCTTGTGGTCCACCCTATCCAAAAACACAGAGAGAAAGGAATTCTGAGAAACGTGGCTAATCACAGTTCAATTGACATTTTACAAAGCCACCAGAACCAGTAACTTTGTTATCCTTGAGAACCACATGTGGAAAAGGGAGATAACTGGGTTGGCGCAAGGCCACTCAGAGAACCCTCTTGAATGTGTAATGGTAGTATATGAATGCAGTCTTCAATTATATTTCCATAACAGTTAAATAGGATACACTTTCATATGTCATTGGCCATTCTGACATTCCGTTTTCTGAAGTGCCTATTCAAGTATTTTGCTTTTGTGAGGGAAGGGGTGTGTCTTGGTCTATCACTCTTTTATGGATTTGTAGGATGTCCTCACATTTATTTCAGATACGAGTCATTTGTTGACAAAAAAATAAAGATATATAGATATATATATCACATATCTTTTAGTATTCTCTGGGTTGCCTATTTGTTGTCTTAATAAATGTCCATGACTTTTTGACTTATGTAACAGGGAGCTCTAGATTTAATACGAAACCAAACACTTAATTGGAAAGTAGATCAAAATGGCGAATCCAATATATTAAAGAAAATATTTTTAATCTAGATAGACACACTTAAAATTACATGCCTAACAAATTATTATAGTTTGTATAATTATACATTTTATAAATAATCTTTTAGAATATTTATTTTAAAATGTGTTTAATATGATTATTAAATGGTTACTATAATATGCAGAGCAAAAGGGGAGCCTTAAGTCTTTTTTAAAAAACTAAAAATGTTTTTGATGAAAACTATTATTTAACTTCATAAAATGAAAACTAACATGAGAGGAACATAATTATAAGATAAACAGTGTCACATGGTATTAAAATAATAAAACACATATGCAATGGGCACTTTACAACACAGATAAATCCCCTCTAGGTTACTGTTAGGAGAGCCAAAGTAACATTTTGTATCTGATTTTATTTATTCAACTTTTTACTTCTTTTCCTGCTCATGAATTTTACATTCCTTTTCCCTCTCTTTCCCTATCCTTTCCTCATCCTTTTCCTTATTTATGTACAAGTATCTCAGGATTTCTAATAAACTAAAGGAAAATCCATTACTTAAACAAGCTTCATCAGGCTCTTAGTGTAAAACTCTATTAGCTTTAATACAACACATGGCAATTTGCCCAAGGCAGTTTCTCTAATTCAGTGCCTAGAAATATCCAGTGATTTAACTTCAGTGTCTGAAATCACCAAAGTACTTTCCCATTCCACCAACAGAATAAAGCTGACAGCTCATAAAAGCCATCTTTTGCCCCTTCTAGTTATTTTTCTAGTTAAAGATGAGCTCCATGACCTAATTGCCATCCCTTTGCATTCTAATCTAGTATTTGAGGACAGCAATAAAGATGTAGGTTGTTTCTTATGGATAATTTCCTAAAAATTGAGTGTTTTTAAGTATGAACCTAATATATTTCCTGAAGGACTTAAAGCCTCCTTGTGGTTTATTGGTTTGTTTTAGAAAAAAAAAATTGACTTTCTAAAATAAAATATCTATCCACATCGAAACTAGTAGGGAAATTGATATCAAAATTGTCCTCATAAAGGAGGGGACTATATCCATCAACAAAATTCATCTATCAGTGTTCCTATTTGCATGACCAAGAACATCCAAACTGACTTGATAACAAAATGTGTAATTAAATGTTTGATTTGATAAATTCATCAATTTACTCAAGTTACGCATAGACTGGTTGGGTCACTGCTGAATAAGCCAACACAAATATTGCTGGCATAAGTTGAGACACCACTTATAACTTGGGTACAATTCGGCTACATCGTTTGCTTCATAAAGTATTGCTTGACCCAAGAAACTATCAATTCATATATCCTATCCCAATATATAGCTCAGCTGTGGAATGTCACAGGGCTTCAAAAAAGTAGACGCTTCCCAGCCTTAAAAAATATGCAACCACTCAGCACAACCCAGCCCAATCCCCTTGAGCCTTCTCAAGTTCCCATGACACTTTCTTAAAGTCATTGCACCCACATTCACATTTGCTATTGTCAGAAGAACAAAGAAATCTCTATTGTACTTTGCAAGTGACTGCAATCTGCTTCTCATTACACCTAGGTAACCGTATTAACATCAGAACACCGTAATCCCTACCTACACTCCAATCTGTTCAGCAGCATCTATCCTTGAGAGGTTCAAAGGTATTTGAGATATAGGAAAAACCAAAGTGTTTTCTCTACTCTCCCACACCACTCCCCACTCAACACAGTACTTCTCCTCCAACATAGATGAGTGACTTTTGTTTTTGCTCTTTCTACATATTAATCTATTTTCCAGCAAAGACCAACTGGGTGTTTTATAATTTAATTCTATTCTGACATTATCTATCACAGTCTGCGTGGAGTTAGAGTCAAATCTGAGAAGTTATGGGCTCAGTCTTCGTCTGCAAAGACTGGGCCTGCTTGGGCTGCCAGTTGTAAGTCCCAGGTTGTGACTTGCACTTCTGCCCAACTTCTGGCTATAAATCAGGGGTTTCCATAATCCCTTCCTTGGATTTGATTAATTTGCTAGAGCACCCCTCAGAACTCAGTGAATAAATTACTTATATTTATCTATTTATTATAAAGAATAGTATTAATACAAAGTATACAGATGAACATCCAGACGAAAAAGATGCATAGGGTAAGGCCTAAGAGAAAAGGCATGAAGTTTCCATTTCCTCCTTGGGTGCACCCCCTCCAGGCACCTTTGTGTGTTCAGCAGTTCAGACGCTCTTCCCCAACCCAATCTTTTTGAATTTATACGCAGGGCTTATTTCATAGGCATGATTGATTAAATCATGGGCCACCTTCTCCTCCCTGAAGTTCAGAAGTGGCAGTGAAAGTTCCAACCCTCTAATCACAAGGTTAGTTTCCCTAGAAACCAAACCTCACCTGAGGCTATCCAGTAATCCTTAAAGAATAGCTTCATTAGAGCAAAAGAGGCTTCTATCACTTCCAGGAAACTCCAAGGAATTTAAGCTGTTTCCCAGGAAATGGTGAAGAAGATCACATATTCATGTTTTTATATAAATCACAATATTACAAATAGTGATAAGATTGTCAATCAGGAACCAAACAATAGCTCCAATTTGCTTCCAATCAGTCCAGAGATAAATGGGTGCTAAGTCACAGCTATTCTCTAGATTATCTAATGTAGTCTTTAGACAGGGCCTAAAATCAATAAGCATCTAATTTATCTTCTCCAGACAAAATAGGTCATGTGGTCTCTCCCAGTATGAGCTGTGTGTTTTGCTACATGTGAGACAAAAGTACCTAAGCATATTGTTATTTTTTGTAGATATTCTTTCAGGTAAAGAGCTACTACTTTTTTCCTGACATCATGATCTGTTTTTGAATTTTGTTGCCTTGTCTGTCATAGTCCCCCTCTTTCATATTCTAATAATTTTTATCCATATCCTTCTTCCTCCAGTAGAATATTCTGGTTCAGAAATACTGGCTACCATTGAGCTGGCAATAACATTGTTAAAGCAGGACTTCTTCCTTCACCCAATTTCCAGTGTGATTTGAGAGGTAAAAATTACAAGAATGTCCCTGAAACTTGGCAAGGGGATCACATTCACAATTAGCCTCAATTTAGCAATAAAGAATGAGGTTCAATCCACCCCCAACGTTCCATTTGTACCATATGGAGTCCAATACAGTGTTGCAATTGTCATGTTATATACAGTGATGCCTCCTGATACTTGTACAAGAAAGCAAATCTCTTGCCCTGAAATAAACTAGAATAAAATGAAAGAAAAAAAATCTGAGATAAAGAAGATATACATATGGGTAGTTTTGTCATCTCCCACCCCATCATTTCTCTGTCTTGTGGAGTAGCCCCTAGAGCACCTCTCATATCAACCTAAGACATTGATTTTCTTGGGCATTCTTTCAAGCTCCTTTCTTCTTCTATTTTACATAATATCTTTTATTTGCACATTCCGATTTTTAAAAGACCACTGCTACATTGTTGATATGTCGAATGTGAGATGTCCTTATGTATATTTTTTCCTTATATTTTTATGACAGTTTGTTGCTGTTGTTAGTGGCAAAAAAATACTGTCAATATATAAGCAAAACCATTCAGAGACAAAACTGTCATCTTTACTAAACTGAAAGAAGAACTATTTTACAGAAGCTCTATAGGCTTAAATAAATGATGTCACACAGAAACCCAGGAAGAAAGAAGACCAGAAAGTCTAAATATGTTAGTAAATATAAATGATCTATGTTCAAGATCAGTGGCTTTCAACCACAGATGAGGGCAATTTTGTCCCCCTCTTCATAGAGGGCAGTGTTTGGAAACATTATTTTTATTGTTATGACTGGAGTGAGGAAGGGATTTGCTACTTATATCTAATGGGAAGAGACCAGGAATGGGGCTGAACATACTACAATGTACAGGATACTTCTCCCCAACAACAAAGAAGCATCAAGTACAAAATGTCAATAGTGACAAGGTTGAGAAACTCTAGTCTCTTTCAATGTACGTCTCCTTAAAGACTGTTAGCTGCTAAAGCAAAGCCAAAAAATGTGTAAAAATAGAAATATAAAAATAAATATACAACAGTTCGAAATGCAGTAAGTAGTGATAGATTGTTATAAAATTATTAAAAAGATGAAGTAATATAATTCTTGTAATAGAAACCAAATGAATTACAGATGTGTACTGAAATCTCTAAAGGACCCATCATAAAATAACACAAATAGGCTTAGCTAAAAAACTTATCAGAGGAGATAAAATGGAACAATGAACAATATTTGATTCAACTTTCAAAAGGCAGCACATAAATAATAAAACAAAGAGCAAATGAGAAACATAGAAATTAAATGTCAACAAGTGAACTTAAATCAAAATATGTCAATAACTGCTTGAATGTAAATAGCCTACAAACCTAACTAAAAGGCAGATATTGTAAGGACTGGTAAAAATGTAAGACCTTATATGTTATTCTCCCCTCTCCCCTCAAAAATCACAATTGATACCTAAGGACACAAACAAATTGAAAGTAATACCAAAAAAAAATACATGCAAAAACTATAGGTAAGAAACCTGTTGCGACTATACTAGAATTAGAGAAAATAGATTGTCAAGACCAGAAAATTACTAGAGATTTTAAAAGTACATTTCATAACATAAAAGATCAATTGATCAAGAGAATATAAATACTGTATGTTTGTGCACTCAATAACAAAGTTCCCAAGTATATGAAGCTAAACTGACAAACTTTAATCCCTTCTCTCTGATGAATTGTAAAAGTAGACACAAAGTGGGCAAGGATATGGAAAATTTGAAGAACACTATTAACCAACTTGACTTAATGAATGTATATAAAACACTACACCAAACAAAAGAAGAATACACATCCTTCTGAAGTGGAAGAAAAGTTAGGAAGTATAGAATAATAATACTAGACAACTAGAGAAAAAATGGAAATAATGCTTTGCTATGAAAATCTAGAGGTCATGAGAATTTCAAATATTTTCCTCATGAATATATATCTTTCAAGTATGTTGAAAGAATAAAAATAAATTAATGAAATCATATGAGGGAATTGTATTGAAAAAGCTTACTGACATTAAAATATGGCATAAAGTGCACTGATATAAGTATATATGAACAAATTTAAGATATTTAGAAAATATTTAGAGGAGTTACAGTAAATGTATATTAATACATTAGCAAACGTTGATTTTGATGGTTTTGAACAATGGGGGCTGAGTCCTATAAATTTTTGGCAAGAGGAAATTGCATTGCTTTCACGTTAAAAGAAGATCATAGTCCATAATAATAGAAAGTATATGGTGAGATTGATCCAAAGTCTCATATGGAGGCATATTTTTTAAAAATCCAGCCAGGTACAGTGGCTCATGCCTACAATTCCAACATGTTGGAAGGCTGAGACAGAAGGATTGCTTCAGCCCAGGGGTTTGAGAGTAGCCTGGGGAGTATGATGAGAGCCCATCTCTACAAAACATTTAAAAACTAGCCAAGCATGGTGGCACATCCCTGTGGTCTCATTTACTTGTAAGGCTGTGGCAGGAGGATCCTTTGAGCCCGGAGGTGGAGGCTGCAGTGAGCTGTGTTCACTCCTCTGTATTCCAGCCTTGGTGACAGAGTAAGACCCTGTTTCCAAAAAAAAAAAAAAAAAAAAAAAACCCACAAGGAAACAATAAAATTGGATATGCATATTATGAATTAGATATGCAATATACATAAATTTATCAATTAATTAGTTTCATTTTAAATCAAAAATTATATAATATGCTTCTTTGTATTGTCCCAGGACTTTGAATATATAGTAATTATATATTACTTTGAAATATTTTGCTAAACAAGACACTAATGACAGTAATGTAATTATTTTTCTTAGTAAGAGGTCTTACATGTGCTAGCTAAGCATTTGTTGACTGAACGAATGTATTTTATCCATGTTTATCTTGAAGTTTAGAATATATAATTCCATTAGGGCCAACCATCATTGAGGTCATTGTGATATTGCTATTTTAAGAACATATTAGTTTGCATATTCAGTTTATTTTGAACAAATGCATAAAGTATCAGAAAAACACAAATAAACTCTCTAAATGCAACTGTTAAAAAAAGAAATTACCACAGAGCATGCAATTATTGCATTATAACCATGAAAAATTAAATTACAGTTTCTGTTCAGTATTGAATTTTTCACTTTTTGATATTAGAGATAAATCACATTTTAAATTTAATTAGTGGCAATACGATAAGAGAAGTTTTTGAAGTCAATTTTTTCAATTAAAATGAAAATTTGAAGAAATAGCAAACACAGAGCAAATTTTCTCACTGTTCTTTATTGAAAATATGCCTATCAATAATTAAAGGGTTATTTTATGACACATTGTGCCTTGCATAAATCTCCCATGTGACTGTTATTTGTAATCCTCACAATAATCACTTAGACAACTTTGGCCTATAAACACTTAAGATCAGTAGTAAAACAAAGACATTTATGTCAAATATTGACATGTGTATAGCATGTCTATTTTATGTTTATTTCATCACACCCTTCTGAAGGATGTCTTTATTCAGCCATAGAAACACAAGATAATACAAGTCAAGGACACTTTAGAAACCATAAAATCTAATCTTATGTTAATTTTAAAACACAGAAAACTGAGGTTCTAGAGAAGATAAATGACTTGAACAAGGTCAGGAAGCTAATCTAGGGCAGAGCAAGGAATCATATGTAAACGTGAAAAAATGACTAACCTCTTTTATGTTGGGCAAAGAACTGTGTAAATTTTCTCGGCATGCATGAGTGATTTTCAATCTGGTAACTCCGTCATAAAATTCAACAAACTTGTCAGCACCAAGTTGTTTCAGATTTTACATAGCATGTTGATCACAATTCATTAATAATTTCTTTCCATTATGAATTTAAAATATAATTAAACATTGATAGTCATTATCAGGACTGAACACATGGTGTATGCATTGCCATTTCTGCTGGTAAAGTCAGCATCTGAGCTGTTCTAACGATAAAAGGGGAAAGAACAAACAAAGTGAAGAGAGTTGACATCCATGTGATGCTGAAAATATTACGTTATAAAGCTGGCTGGATATCTGAAAGTTACAGACCTAGAATTCCGCTTCCAAGTGAAAGCGGCAGCTGGCTGAAGAACAGTGGACAAAGAGAATGATGAATCAAATCAAGGTTTGATGTAAAGTAGAACACAGGGAGCAAACATTTTAGTTCTTTTGTGGTAAGATTTATTTCCTTCCCGTTTTTCAGAGAGTAAAAAACTGCTTCAGAATGCTATGCACACTATTGTATCCTGCCCACTGAATTTCCTTCTTTACGCTTTTTTCTCATTTATTTCCCGTGAGACTAAGTCCTACCTCCTAGTCCTGTGCATAGTGTCCAAGCGGTTGCATTTATTTATTCTGAAAGGAAAGTTTGTAAAGAAAGTTGTAGGAAATGGGAAAAAAAAAGATATCATATTCTTTCCTTTTTTCACTTCAGCTGCAAGACACAAATAAAATATTTGGGTAAATATTACTCGTTTTGTTCAAAATATGTTTTTCTAAAAAAATGTGTAATTACGTTGTGATAATTTTGGAGATTTACGGTGATGCAAAAATAAAGAATTGGTGTTAGGATATTTGAATTTTATTAATGTTAGTCATTTCCTTAGATGAAAATTAAAATGAAGAGCTAAAAAGTATGACGTTGCTAAGTGTTTTTTATCGTTTAAAAATTTCTAGCAAATCCTTCTGTAAAAGAAAGGTGTTCATTATGCAAAAGGTTACCAACAAACTCTTTTAAATGTATTCATTTTTCTTGTACTTCAAAGGTTGTCATCAAATATTTTAATTAGTAAGTGGGATATAATAATCTAAAGGTGGGCTGGACGTGGTGGCTCACACCTGTAATCCCAAAACTTTGGGAGGCCAAGGCAGGTGGATCACAAAGTCAATAGTTGGAGACCAGCCTGACCAACATGGTGAGACGCTGTCTCTACTAAAAATACAAAAATTATCTGGGCATGGTGGCAAACACCTGCAATCCCAGCTACTCAGGAGGCTGAGGCTGGAGAATCGCTTGAACCCAAAGGTGGAGGTTGCAGTGAGCTGAGATTGTGCCACTGCACTCCAGCCTGGGCAACAGAGCAAGACTCCGTCTCAAAATAAATAAATAAATACAATAATAATAATAATCTAAAAGTGTTATTCCAGTTGATCACTGCTCTCACTTCAAGAAACAGTTGAATTAGTTTCCATATTTTAACCTATATCATATATGATAAGCCCCGTACTAAAAAAATTACAACCTGATCTTGGCTACAACATGACCATAACATCTTAGCAAAACAGAGGCTGCAGGAAAAGTACAAGAAACATTATCTAGACCAAATGTATGTGAACTTTTAAAAAATTAGTCACTGTCAGTAGGCCTGTAGCTATGAAAGTCATATTAAGAAAAGAAAATAATACAAAGTTGAGTCACTGAAATGCAATTCACATTTGATTCATAACTTAAACCTTTTATTAATTATTGCTTTATCACTTAAAATATGAAGAACTGGAAATTCTACATTATCCAGTGATCTGTATTTTAAAGGTGTTATTTTACCGATATTTGACATTTGATTCTAGGTGCCTTAAAATGTATCATATAATATTGAAGCCATTCTCTACCAAAGAAACCAGATTGATGAAAAGCTATGGATTAGATCTCCTGTTATTCCCTCTACTATTCCAGAAGTACTTATAATACTAAAAGAAACAAATACTCATTCTTAGAAAATTTTTCTAAAATTTTATCATTTCCAAATTTTAGGAATGTTGTAGCAATCACTATAGATAAGAGGCAGTGTGACAGTTTGTAAGTTAAAAAAAAAGAAAATAAAATAACACTGCACTAATTTGAACATATTTAGAGATGAATAGCAAACCAGAGGGAAGAGACCATGATCAGGAAAATCCTTGATAATAAACAATGAAGAAGTATTTCAGGCAGTTCTTCACAGTGTGATGTATATGTGATTATTATCTTTCAGTGTGAACAAGACTCCAAAACTTTACCAGAAAGAGAGAGGGGATGTGGCCTACTAGCTTTTCCCAAAGTTACCCCATTGTTAATCTTCTTTGTTCCTTTAAGGATAAAAACACTGTGTATGGTAGCAGGATGAATGATCAAGCTAGATTTGGGGAACGGGAGGAAGTAGGTGTTTTCCTCATATATCTTTGATAAGAAGTATGAAAGTAATTTTGTTGTTGCCAAGTTCACATATAAATATACCTGTTTTAGAGATGCAGCCATGCATTGTTTAAAAATGGAGATATGTTCAAAGAAATGTATCATTAGAGTATTTTGTCATTGTGTGAACATCATAGAGTGTGCTTACACAAAACAAGATAATATAGCCTACTACACACCTAGGCTATATGGTATATCTTATTGCTCCTGGGCTACAGGCCTTGACAGCGTGTTATTGTACTAAATACTCAAGCAATTGTAGCACACCGAAGTATTTTTGTATCTAAACATATCTGAACATAGAAAAGGTACAGTAAAAATATGATATTATAATCTTATGGGATCACTGTCATATATGTGGTCTATTGTTGACCAAAGCATCCTAATGTAGTGCATGACTATAGCTTATTAATGTTAAAAATTAATATTGGGGAATTAAATATATATTTCATACCATGAATCATAATAGTATACTTCTCTGAATGATATAAGCCTACTATCTTTGGGTTTAATTTGTTTTCATCCATGCTTGCTCAAAAGAAAAATCAGCATTGCTTGTTTCTCTGCTTTATTGAAACTGTAATTTGAGATGGAATGTCATTGCATCTCATTGATTATTATTTTTATAACTATTTAAATACGTTTTTGTGTATATACATTTATATATATTTGTGTATTTCATAAATATCTATCATCTATCTTGACATGTTTAACTTTTTTCTGCTAAAATATTCTAAAACCTAATCATGAATTTGAGTTTGAAGGTTAGCATGAAGATTTTTGTTGATGTGAAACATTTTTATTTCTTTTTTCAGCTAAACATTTGTTTGACAACATGCAAGTTCACTTTGAAAACCAGAAAGATTAAGTGCCTAAAATTTAAATACAGCAGCATTTTCAACAGAGCATGCTGTGGCAATATAATGCATTTAGAATTAGGATTACAGAGGTGAATTTCACTTCATATTCAAATCACATTCTAACTAGAGTGATAATTACATAACCCAGTGTCCATATTCAAATTACAATCTAACTAGAGTGATAATTACATAGCCTGATGTCCAGAATTAAAGAGAAGAGTTACTCAAAGTCAACCAGTATAATGTATATATAGAAGTAAATGTATGCATGAGAGTGCGCATGTGTATATGTTTTAACCCCATCAGAAACTGGATTTCTTATTTTTCATAATTTTTAGAGAGTATGCATCTTAGTAAGTAAAAACAACTACAGCATTGACTAACAAATGGTAGCATTAAGAATAAATAAACTCTCTACCAATATTACCAGGAAACATTAGAGCAATTAGAAATAAATATAAGATGGTGCACAGAAAGAACATACACACCGTGGTCAAATAGATCTGAATTAGATATTCTAATACATAAAAATGTGAGTTCATGTAGCAATAACTTAACCTCCTTGAGCCTCATTTTTTTCATTTTAAAAATATGGATTATAAAAGTCTCTCAAGATTGTTAGCAGAATATAAATCATAGATAACAGATGATAGATAAAAATATAGTTTGTATTTATAACCCTTAGCTAGAATTTATAGATTATCACAGGAATTTACTACATAGTTGCTACAGTTATTATTACTAAGTGTATTACTTTTAAGTCTTTGTTATTTGAAAGTGTCATTAACTAATATCTATTGAACAACACTGATTGACTGATTGATTGATTGAGACAGAGTCTTGCTCTTGTTCCCCAGGCTGGAGTGCAGTGGCACGATCTGCTCACTGCGACCTCCGCCTCCCGGGTTCAAGCAATTCTCCTGCCTCTGCCACCCAAATAGCTGGGATTACAAGCACCTGCCACCATACCCGGCTAATTTTTGTATTTTTAGTCGAGACAGGGTTTTGCCATGTTGGTCAGGCTGTTCTTGAACTCCTGACCTCTGGTGATCCACCCACCTCGGCCTCCCAAAGTGCTGGGATTACAGGCATGAGCCACCGCGCCCAGCCTTGAGCAACATTAATTAAACATATACTATATTTGTCAGAAGTTCAGTTTATTACTACAGGAATAAAGCCAATGGGTTATGGTGCTCAAATTTCTCATGTTCTTAGTTCAGTTCCTCTACAATATTTGACTAAGTATATATTCTGATAATTAAATATTCTAATAGAGACAGTATCTGTAGCACACGTACCTCTAATTTTAAATAATTGCAATGCAAATAATAATTTATAAATAAACATATTATTTCATATATCAGTGACTATTCAGAAAATACTTGGTTATGATTACAAACTTCTTTCATTTTGCAATGAAAATGAGTAATGAAACATTGGTGAATGTATTTTAACACAGAAATACCTCTTGCAAGTTGTTATTTGAATAATTCAATATCATTAACAGTTTAAAGTTTCATTGGCTCTTTCTACTGTATAGTTGAACTTTCATGATTAATAGGAAAGGACTCCATGTTGCCAAATATAACTCAGCCAATTATAACATTTGAATTAAAAAGTGAGTTTTATTTCAATTTTCTTTCAAGTTAATTCTGATTTAAGATTTTATTTTCTTCTATAATTAGTTTAAGTAGGTGTTTTTGCAACACACATTTAATTATTGCAACGAATAACTAAATTTTAATAGAAGAAATTGCATAGTTTTGTTCTGGAACAACAGTTTTTAATGTCAAATTAATGATTTATACATGTATTGCGTATGCATACTTTAATAATGGTAGAAATTGACATTTTTAATTTTATGTATGAATTCTATATTCTAAATTTTGCATGAATTTGCATTGACATTTAAATCTAGAGTTTATCATATGGAATGCTCAATAATGTAAAAATAATACATTTATTTTTAGTTTTTTTATGAAAGCCTTATCCTTAGGATAAATAGATAATCAAAATAATAAGAACTATCATTATTGCTTTTATGTATTTCCACTAAAAATAAGGCAGTTTATATCTATCTAGTATTTATCATAGACATGGTTACTTGTGTGTTAATTTTATTATTTTCTTAATCTCAAAAGTGATACATGGATACCCAAGTAAAGTTACATGAAAGCAGCTAAGCAATTTTTTAATGATCAGCAGAAAACCAAGTTTAATGTGAATAAAATAAAAAGCAGTGATAAATAGGACAAAAGAGGGGGAAGACGAAATCCTGAATGGCTATTACAAAAGACTCCCAACACAGGACATTAAAATGGGAGCCACTGATGAGTTCAACAGATTCCAAGGATTCACTACTATCTTTAAATCTGTTGCTAACCTCAGGGAATATTTATTTATTTATTTATTGTCGGGGGGTGTTTTTTCCTTTTCTGATAATTAGGTGGAATGATTTACTGCTGAAACTGAAAGAATACAGACAGAGCAAGAAAAGCACACCAGGATTTCATATAAACAGGGAAAAAATCTGAAGAGAAAAGGCATACAAATATTTCTCTACTATCTGGATAAACAAACATGCTTTGTGCAGGAAATGTAACAAATTAACAGATGAGGAACAGTAGCAAAATATTCCAAGAAGTATTGACACAAATATAGTTGAGTTACTCACAACATTCAAGCTACAGAAAAGTAAATAAAACTGTTGACTTTTAACTAGAGGGAATCAAACTCCATTAAATATAATGCAATGATAGTAAAGGAAAATTAATTTGATAATAGATTATTTGGTGAAAGTTGATTATGTTAAGCATAATACAAATTCTTGAAATATATTACAAACACGAAAATTTAAAATTATCTAGCACATAGAAGAAATGCAAAGAATCCATCCGAGAAGGAACGAAAGAAGATAATACTGCTCTTCAACATTGCAGTGACAGTATTAGATCACTGAGGCAGAAAACTATCAAAGATATTTGGGACCTGAACTCAGCACTTGACCAAATGTACTTAACATACATATATAGAATTTTCCACCTAAAAACAACAGAATATATATTCTTCTCATGTTCACATAGTACATACTCTAAAATCGACCACACAATTGGCCATGAAACAATTCTCAGCAAATTAAAAAAAATAAATAACACCAATCACCCGCTCAGACCACAGCACAATAAAAACAGAAGTCAATACTAAGAACATCAAAACCATACAATTACATGAAATTAAACAACCTGCTCCTTAATGACTTTGGGGTAAACAATGAAATTAAGATAGAAAACAAGAAATTCTTTGAAACGAATGAGAACAAAAATACAACTTACCAGGATATAGCTAAAGCAGTGTTAAGAGAAAAGTTTTTAGCACTAAAAGCTCACATCAAAAAGTTAGAAAGATATCAAATAACAACCTAACATGACACCTAGTAGAGCTAGGGAAACAAAAGCAAACCCACCCCAAAGCTAAGAGAAGACAAGAAATAACAAAACATCAGAGCTGAACTGAATGAAATTGAGATCTAAATACAAACAAAAGATCAAAAAATCCAGGCAGTTTTTTGAAAGAATAAATAAGATTGATAGACTTCTAGAATAATAAGGAAAAAAAGAGAGAAAATCCAAATAAACAAAATCAGAAATGTCAAAGGTACCAGTGACTCCATAGAAATACAAAATCCCTCAAAGACTGCTATGAACACCCCTATGCATATAATCTAGAAACCTAGAAGAAATGCATAAATTCCTGGAAATATACAATCTCCTAAGACTGAAACAGGCAGACATTGAATCCCTGAAAAGGGATTGAATGAGTTACAAAATTGATTCAGTGGCAAAAAGCACACTAACCAGAAAAGGCCCAGGACCACACAGATCCACAACTGAATTCCACCAGATGTAAAAGAAGAGTTAGCGCCATTCCTACAGAAATTATTCCAAAAAACTGAGGATGAAGGACTTCCCTAACTCATTATATGAGGCCTGCATCATTCTGATACCAACACCTGGCAGAGGCACAACAATAAAAAAAGAAAACTTCAGGCCAATATCCTTGATAAACATAGATGCAAAAATCCTCAACAAAATACTAGCAAACCAAATCCAGGAACACACCAGAAAGCCAATCCACCATGATCAAGTAGACTTTATCCCTGGGATGCAAGGGTGATTCAACACATACAAATCAATAAATGTTATTCATTGCATAAAAACAACTAAAACAAAGCCCATATGATCATCTCAATAGAAGCTGAAAATGCTTTTGAAAAAATTCAACATTGTTTCGTGTTAAAAACCCATAACAAACTGGCACTGAAGGAACATATCTGAAAATAATAAGAGCCATCTATGACAAACTCAGCCAACAGCATACTGAATGGGCAAAAGCTGGAAGCAGTTCTCTTAAGGACCAGAACAAGACAAGGAAGCCCACTCTCACCTCTCCTATAGAAGAAAATACTGGAAGTCCTAGCCAGAGCAATCAGGCAAGGGAAAGAAATAAAATGCATCCAAATAGGAAGAGAGGAAGTCAAACTAACCCTGTTTGCAGATGATACGATTCTATACCTAGAAAAAAAACATAGTCTCTGCCCAAAAGTTTCTAGATCTCATAAACTTCAGAAAAGTTTCAGGATACAAAATCAATGTACAAAAATTTCTGTACACCAACATTTCTATACACCAACATTGCTGCATTTCTATACACCAACAATGCCTGGCCTGAAAGCCAAATCAAGAATGCAATCCAATTTACAATAACCACAAAGAGAATAAAATATCTAGGAATACAGCTAACTAGGGAGGAGAAAGATCTCTACAATAATTACAAAACACTGCTAAAAGAAATTAGTGATAACAAACAAGTGGAAAAACATTCCATGTACATTAATAGGAAGTATCTAAATTGTTAAAATGGCCATATTTTCCAAAGCAATTTACAGATTCAATGCTATTACTATCAACCTACCAATGACATTCTTCACAGAATTAGAAAAATCTATTTTAAAATTCATAAGAAACCACAAAAGAGCCTGAATAGCCAAGGCAATAGGGCAATAGTAAGCAAAAAACACAAAGCTGGAGGCATCATGTTACTTGAATTCAAACTGTATTACAGGACTAGAGTAACCAAAACAGCATGGTACTGGTACAAACACAGACACATAGACCAATGGAACAGAATAGAGAAATAATGCCGCACAAGTACAACCATTTCATCTTCAACAGAACAAAAAAAACAAAAAACAAAAAACAAAAAATAAAAAAACAAGCAATGGGGAAAGGACTCCACATTGAATAAATGGTGCTGGATAACTGGCTATTCATACGCAGAAAATTGAAACTGGACACCTACCTTAAAGCACATACAAAAATCAACTCAAGATGTATTAAAGACTTAAGTGTAAAACCTAAAACTATTCCCTGAAAAATAACAGGAAATATCATTCTTGTCCTAAAGGCCGTGACAAACATTTTATGATAAAGATATCAAAAGCAATTGCAACAAAAGCAGTAATTGACAAATATGACCTAATTAAACTAAAGAGCTTCTGCACAGCAAAACAACAACAAACCTCAAAGAGATAACCTACAGAAATGGAGAAAATTATTTGTAAACTATGCATGTGACAAAAGTCTAATATCCAGAATCTATAAGGTACTTAAACAAAATAACAAGCAAAAACCAAACAACCCTATTAAAAAGTGAACAAAGACATGAACAGACACTTTTCAAAAGAACACATACATATGCCCAACAAGTATGTGAAAAAATGCTCGACATCACTAATCATTAGAGAAATGCACATCAAAACTACAATGTGATACCTTTTCACACCAGTTAGAATGGCTATTATTAAAAAAATCAAAAATAACATATACTTGTGAAGTTGCAGAGAAGGAGGAATGCTTACACACTGCTGGTTGAAATGTAAATTCATTCAGCCATTGTGGAGAACACTGGCAATTTCTCAGAGAACTTAAAACAGAGCTACCATTCAACCCTGCAATCCCATTATTGGGTATTGTTCTAACAATGAGGTTATTAGAACATAACAATAATTATAATTCTACAGAAAGACACATGTTCACGTATGTTCATCACAACACTATTCACAATAGCAAAGACATGGAATCATCCTAAATGCTCATCAGTGGTAGACTGGATAAAGAAAACATAGTCCATATTCACCATGGAGTTCTATGCAGCCATAAATCAGAATGAAATCATCTCCTTTGCAGTAGCATAGATGGAGCTGGAGGCCATTATTCTAAGTGAACTAATTCAGGAACAAAAAACCACATGCCACATGTTCTCACTTATAAATGGGAGCTAAACACTGGGTACACATGGATACAAAAAAGGGAACAACAGACAACAAGGCTTACTTGAGGGTGGAGTGTGGGAAGAGGGTCAGGATGGAAAACCTACCTGTTAGGTATTATGCCATTTACCAGGGTGATGAAATAATCTACATAGCAAACCCTTCTGACATGCAATTTACCTATGTAACAACCCTGCCCATGTACTCCTGAACTTAAAATTGAAAAAACAAATTCCTTTCTAATGCTTTAAAACTGGAAACACTTTAAATTCAACAAGAATTTAATTAGAGTTAACTAGTAAATAATAAAAAAAAAGATTGAGATAAAAGAGACATTGGTGAGTTTACAAAAACAAATTGAGAGACAAAACACTATCATTATAGGAAATCAAATAAATGAAGAAAAAGCTGGAACTCTTACATATATGACAGGGTTAATAGGAAAACAATTACAGTAAATTTGAAGAAAAACTGAAATAGAAAATTTCCTAAGGTGTAATGCATGAAAGCTTTAGGAATGGCAGGAACTTTAGGTGAAGCTCCAAATAACATCCAACATTTATATAAATAAATAAATCAAACAAACAAAAGTTGACATAGAACTTTCAATAATACAAGTTATTCTGTAGAATTCAAGAAGTCCTTAATAAGTAATAAAGAAAAGAAGAGTTCATGTGTTTTGGTGGTTGGTAAAGGCAGAAATAAGCATGGCATCAGTTTTCTTCATAGGAGCTTTCAAAGTACCAAGACAACAGAAAAATGTTTACAAAATTCTCAGGAAAAAATAAAAGAGCATGAACCAAGAATACTATTCTCAGCTAATGCTTAAATAATAAATTAATAAGCAAACATTCTCAATTGCTGAATAACTCAAACATGGAGAGAGAGACTTCTGAGTGATAAGATTTAGCCAGTTAAGAGAGCAATTCAAATTTGAAATTCCCTGAGTTCCCCTCCCAAAAATTGTTCATCACCATATCACTTATCCATTGTTTGTAACAAATTACTCCACCACTTAGCAGCCTAAGAAATATCACACATGCATGTTTACCCACTTTCTGTGCATTAAGAAAATTGGTATATCTTAGCTGGGTCCTTCACTTTAAAGTTCTCTCAGGCTGCCATCAGAGTACTGGCTGAGAATCCATAATCCAAAAATCCAAAATCTGAAATGTTCCAAAATCTGAAACTTTTTGAGTGTCAATGTAATGCCACAAGTGGAGATTTCCACACATAGGTACTTAACAGAAACTTTGTTTTATGCACCAAATTTTTTAAAATACTGTATAATACTACCTTCAGAGTATGTGTATAAGGTTGATATATTTTAGCTCTGTGTCCCCACATCCTATCACTTTGGGTGTATTCTATCTGTTTGGAAATAGTCACTAGGTCCAAACCAGCCCTAAAGAAAGGATATTATTTAAGAAAGAGGATATTACAAATAGTGGATCTTTAGGAAGTGTTTTACAAATGGCCTTCCATAATCTACTGCAGATTCACCATTACATTGAGAACTACTAGAAATCTTAGGTAAAATAATAAAAACAAATCTTTTTGAGGGCATTAGAGAATTTTCAATGCATCAAAGAATTGTAGGACTGATATTCCAATGAGAAGGGACACACAGATAATTGAGTTTAATATTCAGCAACATTTTGATGAAAAAATAAAAAAAAACTAAGCAGAGATTTTCACAAATTGTCAGAGTTAAGAAAAAATATTAACATTCAAGTACCGTCTAGGAGGAGAGACTTTGTTTACACACACCAGACTTTTAGTTTGCAACTCACAGAACTACATCCTAGGAGTAAGAGAAAGCCACAAGTAGAATGGCCCAGTGTTATAAAATTCTAGTATCTAATACAAATGAAATAAAAGTTTTGAAGTAAAGGCAAAAGCAAACTTGGAAGATGGAAGTATAATTGGAAAAATAGGTAAAAGCATTTTGATTACAGAACAGGTAATTTTTTCTCAGTCAAAATTAAACTGCTATGCAGAAACCTCAACTTATTTCAAAAATTATATGTTGAAATATAGGCCAAACTAATCACCTTAGAAATAGACATACAAAAATATAATTTGGGTGAGTTGCTTCACATAAAAAGAATTTTCTGTATTCTAATAAAAACTGCAATCAAATTCTCATAAACCAAGAAATGTACATCACCATTGCAGTTCATTGTGTTAGAAGTTCACTTACACAAAATTTCAGAATAAATGTCTACCTGAATAGTTCGCCTCCATTACGTCCTAACCAGTTTGAATTTTGTTTTGTACATTTACGCAGTTGTGCTTAAGTATTTATACTGGAAATGCTATAGTGTGTTTTCCTGTTTATATTACGCACATAGACAAGGTGGAGATATATAACAAAATCGAGACTTATGTCACCAAAATCTTTGTAAAATACATCAGACATATTCAAAAAAAGAAACAATATTCACTGTCCCACTAAGCACTTCGTACAATTCATAACTGTCTGAAAATTACAAAATTAAAACTATAATCATGCCATTCAGAGCCATTCAATGTTCATCTTCTCACCTGCAGTGATGGGAGAGAAAAGGAATAAGTTCTGTTCAAATGAAACCTAGTTTCATAATTTTGTCATCTAAGCTAACGCTACATAATATCTCAGGAATCTTTCTAAATTATCAGTTTACATTTCTTCCACTTATAAGTCATATATATAAAATTAGCACCCATGAGGAACAACCACGTGCCAAAAATCTATCCATTTTGCCATAAAGTGTAGTCTTTTTCCAATTCCCTCTACCAGGATTTTCTGGGATTTCACAAATATGCTTATCTATTTCACATGGTATCTTTATGGCTCACATCAACTGAGCAGCAGTATACTTACTCCACACTACAGTCTTTTCCACTTTCTACTGACCACTGCTTGCTGTGTTTTAAATTCTCAGGCCTCCAACATTTACCTCCATGATGCGTTTCCACAAGACTCATCATGAATCACCTTTCCCATCCCTTGATTCCTTAAAACTCAGCCATCACTAGATTGTAATTTAAAAACGATGAACAATCAAAGAAAAAACAAACAAATATTTAGAAATAAATAACAGCATGTCATCATAATGAAGTAAGAATTAGTTATTGTTGGAGCCCATTGACTCATATCATCAGAATCACTTGCTGAACTTCATATTGTGAAGAAACCTGACCCAAGGCCGCCAACCGGTTGTCCTTGGGAATAGGAGAAAATCCGTTTCCTCTCAGCTGAAGGCCTGCTTTTTCACTCTTTGCTGTCTGAAGTACTGGAGGATGAAATGTCTATTTTCTCAGAAAAAAATCAAAATCCACTCTCCCCTGCCTCTGCCACCTCAGACTGTGTCTCATATCTGTGCCTCAGACATGACCATTCCCTAAACTGCAGGATAGCTTTAAAAGCTGGTTTATTCATACTTACACAGCATTTTTGTTGAGGGGGTAAACAGAAATCTAATTCCATATGTTTCTTAGGCTCTTTTATGGTGTTCCTTTAGTGTCATGGGGAGAAAAACTCAGGCTCGCGTTCCCTTTTAATATGGTGTGGATTTCTAACTTCTTGTGAGCAAAGGCTTCTACAACAACACAAACCCTTCCCTGGAAAGATGATGTTCAAGAATGTATTAGTCTGAGTTTTCCATTCAGAGAAACTGACAAACATAAAAACAAGCACATCTTTTGTTTAATTCTCAAATGAAGTAGTTTTGAAAATATATCTAATTTATAATAAAATAACTCTTTTGATTATGTCTTTCATTTTCTGACCTATAAGAACCCTGGGTTCTTAATGTGTGATGAAGCCTGAATAAATTAGGAGAGTGCCTTGACAAAAACCTGGGACATGACTGCCCAGGTATATACTGTTATTGCTTTCTATGAAAATAAAATTAGTATCAAATAACTTTAATCTAAGGGAGACTAAAGAAGGTAGACCTCGTATATTGGTAAACATGTAGCCTCAGGTAACACTGAAAATAACAAAATACTTGGTTTGGGCACTAAAGGGAAAGATAAAATGACTATTTTAAGTATAGACCTGAGATCTTGAACAAATTTATATCCACAATCGTTGGTTTCTTTGCTAAAAGAGTAGAATTATCACCAGAAAAAAATCCAAGGTATGATGACTCCTTTATCTATTAGGCTATGTGATTTAAAAGGATATTGTACATGTTTGGGATCAATAGAATTTTTGTGGGTTTAGCCAGAGACATGATCAGGCTCTTTCTGTTCTTGTCTTTCCCAACTAATCGTTTGCATCTGAGGTTTCCACTGATATATGACCTGGTTGGTGTAGTACTGAGAGATCTAGGATTTTATTCCTGTAACTATTCTCAATCTCTCTCAATTTCTGCCTTCGGCTTTGGAAAGTTTTATAAGCACTAATAGTTGAGTCAAAGGCTTATAGTTATTTATGCAGGATTTTTCATGGCTCTGATGGGTTTTGTTTCAGTAAATAATTGAGATTCTGGGTTTTCTGGCCACATAGGAGGGTATGCAAACAGGTCAAAATGAAGGGTAGAAGGAGAGGTAAATAAAGGAGCATAAGACGGGAAAACAAAAATTGTGAGAGAAAGGTTATTGGGTTAAGTTTTTCAAATTTTTAATTTGTTTTGGTTAAAATGTCTTTTAAGAAAACAAATGTAAAATATGCATTTTCTTTGGAACCTTCTTCATACCAAGACAAATAGAAGACAATGGGATGTTTTGCTTCCTTTTGGTCGCCAAATGCCTTTCAAATGGCAAAAGAAAAGATTATGTAAAAAAAAAAAAAAATCCCAAAGATATCACCAGGAGCTTAAATTACCTGGAAAAACTATGACATATAGAAAGAGGCATAGAGAAATGTGGCTTATAATGTGATTATGCATCATGAGCACAAGTGTAACCCACAGGACATGCATACTTAGACTGAATCAAACCTCTGAAAGTTTGGTAATAGTTGGCTCTAAGTTTTGTTTCTGCTTGTTATGTTTGGAGCTTGTAAACTAAGGTCTGCTTGTCTTAAATCCTAAACACAGCAACCTGTGAGTCCCAGGAGAAGGAAAGTCTGCAGGATGGACCTCTCCCAGAACCACACTCCCACTGACAAAACAAGACTAAACTAAGGAATGTTCTCGAATGTTTTTGATATGGAATTCAAAGGAAAATGTGTCCTGCAGTGATGCTGATCTGAGAAGACCGCCTGAACACACTGGCCTGAGGATTGTGCTAAAGAGGAATTTCTTGTTTCCTCTACCAATCCTACTTCTTATAAACTTGTTCTTAGAGAATTATGACAAAGAAGACAGACAAGCACAAAAAGTAAGATTTTTAGTAATGAGGCAGGTATCCACCAAGAATAAAAATTTTTCTTGGCATGAAAGTCATGTCAACTCTGACAGTTCAATAGTACTCATATTCATTTGAATAGTCTTAATGTGCTGTGTGGCTGTATACGACTAACTTCTCACATATGACCTATACATCCATGATTTATGTAAACAAATGCTTAAAAAGAAGTACCAGAAAGGTACACACTCAAAAAATAAAGATACATACAGCTAGTGTGACAACTGGCAACAAAGATGGTGATCATAGAAAACTGTCTTCATTTTTGTATTCTGAAATTTGTATTTTAGTAATATTTATATTTTGATGGTGTAATTAAATGTAAATATATATTTAAATTTACTTTTTCTGGGCTATTATTTCTTTGTACTGTCCTATAGAAGTTATAATTAAACCATGTAGTGAGTAAATTTTTAATTAAAAAATTAATCGTTCACAAAAATGATTTTTTCTGAACTATCATTATTAATATTCAAACTTAATTATCTAAACTCTATTAAGCCAAATTTTGTAAAAAGCATGTTCAAAATCCAAAAGCAACACAAATGCTAAAAAGTGACAATTAAAATAGATTTAGTATAGATGTATTTAAATAACAAATATTAAAACTAAGGTTTCAGTCTCATGTGGGCTGAATGTGGTTTCTCTTAGTAAGTAAATCAAAAGGTTTATAGCTTAATTTTCCAATATCTTTCATGACTCACAGATGTTTCATAGAAACTTTGGTTTGTTTCCTGATGTGTTAAGTTGGCTATATTATATTTCTTTAAATTAATGTGTATGTATAATATATATGTGTATTTTTATTCTCATATACATTTTAACACATGAGAGTTTGGGTGTTAATAAAGATTTATATGTGCATTGGTTTGCTTTGGCTGCCATAACAAAGTACTTAGTGGCTGTATTAGTCCATTTTCAAGCTGCTGATAAAGACATACACAGGACTGGGTAATTTACATAGAAAAAGAAGTTTGACGAACACAGAGTTCCACATGGCTGGGGAGGCCTCACAATCATGGCGGAAAGCTAAAGGCATGTCTCACATGGTGACAGGAAAGAGAGAAATGAGAGCCAAGTGGAAGAGGTTTCTCCTTATAAAACCATCAGATCTTAGGAGACTTATTCACTACCACAAGAACAGTATGGGGGAAACCACTCCCATGACTGAATTATCTCCCACAAAGTCCCTCCCACAACACATGGGAATTATGGGGGCTACAATTCAAGATGAGATTTGGGTGGGGATAAAGCCAAACCCTATCAGTGGCTTAAACAATAGAATTTGATTTTCTAATAATTCTGGAGGAGAAATTCAAAATCAAGGTGTCACAGCTTTGTTTTTTCTGACGTCTCCCTCTTTGGCTTGCACATGGCCACCTTCACTGTGTGTCCTTAACTGCTGTTTCTCTGTCTATATGCATCCCTGGTATCTCTCTTGAATGTCCTAATCTCCTCTTCTTACAAGGACATCAGTTTTATTGTATTAGGGCCTGCTTTGACAGCCTCATTTATAACTTAATTCATTAATGGCCCTGTCTCCAAATACAGTGCTTCTGATGTACTGGTGGCTAAGGCTTTAATATATTAATTTTGAAATAACCCAAATTCACACTGGTGTGTTTTAAAAATATATTTACTGGGCATGATGGCCTATAATCCTAGCACTTTGGGAGGCTAAAATGGGAGGACTGCTTGAGTCCAGGAGTTTGAGATCAACCTGGACAACATAGTAAGACTCCATCTCTGCAAAAAATAAAAATTAAAAGTTAGCCAGGAATGTGGGCATAGTTCTGCAGTCCTAGATACTTGGGAGGCTGAGGTGGGAGGATCACTTGAGCCTGGGAATTTGAGGTTGCAGTAAGCCGTGATCATGCTATTGCAGTCAGCCTAGGCAACAGAGTGAGATCTTGTCTCAAAAAAAAAAGATGGATAATTATGTAACTAAAATTAAATGTATTCACTGTAGCTCAATTACATAATAGAGGAAAGACATGAAAAAATAATCTGTAATTCCAACACTTTAAAATAGATATAGACAAATATGACATATTTAATGACATAAAATAATGCATTTTGTGGTTATGTAAACAGTGCCCTAGAGTTAATTTTAGGTAATGTACAATGTTTTACTACTATATACACATGTGTACATATATGTATCTCTTTCTACAATATGTCTATATATAATTAGTCCATATTTCATATCATTCTTCTTCTAACTTGAAATGTATTTATAATTGGCTAATCATTTTTTCACAGTGTAAGAATAATTCATACTGTTAGAATAATTAATTGGGAGACTATTAGACTGACTTGGCTCTAGGTTTTAACTTAATCAAATCAAGACCCATTTCAGAATGAACAGTCATAGCCCAGGAAATCAAAACTTAAGTGTAACGAATCAGAAACTACCAACTGCCCTTTAACTAGGGACTTTCCCAATCAGAAACTGCCAAATAACTTCTAACAAGGGACTTTCCACTGTAATCAATCAAATATTTCCTTTGAACACCTTGTTCCATGAACACCTTATAAAAGTTTTTCCTTCACATTCCCTCATGGAGGCCTGGACCACTGTACTGCCTAAATCATCAATAAACATTTGTTCATTTGTAAACACTTTAACATTTTAATGCACCCATTTTGTTTTAACAGTTTTTATATCAGCATTGTAGGCATAGCTATTTTATCATATTGAGGTACTACAGCTCTTGAAAGTAGCAAAGAAGTAAGAATGACACAGTTCATATCAAAAATTAAAGAAGTATGGATACTTTCGTGGGGATCAAAGGAAACTAAAGAAGCGCTTAAAACAATCACAAATGTCGCAGTGTAAACCATCATGAAGAACTAAATAATTGTTTAATATAGAAACCGGCCGGGCGTGGTGGCTCACGCCTCTAATCCCAGCACTTTGGGAGGCTGAGGCGGACGGATCACGAGGTCAGGAGATCGAGACCATCCTGGCTAGCACAGTGAAACCCCGTCTCTACTAAAAATACAAAAAAAAAAAAAAAATTAGCCGGGTGAGGTGGTGGGTGCCTGTAGTCCCAACTACTCGGGAGTCTGAGGCAGGAGAATGGCGTGAACCCCAGGGGGCGGAGCCTGCAGTGAGCCGAGATCGCGCCACTGCACTCCAGCCTGGGCGACAGCGAGACTCCGTCTTAAAAAAAAAAAAAAAAGAAACCAACATCATCAGTTCCATCATTGCATACAGAAAGGTGCCATTCATCTGGACTTTCCTTGCTGTCCTTGCAGCAACAGCTCCGAATTATACTGCCCTATAAGCCTGAATTACCTAATCTCTTTTTTTCTCCTTTCTTTTTAATTTTAATTTTTATTTTTTTGAGACAGAGCCTCACTTTGTGACCCAGGCTGGATTGCAGTGGCCTGATCTTGGAACACGCCTATAAGCCCAGCTATGCGGGATCCCTCGAACCTGGGATCCCGCATAGCTGGGGTTACAGGCATGTGCCACCATGCCTGGCTAATTTTTGTAATTTTAGTAGAGACAGGGTTTCGCCATGTTGGCCAGGCTGGTCTTGAACTCCTGACCTCAAGTGATCTGCCTGCCTTGGCCTCTCATCTTTCTCTTCTTTCTAATAATGTCTCTTTTCCCTGGTTTTCTTTGCAGTATTTTCTAAACCCTTGCTATGTGTCATGTATAGCTTCACACTGGTGTTTCTATCTTCTTTTCATAAAGATTTCAGCTTTGACTTGCACTACCATTTATCTGACTCTATGTGGGTCTCAAATTCAGTCTTCCTTTGAGACGGGATCTGAAGAGATCTGCCATGCAATTTCCCCATATAGATAGTTTTCAACCTAGTTTGCCTCAAAACCACAAGACAGCTAAAAAGTGGCTACAGTGGAATAGTTATCGCCTTTATTTCTTTAAATATGCTGTTTCTAAGTTTATGGGTAAAATGGCATAAAGTATGTTGCCCACTATCTGACATATTAAGAAGTATTTCAAACATATAAACAATCTGAAATTTGAAATTGACACAAATGATCAATTTCCCAAGAAATCTATAATTTTTTAATTATTTTGGCAGCATTGAACTGTTTTCATTTTTGTAGCTTTATCTATCACGCAAATTTTCAATAGATTCTGTAAAAAAATAGAGGAAAGAGCTGATAAGGGAAATGGGAATTCACATTATAATTTATCAGAATGCTTCACTACAGATAACTCACTCCGTTTTACTTTTGTAATCCCATTGCTTGAGAGTGAACTTGATATTAATATTATTATTATTGTCAATATTCAAATGTTTTTGACCTATCGAAAAATCAATATCACATAGTCTTATGATTCAAATTAATATTACATAATTTTTAGTGCTTAAGGGTTATTTTCCTCTCTAGTTTCAGTGGAAACTATAAGAGGTTCTATCTTTATTTACATTTTTCAAAGTCTTTCATGAAAGGTCATAAGATGAATAAAAATTTTAATCTCTCAATTACAAAGTAAAATATAGCAGTATCATATTTGTAACTATATAATTAAATACGATTTATTTTCCAATAAACCATAATTATGTTGATATAAATTCTTTGTTCCTTTGGAAAATGTGATTTTTCATAACTAATTTCTTGCAAGTAGGAAAAGAACAAGCTAATATGCTTTTCTTATTTCGAATAAATAATGAATGTGAAGAATTATATTTGATTTTGAATTCTAGCATACATATTGTCACTTGAGAGTCAGTATGGAAAAGTAACATTTCCCATAAGAATGTCCTAATGTACCTACTACCAATTGTTAATGTCTTGAGAAAAAGCTATAGGGTTATTTTTCCTTTCTGAACCACCTGAAAACATAATTGAATAATCCTCCTGCATATATATATATATATATATATATACACACACACATATATATACATGAATCTGTAAGACACATACAATTTCCCCAAATAGTCACATTTAAACATGTAGCTACCCTTCCAATATTTCCAGTAAACAGCAGAGCTACATGGAAGAGAGAACTTATCTAAATTTGCATTAATAGTATTATGAGATAGGCTGAATAATTAACCTTCCCAAATGTTCATGTCCTCATCCCCAGAACCTGTGACTATGTTACCTGAAGTAGCAAAATAAATGTTGCATATGTGGTTAAGATAACAACCTTGAAATGGGAGGATTATCCTGGATTATCTGGGTGGGCCAATGTAATGACAAGGGTCCTTGTAAGGGGGAGGCCAGAGGGTTAGAGTCAAGGACAGAAACATGATGACAGAAGCAAGTGTCAGAGTGATAGAATTCCTGGAAACATTATAAGCCAAGGCTGGAGAAACCCAAGAAATCAGACTATCCCTTAGAAAGTCCAGAAGAAAGGCAGCTGCCTCCTTGATTCTAGCCCACTGACACTAACATTGGTATTTCTAATCTCCAAAACTATAAAAAATTATGCATTTTAAGTCACTACGTTTGTTGTATGTTCTTACATCAGCTGTAGGAAACTAATATAAATAGCATTTTATTTCTTTTATTCCTTCAAGCACCAGAAACATTATATTCTCCTCTAACACAAGTACAGATGCACCCACACACACCACACACACATACACACACACACACACAGAGAGAGAAAGAGAGAGAGAGAGACAAGACATGAAATTCCAAGTCATTGCTTATGCATTCCTGTCATTCATGTTTAATGCCTATTCTTTAACTCTGTTAAATACTTGCTGTGTTAGTCTGTTCTCACGCTGCTAATGAAAACACACCTGAGACTGGGTAATTTATAAAGGAAAAATATTTAATTGATTCACAGTTCTACACGGCTGGGGAGGCCTCACAATCATGGTGGAAGGTGAATGAGGAGCAAAGTCATGTCTGAGAATGAGCGCCAGCAGGTGAAATACCAGAGAGTTATGAAACCATTAGATTTTGTGAGAACTCACTCACTGTCACGAGAACATTACGGGGGAAACCACCACCATGATTCAATTATCTTTACTTGGCCCTGCCCTTGACATGTGTGGGATATTGCAATTCGAGGTGAGATCTGGGTGGGGACACAGCCAAACCCGTATCACTTGCCTCAAGAACACAGAGTCAAATTGCACTTGATGAACACATAACCAAATACAGATCTGGACTATATTCCCTCACATACAATTTATTTTACACATTTTCGACTACATTTCTGAAAGTACAAACTTGTTTTTTTTTCTTTGATACAAGTCATAGGTACAGGCATATTGCCGAGTCAGAGTAAAACAAGGCATTTTACTAAAATCTAGAATCTAAGATATATAATAACTTAGTTATAAGCATGATTTAAAAGAATTGCATTTTCTGGAAAACATGGAGAGAAAACTTGCAACTAAGTGCTGGCTCAAAGCTTAAATTGGAAAGGTAATAATGTTTTTGTTTCTGTTTTTGTGTAATAAGGTTCTAACTTTATAACTGAGGAAAGAAACAGTACATGTTATATGTGGTTTATTAACACTTTCTTAATTCAACGTTTTCTTCAATTTAGATTATACCTTCAGTATTAGAAAATAACAAATTTATAGTATTTAGACCTAATTTTTTTTTGTCTACAGGACTCCTAAATACCTCCTAAATTTTAAAAGATGGATTTGATTGGTTGCTTTACACAGTTAAATGTGAAGCAAGAGAGCCTTTCCTCCCACTTACCTCACCTCATTCTCTTTGCTCTGTATTCTATTTCACTTTACTTTATGTTATTTATATTTCCAACTTGCTTATTATATGTTTCTCATATTGGAAAATAATTTCCTAATGGCAAGACTGGGGGCTTGGGGGTTTTAATGGTGTATTTCCAACACCTATGATAGGAGTATCGTCCTTGCAGTAAACAGTTAATGAATATTTGCCACAAGAATGAAACAGAAATGTACAGAAAATTTCACTGATGTGATAATTAAAATAAATTTGTTTTTATTTTCCCTGAAGAAGTTGATTGGCCACACATACTCTTTTATCTAACCATAATATATTAAATATACAACATAAACTTGGTGGGATTCTTATCTGTTTGTCGTGATTTATCAGTAAATTTAAAATCTTTTTGCTCAACCATTCCACTGATATTTGGAATTTCTGCCTTTGCCCCCAATTTAGTTCATAAATATTAATTATATCATTTTCTGTGTGTGACACCAGGGAGCTTTCCTAGACTTCTTAATCATTTTAATGCTCCTCAGTATTAGGTGATAAAGGGCCTAAAATATGCTCTTCTGGTATATTGACTATTTAAGTTAAGGATTCTTGAAAAACAGCCTGTGCAAGAAGATCACTTTGACCTTTATACTCTTTAAGAAAAGCAGAAGGGAAATTCCCCGAAGCCCAAATCCATGCTGCATGCTGCTTTATCAGTGGAGCCAGCTAGAGTCATTCATAAATTTACTCCCACACCACTATGAGATTCTCAACAAAAAAATATATATATATATATAGTTTTGCTTTCTCTTATGTTTCAGTGGTATCAAATCCACAGTTTCAAGAGGCTGGACAACAGGCAATAAAGGAAAGTGATCCCTCAGAGATAGGAAATAAATGATGTGAGCCTTATCATTGCCCAGGTTACTCCTTTAGGAATGTTTCTTGGCCATGGCATAGGAAGAGGAACCCAGGTTGTGCCCGATGGTGTCCATGAGTTGAGGAGATGGAGCTGGGAATTTAGGGGGCTAAAGCAGTAACAAATATTTGAGAGAAAAGAGTTCTATAATAAGATAAATGGAAAATCCGCAGAAGTCCTACCCTGATGCCTTGAGAATTCAGCAGAATACAAATTAGCTCATATATATGAGAAAATTGCCTTAGGTCATGGAACAAACTAGCCTAAATGATTAGAGGAAAAGGTAGTTCAACATTCAAAGAGGGCCTAGAAAAGTTTCTGTTCTCATCATTGCATTAGTCAGCATTCTCCAAAAAAATAAAACTGACAGGATACATACATACATACATACATACATACATATATATATATATATATATATATATATAAAGGATACAAACATATATTCATAATACGACATCTGCAATCTGGAGACCCAAGAAAACTGGTAGTGTAATTCTAGTCTGAGTCACCAGGCCTGAGAACCAGAGAAGGGGCCAATGGTGTAAATTCCAGTCCAAGAGCAGAAGGAGATGGTATGACAAATCTCAGCTCAAGCAGGCAGACAGGAAGCAAAAGGGTGAATTCCTCCTTCCTCCATGTTTTGCTCTGCTCAGGCCCTCAGTGGATTACATGATGCATACTTATAATAGGAAGGGCAATGTATTTTATTGAGTCTATTGACTCAAATGCTAATCTCATCTGAAAACAACATCAAAGACATGCCAAGAAATAATGCTTAACCTGGGCACCTTTGGCCCAGTGAATTTGACACAGAATTAACCATCACAACTATCAAGATGGGAAAGCCTCTTTATCTGTGGGATATTGAAAAGATTACATGGAAAGGTCTTTCCTCAATAGTGGGAAATATTCAGCTCTAGAATAAACACTGCTCCGGTCCCACCTACTAATAAACCTTAGAAGTAAGACTTGAAGCGATCAAACTTTTCCATGTAACTTAATTAGGTCCTGAACAAAGATCACGAATAATTGTGGGAATAAAATTTAATCTGCAGGTAACTAGGTAAAATTTACAAGGTCAAAATTTACAAGTTTCTATTCAAAAGTTAAAAAGCATGCAATGAAGCAGGAAAATGCAATCAATCTAGAACTAACATAGGTGTTAAAATTAGTGTAAAGTAAATAAAAGTTATTTTAACAATATTCCGTAGTTTCAGAGTTAAGCAGAGACATGGACGGTTTAAAGAAAATTCATTTATAACTTCTAGAGATAAAAACTACAATGCAAGCAATGAGAAATATACTGAAATAATTTAAAGCTGCAAATGAATAATTAATTGCAAATGAAAGGTTTAGTGAACTTGAAGATATAACAATATAAAAATATACAAAATGAAACATAGGAAAAGAAGGAAAAAATTTGGTGCATATTGGGACAGCCTCAAACTTTCTCATGTATCTGTAGTATTAGTTTCCAAAGAAGAATGAAAAGGTAGAGGAAAAAAACAGAAAAATAAAAAAATAAATAAATAATGACTGAAAATATTCCAAATATGTTAAAATGTATAAAACCACAAACTCATGATGAGAAATAAAATCCAAGCATGAGAATCATAAAAAAGTAAATAAAAACTACTCTAAGGCACATTATCAATTTACTCAAAACTAATGATAACATGCAAATCATGAAAACACCTAAAGACAAAAAAGTTAGGTACACAGAAATACATACAAGAATGACAGTATAATTTTTGGTAAAAATTGACAACCTTATTCTAAAGTCTATATGAAAATGCAAGGTACCTCAAAGAAACAAAGCAACTTTAAAAAAATAACATATTTGGGAGATAAACACTATTGGATTTTAAGTAATCAATATAATTTTGATTTAGTTATAAATATAGGAAAATAGATTGATGGAACAGAATAAAGAGCCTAGAAATAAGCCCACACGTATGTGGACGATTTGTTTTTCAACAAGTGTGGAAAGGCAAATCAGTGAATAAATAATAGCCTTTTCAACGAATTGTGCTGGAACAATTGAACAACCACAAAGCCCAAAAGGTAAACTTCATACCTCATACCATATCCAAAAATAAACTCTAAAGAATCCTATGCCTGAAGTCAAAAGTCTAGAACTATGAAGCTTCTGAAAAAAAATAGGAGAAAATCTTTGTGACCTTGCGTTAAGCAAAAATTAATTAGCTATAACACTAAAGCACTATCCACAAACCAAAAAAATGAGTTGGCATTCATAAAAAATAAAAGTTCCTACTTTTTGAAAGATACTTTTAAGAGACTGAATACAGAACAAATAATAGTGGCAAATTACAAATTAATTACATTTAATTAGAGCTAATTGAAAACTTGTATCAGAATATATAAAAATCGGTCAAACTCACTAAGAAAGCAAACGGCCTAGTTTTTAATTTAAAAACTGGGCAAAATATTTGAACAGACACTTCACCAAGAATATAAGACATAAGAACATAGAAAATGCTCACCATCACCAGTTAATATTGCTCAACATTTTAACGACCTGCAAATTAAAACCATAGTGCACACTTATTAGAATAATTAAAATTAAAAAGATTGACCATACCAAATATTGGTGATTATGTAGAGGAAATGAAACTCTCAAACACTGTTGGTGGAAATATTAAAAAGATACAATTAGTTTGGAAAACACTTTAGCAATTTTTTTTTTTCTTTGAGATGGAGTCTCGCTCTGTTGCCCAGGCTGGAGTGCAGTGGCGCGATCTCGGCTCACTGCAAGCTCCGCCTCTCGGGTTCACACAATTCTCCTGCCTCAGCCTCTGGAGTAGCTGGGACCACAGGCGCCCGCCACCACACCCAGCTAATTTTTTTTTTTTTTTTTTTTTGTATTTTTAGTAGAGATGGGGTTTCACCGTGTTAGACAGGATGGTCTCAATCTCCTGACCTCATGATCTGCCCGCCTCGGCTTCCCAAAGTGCTGGGATTACAGGCGTGAGCCACCGCACCCAGCCACACTTGAGCAATTTTTTAAAATATTAATCGAATATATAATTCATATGAAAACAAATAATTCAGCCATTCAATTTCTAAGTGTTCAATCTGTTCATAAGACTTCTACAAAAATGGTAACAAAAACTTTGTTTGTAATAAATAATCGAATGTCCCTGAATAGGTAGCAGGTGTGTGGATGAACTCTATTGTGTATCTATAATGCAGTCCTCCACAGCAATACAAAGAAATTAATTATTGATACACAAACCACATGAATGCATCTGAAAATAATTACATTGAGTGGAAGAAGTGAGAAAAAAGTGGTTCATAAATTGCCATTACATTTACAAAATTTTCTAGAAAGTTCAAACTAATTTTTAGTGTTAGAAAGCAGATCAGTGGCTGCCTGGGAATGGCACACTAGCGAGAAGGAAGAATAAGGAACACAAACAAATGTTTTGAGGTGCTTGACAGATGCACTATGTTGGTTGTACTTGTGATTTCAAAACTGTACATGTATATAAATTTTTCAAATTGTACACTTTTAATATGTGCAATATCAATTATACCACAATAAAGCTATTTTTAAAAAGCTGAAGGTAAGGGTTGAATAATTTCCCCAACTTTCTCACCAATCTTAAATAAAAGCAGGTCACAGAGCAAATTTGCCACAGGTGGCAATATTATCAAGTAGGTGCAAAAAGAGTCACATACTCTTTCTTTGTTGTTTTGTAAGCTTAATTTAGTTCCAACGTTCTATCTTTTTATGTCTTCCAACCACACTTTACAGAGAGACTTTATTTAAAAACAATTAAAAAAACAGTATTATTTAGGCAGAATTCAGCTACTCTTATGGTCATCAACAGACAACAAACTCATCTGAATTCACGCTTGCACAATGAAATACACAGAGATCATGCCGTGAGCTACAGCCAAAGGGTTTTCTAGATTATTTTCTTCCTTATGCCACATAAAAGAGTATCTTTAAAATAATTTATCCAAATCTTATCTTAACACTGATACCAGTAAATAAGAGCCCGACTCTTAATTCATTATGCTAGCAAGCCAATATTTTCAGCCATGGCAACTAATTATTAAATGCCATAATGATGAGCAAAATATCTAATATTAAAGATAGAGGAAATTGGAGTACTTGCAGTAGCCACTAGTGGAGTACAGCCACCTTGATTTGAATGTGTCTGGCATAGCCCTGGAGTATAAATTGCTGAGCATGGTAACTTGCTACACACAGAGTAAAACAAACTACATTCACAAGCGTATCATGCTGTCTAAACACAGGTGTATTCAGATAAATAAAAAACATCTTAGCAAAGGGTTTATGTTCCATTAGATAACACATACAATGAATGAACTAGCTTCTAGAGGATCACCTTACTACTAATCTTTCGTTTACCGAATACATATTTTATATCAACCATATGGCTCCATTCCACCAGCAGCTAAAGGCTGAGTCAAATTTAGTTGTAGATTAGATAAATAAAATGAAAATTATACTCTATAATGTTTCCTAAACTTTAATACGATAAAAATCACCTGGGACATTTGATAGTACATTTCTCAGCACTTTTCTACACAAATTATTTTTCAGTCAGTTTGAAGAAAGTTCTGGAGAATTGATGATTTTATCATTTTTAAGCTAATTTTTATTCTCAGGGGAGTTTGGCAAGCGCTGCAGATGTGTTTTATAGCACAAATTCCTCATCAATAAGAATACTGTAATAATCTTTTTTTGAGACTGAAACTCTCCGTATTTTAATTTATTGTCTATTTCCTCTATTTCTTACATCTACAGAAAATAAAGACATAACAAAGAAATTACTTTAACTCTGTATGTCATGTACCTGATTTTTATGCCGCACTCTGCAATGACTCTCAAAGTTATAATTTACTTTAACTACAGGTCTCATTACAACAGTCCTCAATAAATTTTTCAAGAAAATCCTTCAAAGAAAATATGAAGAATTGACTGTCTTAGCCTCCATTCTGCCTTTCCTCTAGCCTGGAAATTTAGAAAGATAATAACTACCTTTCCTGGGTTCCCTCCCTGGTAAAGTTTTGCACGGAAATTAGATACGTTTTGTGCGATATTGTATTAGTCTGTTTTCACACTGCTATAAAGAACTGAGACTGCATAATTTATGAAGAAAAGAGGTTTAATTTACTCCACAGGCTTAGCTGGAAGCACGACTGGGAGGCCCCAGGAAACTTACAATGAAGGCGAAAGGCAAAGGGGAAGCAAGGCATGTCTTACATGGTGGCAGGAGAGACGGGGTTGGCAGGAACTGAGACACAATTTTAAACCATCAGATCCAGTAAGAACTCACTTACTATCACAAAAATAGCATGGGGGAAACCGTCCCATGATCCAATCACCTCTCACCAGGTCCCTCCCTTGGCATGTGAGGATTACAATTTGAGATGAGATTTGGGTGGGGACACAGAGCCAAACCATATCAGATATCTAAGATAGAAGTTAAATGAAAGCCACCTGTCTGCTATTTTTTACTGCTATCAAGTGAAATATGGAATGTGAATATTTGTGTAAAATTGAGATGGCCAGATTTAGTAGTCCAGATTCATGAGTGTCAAGTGGCAGGGGTGGTAGTAATGACTCAAACAAGCAGCTGTCTCATCTAGGCATCTGAGCATTCATGACTTAGTAGATTAAATTATTTGCCAATTCTCATACAGGAGGTAAGGTTTGTAACTCCTCCACTTGAATCTGGGATGGCTTGCCATTTCTTCAACTAATGCAGCAAAAGTGATTTTAAAAGTGTTCTGAGGGTACCCTTTAAGAGAACTGAGAATTTCTGTTACATTCTTCTTGGCGCCTTAAGTCACAATATAAAGCCTACTCTCAGCCACACTGAGAGCCTGTGTGGAGAGATGGAAACAGATGTCTGGACTTTGTTCAGTGTTCCAAAACTACCTTCCGAGTCAGACCAGCAGAAGCCTCAGATATCTTGGAGGAGAGATGAGTCATACTTACCGTTGCCCTTTCTAAATTCCTGTCTCATGGGATTGCAAACTATAATAATAATATAATGTTGTACAGCTATAAAGATTTGGGGTGATTTGTTACACAGTAGTTGTGCAGAACAGAATTTAGTCCTGAAATTGATGTGATATCTTGATAAAAATCTTAATATGGAGCACTGGCTTTGGAACTGGGTAGCTGGCACAAACAGACAAGTCTTGAAGAAATTGTTACTCAAAGCTTGCAAATACCTTTAGGAGACAGAGTGAGAACTTGAAAGACACCAAAGAATATGTTCTTGGAGACTAGTGAAAAGGAACCTTGCTTTTATATTGTAGAAAGTTTGGAAAAACTGTTGCTTCTTGTTATAAGGAAAATGGTACGCCTAATGAACTCATGGATTTGCATGGGTTTATTTCTAAGCAGAATGTAGAAAGTGCCAATTGTCCTCTTAAAGCATTTTATGATAAATTACAAGATACTTAAAGTGAATTACAAAAGAATCTGTTTACTTTTCAAGGAGAATTTGATGGAAATATTTCTAACTCAAGACTTCTTGAGATCAAAACTAAAACTGTATCTTATTCTTTATTCTCTCTGCATAGCAAAGGACTAACAAAGTGAAAATGAACAGGAGTCCTCAGTGCAAGTATAAATTTTATGTCACTTCAAGACTTCAGTGTAAAAATCTCAAGGGTGTAAGAGTAAGTCAATCTGTTGAGAACTTAGAAAGATTTAAGATAATATCTCATAGAAGCTGTCAGCTAGAAAAAAAGTATTCTAAGGGCTTTGAGGGCATCATTTATGAACCACAACTGTAGGGTATAAAAATAAAGCTAGATCTTCTTCTCTCATGTCTTTCTTAGCAGAACATTCTCAAAATTTAAAAAAAAAAACTCTCAAGAAAAATATTACATACAAAATATTTTCAATTAATCAGATTAAAGATAAAGCCAAGGAAGTGATCACAAATTCTTAATCAGGGCTTTGCAGACAATTTCAGAGACAATAGCATTTCTAAATACCTTTAGAATGTATCTCACAGGAACATATATTTAACCATACGACTTCTAAGCTGTTGGGAACAGGCCCCCATAAACTGGCCCCAAAACTGCCCATAAACAAAATCTCTGCAGCACTGTGACATGCTTGTGATGGCCATGACGCCCACTCTGGAAGGTTTTCAGTTTACTAGGATGAGGGCAAGGAACACCCGGCCCACCCAGGGCAGAAAACCGCTTAAAGGTGTTCCTGAACCACAAACCATAGCATGAGCGATCTTTGCCTTAAGGACATGTTCCTGCTGCAGATAACGAGCCAGACCTGTCCCTTTATTTCGGCCCATCCTTTTGTTTCCTGTAAGGAATACTTTTAGTTAATCCATAATCTGTAGAAACAATGCTTATCACTGGCTTGTTGTCAATAATTACGTGGGTAAATCTCTGTTCAAGGCTCTCATCTCTGAAGGCTGTGAGACCCCTGCTTTCCCACTCTACACTCTATATTTCTGTGTGTGTGTGTGTCTTTAACACCTCTAGTGCCACTGGGTTAGGGTCTCCACAACCGAGCTGGTCTCAGCACTAAAGCACTTAAGGCTATTGTCCTACAGCAACCTAACAGAGAGCTCAAAGTAGAGAAGTAACTGTCTTAAAGATATTTGTAGATGTGGCACTTTCTAATAAAGTATACCCGGTAAATTTATCAAGAAATCTCCAATGATTTTAAGACAATTTTATAGGTATAGTCTTCTCTAGTTTAAAATAAGAAATAGAGATAGCATAATATAAAAAAAGGAATTTGAATTTCTAAAATCCAATGGGCAAGAAGCAAGCAGAGAAGGCTATTCAGCTGCAAGCATGGTCCATTTCTTATGAAAAAGGAAAAATGACCCAGAAGGCAAAAAATGAGCACAGATTGCAAAACAGGAAAGAACAGATAATTATTCCCAAGGAGGAGAATTGGCACTGATCAACTAACTGATGACATGTGTCTGACTGGATTTCAGAACTTCTTTGGACCAGTGACCGTCAGGTATACCCAGTTTCCCACAATGCTAGGTGGGAGTGTCTACTGAAGTTATTCTGTGCTTTCTCACATAATATATTGGAAATGTGTGAAAGAGAGGGGCAAAAACCTCCTCCAGTTAGTAATCTACAGATTGAGAGGACCTGTAATTGAGGAGTGGCACCCAAGGCAGTTGATCTGCACTTAGACAATGATTTAGACAATGACATCCAGGAGCTTGAGCCTGGGTCAAGGGCTGTAATGAGATGGAACATTTGTATTTTAAAAAAATGTAAATAATTTATTGCCAGATGGTGGATTTTGGTGGATTGATGATTGCTGCAATGTATTTGAATCTCGTCCCTCTTGGAAGCTAAGGTTTATGCAGCAACCCTTTTAATATAAACTAACCTGTGACAGCTTTGGCCAATAGGGTATGATCAAGTGATGCTATGACCCTTCCAGACATACTTTTAAGAGAACTGACAGTTGCCCATGTCTCCTTCTTGAATCCTCAAGCTGACATGAAAGACATCTGACTATCCTGAGAGAGTATAGTGAGAGAGAGCTTAATCTAGCACACACACACAGAGAGAGAGAGAGAGAGAGAGAGAGAGAGAGAGAGAGAGAGAGAGAGATCAATCCAGTCAGCCTCCAGAATTTCAAGCTTTGTTTGAATCATCCTAGCTGAGGCACCAGACACTTGAAATTGAAACAAGCCATCCAACTGTGCCAGTTCTGAATATTTGATCCACAGAATACTGACATGAAATAATGTCAAATTGTTTTTAGCTAAGTTTTCTGACTGTTTACTACACGTCAATAGATTAACCTTAAGGCTTACCTTGAAAATCTTAGGATGACCCTACATTGATCATCCTAATTTATATAACTTTTCATATAAAAAATCCTAATCTATGTAACTTTTCAAATAGTCTCTCATGAAAATTTAATTGTTCTAAGTAACAGTGGCTTCAATGTCATTTCTGTAATGAATGCTACTTATGTATTGGTTGAGAATCACTGGAAAATTTATGTCATGGGCTGAATTGTGTTCTCCCCAAAATCCATATGGTAAAGCTCTAACCATCAGTACCTCAGAATTTGTATTCAAAAACAGGGAATTTCAAGATGTTATTAAGGTAAAATGAGGTCCCTAATCCAATAAGACCATCCTTGAGGAAGAGCAGATTAAGGTACAGACACACACTGAGGAAAGACTATGTGAAGAAAAAGGGAAAAGAGGGCCATCTGCATGCCGAGGAACGTGTCCTCAAAAGACTTCTAGCCTCCAGAACTGTGACAAAAGGAATGCACATTATTTGAACCACATTATCTGTAATATTATTTATGGTAGCCCTAGTCAATTAATATAGCCTATTTCTTCAGAAGCTAGATGATTTCTGAAGTCTTCTCAGTTGGCATAAACTTTTGTATAACATCTTGCATTGTTTACTGTCTTGAAGCAAATCAAGTACAGCTGAAGACATAGTTCCCATCATTGGCAATAAGTCCAAGATCTGTTAATTATTTGGACTTCAACCTCTTCCCTGGATGTCTGTGTGTTTATGTCAATCTATCAATCTATGTATATTTAGATATCTATGTATCTGTCTATATAGATATCTAGATATATATCATGTGTGTGTCTGTGTGTGTGTGTGTGTGTGTAAGTGTGCTTGAGCCAGGACATCAGGAACCAGGAGATGAGGAAGAAGAGGAACTCCCTATTTCTCAGTTTGTTTTTATAGTGTCTGCTTATTTTCTTTCTTTTCCTAGTCACTTTAAAGGCAGAAAAGTCAACTACCTCTTTTCTAAGTTAGGATACATGAATAGATATTTATATGTTAAAGCTTACAATCTCCAAAACACCAGAGGCCAATCCTCATGGGCACTGATAAAGCTATTCCTATGACAGATCTGGAGTGGAGTCCATTATTTGTGACCATTAACCTGTCCTCATCCAAGACATGGAATGGAACCTGGGGGTATGGTGAATTTAGAAGTGATGGTCTTGTGCACAGGGGAACAGGAATGAGTTAGGAGATTCCCTATTAGCTTCTTCTCTCAACACACCAAGCTCTGATGACTTCTGATAAAATTTAGGTTATGTTCTTCTCTTGATTTGACCATGACAAATAAAGATACCTTGCGTACTTGCTTACTTTCAGGCTCTTCAGAATATCTGTGTTTTTCCACTTTAAAAAATAGATGATCGGCTCGGTGTGGTGGCTCACGCCTGTAATCCCAGGACTTTGGGAGGCCAAGGCAGGTGGATCACCTGAGGTCAGGAGTTCAAGAACAGCCTGACAAACATGGTGAAACCCTGTCTCTACTAAAAATACAAAAAAAAAAAAAAAAAAAAAGGCAGGTGTGGTGGCACGTGCCTGTAATACCAGCTACTTGGGAGGCTGAGGCAGGAGAGTCGCTTGAACCCAGGAGGCAGAGGTTTCAGTGCGCCAAGATCCTGCCATTGCACTCCAGCCTGGGCAACAAGAGTGAAATTCTGTCTCAAAAAAAAATTATAATAATCATAACTCTGTCCTTGACAGGTAACTAAAAGAGTTTTTTTTACTGCCAAACTGGTCTGGTTATCATATTCATGAAGTGATGATGGAGTGAATAAAGGATGAAAATTCACCTTTGACTATTCTGAGGCATATATAAAAGTCAAAAAATACTTGATAATTTTTCATTAGGATTCCCATTGTAAAAATCAAGAATAGATTAATAGCTCTATAGATTATATAATTACCTAGAAATTGCATTAATCTGGTACATTTATTTTCTCATTCTAAAACCATACATCTTACCACTTAATATCCCCTCTCCATTCTTTTTTCCCCTGCTAAAAATCTAATGAGATCAAATCATACTTGAGGGAGACACTGCTAATTCTATTCTCTAAAGGTGAAACAGACATGAAATTGCATTTTAGCAATTTTAGTATGTTCTTATGTATGGTCAGGGAAATCGACTTGAATGATTTCTGAATATAAACAGTTTAAATTACAATCAAATTTTCATTTAACAAGCAGGTAAATTAATGACACACATAAACCTCATTTAAGATATAATTTATTTCCTCTGGTTTATTAAATTTTGATGAGTGTTATATAACTATATCATTATATATAAATAATTACAAAAGTATATAATTAAGAGAAATTTCTCTTATTTTAATATGCACTCTATTTAATGGAGCTAAAACAATAGCTAAATAGTAAGCAAGAGAAAGGAAAAGAAAAATGGAGTTCCAAATCTCTGAAACTGTATAGATAATTGGCATGTGTAAAATTTGGACTGACAGTCATAAACTTTTATCCTCCAACCTAATTATCTATTTTATCTCCTTAATATGTCAGCTTAAAGCAAAACTTATTATCAATATCAAAATTACACAATAAGTTATATGTTTTATGATTTGTGTATTGTCATAACTGATTTCAGTGATTCAAATAACAATTCTAGCTTGTATTTGTTGAAAAATCTAAGAAGAGTTGATATGAAAATATTTTAAATATGTCTCACTTTGTATAAGTCAACTCAACTTTGATCACTGAGATGGTTATCTCATCTGATGGATACGCCCACTTAATTCATGAACTGCTATTGCCTAAAAAAATCTGAACATCTTTTACATCTGTTTTTTTTTTCTACAGGATATTTTATCCTAAAAATGAATTATATGTGTTGAAAAGTATAAACTGACATATTTAGCAAATTAACAGAGGACCTATTATGAAAATAATGAGAGCAAGAACACAGCAGGTACAATAGTGGTAAGATATGAGATTCTACGAAATGGTAATCAGGCCCATGAGACAAAAGCGAATTCTAATAGGAAAGAACATTAATATTAGTGGATTTTCTAGAATCAACTAAGGCATGTGAAATGTCATGACATATGAACAAAACAAATACATAGGCTTCTTGATTAATATAACTCAATAAAAAGGAAAGTGGATATAGCATATGATTATATTATTATTATCATCATTATTTAACTATTATTTTAGTTTCACTTACATTTCCTTAAGTTTTCAAATGAAAAAAACAAAAATGTGTTTGGGGAAAAAAGAGGTATTTTATTAGACTCCAACTGAGTAATGACGTGAAAATGCCAGCTACAGATGCTGATTCATCATAATAGCATGTTCTCCCAAATAACTATCTTATCTGCCTCTGCAATGTCATTAGACCTCCAGATAGCAGCCAAGAAAACAAGATTCTTTAAAAAAGAAATGACAACAAACCTATAGTCAATTATTTCTAAAAACATCCATATGTTATACACAAACATACATATACACACATATTTATACACACACATATGTAAATATATATATATAATATTTAATACACACACTATATATGTGATATGTTTAAATATATAATATATCCATGGCTTACAATGATTACTGTATGTATATATATATGTGTGTGTGTATATACATACACACATACTGAAATATACTATATATTATACTATATATATTATAAATGAGATATACCATATATATTTCTCTCTATATATAAGTATATTAGTTCATCCTCATGCTGCTACAAAGAATTGTCCAAGATTGGGTAATTTATAAAGGAAAGAAGTTTAACTGACTCACAGTTCTGCATGGCTGGGGAGGTCTCAGGAAACTTACAACCATAGCAGAAGGGGAAGCAAACACATCCTTCTTCACATGATGGCAGGAAGGCAAAGTGCCCAGCAAAAGGGGCAAAGCCACTTATAAAACCATCAGACCTCATGAGAACTCAATCACTATCATGAGAACAGCAGCATAGGGGCAACCACCCCATGATTCAATTATCTCTCAGGCCCTGCTCACAACACATGGGGATTATGGAAACTACAATTCAAGCTGACATTTGGGTGAAGATACAGCCACATCGTATCATTCCTCCTCTGGCCCCTCCCAAATTTCACATTCTCACATTTCAAAACACAATCTTCCCTTTCCAAAGATCCCCCAAAGTCTGAGCTCATTCCAGCATCAGCCCAAAATTCCAAGATTTCATCTAAGACAAGGCAGGTATCTTTCACCTACGAGCCTGTAAAATCAAAAGCAAGTTAGTTACTTCAGAGATACAATGTGGGTACAGGCACTGGGTAAATACACCAGTTCCAAATGGGAGAAATTGGCCAAAACAAAGGGGCTACAGGCCCCAGGCAAGTCCAAAATCCGATAGGGCAATCATTAAAACTTCAAGTTCCAAAATGATCCCCTTTGACTCCATGTCTCACACCCATGGCACACTGATGCAAAAGGTGGGCTCCCATGGCCTTGGGCAGGTCTGATCCTGTAGCCTGGTAGGGTAAAGCCTCGCTTCCTGGCTGCTTTCATAGGCTGGCGTTCAGCATTTGTAAGCTGTTGGTAGATCCACCATTCTGGGGGGTCTTGAGGATGATGGCCTTCTTCTCACATATCCACTAGGCAGTGCCCCAGTGGGGACTCTGTTTGGGGGCTCCAACCCACATTTCCCTTCTGAACTGGCCTAGCAGAGGTTCCCCATGAGGGATTTGCCCCTGAAGTAAACTTCTGCCTGGACATCCAGGCATTTCCATACATCCTCTGAAAATATAGGCAGAGGTTTCCAAACCTCAATTCTTGTCTTCTGTTCACCCACAGGCCCAACACCATGTGGAAGCTGCCAAGGCTTGGGACTTGCACCCTCTGAAGCAATAGCCTGAGTTGTACATTGGACCATTTTAGCTGCAGCTGGATCAGCTGTGGTGCAGGGCACCAAGTCCCAAGGCTGTATACAGCAGAGTGACCCTAAACCTGGCCCAGCAAACCATGTTTCCCTCCTGGACTTGCGGGCCTATGTTGAGAGAGGCTGTTGTGAAGGTCTGTGACATGCCCTGGAGACATTTTCCCCATTGTTTTGATGACTAACATTTGGGTCCTCACTACTTATGCAAATTTCTGCAGCCGGCTTGAATTTCTCCCCAGAAAATTGGGTTTTCTTTTTTTATCACATAATCAGGCTGCAAACTTTCCAAACTTTTATGCTTTGCTTCCTCTTGAATGCGTCTCACTTAGAAATTTATTTCGCCAAATATCCTAAATCATCTCTCTCAAGTTCAAAGATCTACTGATATCCAGCGTGGGCAAAATGCTTCCAGTCTCTTTGCACATAGCAAAAGTAACTTTTACTCCAGTTCCCCAAAAGTTCCTCATCTCCTTCTGAGACCATATCAGCCTGGACACCATGGTCCATATCATTTTGATCAAACTATTCAACAAGTCTCTGTGAAGTTGCAAACTTTCCCACATTTTCCTGACTTCTGAGCCCTCCAAAATGTTCCAACCTCTGCCTGTTACCCAGTTCCAAAGTTAGTTCCACATTTTTGAGTGTCTTCACAGCAGTGCCCCACTCTCTGTGGTACCAATTTACTGTATTAGTTTGTTCTCAAGCTGCTATAGAAAACTGCTCGAGTCCAGGCACAGTGGCTCATGCCTATAATCCCAGCATTTTGGGAGGCCAAGGCAGATCACTTGAGGTCAGGAATTTGGAACCAGCCTGGCCGACGTAGCAAAACCCTGTCTCTGCTAAACACACAAAAATTAGCCTGGTGTGGTCATGCAGATGTGTAATCCCAGCTGCTCAGGAGGCTAAGGCAAGAGAATCACTTGAATTTGGGAGACAGAGGTTGCAATGAGCCGAGATTGCACCACTGCACTACAGCCTGGGGTGACAGGGCAAGACTCCGTCTCAAAAAAAAAAAAAAAAAAAAAAAAAAAAGAACTGCCCGAGACTGAGACTGGATATATTAGTCCATTTTCTGTTGATAAAGAAATATCTGAGATGGGGCAATTTAAAAAAGAAAGAGGTTTAATAGACTCACAGTTCCACATGGGTGGGGAAGCCTCACAATCATGGTGGAAGGTGAAAGGCAAGTCTCACGTGGTGGCAGACAAGAGAAGAGAGATTGTGCAAAGAAACTCTCCTTTTTTAAAACCATCAGATCTCATGAGACTTATTCACTATCATGAGAAAAGCAGAGAAAGACCTGCCCCCATAATTCAATTACCTCCTAATGGGTTCCTCCCACAATATGTGGGAATTCAAGATGAGATTTTGTTGGGGAAACAGCCAAACCAAATGATCTGCCCCTGGCCACTCCAAAATCTCATGTCCTCACATTTCAAAATGAATTATGCCTTCCCAACAGTCCCCCAAAGTCTAACTCATTTCAGCATTAACAGAAAAGTCCACAGTCCAAAGTCTCATCTGAGACAAGTCAAGTCCCTTGCAGCTATCAGCTTGTAAAATCAAAAGCAAGTTAGCTACTTCCTAGATATAATGAGAGTAGAGGCATTGGGTAAGTACTGCCATTTGAAAGGGTAGAAATTGGCCAAAACAAAGGGGTTATAGGCCTCATGCAGGTTCGAAATCCAGAGGGGCAGTCACATATTAAAACTCCAAAATGATCTCCTTTGACTCCATGTCTCACATCCAGGTCACGCTGATGCAAGAGGTGGGTTCCCATGTTCTGGCACAACTCCACCCCTGTGACTTTGTAGGGTACAGCCTTCCTCTCAGCTGCCTTCACAGGCTGGCACTGAGCATCTGTAGCTTTTACAGGCACAGGTTGGAAGCTGTCAGTGGACCTGCCATTCTGGGGTCTGGAGGACAGTGGACCTCTTCTTACAGCTCCAGTAGGTGGTGCCCCAGTAGGGACTCTGTGTGGGGGCTCTGACCCTACATTTCCCTTCTGCACTGCCCTGGCAGAGGTTCTCCATGAGGGCCCCACCCCTGCAGCAAACTTACACCTGGGTATCCAGACGTTTCCATACAACTTCTGAAATCTAGGCGGAGGTTCCCAAATGCCAATTCTTGACCTCTCTGCACTGGCAGACTCAACACCACATGGAAGCTACCAAGGTTTGGGGCTTGCACTCTCTGAAACCATGAGCCAAGCTCTACACTGATCCCTTTCAGCCATGACTGGAGTAGCTGGGACACAGGGCACAAAGTACCTAGACTGCACACAGCACAAAGACCCTGGGCCTGTCCCAGAAAACCACTTTTTCCTCATAGGCCTCCTGGCCTGTGATGAGAGGGGCTGCCATGAAGACTTGTGAGATGCCCTGGAGACATTTTCCCCATCGTCTTGGGGATTTACATTCTGCTCCTCATTGCTTATGCAAATGTCTGCAACTGGTTTGAATTTCTCCTCAGAAAATGGGATATTCTTTTCTATTGCAATGTCAGGCTGCAAATTTTCAGAACTTTATGCTCTGCTTTCCTTATAAAACTGAATGCCTTTAACAGCACCCAAGTCACCTGTTGAATAGTTTGCTGCTTAGAAATGTCTTCCACCAGATACCCTAAGCTATCTCTCTCAAGTTCAAGTTCCACAAATCTCTAGGACAAAGGCAAAATGCCACCAGTCTCTTTGCTAAAACATAACAAGAATCACCTTTGCTCCAATTCCCAACAAGTTCCCCCTCTCCGTCTAAGACCACCTCAGCCTGGATTTCATTGTCCATATCATTATCAGAATTTTGGTCAAAGCCATTCAACGACTTAAGTCTCTAGGGAGTTCCAAACTTTCCCACATTTTCCTGTCTTCTTCTGAGCCCTCAAACTGTTCCAACCTCTGCCTATTACCCAGTTCCAAAGTCACATCCACTTTTTTGGGTATCTTTATAGAGTGCCCCACTCCCAGTACCAACTTACTGTATTAGTCCATTTTCACACTGCTGATAAAGACATACCTGAGACTGGGCAATTAAAGAAAAAAAAAAGAAGTTTAATTGACTTACAGTTCCGCATAGCTAGGGAGGCCTCACAATCTTGGCAGAAGGTAAAACACACGTCTAACATGGAGGCAGACAAGAGAAGAGAGCTACTGCAGAGAAGCTCCCCTTTTTTAAAAACCAGCAGATCTCATGAGACTTATTCACTATCACGAGAACAGCAGGGAAAGACCTTCCCCATGATTCAACTACCTCCCACTGGTCCCTCCCAAAACACGTGGGAATTCAAGATGAGATTTTGGTGGGGACACAGCCAAACCATAACACTGTGTAATTTAGAAAGGAAAGAGGTTTAATTGACTTATAGTCCTGTATGGCTGGGGAGGCTTCAGAAAACTTATAATCATGGCAGAAGGGGAAGCAAACACGTCCTTCTTCATATAATGGCAGGAATGAGATGTGCCAATTAAAAGAGGAAAAGAAGTTTATAAAACCATCAGATTTCATGAGAACTCACTCACTATCATGAAAACAGCATGGAGGTAACTGCCCCTATGATTCAATTATCTCCCACCAGGTCCCTCCCACAACATATGGGGGTTATGGGAACTACAATTCACAATGAGAGTTGGGTGGGGACACAGCCAAAGCATATCAATAAGTATATATAACATATATATGTATTTTTTGTTTGTTTGTTTGAATCACTAGTTATATGTTCAATGCAAACATTTTAAAAGAAGAGCTGCACACTGGAAAAAAAAAATACCCCTGAAAATATTTAATGTAAATAAGTCCTTGAGATGGTGCTTTTTACAAAAGTTTATCAGCAAATGCCCTTTTTTTGTAGGGGACAGGGCAGCAGGAGAATAGGGACAGGATATCAGACAACTGATTTTTACTGCAATAAGAGCAACAAGGAATCTCACCGTCACATGCCATCTACTTTATGTAAAAACCAATCCAGCAGAACGAGCAACAGTCACCCTCAGGAGGTGATTTAGCCCCAAGTACCCAGAGAACAGCCTCAGGCCACGACTTCTGTGCTGCTTCACTGTGCCCAGAACCATCTGCCAAGACCAGGAATTCATCTTTGGAGTATAACTTGTTTTCTCTCTTTTTTTCACGTCTCAAAAAATAAAAAAAGCTTCATAATACAGCCGAAGGGTTACCATGTGTCTAAAAGGAGGACAGGTTCCCATAAACAATGTTGTCAGCTTGAGTGGGGGTAAACACAGGAAGGAACACCATAAATTAAAGCAGACCCTGACTCTTCAGAGGCTCTGCGGTGATGTCTGGGGGCCAGATCTGCCAGTGGCTGCATTTCCAGCACTAGCATAGTGTTGAGGACTATGAGGAAATATATATATATTTCTAGTAGTCATTCTAAACCATGACAGATTTGATTGTCATAATGATAAGATGATGACAGTTGGTACCTGCTAATGGTATTTAATACCTGGGATCTCAAGATAGCTAAGCATCCTGCAACAGTACCACAGTCTCACAAAACACCTGTAGCCCCCTGGTAATTAAAAAAAAAAAGTGAGGCATAAGTTTTTTTCTTTGATTACTTTAAATAGATCTGATCAAATAGGGAGTCTGATACTGAAAATGACCCCTGCCCCCTTATTCCCTTGTTACATTCAAATTTGTGATGAATTTCTTTACCAAAGGCTAGGAAGTAAAGAGTGAGTGATAAATCAGATATTAGTTGATATTGAGGATAAGAAGCAAAGGTTATTCTGCTATCATTTGCAATATTGCCTGGCATTCTGGTGATGGAAACCAGGGAAACAGCAAAGATCCAATGGCTAAAGGATCATATCAAGAAAAGAAGACCAGTGCGGTGTTAGTGCCTTGTTCTTTTCGTCATTTTAAGACAGCATCACTGTTACTATTTAATTGAAAACTTGGAAATGTTACAAATCTTAAAAGTGTTATGAAGTATAACATCTATGCAGAGTGAAAATGTTGCTGATCAGTCTCAGAAGTTTTATCTGTGTGATTTTTAAAAATCACGTTTTTCTGGCCTGGCATGGTGGCTCACACCTGTAATCCCAGCACTTTGGGAGGCCGAGGCAGGCAGATCACGAGGTTAGGAGATCGAGACCATCCTGCCTAACACGGTGAAACTCCATCTCTACTAAAAATACAAAAAATTAGCCGGGCATGGTGGTGGGCACCTGTAGTCCCAGCTACTCGGGAGGCTGAGGCAGGAGAATGGCTTGAATCCGGGAGGCAGAGGTTGCAGTGAGCCGAGATCGGGCCACTGCACTCCAGCCTGGGCGACAGAGTGAGACTCCATCTCAAAAAATAAATAAATTAATTAATTAAAATTAAAATTAAAATAAATAAATCATGTTTTTCTGACTGTCTACTCCCTTGTTGCTACTTTACTTATTCTGGTCCACCCAGCAGAACTGCTTTCAAAGGTTGTTGAGAACTGAATGAAGGCAAATATAAGTGGTGCATGCTGTGTAAATCTCCTCTACACCTCACCTTTATAGAATAGAGGTGTTAACTGACATGTACCTGTGTGATGTTTTGCTTATTCCTATTACAAAACAGAAACATATATTTATAGAAAAATGAGAGATTAACATCTTTAAAAACTGTAAAACCAGTCATACCCATACAGAAAGCTCTTTTGTCTTTAGGCTATTGACTCGGTACACATGTTGGCATATGACCCAGTGAATTTGAATCTCCACTCTTCCAAATACCCAGTTGAGCTTTGCTTAGCCATCTACCCAAGATAAGTTGCTCTGAGATCACATATAACTCCTTAACACTTAGCAATAAGAAATTTCTACTAATTGTATTGATTTCTGTATATAGAAAGCCTACTATTTCTATAGTCATTCAAATATTTTTACTCCATTCTGCAAAACCAAACAGTTATAACTTTATTCAAATCATGTGAACAAGATTGAATTGGGTCATTTAGGAGCTAACTATCAACATCAGCACTTGTTAAAGACTAACTTTAGTTCTGAAGTAGAGGAAAATTTAACAAGCACTTCTGTTTTTTCATGCTAAGCTTAGGGCTAGATACACTACTTAAGAACAACATTCAAATTGCTTTATATTATTGGTTAATTAAAACTTAAAAAATTTAGCATTTTACCAACTTGACATAGCCATGACTTCCATTATAAGTTAGGTGAAAGTTTTTGTAGGCTAGCAAATTATAAGTTATTTAATATATAAAAGAAAGTCACATACTACATTTGATTATTTGTTGTGCTCCCACCTGCATTTCTTTCTTGTTACTTATTACTATGTAATCACAGCACTTTAATAAATATTTTCTTTATCTACTATACGATTTGAAACTGAAAAATGGAATTTCATATAAGAAGAATAAATGTATGATTTAAAAGCTGCAAAAGGGTATTTTACAAGCAATTCTAAGTTCTTAATGGTATTTATGTGGAGAATTAGAAACAAAAGTGAAGGTAGAAAATTCGGATATATTAAACTGAAACTATTTTCTTAATTATAATTGTTTTGTCCCCTGATGTAGTCTTACATTTCGAATTATATAAAATTTTATAATTTTTATTCACCAAAATATTCCTAAAAAATTAAGATACGAGTAAATTCTTATATAGGAAATATGATTCATGGGTTTGTTGCTATAAGTAATTTAAATTCTGCAAATCCTTGTGCATTTCTCTTTCACCTAATTCCACATGGAAAAAAAAATTCTTCAGACTTAAAATAGAAAATTTGGAAGACCATCAAGATTATGTTTGTAAACTGCTGACTTGTTAGCTTTTTTACCCTCTTGGCATATGTCCAAATACAGCCTTATAATTAAGCAGGTCTGCCATCTTAGGTGCCACCAAAGGTGCCCCTTATTGATGGCAGTCAGATGGAATACCATCTGGTAGTAGCAATTTATTATTTGAGATATTTAATGACATGCCACATTTCATACACAGTTAAATGTATCATTCTTTAGACACTGCATTTTTATTGGGATGGTTACTTAAACAGTTAAGTGTTGACATTTTTACAGTCCCAGAAGATTATAGGTATCAAAAAAGACAAAAATGACAAGACCCACAGGGATTTTAATTAACTTTGTAAACCTCCATTTTCATAAAAACTATGTATTACATGTTTGGTAACAATTACAGGTAACTTGTATGCAATAAACGTTGTCAAAAGGTATAGGGTAGATTTTTTTCCTGAAAATGGTCTAAAACTGTCATCAAACCCTGTGCTGAATAAAGAACAGGAATGTTGTTGCCCCTTTGGCAAAAGGATAGTAGCTTTGGAACCTGAAAACTTTGGTTCAGATTTTCTCTCTTTCACTTAGCATGTACATGTTTTTGTCCAACGAATTTCATTCTAATGTGTAAAATGGACACACTAATTGGATAAGTTATAAAAACGTATAAGGCCTGGCATGGTGGCTCATGCCTGTAATCCTAGCACTTTGGGAGGCCAAAGTAGGAGGATAACTTGAGTCCAAGAGTTTGAGAACAGCCTGGACAACATGGTAAAACCTTGTCTCTAAAAAAAATACAAAAACTAGCCTGGCGAGGTGGCACACTCCTGCAGTCCCAGTTACTTGGGAGGCTGAGGTGGAAGGATCACCTGAGCTCAGGAAGATCAAGGCCTTAGTGAGCCAAGATCGTCTCACTGCCCTCCAGTCTGGGAAACAGAGTGAGACTCTGCCTCAAAATAAACACATTAAATTAAAAGTTATATATTGAATTTTATACGTAAATCTATAAGAGAGAAATATACATTTTATATTTGTATATTTACATTTTATTATTATTATGCTTACAATGTGAACTACTTGAATAACAGGAGTAAACGTTTTCTAAATTCTCTAGCACCTAGCATATTTCCTATTATCTAGTTGGTAATTAGTAAATGCTTATTCAATTTAAATAGTGTTAATCTTCTTAAACTTGGGGGTACTGAAAATTAGATTACAGATTTTGAAAAATTTTCCCTAGGTGTAGATATATAGCATAAGTAAAACACATTTACTATATTTGAATAATTTGTATAGTCTTCTTCGAAAAAGTAAAATTAAGTAGAATTTTAATAGACATATTTGTAAGCATCATTATTGTTTGCAATACCTTCCCCTTTCCCCTTAGCAAGAACATCTCGGTTGTCAGACAGTAAGCACATAGTGCTTTTTTAAAGGGGATGTTAAGTCTTAGGATAAATATAAAGCATGTTCTACAAGCATTCATTAATTAGATATTAAGTACTTGAAAATGTTTATATATAAGTTGGTTACTTTACAGATTATATATAAATTTTTAAATTTTCGATTAGAGTACAGGGTACTGCTTATTATTTGTACTTACAGCTGGCCATATTCCTATAATCCTCAATGTCTGTTGGGACAGTCACTCTACCACTCCTTTTGGTATTGAAGCTATTTTGAAGAAAAAAGTTTGAAAACTATTCTGATATTTTTATTACTTCCTCCAAATTAAGTTCCCTCATGTTATTATCCTATTTAGTTTTACTATGAATTTAAATTATTTTGGAGTATTCTCATGCCTTATTCACATCTACAATTTCTAGGTTTTGCTTTTGTTGTTTTCATACATCTTTTTCCAAAATCTTCTTGATGTTATTGAACCATTCTACATTTTAATCCATTTGTTAGCATGTTAATAAACAGTATTGCTGTCAAATGGTCTTCATACTGCACAGAGGTTGTTTCTAAACATCCACGCTTCCTAACTTTAAATTTGACTGTAAATATTTCGTACTAGTTCACATTCAGAAGATATTTAAACATTTACTTATAGAAACAATGGCAAGAGATTTGTTTAAAAAAATCTTTATATGTTGCTTTGAAAGTCTTATTTGTGTTTAAGTGTGTTTGTGTGTGTGTGTGTGTGTGTTGTGTATGTGTTTCTGCAAAGCTGTTGTAAGCTCATTTCATTCCATTGTTTTTTTACCATTCTGGGTTAATCGTTCTTAGTATTTGCCGGATTCCCTTATTGACAAACTCATATGTTGTACTTATATATACTCTAGATTCAAAAAAGTGAATTTATTTGATTTACTTGAAAAGATTTATTATAAAAACATATAATACGTTAAATGACATTTGCTTTTCCAGAATAACAGGCTTTCTAAACAATCAGGTTTTGTGGTTACCATTAACTGGGCTCACTTTTATCATCTAATTTAATCTAATTTTGCCATCATTCCTGTCTACAATGGTAGCAAATATAAGGATTTATTCTAAGTTATTTATTCAACTTAATATGACAACGCTTTATTTTAACCTGAAGTAACTTTAGAGTATATCCATTCTAAAGAAGGACATTTTCTTTATCTCTAATCCTTGCTCCTTTTCTCTCCAAGTTCTCCACATATAATTCAGGCTATAAAATCATGAAAATATATGCAAGTCATGTATAAAAATACTTTATCTAATTAAAAGATTGCTTTGAATTAAATAGTAATTATACTCCCGTTTTACCTATTTGTATTTAGCAGTAATTTTGCTGGTAGAGAGAGAATTCTTTTGCCTCCCGTTTTACAAACTTATAATGACATTTTAGATCATGGAGTTAAGAACAATTAGCACAAATGCAAATTCATGATACATTATACCCACTGAATATTCAGATATTAAAAGACATTTATATTTAAAAAATACTACTATTAAACTTCTGGATATATGAGTTTTATGAACTTGTCATATCCCTGCAAGCTTTCCCTTATGACACAGTTAAGTTTGGTAAAGAAAAAAATAGAAAGTTCAATAGAAGGTCTTTAATTTATAATTTCTTACTACTTAAATATATAAATGGGTTGCAAGGGGAAGATGAAGATAATTCAGAAATAATAAATGCACAAAGTAACCATCAGCATTAGGCCTAATAAAATAATCTCGGGTTCCCAGAATAAAAATGCTTACAGGAGGTACTTCATGTCACTGAGGCTCAGACTTCTGAGCAAAGGATTCAATCTTCCTGCAGCCCATACCACTAAATACACATAAAGGAGGCTGGTTTACAGAATGTCAAATGATGCTGGAGGCTAGAACCAACAGTCACAGCTGGGGTAATGTGCCAATGCTGGGTAAAGTGCTTCTGAGACGGAAAAGTGCTACTGATGGGGTCACAAGAATGCCAAGAAAACAGAGAAGTCTGTCTTCCCCGTTCTACCTTCAGTTTTCTCCCTAGTGCCCTATTGATAGAATTTAATCCATGAGAAGTTGGCATAGGAATCAGAGAAATGTACTTTGTAGAGTCCATTTGCCAGCATAACAGACCGATATACAGAAGGGTAAATTTGGAACCATAAGCCTAGCACATTGCTGGTTCTGCTTTATCGGAAAGAAGTGACAAACTACACACAAAAAAAGAGAATGGCAAAATGATTCTAGTTCATCTATATTGTAGGGGAGGAACAACAACAACAAAAAATCTCTCTCCTCCACCCTCCCAGGTTCTGCAGGTGAGGCACTGGAAAGTAAACTGACAAAAACCGGTTAACAAGAGAAAAAGAAACAGAATTGATTACCATGTAGCATTCAAACATATGGGAAAAAGTCAGTGAGGAGTAACTCAGAGAGGTGGTTAGAATCTGGGGGTATACAGCATTTTAACAAAGAACAATAAATTTGTAGAGAAGTAACAAGACAAAACAGAAAGTCTTTTAGAGGCAGCAAACTGTGAGAAGGCAGACACATGGAAGGAAACTAATACAGTAAATGATAAGAGTTATTTTAATAAGTTTTGTTACATAAACTTCTCTCTCTGTGGTATCTCTAGGTTGATAAGAATCTATTGTTGTTCCCAGTGATTAAAGGTTTAAGAGTTGCTTTCCTCTTCCTGGTATAGAAGAGAGGTACACACACATGGAATTTATGTCTTGTTTTTTAGGCAAATAAAGGCATAAAGGGCAGAGAGTTTTTTGGTGCCTGCTATTTTTTTAATTGCCTTCAGCTAAAAAATCTTTATGTAAAATAACCTATTTTGGAGTGGCATATTCTGATCCTCTACAATATTAATATATTTATTACATTCATGTATTAATTATATTAACATTACTTACATTTTCCATCCCAATAACTTTATTTCTTTCAAACATTTTATTGTAGTGCTTATTTTAGTTTTCTACTTTTTTCTTAATATTAGGGCAAATGCACTTTATGTGTATATTATTCAAATATGCATAGGCTCTTGCTGTATATAATAAAAATAAGGTGATAATAATATCAGTGTAGAAATCTTAACATCTCCACATCCCACATGTTCTCATAGGAATTTAAATTTCATGCTCAGATTTCAAGGCTCCCAAAATGCTGATGAGATTCCTGTAAAGTCCTTTTCATGTATTAACATGTATTGTTCTCAGCCACTAAAAATTCTTCCCCCACTACATGGTGTCTGGCAGTCTTTGCAGCTCAAAATGCATACCAGCTACAGGCTTTTGATTGAGGTGCCACTATAACTGGAAAACTGTTGCCAAGGGAAGGAAATAGAACATGTTCAACTCTATGTTACAGCATTTTTGAGTGCACAGGTAGGCAGGAAAGACCAGGGGTGTTTTTTGTTGTTTTGTGTGTGTGTGTGTGTGTGTGTGTGTGTGTGTGTGTGTGTGTGTTTTGGAGTATTACTGAATTTAGTAAAACAGTTCCTCCTTTTCCTATAGTAGCACAAGTTTGAACGTCACTAAGTTGGGATGCATTTGCCTATCAACTGCCTTGCTATACCACCAATCAATCTCCCTCAAACACACAGAGATATTTAGCTTAGGTAGCTAAATCTGGTTGGTTATTTAGATTTCTTCTCTCTGATGAACTTGACTTTCAGGCTAGAGAAATTACAGGGAAAGGGGAAGTAGCTAAACAATACTTTAAAGAGAATCAGACAAACTAACAAGTAGAAAATTTTAAGGAAAAATAGGATCTCATTCTTTAGGAAGTCAAAGAAACCTGAGAAAAGAACGTGCTAAAGATTGAAAATAAAAACCTGAAGAATACAACAGCTGGATACAAAGTATAATAGGGAACTGCAGACTGATTTGAACTGACAAAGAGAAAAGATATATGGGGAGTGAATAGGGGAGGAAAATATAAATAGGCAGATCCCCAGGTCTAAATATTGTATCTTACTAGGAATGACTACTACTAATCATACCGGTTTTGAAAATATTCTAACATTAAAAAATATTCATTTTTTTATAAAGAAAAATACTGAACTATTTACCGGAGAAGACTTGTTTGCAATTTACTTTAAAATGCTTCACTGTAGAAAGTATGAAATGTGATGTGCAGTTAGCTTACTCTCTGCCCTTGGTGTGATGGATTGCCCCAATCAGGAATCCACATCCTAAGCCCCTGCATCCTGCAGTGACTGGCTAAAGCAAAAACATCTGCCTTCTGTATCTTAAGAAACACATGGCTTCCTAATTAGCATTATGAATTTAAGAAAATGGGATTATATTGGTGAATTTTGAAGGTCATTCACATAATAGATGCTAGAAAACTATTCTCACTGAAGAAAATTGGAAGTATTCAAGATTTATTGACTGACAAAAATATTCTAGATGCTTTTTTCCATCTTTCCATTAAAATCTAAGTGAGAAATCAAAAAGACTTTCCTTGCAGCTAATAAACAGATCCTATTTACTTTACTGGATGATAAACAGAATGGAATAAGGTGATTAGGGGAACAAAGAATACTGAGAAAAAGCCTGTGGTCTTAAACACAAGTTAGCAAGCAATTAACACAGCTCCAAAGAATTCCAACTGGGCACGGTTTTAGGTCAAGCTCAAGGCCTTGGATGGATCCTGGTTGGGTTAACTTAATCTTCAAGTTAGTAAACAATTAACAGAGCCCCAAAGAAGTCCAACCGGGCAGGTGTTTTAGGTCAAGCTCAAGGCCCTGGTTGGGTCTGGGTTGGGCTCTGAGATGACATCATTTCAGTTTTGCACTTAAAAAGTTTGATCCCAGGTCTTCTGAACACCACGAATCAGCAAGCCTGGTCCTCTACTCTACTTTAGGACTAGCATCCCCTGAATTGCAGAGTCTCTCCTCTGTAATTATTTGCCCATGTTCCCCACTCTCACTATGCCAGGGGCTGTCAAACTATAGCAGGCAAACACAATAAATCTGGCTTTAGTCTCTTCTAGTATGATGTGCAATCTAAGAATAAATTTTACATTTTTAAATGGTTACATTTTAGAAGAATTAAATTTTAAATCATTATATGAGTACCTGCTTATTCTCCTTGAATTTTCTTCCTGGCTCACAAAGCCTAAAATATTTACTATCTAGCGCTTTACAGGATACTGTTTGCCAGTGCCTGCACTATGCTGATAAGTAGGGTTAAGTCACAGCATAACCCAAGGCTGGACCGGCTCAAGGAGAACAAAAGGACCCTATCTATACACTAATGCAGCTGCAGGAACTGGCCAACATAAACTTGCAGGAGCTGATAGAGCACATGAGGGCCAAAGCCTAAAGATGCTAGATCAAAGGAACTCTCCAAAAACTGAAAAGGGATATGAGCCCTTGTACTTTGGCTTAATTTTCTATTACAGTGGCAGCAAATTGTCACAAACTGGAGGAGTTAAAACAACACAAATTTACTATCTTACAGTTCTATGGGTGAGTAGTTGCATATATGTCCTGTGAACTAAAATCAAGATGCTGTCAGGGCTGCATTATTTTCTAGTGCTCTAGGGAAGAATGCATTTTTCTGGCCTTTTCCAAGTTTCAGAAGATGCCCACATTTCTTGGCTCATGGCCTCCTTCCTCCATCTTCAAAGCCAGCTAGCTTGCATCTTTTCAAAGGTGCTTCCTCATGATCTCTCTCCATATTCAAAGCCAGCTAGCTTGCATCTTTTCAAAGCTGCTTCCTCACGATCTCTCTCTCTCTCTCTCTTCTCCACAAATATGAAAGATTCTTTGTACCTACATGAATAGTTTGGCCCCACCAAGATAATCCAAGATAATCTTCACATATCAAGATCCTTAACCTTAATCCTATGTGCAAAATCCTTTTGCTACATATGATAACATATTCATCAATTCTGCAGATTTGAGCATAGATGTCTCTGGGGGCCCTTTATTCAGCCTAACACATCTTTGCTTGTTTTGGGAGATTTGAAATGTAGTAATTTTTTATTTACTTCAGAGGGAATATTCAAACATAACCCAGACTACTGAAAATTTCACTAAGGTGATATATCCTTGAATTGATCTGAACCAGATGAGCAAAAGTATTAAATAATGTGCTGGGCTTGGTAAGACAACATGCACCCTAGAAAGTGAGAGATAAACACATGTGGCTTCAGAGTAGTGAGGTAACTTTGTAATTGAGTATCCCTGCCTCAAAATGCATTTTAAAACTCATTTTCTTTTCTTGCTTTCAGCCTTGAAACATACTTGAATATTTTTGTTTCTCCCTTTCCCACCAGGCACTTCTGTGAACAGTGCTTGCTTGCCTAACTATATGCTTGCTTAGAAATTCCAGGGGTCAATTTTGAAACAAACCAGGCAAAAATATTCAGCTGTAGAATCCTATCACTTAGTGGGGGTTAGGGAGAGTTAGCCCACCTACACCCCACTGAAGTCAGGATTGCCTGATCAGGACTTCCAGAGGGGCAATTACTCAAGATAACCACGGAAATGACACATAGACCTGCGCCACTCCTTTCCCCCACTTTTTGCTCCCACACTTTTTGCTCCTTAAACCCCTTCACTCAGCCCCCAAATTTGGAAGCTCATGCTTTGAAGGCAGTCTGGCGATTCCCCCACTGCTAGATTTGAGTAATAAAACTGCTTTTCTTTCACCACACCTCACGTAGGTTTTCAGCATCTGTGGGGCAAACAGCCAGGCTTGAGCCAGTTACAAGTTTATGGTCAATGGATGAAAAAAAGGGAAAGCCCAGGCTCGGTTCATTAACTGATACGAGTAAGCTCAGTATTCATATTAGAGAAGGAAGTAAATGGAGGCTGGTCTACAGCCCCATCGGGTGTGGTCATGAAATAAAGCAGTGAGGAGAAATTATCTCATTAAGCAGAGCTTTTGGTGGTATACATGGATGGACAACTAATCTGGGTATAAAGAAAAGTGGCCAAGTTCTAGTTCTCTTAAAACTGGACAAGCCCCCTGCACTGCATCCTATGTCCCCTGCTGATAAAAAACTAAAATTCAATTGAGAACTCTGAGAAGTTAAACTCAAGTGGGCAGATTGTAAAGGGAACCTAAAAGCTAAAGAAGCAGTCTGCAAAGGGACGAATTTCCAGATTTTTCTTCTCATTTTAGCTCTCATAACTTGATTCCCAAGGGTGGGATTCAGTCACATTGCTGATCAGGGGAACAATGGTGTAGAAGGCTAAAACACTGATGTATACCCTATTTTTCTGGACAACAGGATAAGATAAAAGGTCCCCTGTTGCCTGGAGAGTGAAAGGTAGGGATCCTGGAAGGGGAACAGTTGGAGAAAGGGATTCCTTAATTCTGCATATAAACCACACAAGTCTCTAGGCTATCCCAGAGCATGCATTAGACAGACTCCAAAACAACACTGCAAAGGTTTTGAGAATTGAACTAAAATTTGAGTTGCCATCCCAAACTCAGATTTACCCCTGAATGGCACACACATGAGACAAGCTCAAAGCAGAGTGACAAGGGCTTTGAAAAATAAATAAGATCTAGACAATGGTCAAAGTTACAATTACCCCCTGAGTAACACTTGCACATGATAGATCCAAAGCAGCATAACAAAGGCTCTCCAAACTGCACTGGGATTGAAACTATCACTTACAGAAAGCAAGATACAACTTGTGACTTAAACCTATAAGGATTTATGCACAAAATGAATAAATAATAATAAAAAATTCTCCAGGATGTTATAAATGTACCCAGAATATACACAAAATCCAAAATCATTAGATATACAAAGAACCAGAAAAATTTTATCAAAGCTCAAGGAAATATCAATCAACATAGGCCAGCTGTAAGATATTTTAGTTATTGGAATGATCAAATCAGTTATTTAAAGCAGCTATTTTATTATTGTAGTATATATACCACATGAAATAATTTAAGCACACTTGGATGTTTTTTATAACAAAAAAATTAAAACTTACCTTGAGAGGTGACAGCTTGCTGGCAGCGCTCACAGCCCTGGCTCGCTCTGGGCGCCTCCTCGGCCTTGGCGCCCACTCTGGCTGCGCTTGAGGAGCCCTTCAGCCCGCGGCTGCACTGCGGTAGCCACTTTCTGGGCTGGCCAAGGCCGGAGCCGGCTCCCTCAGCTTGCGGGGAGGTGTGGAGGGAGAGGCGTGGGCGGGAACCGGCGCTTGCCGGCCAGCGCGAGTTCCAGGTGAACGTGGGCTCGGCAGGCCCGGCACTCGGAGCGGCCGGCCGGGGCAGTGAGGGGCTTAGCACCTGGGCCAGCAGCTGCTGTGCTCGATTTCTCGCCGGGCCTTAGCTGCCTCCCCGCGGGGCAGGGCTCGGGACCTGCAGCCCGCCATGCCTGAGCCTCCCCCTAACCCGCCGTGGGCTCCTGTGCCGCGTGAGCCTCCCCTACGAGCACCGCCCCCTGCTCCACGGCGCCCAGTCCCATCGACCGCCCAAGGGCTGAGGAGTGCGGGCGGACCGGGCGGGACTGGCAGGCAGCTCCACCTGCGCCGGTGCGGGATCCACTAGGTGAAACCAGCTGGGCTCCTGAGTCTGGTGGGGACTTGGAGAACCTTTATGTCTAGCTAAGGGATTGTGAATACACCAATCGACACTCTGTATCTAGCTCAAGGTTTGTAAACACACCAATCAGCACCCTGTGTCTAGCTCAGGGATTGTGAATGCACCAATAGGCACTCTGTATCTAGCTCAAGGTTTGTAAATACACCAATCGACACTCTGTATCTACCTAATCTAGTGGGGACATGGAGAACTTTTGTGTCTAGCTCAGGGATTGTAAACACACCAATCAGCACCCTGTCAAAACGGACCAATCAGTTCTCTGTAAAAGAGACCAAGCAGCTCTCTGTAAAATGGACCAATCAGCAGGATGTGGGTGGGGCCAGATAAGAGAATAAAAGCAGGCTGCCCCAGCCAGCAGTGGCAACGTGCTGGGGTCTCCTTCTCCAATGTGGGAGGTTTGTTCTTTTGCTCTTTGCAATAAATCTTGCTGCTGCTCACTCTTTGGGTCCACGCTGCCTTTATGAGCTGTAGCACTCACTGGGAAGGTCTACAGCTTCACTCCTGCAGCCAGCGAGACCACGAACCCACCGGGAGGAACAAACAACTCCAGACGTGCCACCTTAAGAGCTGTAACACTCACCGCGGAGGTCTGCAGCTTCACTTCCTGAGCCAGCGAGACCACGAACCCACCAGAAGGAAGAAACTCCGAACACATCCGAACATCAGAAGGAACAAACTCCAGACACGCCACCTTTAAGAACTGTAACACTCACTGCCAGGGTCCGCGGCTTCATTCTTGAAGTCAGTGGGACCAAGAACCCACCAATTCCGGACACAACCGAATGGGTCCAATAGTAGAAACTAAATTTTTAAAAAATTGTGGGTGATTTGAAAGTAGATTCATAGCTACCATGTAACCTGACAACAGCGATTTTAAACATTGAGTAACAAATAAGAATAACAACAATAAATGGAAAAAAACCCAGAGAGCCTCACATGGGGCAAAATCAAATGGTCTGATGTAAGTGTCTTTTGAGACCAGAAGGAGAGAAGAAAGCAATTGGGGAAAAAAAACAGAACTCACAGACCTTTTCCATTTTAAGTTCACTGTTTACATCTCATCCTGCAGTCCCAAGTAATCACAAGGGAGGCTGCAGACTGGCTAGCCTCTGACGTTAGTAGGACCCAGAGCAAGAATATAAACGTAGGGGCCTACGTTTTATATGGTTACATGTCTAAAATTGATAAACCTAGCCAAAAGATTGTTGAGTAAGATGAGATTTAGCCTCTCACCTTGAGAATTATACATTACAGGACAGTTCTCCAGATGGCCTTAGTACCAACTCTGTTTACTCCTTTTCTCATTTGTAGTTCTCAAGAATAACCATAGAACATGTGGAAGTAGTTGGAACAGCCCAGGTTCTGTTCTAGTCTCTCCCGAGAACAGGTTGTCCTACAGTGTTTTAGGCTAGCGTGTCATATTACGCTCAGGGTGCAAAACCCAGGAAGGGTTGTTTTCCATGATCCCTCATCTGTGGCGCAAATGGGGCCCGTACAGATGACTCCATCTGACCTGAGTAGATTTCCCAAGGCTTGGGGCACCAGGTCTCAATGAATCCTGGACTTTTCTTGTCCATTGCTATCTATAAGTAATAAACCTACTTTACATAACTTGTTATAGGTGTGTGTGTTCTATCTCACCAGACACAAACAAACTGGTAACCAGTGCACGGTGAACTTGCTTCACATACGTAAATAACAACATATAAGGACATAACTTGAGACTTCTGTGACTCCTCAGAATTTTGTCCAGGATCTTGGTAGTGCAGAGAAAGTATACCACCCTCCCACCCTTTTCTAATGGGCATGGGTTCACCCCATTTATTTTCCTACACCTGTCTCTGTTTTGCATAATAAGGACTCTAAAAAACACCTGTGCAGATACTCCAGCCTCCAACCATATCCTATGTAAAGAGCCAAATCTTGGCACCCCTTTGTCCTAGGGGCGCACATACTCTCTGTTGGATTGTCCGTAAGAGGACAGCTCCATAAGGCCTGCATAATCTCTGGGGCAGTCATGGGTTGATCTGAATAGGAAATTCCAAGATGCTGGGTAGCATGGATGAGACAGCAGATGTGGGCTAAGGACATTCCTTTAGAATCTGTAAAGCCTTTACCCCATAAGGAGCATGGTCAGCAGTGGCCAGGACTGGGCCTTGAAAATACAGGGCTCAAGCCAGCAGTCTTTCCCCCATTTAAGGGTGCAACAGGATGATGAATTTTTTTGCCTGGGCATTTTCTCAAAATAAACTTTAAGTTCTGTTACAGTGAGAAAGCAGAAAATTTTAAGAAGTCAGAAGACTACAGTATCTGTGATAGAATTCAGAAACGGTCATTATTTCTGTCCTATTTGACACTGCATAATCACTTTTATCAACAGTATATTTTGATTAAATTTTCAACAAGTTTAGAAAAAATTATTTCTATAAAAGATTAAGGTATTAAACCTCAGACAAGCCCATGCAGTGCCCAAAGTCTCATGCATGCTCTAGTTGTTGGACTCCTAAAATGAGTTACTCCCTTCTTTGTTAATTGTAGTACATATTAAGTAATTCCATATATGAAATGTGAAAATCAAAAGCAAATAATGAATGTGAAGAATATAAAAGCTTATTATTTGGCCTTCATCAACACAGTTTCATGCATTTAGCAAGCACTAAGTAGATATTTAGTAAACAACTGGATTTTGGTATTATATTGAATGAAAATAGGAATCAGAATGATTCTAAAGTATGACTAGAATCTCCATGCTTTGGGTCTTTTTTATTATAAAATTTTTATATGATAAAATTCAGGAGATACTGTTAGAGATTTTAAGAGTAAATGTGAGTAATAACAACAAAGATATTTTCTGAATGGAATCTTGTGTCTTTGCCACTCTACATTTGATTTATTTGTATGAGTTAGTCACTGATGGTTCTCAAATTAAAAATATTGTTATATTTTCCAAAATTTTATAAGGAATAAATATACCTAATTATACAGAATTTAATTGTCTTTTCTGAGATTACACAGAAAGTGAGTTTTAGAACTGTAATTAGAATCTTTAACGTGTTTTGGTCCATTTGTACTGTGGGCCAAAGTATCTTGCAAGTTTAAAGATTTAGATAGGTCAGTGTTAATGAGAGGAAAATAAGGTTGTTATCAATAAGGTTGATAATAAAACGATAATAGGAAAATAAGGTAGGCTGGAGAGCGGAGCAGTCCAGATAATCACAAACTTTAAAAAAATAGAAGACAGCTCCAAATAGCATGTATAGTCTAAAAGATTTAGCTATGATTGTACCATTGCACTACAGCCTGGGCAACAAAGGGCATATTCATACAAACGGAACAATGTTATTTTATCAAGGTATTAGATTGTCATCCAAAACACATATGGTTGAAGTATCAACTCTGGTAAGGATGCTATGGGCCAGAGAATACAAAGTAAGTGAGACTCTGTCTGAAAAAAAAAAAAAAAAAAGAAAGAAAGAAAAAGAAAGGCAATAACACAAACAAAAATGCCCTATGGTCATAAGTCCTTAGGACAGAGGGAGAATATCAGTCAAGTAAAATTTCCAAAACGTCATCACAGAAACACACACATTCACCATCCTCGCCCAGCACACACTCCACATTGTCTACAATTAGTCCATTACTGCATTTGGGTCTGTATTCTCTGACCCATAGCATCCTTAACAGAGTTGATACTTCAACCATATGTGCTTTGGATGATAATCTAATACCTTGACAAAATAACGTTGTTACCCTTGTGTGAATATAGCAAATTTGGAAAATTTCAAATAAGTCATATCCATGGTCTTATATATTTGTGCAAATTTAGATATTGTGAATAACTTTTCTTAAAGTGTTTGTAAAATTTACCAAAATGTAAGATTAGGCATGCTTGCATTTTCAATTATATTAATTGTTTTTCAGTTTGTGATTTTAAGTTGAAAGACATGTCAGTTTGTAGAATTACTATGTTATCATGATAAAGAGAACATACCATTTACTAAGTGGGTAAGTTTAGAAGATTTTGTTAAATTAATTTTTTGAGCGCTTAACAAGAATTTGTATATTCCTTAGTTTACCTGACACTGGAAGCCTTAAGAATATTAAATTCATTAAATTTTAAAATCTAATTTAAATTACTTAAGAAAATATATTATTTATGTTTATTCATAATTTATTTTCTTAACTTTGGGTTGATCCTTGAAATGACTAACTTCTAAAGCCAAGAAGGATTCGCTTTTTTCTCTGGAAGTTGTTAGTTTAATAAGCAAATATTATTGTAAATACCCAAGTAAGGACATGAAGTTTCTTTTTGAGATGATGAAATGTTCTAAAATGGATCATGACAATAGTTGCCCGTATCTGAAAATATACCTGAAAACATTGAATTGTACTTTTTAAGTGGGTGAATTGTATGGCAGGGGTCCCCAACCCCTGGGCTATGAACTAATGTCAATTCATGGCCTGTTAGGAACCAGGCCGCACAGCAGGAGGTGAGCCACAGCAAATGAATGAAGCTTCATCTGTATTTACAGCCACTCCTTATTGCTCTCATTACCGCTTGAGTTCCACCTCCTGTTAAATCGGTGGTGGCATTAGATTCTCACAGGAGTGCAAATTTTATTGTGAACTGCACATGTGAGAGATCTAGGTGACACACTCCTTATAGTAATCTAATGCCTGATTATTAGCCACCGTCTCCTATTACCCACAGATGGGAAAACTCTGCAGGGAACAATTTGCAGGAAAACAAGCTCAGGGCTCCCATTGATTCTACATGATGGTGAATTGTATAATTATTTCATTATATATTACAATGTAATAATAATAGAAATAAAGTACACGATAAATGTAACGTGTTTACATTATCCCCAAACCATCCCTCCATCCCTAATCCATGGAAAAATCGTCTTCCATGAAACCAGTCCCTGGTGCCAAAAAGGTTGGGGACTGCTATTGTATGGCATATAAATTGAATCTCACTGAGGTTGTTTTAAAAAGTAAGTTGATATAGCCTTCTTAGCTCAAGACTCATCCCTCAGTAAAGATTTAAATGCTACCTTATACATATTATTATTTCTTAAAATAAATTTTAAAATAGTTAAAGTGCCCAATTAAAAAAATTTTGATTCAAAATTATAAATGCTTTTATAAATTGTTATAGCAATTTATACACTTATCTTCAGTGTATTTTTAGTTCTTATCATATCCAGCTATGCAAAAGATTATAATCCTTAAAGAGCAAAAATTTTACAAAAAATCTGTGATAGTTTTTTTGTTCAAGATTCAATATCTCAATACACTGGTTTTTAATATAAATGTACTTGAGAATCAGTGAGGATGACATTTTAAAAAATGCATGTTCTGTATCAGTCTAGGTCTAATCAAGAAAGAGAAACCACTTAGTTAAGGGAAAATCTAAAGAAGAATTATTAACTATAACAGGAAATTAGAGTAATGAGGGTTTGACTAGTATGGAGTAAATATTAATTTAAGGAATGTAGGCATAGTAGATATAAAAAGAGCCATTACCACTTGGGCTGAGATAGAGAACCCAAGGAAGAATTTCCACCCCCTACTACCAACCCAAGGCTGAGATCTAGACTTTTGTGGAGGGGGCACGGTCATGGCAAGGAAGTTGTTATAGTGTTGTGCTGATGAAACTGGCTGGAAATTCACTATCTAGGATGCCAGGGACAGCTATTCCCTGACAATTATCTTGCTGGGAGCACTCAGCTAGAAATCATCTGCCCTGAGGAAGTGCTGGGGAAAGCTGTTGGCCACTGAAAGTTGCTGGCCACAGTGAACTGCAGAAATTAGGTACTAGAAAATTTGGAAGTGCTGTGGGAGCTGTGGCCTTGGATGCCCTGTGCACCGCAAAAGCAGTTACACCAGGACCAAGCAGCAAAAGTTTTCTCCTACAATATTTCTCCACCATCTTTTACTGGCAAAGCTTTAATGGAAGCTGGCAAGGAAAAACAGTGAAAGGGGCACAGATCCTTTTACAAAGAGCCGGCAGAAGGGTGAAATTGGAGTTGAGAAGCACTAAATTGACTAGAAGAACAATATTTTTAAATATTTTTACGTTAAGAATTGTCCACTCCTTTACATTTAAAATGTTTCTATCAGAAATTGAGTTTTAATATGGATTTTAAGATACTTTGACTGTCATAAGTGTTGATAATGAGTGACATTTGTAAGTTGACTTTTTGTTTGAGGTATATTTTTGTTTATCTCAGATCTTAATGTTTCTTTAAGAAATTTATTCATGTCTTGGTGTATGACATTAAACAATTTCACCAGTTTAGAAGGTTCATATTTTTGTCTCTGTTTATTTTTATGATATTGTGTTTTTTTATACTTACTACTTTTAATCCCCTGGAAATGATTGTATCGTATGGCCTGGGGACATTCTAGTATTAATATTTATTGAGGCCTCAAGCCCAGTTGTGTCGATGTGGGCTGTAATGTCTCTTGTTTTAGCTTTCCCCCAGGAAGAGCAATCCATCCAGCAGTCCTTGAGGAGTGGTTCCTGGAGTCATACAAACAATTAGACCTAAGGCGAAAATAGTGAACAGAAGACCTTGTGATGTGTAGTAAACTTTTCACTGCAACTATGCAGAATTTTCTGCCAGAGCTGCTGAAGCACTGCCCCAAAGTGTTGTCAGCTGTTGGCCTTCTTCTGAAATTGTCTCAACAGTAGAGAGCCAGCTTGCCCAAGGTGATGTTTCCTTCCCAGAGATGTCTGTATGCAAAGATGGTTTCTAGTGGTGAGTGAGATTGGTGTAAAGTGAGACTCCTGACTAAAATGTTAGACAATACTGAAGGGCCATGCTGTCTTCCAAAATCCCCATGTGGATGTTGGAGTCCATCACTTAGCATGTATCGTGGTTCAACTTCTCCCTTTGCCCAATGTATTAGTCTGTTCTCTCGCTGCTATAAGGAAATACTTGAGACTGGGTATTTTATTTAAAAATATGTTTTAATTGGTTTTGCAGGCTGTACAGGAAGCATTATGCTGGCATCTTCTCAACTTCTGGGGAGCCCTCAGAAAACTTAACAATTATAGCAGAAGGCAAAGGGGGAGCCGGCACTTCACATGGCTGGCAAAGGAGAAAGAGAGAGGGGGGAAGGTGCCACACACTTTTAAACAACCAGATTCCCTGAGAACTCACTATTGCAATGACAGCACCAAGGCGGGTGGTGTTAAACCATGAGAAACTGCCCCCATGATTCAATCACCTCTCCCAATTCCCACCTCCAGCACTGGGGATTTCATTTCAACATGAGAGTTGGGTGGTTACACAGATACAAACCATATGACTCAATTGGGTGGTTACACAGATACAAACCATATTACTCAATCTTACTTTTCACCTATGTTATCCTAAAATACTCGTAAAGTACTTTTGGCACACTAATCTCCCTCTCAGAGTGTGCACAAATTTTCACAAATTACACACACACACACACACATATATATATACACATATGTATCTATGAAGTTAGCTGAAGACAATAGTAGTTTTTTTAACATTGCACTCATTGAGCATTCATCTTAATACCATGCTAATGGTTCAAGTCTTTTCCTCCCATAGGTTTGAAGTGATTACATGATTGCTCTTTAGGGACTCTTAGTTGCAAGTCACATTATGTAACACAACTCTCCCTACCAACCTTTTCTTAGAAAGATGATTGCATTTAGATTATTATGTATTTATTTTTTATACTAACTTACCATTTGTTAGTCTATGTCCAAGTTTATATAAATCCACTTATTTTTATTCATATTTGTCAAAGTCTGAGATTTATGTCTCTTTTTCACTCTGGGTTCTATTCCTTTCCCTATAAGAAGGACCTGTCTCTGTGAAGTTGTGTTTTTTATTTTTTTTTTAATTCAAGTACAATGCCTTTATAGACTTTATGGAGCTAATGAATATAAAAAAAGACCATCAAATACACTTGTTATTAAATGCCAATTGTTTAAAACAAATACTCTATTCCCTCAAATGATGAATGTTTGATAATACATTCAATTAGAGTATGAGGAGGCAGATACCTTTACAAAATTCTGGGAAACTACAAATCAACTGCTTTTGTAAACGCTGTCATTACAAACATCATCATACACCATTACAAGGCACTTTTGGCATTCATAGATTTTTTATCTGATTTCTCTACTTGTTTTTTGACTTCTTGATTGATGCATTGTAATAATGATTGTACATATTTATAGGGTAACGTTGATATTTTGATACAAACATACATACAAACAACGTGTAATCATCAAATCAAGGTAATAAGGAAATCTATCACCTTAAACCTTTATTTATTTGTGTTGGAAACATCTTCACTCTTCTAGCTATTTTGAAAAATCATAAATTATTGCTAAATATACTCATCCTAGTATGCTACCAAACACTATTTATTCCTTCTCTCTAACTGTATTCATTCCTTCTACTTTTTGTATTCATTAATCAGTCTCTTTTAATTTCCCCTCATTTCCCAGGATCAAGTAATCATTATTCTCTTCTTTACTTCCATGATATCATTTTTTTTTCCTTCCACATGCAAGTGAGAACATACAATATTTGTCTTTTATGCCTGGCTTATTTTACTTAACACTCTGTCCCCCAGTTCCATTTATGTTCCTTCTAATGACAATATTTAATTCCTTTTTATGGCTGAATAACATTTATTGTGTGTAAATACCACATTTTCTTTATCAATTTATCCATTGATGTATAATTAGATTGATTACATAACTTGGCTATTGTGAATAGTTCTGCAATATACATGGGTATGCAGCTATTTCTTTGACACACAGAATTCTTTTCTTTTGGATACATAATCAGTATTAGGATTGTCAGCTTATATGGTAGATCTACTTTTAGTTTTTCGAAGGATCTTCGTACTGTTTTCCATACATTTCGTACTAATTTACATTCCCACCAGCAGTGTAACATCATTCTTGTTTCTCTGCGTTCTCACTAGCATCTGTAATTTTTTTTGTCTTTTTGATGATAGCCATGTAAATTGGGTGGAGATAATATCTCATGTGTTTTATTTGCATTTCCTTGATTATTAATGACGTTGAGCAGTTTTCATGTACCTGTTGGTAATTTGTATGTGTTCTTTTTAAAAATGTTTATTCAGATATTTTTGCCCATTCTTAAATTAGATTATTTTTTTGCTTTTATGCTGTTGAGTTGTTTGAGTTTCTTATATATTTTTGTTATTACTCCGTCACATTTTCTTCCATTCTACAGGTTGTGTCTTCACTCTGTTGATTGTTTCCTTTCCTGTGCTGAAGATATTTAGTTCGATGTAATAAACAAAAAAAAAAATTGTCTATTTTTGCTTTGGTTGCCCGTGCTTTTTTAAGTCCCAAACATTATTTGCTCAGACCAATGTCCTGAAACATTCCCCCAAGGTTTACATCTATTAGTTCCATAGTTTCTGGTCTTACATTTTAGTCTTTAATCTATTTTGATTTAATTTCTGTATAACGTGAGAGATAGGCATCTAGTTTCATTTTTTTTTTTGTCTATGGATATCGAATTTTTCCGACACAATTTATTAAAGAGACCACCCTTTTTCCAATGAATGTTCCTGATGTTTTTGTCAAAAATCAGTTAGCTGAAAACATGTGGATTTTTTGAGAGGGTTTAATATTCTGCTTCATTGGCCTATGTTTTTATACCAATACCATGCTGTTCTTGTTACTATAGCTTTGTAGTATATATTTTGACATCAAGAATTGTGATGCCTTCAGCTTCGTTCTGTGTGCTCAGGATGCTTTTTGGCTACCAGGAGTCTTCTGTGACTCCATGTGAATTTTAGGATTGTTGTTCCTATTTCTGTGAAGAATATAATTGGTATTTTAGTAGAGATTCTATTGAATCTATAGATCACTTTTGATATTACATTCATTTTCACAATATTAATTCAATCCATGAACATGGGATGTGCTTCACTTTTTTTTTTCTGTGACCTATTCTATTTCTATCACTACTGATTTCTAGTTTTCCTTGTAAAGATCTTTTGTTTCTTTGGTTAATTTTTTATCTAGGCACTTTAGTTAATTTTTTTGGCTACCGTAAATGGGATCACTTTATTGGTTTCTTTTCCTGCTAGTTCACCGTTGGCATAGAGAAATGCTACCAATTTTGTATGTTAGTTTCATATCCTGCAACTTTATTGAATGTGTTTATCAGTTTTAAGAGTTCTTTGATGTTGTCTTTTGTGTTTTTTATATATAATATCAGGTCACCTGCAAACAGGTATAATTTGGCTTTCTCCTCTTCAATTTGCATGCCCTTTATTTCTTTCTCTTGCCTAATTGCCCCGTCTTTAACTTCTAGCACTATGTTGAGAAAGAATGGTAAAAGTAAGGCATACTTGTCTGTTACAGTTCTTAGAGGAAAAGCTTTCAGCTTTTCCCCATTCATTATTATGTCATCTGGGGGCTTGTCATAGATGGCCTGTATCGTGTTAAGGTGTGCTCCTTCTATAGTGAGTTTGTTGAAGTTTCTTTTTTTTAATAAAGCTACATTGAATTTTATAAATTTATAAATTTTTTGAGTCTATTGAGATGACCACATGGTATCTGCCCTTCATTCTGTGGATCCAGTGTATCACATTTATTGTTTTGTGTCTGTTGAACCATTCTTCCATCCCTGTGATAAATCTTATTTGATCATGGTAAATGATCTTTTTAATGTGCTGGATCTTTTTAATGTGGGTTCGGTTTTCTAACATTTTGTTGAGGATTTTTGCATCTACCTTTATTAGGGATATTGGCCTATAGCTGTGTGTGTGTGTGTGTGTGTGTGTGTGTGTGTGTGTGTGTGTGTGTATTTTGCCTGGTTTGGGTATCAAGGTAATGCTGGCCTCATTAAATGAGTTCAGAAGAGTTCCCTCCTCTTCAAATTTCTGGAAGAGTTTGAGAAGAATTAGTGTTAGTTGTTCTTTAAATGATTGGTAGAATTTAGCAATGAAACCATCAGGCCCTGGGCTTTTCTTTGATAGCAAACTTTTTATTGCTTTTTCAGTCTCATTGCATTAATTGGTCTGTTCGAGGTTCTTATTTCTTCATGGTTCTATCTCGGTAGGTTTTATGTGTTCAGAAATTTGTTCATTTCCCTTAGGTTTTCCAATTTATTGGCATACAATTGTTTATAATAGTGTCCAATGATCCTTTGAATTTCTATGGTATCAGTTATAATTTTTTGTTTGTTTCTGATTTTATGTGTCTTTTTTTCTTGGTTAGTCTAACTGATGATTTGTTGATTTTTTTATATTTTTAAAAAACCAAATTTCACTTTATAGCTAATTTGAATTAGTTTTAGTCTCAATTTCATTTATTTCTACTCTGATCTTTATTATTTCTTTTCTTTTAATAATTTGGGGTTTGGATTGTTCTTACACTTCTAGTTCTTTGTGATGAATCATTAGGTTGTTTGTTTGAAATTTTTCTACTCTTTTGATGTAGGCATTTATTGCGATAAACTTCTTTTCTAATACTACTTTTGCATTATAGCTTAGTTTTTGGAAAATTGTATTTCTATTTTCATTTGTTTCAGGAAACATCTAAATTTCCTTTTAAATTTATTCATGGACTCATTGGTCATTCAGGAATGTGTCATTTAATTTTCATAATCTTGTGCAGTTTAAAGTTTCTCTAATTTTTTATTTTTAGATTTATATCATTGTGATCAGAAAAGATACACGATATGAATTCCGTTCTTTTAAATTTGTTAAGAATTGTTTTGTGGCCTAACATTTGGCCTCTCCTGGAGAACGCTGTAAAGGCTGATGAAAAAAGATGTGCATTCTTCAGCTGTTGGATGAAATGTTCCACAGATGTCTGTTAGAACCACTTGGTCTAAATTGCAGTTTAAATTCAACATTTCCTTGACGATTTTCTGTCTAGATAATCTGTCGAATGCTGAAAGTGCAGTGGTTCTCCAAATATTATTTTATTGGAATCTATCTCTTCTTTTAGGTCAAATAATATTTGCTTTATACATCTGGGTGCTCCAGTATTGCAAGCATGTATATTTGCAATTATTATGTCCTCTTGCTGAACAGTTCCCTCTTTCATTATATAGTGATGCTCTTTGTCTCTCTTTACAGTTTTTTATTGAAGCCTGTTTCGTGTAGTTAATCCTGCTCATTTTTCATTTCTGTTTGTATAAAATGTCTTTCTCTATCACTTCATATTTAGTTTATATGTGTCTTTAAAGTAAGTGTCTTGTAGGCAGTATATAGATACCTCATTTTTTTTAATTCATTCATCACATTATATTTTTTAAGTGGAGGAATTTATTTTTGTTGAAGGTTATCATTGATAGGTAATGATTTACCCTTGTTATTTTGCTAATTATTTTCTGTTTGTTTTGTATACTCTTTCTTTTCTTCCTCTTTTATTATTATTGTTATTTTGTTTTCTGTAATTAAAATGCTTAATCTTTTCTCTTTTTCTTTTGTATATCTGCTCTACCAGTGAGTTTTACAGTTTTGCATGTTTTTATGATGGTGATTATTGTCTTTTCATTTCCAGATGCAGGATGCCCTTGAACATTTCTTGAAGGCTGGTTCAGTGATGACAAATTCCCTCAGTTTTTGCTTTCCTGGGAAAGATTATACTTTTCCCTTATTTCTAAATAATGGCTCTGTTAGGGATAGTATTATTTGCTTGCAATTTATTTTTCTTCAGTACTTTGAATATATTATCCCATTCTCTCCCTTGCCTGTAAGACTTCTGCTGACATATCAGCTTTTTGTCTAATGGAGATTTCCTTATATGTGACTTGAAACATTTCTCTTGCTGTTTTCGGAATTCTCCCTGTGTCTTTGACTTTTGACAATTTGACTATAATGTACCTCAAAGAGAGCATGTTTGGGTTGAATTTATTGGGACAACTTTGAGCTTCCAGGATCTGAGTGACAATATCTCTCCCCAGCCTTGAATAGTTTCTCAGCTATATCTCAATTAAATAGGTTTGCTGTGACTTTTTCCAACTCTTTCTCTGGAAACTCTATAATACAGGTATTTGTTTGCTTAATAGTGTCTCATAGTACTATAGGCATTCTTCATTCTTTTTTATTCTTTTTTTCCCTCTTGCTGGATAATTTCAAATTATGTATCTTTAAACTCGGAGATTATTTATTCTGTCTGATCAAAGTCTTCTGCTGAAGTTCTCTGTTGTATGTTTTATTTCATTCATTAAATTATTTAGCTGAAGAATTTCTGTTTTGTTCTTTTTTTAATAATACCCTGAATTCTTTGTTCGTGTTATAAATTATTTTCCTAGGTTTGTTGAATTATCTATCTGTTTTGTTTTGTTTTGTTTTTATATCTTGTGGAGTTTTTTTAAGATTGTTATTTAGAATTCTTTTTCTGGCAATTCATTGATTTCCTTTACATTGGAAAGGACTCTCATTAGAGAGTTTTTATATTCCTTTGGTCATGTTATATTTCCTTCTGTTTTCATATTTCTTTTGTTTCTGTGTTGATGTCTGTCCATCTAGCATAACAAATAACAGTACCCTCTTCCAAATTTTCTAGAGTGGTTTTCACAGAGATAGACTTTTACCTGAAGATGAGTCTCAGTGTGCCAGTTAGGAAGGATGTGGTGACTTTCTTTTTTTTCCAGGTGAGTACAGTGTTTTAGTCTTCATGCAGCTTCTTCAGCTGTTTTCAACCTCAGTAATAGATTCAGGCACCTCAGTGGCCTAGGCTGTAGAAGTTTGTGGCAGCAGTGACAGCAGGTTAGGTTTTTAATGTTTTTGGTGGCAAGGGATTTTGGGAATCCTTCTATTCTCATATTCACCACAAGAGGGAGACTTTGACAAGACGACCCCTCTTGATGTCAGTTCTGACATTTCCTATAAGCAGCTGCCACAGCAACTGGATTCTAGATGCAGGTACTTGGAGCAGCAGTGGAGACAGGGTCTTAGTCTGAGTGTCTTATGAACCTATTGAGGCACCTGTCTTGGGGTGCATGTCAGGTTTGACGTCTGTGGCAGGATTGGATGTAGATATCCCACACCAGGATCTGAGGTACCCTCTATCAACTTGGTTTCAGGGGCGTGGCTTGTAGATGTGACCTTCCTTCTGGGGAGGCAGAGAACAGCCCTACCACAACTCCAGGGAAAGAAGGGTTCTCTAGAAATTTGAGCTTAGGGACAATTGGAATTCAGGATTCTGAGTCAGTAGGGCTCAATGGCAACTTTAACCCGTGGGGACAAGGAGTACTGTGTAGTAGTCACTCCAGATCTTGGCATTGCGGGGTTCAGCAGTATCCCAGACTGTGAAGCCAGGTGTAGCAACAAGTATCCAAGAAATGGCAAGCTTGGCTACAGTTTGGGCCCTGGGTGCATAAGGCGGTACAGGGGTGACTCCACTTCCTGGAAAGAGGAGCATCTCAGCAGCTCAAATTCCATGGGGCTACTCCATCTCCAGGAAGCAAGATACTAGAGTTGTTTGGCTTTTAGGACAGAGTGTTTCAGCTCAGCCTTGGGAAGTGCAGCTGCTCAGCTCAACCAAGGCTCTACTTCCCCAGTGGGCAATGTGCCACTTCAGCTCAGGCCCACGCGGGTGTGACTATTCTGGGCAGCCCAGCCACCATTTTCTTGTGATTCAGTGCTCTGCCAAAGCACTGTTTCCTTTGGTGGCTATGCACAGTTTTTGATCAGCTTCCTAAAAGCAGGGCACAACTGTGCCTGAGAGGCTGATGGAGTTGTTCTACCAAATCACTGTTTCCCCAGATTTCCATCTGTGCAGCTTCAGCTCCTGCCTGAGCAGGTTGGGGGATGGGTAGGTGGGGCACTTTCACTCCTTTTTGATCCCATAGGGAAGGGTGTAATTGTTGCTCACAGCTGGGCTTTGGGATGTTGGGTCACTGGGAACGAGTGGTTCAACAGCAGTTTAGCCTCTGGGTTGAAGGAGTGCTGTGGCTTCTTGTTGCTGGAGCGTGATATACTTTAGCATTAGTTTCAGTTCCAGGATGGTGTAACATAGCAGCTCTGCAGGCCACAGGGAGTGGGGAGGAGTGTCAGTTTCTTCTCAGGGGGAAATATGACTGCGTGGCCTCTAGGAATTTTTCTTACCTAGGCTTAGTGCCTGGAAGGACTTTAAGGGACCCTAGTGGTAAAGACTGTAGATGTCTAAGTTCTCCTGCCTGAGAAAGTAGGAGGAGAGTTAGGTAGAGCAGTTCTATTGCCTCTAGGCCCCGCAAGGAAGGTATAATTGCTGCTGGAAGCTCAGCTTGGGAATGTTGGGCCAACTGGTGAATTAATAAGCAATAAATTAGTAACAGGTAATACATACATTTTATAAGTTCTAAACATTTTGATTATTCTGTAAGTCACTAGCTAACACATTCCCAGAGAAGTTGCCAAATTTAACTAATATTTTCTAAGCTCAAGTCCCTCTAAAATGTCCACCAAAGGGTCTGAATGGGATTAAAAAGACATTGAAAAATCTTGTCATTACATAACTGAAAATTAAAACAACCACTACACATTTATTAGAATGGCCAAAATCCAAAGCACTGACAACATCAAATGCTGATAAGGATGTGGAGAAACAGAAGCTTTCATTTTTTGCTGATGGGAATGCAAAATGGAGCAGTCACTTTGGAAGACAGTTTGGTAGTTTCTTACAACACTAAACACACTCTTACCATATGATACAGCAATCCTGCTTCTTGATATTTACCCAAATAAGTAAAAAAAAAAAAAATACACGTCCACACAAAAACTTGCACACAGATGTTTACAGCAGTTCTTTTTATAATTGGCAATAATTTAAAAAAACTGAGATGTGCTTCGGTAGTTGAATGGATGAACAAACTGTGCTTCATACAGACAATGGAAGAGTATTCAGCGCTAAAAAGGAATGAGCAATCAAGCCCCGACAAGACCTATAGGAGACATAAATATGTATTACTTAGTGAAAGAAGCCAATGGCAGATGTTGTATCATTCTAACTAATTGGCATTCTAGAAAAGACAAACTATGGAGACAGTACAAGAATAAATAAATGGTTGCCAGAAGTTAGGGAGGAGAAAAGAATGAAGAGGTAGAGCACAGAGAATGTTTAGAGTAGTGAAATGCCTCTGTGATACCACAGTGGTGAATACATGTCATTATACTTCGATACCTCTGTCAAAACCCATAGAATGTAAAATACCAAAAGTGAAACCTAATGCAAATCCTGGACTTTAGATGATAATGATTTGTCAGTGTAGGCTCATTGAGTCTAACAAATGTGTCACTGTGGTGAAGAATACCCATTGTATGGAAGATTATGTGTGTTTGGTAACGGGGGCAGGAAGTATGTGGAAACCTTGTGAAACTTGTCGATTTTACTGTGAAGCTGAAACGTCTGTAAAAAAATTAAATGTTATTAATTTAAGAAATGCATTGACAGTAGTTTACTTTTCAAACCTCAGAATTCATTCATAATATATTCCACCTTCTCAAAAACAGAGTTTGTTAATAAAGTCTTGTGAGTTTTTGTTTTTTGGTTTTTTGGCAATTACTTTGAAATGTGAAATTGTCCCTCACACAATTTCTGCTATAGAAAGTTTACGATTATCATGTTATTTTAAAAAGCCTCTCCAAGGCTGGGCACAATGGCTCACACCTGTAATCCTAACACTTTAGGAAGGTGAGGCAGGCGGATCATTTAAGGCCAGGAGTTCAAGACCAGCCGGTCAATATGGGGAAACCTTGTCTCTACTAAAAATACAAAAATTAGCCAGGCGTGATGTTGCATGCCTGTAATCCCAGCTACTGAACACAGGAGGCAGTGGTTCCAGTGAGTTATCATCACACCACTGCACTCCAGCCTGGGTGACAGAGAGAAACTCTGTCTCAAAAAAAAAAAAAAAAAAAAAAAAATCAAAGAAAAAATTTTTATATGAGGCTGTATATTTCATATGCAGAAAACTACATGATTTGTCAAGAGTTCTGAGTTTATTTTCTAATCCCATTTTTTTCTTAACTAAGCAGGTCAACTTCAGCAAGGTTTTGTTGTGTTTTGGTTTTCCTCCTAAGGCTGTTTTTCACTTATAAAATGAGTTAAAGTAAATGGCCTCCAAGGTCCCTTCACACTAATCTAAACTACCTGTAAAAACATTCTTGAAGCCCTTTAAACTTGTGTCAAAGAATATGACCTCATGAAAAAGGTGCTGGTCCATGGCTTCTACGTGTAATAATCAAAAATTCAGGTCAAGCCAAATAGAAAATGCAACAGACCATCAAAATCAATATATTGTAATAAGCTTTCTTATTTATTTGTTTTCTTAATAACATATTGATTTAGAATTCAATATAAAACTAATCAATTTATCAGAATCAAATTCCAATTTGTAGTTTGAAAAACCATTGATTAAGAAATCAGAGTCACACGGAAGTGCTGGATATGTCTATTACCTTGATCGTAGTGTTGGTATCAAAGGTGTTTTCATACCTCCAAACTCATCAAATTGTGCATATTAAATATGTGTGTTTTATTGTATATTAATCATCACTCAATAAAACTATTAAAAAATAGAACAAGGCCAGGCATAATGGCTCATGCCTGTAATCTCAACACTTTGGGAAGCTGAGGCAGGAGGATCACCTGAAGTCAGGAGTTTGAGACTAGGCTGGCCAAAATGGTGAAACCCCATCTCTACTAAAAATACAAAAAATTAACTGGGAGTGGTGGAGCATGCCTGTGATCCCAGCTACTCGGGAGGCTGAGACAGGAGAATTGCTTGAACCTGGGAGGCGGAGGTTGCAGTGAGCTGAGATCGTGCCACTGCACTCCAGCCTGGGTGACACAGCAAGACTCCGTCTCAAAAAAAAAAAAATAGAACCTCAGAAATATAGCATTTAAAAAAAAATCCCTATTCTCACAAAAGACATCAAGGAACACTATAGTTTGTTTGAATATCAAGTTTATATCCTCATACATTCACAGTCACAGTGGGATTAGGTTTGGCCCGTATATAAAGCAAATTTGTAACATGAAATTTTACATTAAAAAATCACATAATTATACTAGACAACACTGCTTTGAAGTCATAATTTTATGTTTGCAATAAGCATCAGAATCTCCCGAATAATTATTTGAAAATAAATGTATCTGGGACCTTCTCCCCAAAAACCCCAATTTAGTTTGCAGCTCCCTTGTTGATCATGAGCTAGTCTACTAGTTGTGAGGAAAGGCTCTTCTAATACAAATTCCCTATGACTGCAAATGGATCTTTAAGACAAAATGTCTGATTGTTAGCTGCACTAAACATCTTTCTATTAACTTTCTGAGGTTGTTAGAACATTTTTGCCTTTTGCCTGTTCCCCTCTTCTCAGAAAATTCTTGATTTACCAAGGTCCTCCTCACCTTAAAAATTCAATCCAGATATTTTGGGAACAAGGCAAGATGGTGTACGGGAAGCAGGTTTTGTGTGCCCCTCTCACAGAGATGAAACAAAAGGGCTAGTGAACACTGACCCTTCAGGTCAATCATATAAAAGAAGACATCAGGATCCCTGAAGGCAGCAGGGCAATTCAGAGATCAGATAGGAGCGAAGCTGGGCACCAGACTGTCTGGGTTCAGTGTGGAGGAGGAGAAGCTCTCCAACACAAGAAAAGATAAATGAGAGGCCCCACGGAGATTCAAGCTCTCCACAGGGACCTGTGCAACCCTGGGAACAGGAGAATCCCCTGGGTCCCCCTCCACTGCACTTCTAGACTGAGGCAGAGAGCCACCTGGACTTTTTGCAGGGGCAACCTTCAAGTCCAAATGACCTCTACAAAACTTTGGCCCTGGAGTAGAGCAGCACCAGCGTCATAGCTTCAATAGAGGCTGCAGTTGCAGTACCTGAGAGCAATAAGACTGCTCCACCCCTCCTTGCTGGACAGGGCTCAGTGTCAGGTTCTGGCCCAGCAGTCCCCCTTCAGCCCAAATTCGACTAGCCACTCCACCTACCCCCACCAGCGATAGCCAGGATGGCATTGCTTGCTAGAGCTTCTGGCCCAGTGGTGCCACTTCTGTGTGAACTCAGCTGGAGGTCACAGTTTTCTGTTGTCCCAGGAAACACCTGAATTGCAGAGTGCGTGACTCCACCTGCCCCTGTCACTAGTAGCCCGGTGGGCAACACCTGCTAGAGCTCCTGGCTCGGCAGCTCCACTTCTGTCTGAGCTCAGCTACAGGGAACAGCTTCTTGTTGTCCCCGAACAGCAGAACAACAGAGCATGCAACTCAGCCCACCACTGCCGCTGGTAGCAAGGTGGGCAATTGCTTCCTAGAGCTTCCAGTTCAGTGGCTCTGCTTCTGTGTAAACTCAGCTAGAGGGTGCAGCTTCCTGTAGTTCTGGAAAACACCACCACCCAGATAGCAGAGCATGTGACACTTTACCCAGCTGGGCAACACTTGCTACAGCTTCTGCGCCAGCACCCCACTTCTATGTAAGTTCAGCCACTGGGTGCAGCCTCTTGCTGTCCCAGGTAGCACCCAGACAGAAGCACAGGTGACCCCACTGAGCCCTGCCTCTGATAGCCAGGTGGGCAATGCCTGCTAGAGTTTCTAGCCCAGTGGTCCTGCTTCTGTGAGAACTTAGCCAGTGAGCACAGCCTTCTATTGTCCCAGGAAGCTTCTGGATGGCAGGGTAGGCACACCCATCCACCCCTGCCATTTATAGCCAGACAAGCCACACCTGCTGAAGCTAACAGTACAGTGGTCCTACTTCTGCCAGAATTTGCTGAGGAATGCAGCCTCCTGTTGCGTTAGAAATACACAGTTGGCAAGGCATGTAACTCCATCCACCTCCACTTCGCATAGCCAGATGGGTCACATCTGCTAGATCTTCCAGTGCAGCAGTCCTGCTTCCACCTGAATTCCGTGGACAGGAGCAACCCTGGGTTTCCCCCAGGAAGCACATGAACAGCATATCAGCGTTGACCTAACAAAGATACAGCTTGTCTGCCAGCCATAGCCTCTGCCTGAGGGAGCCACATGGACCACATGGACCAGAATAGCCAACAAAAGAATTGTGGGCATAGAGACCATAATCACAGAGGGTTCCTCCATGACCCAGGAGTGGAGAAGAATCGAAACCAGTCAACCGAACTCCCTCTATACCATAATCAAACCCCCAAGGGCATCAATGAAGGAAAGAGAAAAAAAAATCTATCAAAAGGACAGCAAATTCATCAGCCCACACAAATGACAAAGAAACAGCACAGGAACTCTGGCAACTCAAAAAGCCAGAATGCATTCTTTCTTCCAAATGATTGCACTTATTCCCCAGCACGATTTCTTAACCAGGTTGAAAAGGCTGAAAAGACAGAAATAGAAATCAGACTATGGATAGCAAAGAAAATAATCAAGATTCAGGAGAACATCAAAACCCAATCCAAAGAAGGTAAGAATTATAATAAAATGATACAAGAACAGATAGACAAAATAGCCATTACTGATCCACAAAAGCGCCAAACTGATCTTACAGAGCTGAAACTTATACTACAAGAATTGCATAATGCAACTGCAATTATTAACAGCAAAGTAGATCAACCTAAGGAAAGAACCTCAGAGCTTGAAGACTGGCTCACTGAAATGACCCAGTCAGACAAAAATGAAGGAAAAATAATTATAAAGCATGAACAAAACCTCCACAAATATGGAATTATGTAAAGACCTCATATCTATGACTCATTGGCATCCCTGCAAGAGATGAGTAGAAAGTAAGCAACTTAGAAAACACGTTTCATTGTATCATCCATGTAAACTTCCCCAGCATCACTAGAGAGGCCAAAATTCAAATCCAGGAAATGCAGAGAATGGCTGCAAGATATTACACAAGAAGACCATCCCCAAATCACATAATTATCAGTTTCTCCAAGGCCAAAATGAGATAAAAAAAATTGTTAAAGAAGGTGCAAAACCTCCTTAATCTGACAAACAACTTCAGCTGGGTTTCAAGATACAAAATCAGTGTACAAAAATCAATAGCATTCCTATATACCAGTAACATCCAAGTCAAGAAGCAAATCAGAAACACAATCCCATTCACAATTGCCACAAAAAGAATAGAATACCTAGAAATACAGCTAACAAGGGAGGTGAAACATCTCTTTCATGAGAACTACAGAACACTGTTCAAAGAAATCAGAGATGACATAAACAAATGGAAGAACATTTCATGCTTACGGATAATAAGAGGCAATATCCTCAAAATGGTTATACTGCCCAAAGAAATTTACAGATTCAATGCTATTTCTTTTAAACTGCCAATGATATTCTTTACATAATTAGAAAAAGTTGTTTTAAAATTCATATGGAACCAAAAAAGAGTCTGAATAGCCAAAGCAATCCTCAGCAAAAAGGGCAAAGCTGGAGGCATTGTGTTACCCAATGTTAAACTATATTACAGGGCTACAGTAACCAAAACAGCATGGTACTGGTAGAAAAACAAACACATAGACCAGTTGAACAGAATACAGAACCCAGAAATAATGCTGCAAACCTACAACCATCTCATCTTCAACATAGATGAAAAGTTAAGCAAAGGGGAAAGGACTCCCCACTCAATAAAATGTTCTCGGATAACTGGCTATCCATATGCAGAAGATTGAAACTGGACCCCCTCCTTATACAATATACAAAAATCAATGCAAGATGAATTAAAAACTGAAATGTAAAACCTAAAACTATAATAACCCTGTTAGATAACCTAGTAAATATCATTCTGGAGGTAGTACTTGGCAAATAATTGTTGATGAAGACACCAAAAGCAATTATTAATACAACAAAAATAAAAATTGACAAATGGAATCTAATTAAAATAAAGGGCTTCTGCACAGCAAAAGAAACTATTAACGGAGTAAACAGACAACCTACATAATGAGAGACAATATTTGCAAACTCTGCATTAAACAAAGGTCAAATATCCAGAATCTATGAGGAACTTAAACAAGTTTACAAGCAAAAACTAAGCAACCCTGCTAAAAAGTGGGCAAAGGACATGAACAGACATTTTTCAAAAGAAAGCATACAGAAGGCCAACAAGCATACGAAAAAAAGCTCAATATCACTGATCATTAGGGAAACGTAAACCAAAACCACAATGATATACACCTCACACCATTCAAAAAGGCTATTAATAAAAAGCCAAAAAATGATAGATGCTGGCGAGTGGTGGAGAAAAGAAAACATGTATACAGTGTTGGTGGGAGTGCAAATTAGTTAGCAAATCATTATGAAAGACAGTGTGGCAATTCCTTAAAGACCAAAAACAGAACTACTATTCGACCCAGAAAACCCATTATTGGGTATGTACCATACAGAATATAAATTGTTTACATAAATATACATGCATATGTATGTTCATCGCAGTATTATTCACAAAAGGAAAGACATAAAATCAACCTAAATGCCCATTGACGGTAGATTGAAGAAAATATGGTACATATACACCATGGAATACTACTCAGTAATAAAAAACGGTGAGATCATTTCCTTTGCAGCAATGTTAATGGAGCTAGAGGCCACTATCTTAAGCAAACTATCCCTGGAACAGAAAAACATTCATTGTGTGTTAGGAATGTGCATTAGGATCATTGTGTGACAATGATAGGTTTATATTGTATCTCATCCACTAGATTATCAGTTTATAGGGCAGTATTCAAGTATGCAAGCATGTTACTAAATAGTAACAGTAAAAATTGCTTTATCAAATTGCTTATAAGTGAAAACCACATGTTTTCACTTATAAGCAGGAGCTAAACAACCATAACATATGGATGCTAGGAAAGTAACAACAGATACTGGGGCCTACTTGAGGGGAGAGGTTAGTAGGAGGGAGAGGACCAGAAAAAAATACCTATTGGTTACTATGTTTATAACCCAGGTGACAAAATTATCCGTACAACGAATCCCTGTGACATTCAATTTACCTGTATAACAAACCTGCACATGTATCCCTGAACCTAACATAAAAGTTAAAACAAACGCAATCCAAGAATTGTCTTTCTATGAGGCCTTCTCTTAGTCTCCTACCTCATGCTCCAGAGGGCTTCGCTAATTCTTCTATCAGCACTTAGCACATTGCCTGACAGTGGTCTGTTTATATTATATCTCATCCACTAGGTTATCAGTTTATAAGGCAGTATTCAAGTATGTAAGCATATTACTAAACAATAACAATAAAAGTTGCTTTATCAAATTGCTTAAAATAAACCTTAGTAGTGATGGCCCAGCTGTAACAGGATCACAGCAATTCCATGTCATGACATTGTGATTCTCAGACAACATCAGCTTCATTTCCTTGTGTTGTTTTTTTGGCAGTGATAGCATTTAGATGACAATTTTCAGAAAACTCTGTTAATATTCTTGGCAGATATTTAACCTTATGAAAAGAAATCACTTATTGAGGACTTCAGTACAGTATTTTCATTTCAATGACATTTAAAATGAAAAGGAGTCCATTTTCTTTTCAGAATTTTTGAATATGCTTCAGTTTAAAAGTAAACTCATTCAGTGAATAGTCAACTAGCACAAAAATCAGAATATAAGCGATTTTTTTAAGCAGGCTTTTTTTTTCAATGTGGCTCTTATATTTGATATATCCTATGATACACATTTGACTATTAACAACAAGTGAAGCATACAAATTTATCTTCAAAAATATGGTAATTTTTTAGTACATATAATGAATTAAAATTTATTGCTCTATGCATAGGAGATAATTTACATAATTTCAGTATATCTTTTTAGCCTTTAGTCAACTCAGAAAAATAAGTCACTTAAAAATGTATGTTTCTATTTTATTTTCAGATTTTGTATTAATAGCTTTTAAATCTTATCCTATTTTTATATGATTACAATACTATAGTAATTTATAGAAGGGAGTTGAAAACATAGTGAAAATATAACTAATTTCTAAAATATTTGTAGTCACTTTTATTATGGATTTTCAACATTCTTTTCTAATAAAGAGAAGGGTTAATGAATGAGTTTAATAGGATACCTATAATAAACTACTTTTAAGGTGAATGTGACTGGATTGTTTTGGTTGTGCTTGCTTTTCCATGTCTTAGGGTAACCTCAGTTTTCTCAGAACACAATATTAAGTCTAAATCCAAAAGCCTATTGGGTAATATAGATTTAATGAGAGAAGGAAGAGTTACCTGCACCTTACCTAGCCCATTTATCTTCTAAAAATAAAATATTTGTAAACATTTTTCTGTTTCTCAATGGCTTCTCTTCTTGTGTTTCACGTGTCATTTTTCCATTTACTATTCACCAACTATCTCATTAGCTTACAAATAACCTGGTTCAAGCAATTGTCCCACATCTCCTATTACATTGCACTGAGCACTCAGTGAACTAAAAAGTAATCAATATTGCCAAGCAAAAGAAACAAAGCAAAACGGGATAAAACTTTAGTTTACACCTGACTCTCACTTTTCACATTTGTGAATGTGAAAGCGAAGAGATCAAAATCAGGTTCCTTTCATAAAGCTATTACGCACTGCTGCATTCAAAACAGCAGTAGCAAAAGATGTAAGGATAAATGTGCTCACACTTTTAAAATCATGACACTAAAATAATGTTTCTTGATTCATATGTGAAATCAGATTACACTATAGTCAGGCTGGTATTTATCTGGAAATTTACTCTGAGCTATCATATTTCACCCTGGCTCATCCTCTTGGCCATCTCTAGTTAAACCAGCAATGGACCTTTTTCCAAGCTGGTTCATCACCTTGTATCTCCATAAATTTGTAATTAGGAGCAATTGGCCAGTTCACATGGCTGAAATTATAAGACAAAATTTGAGTATTGCATCTATATAGAAAGACCTGTTTTGCCCTGTAATCTAGGGAAGCAAAAAATGCTCTTCTAGACGTGGAAAATAACTGAGAGAGAGAGAGAGAGAGAGAGAGAAACCAGGAGAGAAAAAAAATCATGGAAAGAGAGGCCAAGGGATTTACAGTGTTGGTTCCAGTTTCTAAGATCTCCTACACTTCTGTTTTTGCCCTGTATGAGGCATTTTAAAGTTTGTTCTGTTAAACATTTTTAAAGTATAAAATAGCATATAGGGTTGTAGGGTATCTGTATTTGTGGCTCTGTTCAAACAAAGGCAAGAAACAATAAACTTTGCAATAAATAGATGAGATGTATTCAGGAAAGGAGTAGGAACAGAACAAGAGAGTAGTTGTGGATACCCGAGAAATAAACAACTTTCCAAATTCTCAGTTCTCAAGGTTTCCCCTTGTGTTTTCTGGTCAGAATTGAGCACGTGAGTCCATTAATTAACACATCAATTATGAAAAGGCAGATAATGCAGAGGGGTGAGCATGCAGAAAATTATTACCGCTTTATGTGAAATCAGTACATTCTTAGGAGACATCACAAATGTGAAAAAAAAAAGTTTGTAATAAGAAACATAGCTCTTGACTCTTATTCTCCATGGGTCATGCATTATTTTCAATGTTTAAATCCATTATTCCTCCCCATTTAAGAGATCTGTGCACGGAGACTCACATCAATGCTTGAGGAGACAGAAAGCCAAATGCCGAAGTTGATTTGACCATGAGTTATGCAGAGGGTTATGATTTGATTAGGAGTTTGTGCACCAGGCTGTCATCGCAATCTCTCCAGTATCTTTTGTCTTTCCTGTTGTGTAGTTTAGATGATATTTTGAATAGTATAGTTTAATTAATACTGTGATGATATACAACATTTGATTTATAAAATTTAAACTATATCTTTCTTGTCTTCTTAACAAAATTATTGATCACTTTCTGTTTCTTTTTAGCTTCCATAACATTATAGTTCCCATGTAACAATTTATAATTATCTAAATTTTTGCCATGCGTTATTGAGGAAAAAATCTTAAATGCATATCTGCTAAAAGTTATACAAATTACACTGATGGTATCGTGTACATCAATCCATTATCTTGTAAGCTTTCTCTATAAAGGAGAAAATGAAACAAAAATGACAAGAAAATAATTTATAGTACCTTACAGACAAGATGTTTTCATGAAGAAATGAGTTAAATAAGAAGTTTTAAATAAGTTAAAAGGCCTATAGAAAATTTCTATTTTCATACAGTTGCATACTAAATCCTTAACCTAATTGAACACATATCTGAAAAAAACATACTTATAATTGACTCTGTAGTCTAGAAAATAAATAATTTATAGATATCATACTTTTTAAAAGTTTTTAAAATGAAACTGATAAATTATAAATACAATTTTAATTAGTTATAATGAATACATTATGAATTAATATGTGATTTACTCTAGAATTTATTAATCACCAAATAAGAATTTTCACTGTTAAAATTATCATAGCTTGTTGTTGCTTTCAACCTAATAATCTGCTATTAGCCACATATTTGGAATGTATTCTTACTCCCATGCCTACCTGTTCCTCGAGGTGGTATCTTCTAAAATGAATGTGGACTCTTGGTTTCAGAGATGTTGCTCTTTATGTTCCTTTATGTTCTCTGCAGCCTGCAAAAATGTTGCATTCATGGAATCCCTACAGAGCAGAAGAATGCTTCCTATATATCTCACTATCTTTTTTTGTTTTGTTTTTGAGACAGGGGCTTGCTCTGTCACCTGGGTTGGAGTGCAATGGCACACACATAGCCCACTGCAAGCTCGATTTCCCAGGCTCAAGCAGTCCTCCAACCTCAACCTCCTAAGTAGATGGGACTAAAGGCCTGTGTCACTACACCCGGCTATTTTTTTTTTTAAATATTTTTAGTAGAGAGAGGATCTTGCTTTGTTGTCAGGCTAGTCTCAAAATCCTGGGCTCAAGTGATGCTCCTGCCTTGGCTTCCCAAAGACCTGGGATTACAGGCATGAGCCATCACCCTGGCCATCTTCACTACCCTTGACATATCTATGTATCTTCGCTGTTCTTGATGTAAGTTGAATCAATGAGGTAAAGAGATTATTTCTTACAAGGTACCACCATCCTGTTAAGCAAGACAACTTATACAAATGCTCCTGAACTTATGATGAGTTTCAGTCTCAATAAACCTATTGTAAGTTGAAAATATGGTAAGTTAAAAATACATTTAATGTATCTAACCTACTGAACTTAATAGCTTAGCCTAGCCTACCTTAAACATGCTCAAAACACTTGCCTTAGCCTAGAGTTGAGCAAAATAATTTTATATGAGGCACATTTTATATTGAAGTGTTGAATATCTCATGTAATCCATTTAATACTGTATAGTAAGGGGAAAAGAATGGTTGGATGTATGCTCAAAGTGTGATTTCTACTGAATGCATATCACTTTTGCACCATTTTAAAGTTTAAAAATTAAATCAAACCATTGTAAGTTGGGGACCACCTTTATTCTCATGGCTTCCTACAAAAGTTTTAGCATTGGTACTTTTAGATAAATTATTTACCACCATTCCAGAAAGGGGAAGAGAAGGCTTGACATCTCTTTGCGACCTTGAACCATTCAAATGAATCTTCATCTGTTTCCTGCAACACCATTGCCAAGCACTGAATTTTCAAAAAGACAATGAATATCTCATTAGGTATAGAATGGAAAAAATGACTGTATTAGTTATCTCTTGCTACCTAATAATATTATCACAAATTTAGAGACTTAATATAACATCCATCTATCATATCACACTTTTGCAGATCAGGATTGCAGGCTTTGGTTAGCGGGGCTCTCTGCTGCAGTGTTAAACCTGCCATCAAGGTGTTGGCCAGGGCTTCAGATTCCTCTGAGATCTGACTGGGGAGAAATCACCTCCTAATCTCATGTGGTTGTTTGCAGAATTTAACTACTTTTAGGCTGTGAAGTGACAGCAGTCTCAGTTTCTTTCTAGTTTTTGGACAGAGGCCACCCTCAGCTCATTGCCTCCTCAATGTGGAAGTACAACATGGCAGCTAGCTTCCTCCAGGCCAACAAGGAAGACATTCTCTTCCCAGTATAAATGCTGCAGGTTTATGCAACATAATTATGTATGGTAATCACATATATCCTGTCAACTTTGCCATATTCTATTGAATAGAAGCATTCATGGTTCCTGCCATACCCCAGGGAAGGTGATGACACGAAGCTGTGAATTCCAGGAGGCAGGGATCATGGGGTCCACTTTAAAATCTGTCTCTAACAAAGGACCTTATTTCACCAAAACTGTGTGAAATTCACTTTCTCTTCAAGTTTCTCAACCTCTTATTCTTTGAGTCTTGGTTAGGTCTATTCTGGAAACTTCTCATATATGCCTGGACAAGACTATGTTGCCTGAGAATGGGCACAACAAATCTCTGAAATCACTTGGAACATGGGCATGATTCCTATAAGGATATTGTTCTAAAAATGTAATTACTTTTATTCAGAGACAATCTATGGAAACAGAATCAAAATATATTGAGCATTTCTACCTTATCAGATATTATCCCAGTGACTTACAATTTTCACTTAAAATACTTTTTTCCTATTTTAAGAACAGATGTGAGCCATCTGTTTTTAATCAAAAATCCATATTAAATTACACCTTTAATTCTGGTGATAAGTAGGAAAAACATCTAAATGTAATTTGACTTGCGTATGTGGTTTCTTCATTAGGTTTATTCCCTTTTAGACATGTCAAAACCTCATTGTCTTGAATGCTGATGATGTAATGAAGAGATTAAGAATTTGTATACCATCTAAACCATGAAGAGGCACAGGAGAAAATCTGAATTATACAAGCATGTGCTGAGAGAATCATTAAACGATTTGGTTCATTTAACATTATATACCCATGTGACTCTTCCATATTTTCGAGCAAGAATAAATTTGAGACAACTGTTGAATTTATTGTTCATTTATTTTACTTTAATCTATGTATCTACCACAGAAGTCTGGGTTAAAGAATCAAAATATTTTATGTGTCTAATACACAGTCTTTAAATACAGATTTAAGAGGTAATTATTGTGTAGGATATAGAAAATGTTACATTTATTCCGATATTTATGGGTAAATTCATGACCACGGAGGAAGAACTTACCCTAAATGATTGAAAGCTTTTCTGTCAAAGTAGAATTTACCCTCCATTTACAGACAGGCTAGACTATTATAGGGCCTGGTCCCTGGAATTTCTTCATTGTTACAAGAGCACAATAAAGAGATATTTCTCTCCCTGCTCATTAGAAGCAATGCCAGCACAGCTCTGCAGAGCCACAATTCCAGATTACACGAGGGATAAGAAAGGAGAGAGGAGATTAGTGCAGCTGAGATGATCCTCCTTTTTGGCATTTTCCCTCTTGAGAAAACACTGTTATGCCTTTGATGCCACCTTTCTACTCTGGCTATTTGGAGATATTCATAATCTATATCACAACCCTGACCTTGGCCCCAGATAGTCTCATCTTTCCAAATAACAGCCAAAGATTTGTAGCAGGGCTGCATTCATAATAGATGCAAAATTAAATTCTACTAAGTCTCATGTTTTTTTTTTGCTTTCGTATTTTTATCATGTAAACAACATGGCATATTCCAAAGGCTTAAAGGATAAATCCTAGAGAAACACACATAAGTTGAAAGAGGTAAATCTGCAGGACTGGAGAAGGAGAAGCTGTAACCATTCTGCAAGCGTAGCAAGGCAGGAGCCAACTCAAGTTTTTTATATTCTATCAGAGAACAAGCAAATCACTGAAAGAAATTCTGAATGTGATGTGCATCCCAACCAAGCAGGGGACATAAGACAGGTTTTCCTTCTAGGTCAGAAAACCAGGAGGAGAGAGAGCCTCATGCAACTTAGATACCAGAGCCCAAGAATCAGACAGACAGAAAGACCTCCTTACATTAGGATATGGGGTGTGGCGGTGTCACGGTGGGATCAGTTACAGAACAGTTGCTTCATAATGCTGCCAAGTGCTGAGAAAAGTTATGCCAGACAATGAGTCATCAGGCACAGAAAATTATTGGACTATGTCAAAATGCTTTCTCCTAAACAGCAAAGTCTTCTGACAACTTGGGAAACATGACTTCTGCTCTTGTCTGGTACAGAGAAGAGGGCTGGGGGGAGCTTCCAGAAAACTGAATAGCACATACATCTCTGAAAGACAAGAAATAACAACACAAATAAAAAGGCAAGATGATATTTTTAAAAGAAAAGAATTGAAACAAAAACATTTGTTGAATGTTTATTGATTAGTAATTATGTAGTGAAACTCTTCTACACACTGGGGATACATCAGGTTCCAACTTCTCACACTCAGGTGAGAGACCATAAACAAATAAATGATTAAATGATGTTGTATGTCATAAAATAGTACATTTTAGAAAGAAAGCAAAGTAGACAAGGACAAGAGTCCGTGAGTTTGCATGTGTGGGGAGTGGGAATAGGATTGCAATTTTAAATAGGGTAGAAAGGCTGGCTTCCTTGAGAAAGTAACATTTGAGCACATTGATTAAGAAGGTGACCAAGTGGGCTGGGTGCGGTGGCTTACACCTGTAATCTCAGCACTTTGGGAGGCTGAGGCTGGCAGATCATGAGGTCAGGAGTTCGAGATCAGCCTGGCCAACATAGTGAAACGCTGTCTCTACTAAAAATACAAAAATTAGCTGGGCATGGTGGCGAGAGCATGTAGTCCCAGCTACTCGGGAGGCTGAGGCAGGAAAATCGCTTGAACCCAGGAGGCAGAGCTTGCACTGAACCGAGTTCACACCACTGCACTCCAGCCTGGGCAACAGAGTGAGACTCTGCCTCAAAAAAAAAAAAAAGAAAGAAAAGAAAAAGAAAGTGACTGAGTGAATAATGTAGGTAACTCTCTACAAGGAGAGAGAGTAAAGGGAAAGGAAGCAGCCCTTGCAAATATCCTGAAGTGAGAATGCACCTTGACAGGGAGCAGCAAATATAGAGATACTGCCATGGGATCCCACTTGGAACATTTTCCAATAGCCAAATAGCCAAGAGGCCAGTGCCATGATTTGAGTATGGTTTTTTTGTACCTGCCAGCTCTCATGTTGAAATTTGTTACTCAGTGATGGACACGAGGAATGATGACAGGTGTTTGGACCACAGAGACAGATCCCCTTGAATGGTTTGGTGCCATTCTCATGGCAGTGAGTGAGTTCTCACTCTTAGTTCCCATGAAAACTTGTTGTCAAAGAGTCTGGCCCTTTCTCCTCTCTCTTGTTTTCAGCCATGTGATCTGTACACACAGGCTTCTGCCAGGAGTGGAAGCAGTCTGAGGTCCTCATCAGAAGCCAATGCTAATGCCTAACTTCAAGTACAGTCTGCAGAACTGAGAGCCAGATATAAATTTCTTGTCTTTGTAAATTACCAGGCTTCAGATATTCCTTTTAGCAGTACAAATGGACTAAGACAGCCACTGTGGCTAGTGTAGAGTGAGCCAACTTGTGCCTAGCAGGGGATGAGATTAGCGATGCAAGACCACAGTAGCCCTTTTAAGTCACCGTTACAACCAAGACTGTTGTCTGAGAATAAGAAAATATCAAAGAAAGTGATAAGAGGGAGGAGATAATATGATAGGTTTTAAGAGTATCACTCCAGTTGCTATAGTAGGTGACTTATGTTTCTTTCTACAATTTCTCTAAACTGTCTACATTTTTCATATTATATTCATAATTAAAATGACAGGTTTTTTTTCCTCGAAGCTAGTTCCAAGAGCTAGAACAACATTTTCATCTTCTAGGACAGTGACAGACCTGACAACAGTTAGGCATTGGCACTCTAAAAACATGTAGCATAGTCTAAATCAGGGGTCAGCCATTGTGACCTGAGTTCGGAAAATGCCAATATAAAAGTCACATGCTGACTGCTGTGTGGCAATAACCACTCAAATGGTAAAGTATCTCATGCAGAGAAGATCAAGAAAGAGATATTGTCTCATCCAGCTGCCTGAAAAGGGAAAATATTCAGACACTTTTCACATTCTTCCTATGATCTTGAAAGTCACTGAACACTCCTCAAGTATTTTGCTTTTTTTATTGTTGTTGTGAGAAAAGACACAGATGGAAGTCACAGGCTGTGACCACAGTCCATTGTTCTTAAGCAAGATTCCTCAGGAAACTTTGTGTTCCTACCCAGAATGTAAATGATCTGTTACAACAAGAGAACAGTGTCTGGAATGTTTGCAAATTACCTTTGAGATGTCTCTCTTCATCTAAAATTATCCTTACTTGTTCTTAATGTTTCCATACTAGCAAAAATAAATCCAGCACTGCATTGCTGCAAAATAGGTAGAAGTTGTAATTGAATAACCTGTTGAAGCCACCATTTCTGCCCAGACAAGTTATTGTCAATGTCATTGTTTTTTGGTTGGGCTGTGGGTCCATGTGTGGGTCAACATATAGCTTAAATAAATGTAACCCATAAATGACTAGAAGAGGGCTATGCTTGAATTAATAATGACACTGTTCCACGGCTAATAATAATAAATAATTCTTTTCAGTGTACCTGAGGTCTATTTAAAAATATATTAAAAAGTTAAAAGTTGGTAAAAAACAAATTAGCTGCTGTTTGTTACTTGGTATCCTGGGTCATCTTCCCTTCCATGATAAAAATCTGAAAGAACTATAGGCCAGTATTGTTTAATTTTAAAACAAAATTAGAAAACTTGAAGTTTAGAATAAAATTCAAGCCATGGTTTTCCCTTACTTTGTATTGTATTTATTAAAATGTTTTCAAAGATGAAACTTTTTGAATGTTTTCAGAGTTCCTGAAAAAGTTAAATAAGTCACTTCTTGTTTGTGTTTTGTGGGCTTTTGTTTTGTTGTGTTTTTAAATAAATTTTATTTTTTAGAGCAGTCTTAGCTTTACAGCAAAATTGAGCAGAAGGTATATATTTTCCATATATTCTCTGCCCCCACATATGCATAACCTCCCCAAGTATCAACATCTCCCACCAGAGAGGTATATTTCTTATAATCAATGAGCCTATATTGACACATCGTTATCACCCAAAGTTCATAGTTTATATTAGGATTCGTTCTTGGTGTTGTAAGTTCTATGGTTTTGCAAAAATGCATAATGACATGTGTTCACCATTGTAGTATCATACAAAGTAGATTTACTGCTCTAAAAATCCTCTGTGTTCCACTTGTTTATCCCTCCCTTTTCCCCAAGTCCTGGAAACCACTGATTCTTTTACTGTCTCCCTCATTTTGCCTTTCCATAATGTGATTTTGTTAAAATCATACAGTATTCAACCTTTTCAGATTGTCTCTCAGTAATACGCATTTAAGTTTCCTCGATGTCTTTTTATGGCATCATAGCACTTTTTTAGTGCTGAATAATATTTCATTGTGTGTATATAACACATATTCTTTATTAACCTACTGAAGGACATCTTGATTGTTTGCATGTTTTGGCAGTTATGAATAAAGTGCCTATAAATATGCACGTAGACTGTGTTTTCAACTCATTTTGGTAAAAACCAAGGTGTGTGATTGCTGCTAAATACCAAGATGTGTTATTACTAAATATGGTAAAAACATATTTAATATTGTCAGGAACTGCTCATCTGTCTTCCAAAGTTGCTTGGCAATTTTGCATTCCTACCAGAGACAAATGAGAGTTCCAGCCAGCATTTGGTGCTGTCAGTTGTCAATTTTATGTCAATACATAAAATCAGTATGTATTTTAAGAGCCACCAAAATGTTTTGGATATTGACCATTCTAATAGGTACATAATGGTAGTTCATTGTTGCCTTAATTTGCATTTTCCTCATGGAGCAACTTTTCATCTACTTTTCCATCTTTATATTTTCTTTGGTGAGGTGTCCATTAAGGTTTTTTAAAGTGTTCTTTGTATATTTTGGATATCTGTGTTTTATCAAACAATGTATTCTGCAAATATTTTCTCCCAGCTTGTAGGTTGTCTATTTACTTTATTAACAGTATGTTTTACAGAGAAAACATTTTTGATTATAATGAAGTCAAGTTTATTAATATCTTTCACTGAGTATACCTTATCTGGTCTTGTATCTTAAAAGTCATTGCCAAACTCGAGGTCATCTAGATTTTCTACTAAGCAATGTTTTTCAATAAGTAAGAAATTAAACACAGTCAAAAAATTTCTAAATTTTATTTAATATTAATTGACTAAACTTAAAATGAGTATTAAAAAATAATGATTACATTTTTGTTATTCTGCTGCAACCCTATATGGACATATTTCATAGAGTTTAATCAATTTTCACGTGTCACACTGGGTGAGAATTTCTTAAAATTGTACATTCCTAAGAGTTTTATCTTAGCCTAGCCTACAAGGAAGAATCAGCATGCGGTACGTGAATTTAAGTATAGTATTATGAGGAAGTAAAGGTAACACACTTCAACTGGTTACCAAGCAAATTCTTCAAAATTTCTACTTAGCTGTTGGTGTTACTGAACACTTTCAGAAGTTTGCCACAACTTCTGTCGCTTTCACGCGGAGCGCAAAAGAAGTTGAGGCAAACAAAAGTAAGTGTTAGTTTCAGTTGAGAAAGACTCACGAGTAAGTCTCATGTCATTTATTACCTCTGATTGAATAGCCCTATGGGTGATGAACAAGGTTGCCAGGTCATCCACCTCAGATAATAAGAACAGAAAGCAAACACTATGAAAAGATTTTGTTTTGTTCATAGTTTCAGATTTCTGTTATATACAGTCAACATGTTTTAAAGATGGTTTACTAATTTCTTAAAGAATGAATATGTGCAAATGAAGATCAATGAACATCTAAATCATGTTTCAAAAAGAGACAGTAATACTGGCCAATTGCCAGCTGCTTCTATCCATCCCTCCAGTTACTACGACAGGTAAAAATGGAGATGATAAATAATGCTCCTTCAGGAAAAAGGTGGCAAATTTGGTTGATGGGGTAAATGCCCCATTTGCTTCTTTCTTTGTTCATTGCATTTGAATTTTTTAAAAAAAACTCCTTTATTTAATTTTTTTAGAAAACCTGGTCTTAGGTGCCCACTTAAGTTCATATGAGAAGGGTTTGGAAGATTGAGATAAATGGTTGCATTTCAGCTTTATTCCTCTATCCATTGTCTCTACAGGAATAGACAATGTACCAATGAGACAATAATTTGCTTGGTGGAAATACTGCATTACATCCTCTCATATGCTTTTCATGTGTACACCAAACCTGCTTTTCTGGAAATAGTAATCCTTCCCTGAAAGCAAGACAGAGACTGCCTGGAGGAAGGATGCAAAGATAAGAGAAGAGCTTCAAACTTGTTTAGCTGTCAACTTCTGTTCTCAATCTTGATGTGTTATTACTTCCCCTCAAGTTCTCTCAGCTGTTTCCCAGAGATTGAACATCTCCTCCCTACCACGTGCTGCTAAGAAACTCTCTTATTTACTTGATTGCTACTGTCATTGTTATCATCATTTGTCTGAGGAAACATTATGGTCTTTGCCATGCTCTAAAGAAAATTAATTTGTTCTTTTCATAAGGCAGTGAATAATTACTTTTTATTTTAAGATTATGATCTAATATTAACCACTCTCATTTCCTAGACTTCTGCTACGTAATGGCTGCCCTTGAATTTTTTTTCAAAAGTTTGTACAGTGAGGAATCCTTTCCTCCCTCAGTACCTCTATCTCCTCTTAATTTTTAGAGGAGTACCCCAGAGAGGTTCATCCACAGCCAAACACAGAAGACAATGCCTAGGTATAGTTGACTCACAGCCTTGATGAAATGCTGCATTCTTTAATACCTTAGATAAATGACACTGAAGTTGTTATCCAATAATATATTTTTTCAGAGCATGGACATATCAACATCTTTTATTTCTCCAATCAAAATCTTTACAAATGACAAGCATGCAAAACTCCTCATGATACAGAATAAGATGTAAAAACTGAAAAACTTCTCATGATTTAATTCCTTCTGATTGATATAATATACACAAATCATTTCTTGAGAATGACTTGGGTACCGATGTATCATGGTATGCTAGGAACAGTCATCAAGTCTATCACTTTCCCAGATGAATAAATGATGCTCACATGGCAGACGGCAATGTGTTCTTGACCAATCAAGCAAGGTTTTCCAAAGATCCCCTATGACACCTTCTTCTTACAACCTCCTTACTCCTCAGACCTTAGATTGGCATTCTAACAATTCCTGATTTATATTTCCATAAGGAAGGAAGCCCTAACTCAGATATTGAGTAGGAGCAAGGAATGATCATTCTTTTTTGCCTATCATTCTATAGCAATCCATAAACCTCAGTTTCTTTTTTCTTAACCTAAAAGAGTTTAGTTTCATTACTGCTGGTGTGGAACACACATTTGTTACCATGACCCAGACTTTTCTTGAGTTATAATTACTTCTATGTGATCCCTACATTGGTCTGAATGCTTTCCCGAAGGATTCTTTAAAACAATATAAAACACATTCTCAAAAAGTGTTATCATTAGCTTTCTTATAGGTTTAATCAATGTATAATTTTTCCATGCATACATTAGAATCTATACTTGGGTATTGTAAAATATTTCTATTGTAATATTTTTGTGCAACATAATGCATATTTAAAATGCACTAAGCACCTGCTTTATAGAAAAGTGCTCAAGTTGGAAAATAAGAAAATAAGAAAACCCAATGATATTTAAAGATGAAAATATAAGTGATCTATTCTACTTTTATTTGAGTCCTTGTTTTTAAAATAGGTAAATTAAGACTAGTAAATTTAAAAATGTTATTATTAAAAAGACAGTAAAACATACAGTCAAATAGTTTTAGGCTTCAGAAAATAGTTTTTTTGAATTGGAATAATCTTCAATGGTCCCAAATATGTCTTGAATCATATGGGAATAGCAACTAGGTTTGTTAGTGCTTTATCCATGGTCAATCACTAAAAGAAAGAAACTGTAACTGAGTTTATCGAGGTCTTATAAAGACTTATCCAACTATAGGAATAATCCTTCAATAAATGAATAGCATTACCAATTATAGTCTGTAAAAAAGGAATTGTCCTTGGACTTATTTTAAGCAAATGCTTATCTCTAGAAAGTCTATTGGGAGAACAGTCTTGTTACCATGCATCATTAGGCAATTGGCAGTGTGCATGTCAGCAGATTACAGAATTATGGCTCCCAGTGGTCTAACCAGTTTTCTTCAAGAATGCTACTAAAATCAATATCAACAAGGAACAGGATCCAGATTTTTTAAGGGTTGACAACAGCTAATCTATGTTGTGAGACATCTCCCCAGTCTGTGTTCAGGCAGCATGTGCTCTAAAGTTTGAAGAAACGGAGCCAATAGAAGCCTAGGCAGAAGTCATATACAATGGAAAAAGGAAAAACAAAATGTTAAGACTTGGCTCACGCCTGTAATCCCAGAACTTTGGGAGGCCGAGGGGGACAGATCACGAGGTTAAGAGTTTGAGACCAGGCTGGCCAACACAGTGAAATCCCATCTCTACTAAAAATACAAAAAATTAGTCGGGAGTGGTGGTGGGCGCCTGTAATCTCAGCTATTCAGGAGGCTCAGGCAGGAGAATCGCTTGAACCCAGGAGGCAGAGGTTGCAGTGAGCTGAGATCAAGCCATTGCGCTGCAGTCTGGGCAACAGTGCAAGACTCCAACTCAAAAAAAAAAAAAAAACTTGGAATTAAAACAATGCCATGTGGTACACTGTATCTAGAGTTTATTTGGATATTGTTTTAAATACTCAATGAAGTTTATATTTTTATAGGTATTAAAAAGTGACTTTTTTTTGACTTAGAAAAAATACCTTTATGTATTTTAAGAGCCACTAAAATGCAAAATCCAATTGCTTGCTCAATTTGGAACCTAAAAGTTCCAAACTGGAGTTAGAAGAAAGGGAATTAGAACACCTCTCTTTCAAGGTCTTGAGCCTATTCAAAAAAGACTCAATATGACAGTCTGGTAGTATGGGAAACACTCTTGGTGTCTGCTGCTCTGGTCTTATGCCTAAAACTCTACCTGCATTATCTTCAGATAACTTAGATAGAACTACTTTCTTTGAATGATTAAAGGTCTTTTAATTTTAAATACTGTGTAAAACATTAAGAAAATAAACTTGAAGTTATGTAGAATGAAAAAGGCTAGAGGTTTGATATACAGCATGAAGACTATAGTTAATACTGTACTGTATACTGAAAATCTGTTAACAGAGTATATTTTATGTGCTCTGAACATACACACACACACAAGCAACTATGGATCATGATGCGCAAATTAATTTGCTTTACTATAGTATTAATTTCATTATATTTATGTATATTAAAACAGCATGTTGTACATGTTAAACGTATTCAATGATAAAGAAAATGGAAATCATCGCCTTTGTATTTGAGATTTAAAAAAGAAACTTTGCATATGTGACATTTTGTATTCTTATAATGTTAAGAGAATTGTGGCCCTGAAACTGCAATACATAGTTCCCATTTACAGGTTCAATTGCAGAATTGATTTAAACTTAGGATTTTAGATTAAGCTCTTTCTAAACTTGTTGATACAATTATAACATTATTGAGAAAATAAAGTCTACCATATTTAGTCACAAAACTTTCTTGCTTAAAAATAAAATCACCATATATTGTTTATAGTGCTTATTAGAATGTGTGAAGGTATTAAGTCTGCAGATGGATAAAACTACTCCAAAACCTCTCAAAAATGACTGATTCAATTCAATAGATTAAAAACAGAATTAAATAAATGTTTTTATTTATAAATTTAAAAATTATAATACAATTGTTCATACAAAAAATAAATATTTCTTAGGTCTATTTTGCATGCAGAAATTATTCTTAAGTCGGTATTTTATTTAATTATTATTTTATATTTTTACAGACTTGCCTTCAGAGTTCTGTAGGTATTTTAAAAACTCATATCATCAAGGGAAAGGTACATAATTTGGTGCATGTTTCTGTGCTGAAGGTGTTCTTTTTACAAATCAAATATCAGGTTTCTGGCGTCTAATCAGCTTTCTGATATCAGGTAATAGAAATGAATTGGCAGTTATATCAGGATCTGGGAAAAGTGAGTATCTCTAAACATATAACACCCCCACACACCTACCCACCCCATATCCACGCACATCCCCCAACACACACACATACACACACACACACACACACACAACCTATTTGTGAGACTTAAAAACATCTCTGGCTGGGCGCGGTGGCTCACGCCTGTAATCCCAGCACCTTGGGAGGCCGAGGTGGGTGGATCACGAGGTCAGGAGATCCAGACCATTCTGGCTAACACGGAGAAACCCCGTCTCTACTAAAAATACAAAAAATTAGCCGGGCGTGGTGGCGGGCGCCTATAGTCCCAGCTACTCAGGAGGCTGAGGCAGGAGAATGGTGTGAACCCGGGAGGCGGAGCTTGCAGTGAGCTGAGATCGCGCCACTGCACTCCAGCCTGGGCGACAGAGCGAGACTCCATCTCAAAACAAACAAACAAACAAACAAATTTCTATAGTCTGTGAATTCAAAGGAAATTAGTATCCTACATGGCTATATCTGTAAACATATCTGCTATTATTATTTCTGGTTAAATGAAAGTGAAATATAAACCAGATGAAAAAATCATCTAAAGAAGATATCTTTAATAACTAAAACATATATCTTAAACGACTTAATTGCCGCGTTTTTGGGGTTTGAAAATAGATATTCAACAGAAATATTTATTGATAATTTATCTTTTATTTTTATTTGCAAATCGCTAAGTCTTTTATCCAAATAACATAAAGGCTCTAATTCAAAATATTTGTATGTATTTAAAAAATATTTTAATATAGAAAAAAGCTCAGAAAGATAATTTTATAACTATGCTGCAAAACACTGTTTTTATATATCCTTGTATTTTTCATGTGTTTTTCTTAATTTAAAATGTTCATGAGATAATATTTGGAATATTCCACACTATCCAAAGAGAAGAATAAGACAAAAGCTATAATAAAAATGTTATGTTATGTTTGAATAAGCCAAGCATAAAAAATAGGTTCCGTATATTGTTCAGATTTTTGTCAGTTATAAACTAAAAATAGTTTAATCTAAAACTTTAAATATTATCTACTTAAAAATTAAAATAAAACATAATGTGGTATTTCTATGATTTTTGCAGAGTAATTTTTAGACATTAGCTATATTTTTAAGGTAATAATCCTCTTAAAAATGACTAATTAATGTAGCTGAGTTGATTTTCCTAATTTTTACTTCAAACTTCTTATTTTTTAGGTTAGTGCACTGATATATTCTTTTTCATTGTATTTTTTAAATTCATAAAAATATATTTTATACTATGCTGCCAATTTGATAAAAGGAATGATTGAAAAATTCATTTACAACTTATGCAAACCAATAAGTAACAGGTGGCTGGTAATTACTGATTTTTTATACATTTATTCTTTTTTCTGCACATGCAAATATAAAATAGAATTTCCTATCAAGCAAGGATTTCTCCTTGGGTTCTTCTGTCCAACATGGGAATTAGTGCCCAATAGTACCAGATAGTAGAATAGTTAAACAGGAAATAACCTAGATAAGATGACATTAAAACTCTTTCTTCTTTCTTCTCGCCTTTTGAAAAGGCTTTCATGTTAAATCAAAACAAAATATACCTCAACAAAAACAAAATAAAACAAAATAAAAGCATACCCAACATAGCAAATAGTGCAGTACAATAATTTATGGATATCCTGTCCATACCAATTCATTGTGAATTCTTACTCATAAAGAAATTACTTTTAAGCTTTTATGTATATACATGTATATATATATGCACACATATATATATGTGTGTATATATATACACACACATATGTACACTACTGCTTATTAGTTAATAAGCAGTGCTTATACATTACTTATAATGCATTAGTTATTAGTGCTTATACATTACTGCTATGTATGTATATATATGCACTACTGTTTATTAGCATTAAGATATATATTTTCTATAGGGTTTAAATCTGTAAAACTCAAAACGCTATACAGGCATTATCATATTGATTCGGCACCATAATTTTGATACATGAAAGGCAGGTTTTTTCCCCATACTATTGATGAAGAAACGAAAGTACAAACCAGTTGTTTTGTCCAATTGACTAAAGAAATAAATTAGAAAGTCTCACCATAACTTGTTCCCTCTGCAAACTTCATCTAGATAAGCTAATACTTGCAAATACCAGTTATTCATTTTAATGTATCCAACCAGCACCATGTACTGTACATGATCCATCTTATTAAACTTAACAAAAATCACATGAGGAAATATCCATTTTAGTGATGAGATGCTGAATACTAAGGAGTGAAATTTGTCCCCAAAGGTCAATAGTGGCAGTAAGTGGAAAAGCCATGACTCAAAACAGGCATTCCAATGTCAAACCCTATTCACTTACTTAAGCCCCTGGATGCCTATTAGGGATGGAATTATGTCCCCGCAAAATGCATAGATTAAAGCTTTACCTCCAATGTGACTGTATTTGGAGATAGGGCTTTTCAGGAGGTAATTATGGTTCAATGAGATCATAATGACTCTAATTCAATAAGACCGGTGTCCTTATCAGAAGAAGAAGCAGCACACCAGGGGATGATAAGGCCATATGAAGACAGAGTGAGAAAACAGCCATCTGCAAGTTAGAGAAGCCTCACCGGAAACACTTCTGTTAGTGCCTTGATCTTGGACTTCCAGCCTCCAGAACTGTGAGAAAATAACTTTCTGATGTTTAAGCCACTCAGTCCCTGGTATTCTGTTACAGAAGCCAGAAAGGACCACGTCACTGGTGTCTAGTTCAGTGATTTGTTCCCAGGCCTGATTTTGGTCCTCCCCATGCTGTCTTTAAGATGTGTATTTTTTTTTTTATACTTTAAGTTCTAGGGTACATGTGCTCAACGTGCAGGTTTGTTAACATATGTATACATTGTGCCATGTTGGTGTGCTGCACCCGTTAACTCGTCATTTACATTAGGTATTTCTCCTAGGGCTATCCCTCCCCCTTCCCCCTACCCCACAACAGGCCCCGGTGTGTGATGGTCCCCACCCTGTGTCCAGGTGTTCTCATTGTTCAATTCCCACCTGTGAGTGAGAACATCTGGTGTTTGGTTTTCTGTCCTTGTGATAGTTTGCTCAGAATGATGGTTTCCAGCTTCATCCATGTCCCCTACAAAGGACATGAACTCATCCTTTTTTATGGCTGCATAGTATTCCATGGTGCATATGTGCCACATTTTCTTAATCCAGTCTATCATTGATGGACATTTGGGTTGGCTCCAAGTCTTTGCTATTGTGAATAGTGCCACAATAAACATACGTGTGCATGTGTCTTTATAGCAACATGATTTATAATCCTTTGGGTATATGTGTATTCTTAAAGAAAACAGTTGTGTTCATACTTCCTGTTCCTTCTTCTCCTTTTTTTTTTTTAATTACTGTAAGTGAAGGAAATACTTGAAGGCTGTTAATGATTTGTGCTTTTGTAATCAGGGGTGAAGAAACTTTTATTTTTTGCTCATTGAACCTGAAAGGACTTATGCTACAAATGACATGATTTCCTTTAGTTATCTGTGTCTCTACCCCACATGTTATATATCAAGTGTCTTCCTTACTGCTGGTCATGTCTCAAAGAGCAGTATTAGTAGCAGCAGTTGTCACAAAAAAACATATTGACAATGGAACAAGCCACCAGAAAATAATGGCTTGAGCCAAAGATTGTAGTAGTGGCTACATTGTTACTATTAATTTTGTAAATATTTAATTTGCTCACAATTTCAAGTAACACTTACGTTTCAACTCCTCTACCCAGCCATACGTATCTCTGTGTGTTTCTGACTGTATACATGTGTGTGTTTGTTTGCATACACATTCTTGAATTGACATTAATATCTTTGAAGATTTCTCTAAGGGACTGAGGAGGGTGAAGTAACATGAGCTTGATTTCTTCTTTATATATATATATATATTTTTTTTTTTATTATATTTTAAGTTCTAGGGTACCTGTGCACAACATGCAGGTTTGCTACATATGTATACATGTGCCATGTTGGTGTGCTGTACCTACCAACTCATCATTTACATTAAGTATATCTCCTAATGGTATCCCTCCCCACTCCCCCCACCCCACAACAGGCCCCGGTGTGTGATGTTCCCCTTCCTGTGTCCAAGTGTTCTCATTGTTCAATTCCCACCCATGAGTGAGTGAGCTTGATTTCAGCCAGCTTGATTTCTTTAGATCCTCAGAAAGCCATTCTAAATTTTATATCTCTGAGCAGCTCAATGTACAATCATAAGATTAATGTGCTGCTGTTCTCAGGACCCTTCTAGTGAGACTGACTCTCTGGATGCATATTATTTATGGATTTTATGTTACCTTCTAAAATGAGCATGAGAGAGAAAGAACTTGTGAACTTGCAAACTGAAATCAATACAGATAATAACCTCTCACACAGAAAAGGTTGGGATGTCTCTGTTTATTTCATAAATATTCTTGTGGATTAGACATACTCCTCGGTAAATGCTTCATGCTTTCTTTGTGCTTCTTCCTTCTTTTTCTGTTTCTCCTCCACTATACCTCATTTTCTTGCTTGGTTTTTCTGTCTCCCACACAGAAAATTCATGTTGGATTTCATATTATTACTTGACCCAATAAAGTCACTGAAACAGACACAGAAGGAGTCAGGAACCCATTTATTTCACAGTGTGATAGATCAATATTCAGAAGAGAGCAATAATAGCGTATATGAAATACATTTTTTTCAAGTGTGCTCATTAAATGAAAGATTTCCCTCCTAAGAATATCCTGTTTAGGGTTTTGTAAAATAGTATTATGTGAACTTTATCTAGAGGGATATTTGTAAACATTTAAAAAACTCACTGCTCTCCTAGAGCATAATTCACTATAAACTGCGCTTTTAAGAAACCATTCAAAAAAATTGGGTAACGGAATACATTTCTTTGACTCACCCTGTGTCTATATTAGAGTGAGACTATATTCTTAAATAGAAGACATATTTAACTACTATAAATGTTCTGTATAAATTATGACTTTGCTTAAGATAAGACACAAAAGAAACCTTAATGCTTCTTCCTTTATGGCCTAAACCATAAAGAACATAAAATCTATTCTGACAATTTTATTAGCCACATATTTTTCCTTCTATCAAACTAAATAGTTGTATTAAATCTACACAGAATCTAAATGTTTATGTGTTAACTTACTCAGCCTTTTCTGCATCTGTTTTAATTCCTAGGGCATTTTCTCCACATGGTAATCAGAGAAGTACTGTTTCCAGAAAATAATGGAAACTTCAGAATTAACTGATTTGCACTTTCTAATGGGCATGGATGGGGATAGTGACTAATTAGCAGTGTGATCCATCATTCTAAGCAATTCTACCTCAAGAACAGTGATATCTGATCACCCCAGTCTATCAGAGAAGTAGAGAAGTTCTAAACGTGTTGCTAATTACCCTGATGAATTAGTGGATGGAATCTCCCCCTCCCCGTGTTTCATATTTTCTTGGTATTATGATAGAGCAATGCTGGTGATCATGAGTGGCTTTTAGAAGGAGTGGAAATTTATTACATAGCCAGTTTTGATATGCAAAACAATTCAATTAGGGCAAATAAATTCTCCAACATTTCATACTATGTAGGAGACAATGATAATTGTATTGTTGGGTTCTCCATCTGTACAACTATTAGTATTACTACAAAATGTTTAACCACCTGTGACCCATTAATTGGACAGTGCTACACAATATGCTTTTCTTTATTTAAAACTATAATTTTAACATAATTTAAAAATTTTATGAATATAGAGATCATCTTCAGTTTCTTTAAAATAATGCTGGTTATATTATTATCAGAAGGTTGAATATTAAACCAGAAGATACAAAATCTTTTCTTTTTGACCTTTTCTCTTAACCACCATTTAGATTTAATTTCTGCATTTCATTTTCACTCTCATTGTCACAAGTTTTATTTGGCTTATTGTTATGAGTCTCAGGTTAAATTAATTACGCCTATGAGTTCTAATTTTCACATGCCTTTAATTAAATGTGTTTTAATGGTAGTACCATAAATTTATTTTATTTTTTCATTAACATATAGAAAATAATTTCTATTTGTGGCCTTAAGTACAATGTGAAACCAAAAATAAGTCTGCACTAAACATGAGATATGTATATCTTTGATTGTAGTTTATTTTATGAAAGGCTTTTCAATGTTTAGCATCGCTGTTTATATCCATGATTGTCCCAAAGGTTGGATCCAAAGTTTATGGGGCAAGAGTGGGGGTGGGGCTGGTCATGAATGGCTCCTTACATTCATTGTCAGTAATAGTAGTAGATGCTTTCTGTTGTATAAATTTGAAAGTATTCAAATCTATTCTCAGTTTACCCTATCAATATGTAAAATATCAAGAACTTTTTTATGTTTCTTTAGTTTTAGGGATAAAACATACTTTCTTTTATATTTATTTAGAACTCCAATTTGTGGCATGAAGGGAAAAATGCTTCAATGTGAATTTGTGCCAGCTGACTAACATGAGAATTGTATTACTTATAATTAAACAAATTACTAGTGAAATATAGTTTCATTAATTTTTCTTATAGTAGAAACCAAATGCAGGATAAATATAAATATTTAAAATATTGACATGCAAAAGAGAGAATTCTGCAAGGCAATAAAGTAAGGCATGTGAAAGTTGCAAGTATCAAAAAATATCTATATGATTATAAATGAAAAGAATCAATTAAAGGGGTTACTTTTTCCCATGATGTAATGGGAAAGCTTGCAGAGAAAAAGGAAAACTTAAAAGAGAAAAACATACATGATAAAAGACGGTGTGTACCGGGTGTTTTCATCTAGTGAATTATAAAGCGTACTAATACAATCTAATGCAGGAACAGAAAACCAAACATGGCATGTTCTCACTTGTAAGTGGGAGCTGAACGATGAGAACACATGGACACATGGAGGGGAGCAACACACACTGGGGCCTATTGCGGCAGAGGGGAAGGAGAGCATCAGGAAGAATAGCTAATGGATGTTGGGCTTAGTATCTAGGTGATAGGATGATCTGTGCAGCAAATCACCATGGCACATGTTTACCTAGGTAACAAACCTGCATATCCTGCACACATACCTTGAAACTTCAACTAAGAGTTGAAGAGAAAAAAAAATAAAGTTTGCTAATTATCAAGTAATTGTTTTCAGCTCCAAATTTTTATTTTGTACTGTTTATCATGCAGAAGCAGGGCTCTGCAAACCACATTTCTACTTTGCTTACAGATTTTCCATTAGTTTCTGCCAAGGGGGAGCAGTAGAAGCCAGAAAAGCTGGAAGAGGAAGAAGGGAATTGTCGCTTCCTGTTTGCTTCTTGTAGACTTCCATTTGGTGTGTCCTTCTTGTAAACTTCACTCCAGCAATGCTTACTCACCCTGGAAGTAGCAGTTCCTTTCTACAATATCAGCTGAGTCTACTTTGCAGCTTTCCCAACCCTTGTAGAATCACCTTTATCTACTCTCCTCAGAAACAACACCACCAGCTGAGAAAGCAGAATTCTTTCCTCAAAGGCCAGAGTCTCAGCTCCGTGGAGACCCTCCTCTTAGTTCTTTAGTGGGGGACTGGAATGGGAACTGTTTTCTGAAGTTGTCACACCTGTGACACTTTAGTCTCTCCTACCTTTCAGTCACCTAGCTAGCCACTGTATAGCTAGGAAAAAAATTGTTTAAATTTGCTTTGTTTCAAAAATTGGTCTTATTTTGGTCTCCCAACTGGACCCTGACTGATATAAAACCTAGAGCTCTAAGCTCTTTTCAGCAATTATTTTTATTTGATAACTTTGAAATATAGTGTTCATTATTCAAATTGGAGATCTTTTTCTATCATATTTGGATATGATCTTTTCCATCATATTTTACTTCTCCCTATGACCGCCTTACCAGGTTCAACCCTACTTGTCTTTTAGGAATTAACTGAAATGATGATCCCTTTCCAATATGTTCTATTAACCCCCATTCACTCTTGGCCATTAATGACCAAGATAAGTCTACAGTTAGCTGCCCTGATACCCAGTGAACACTTGTTACATTTATTATGTTGTTCATAGGTACCTGTTCACTTGTCTCTTTTCTACTACACAGTAAGCTCTCTAAAGAACTGAACCAACTTTTATTCACTGGAACTTGAATGTTCATTTGCACTGCTGCTACATACTAGTTGCTTGATAAATAATTATTGCATGAATAAATAAATGAAAATTTCAAGAATGAGTCTTTTTTTCAGAATTATAATTGCCAGATTTAACAAACAAAAATATAGGACTCCCAGTTAAATTTGAGTTTCAGTAAAACAATGAATAATCTATTTAGTATAAATACATCCTAAATATTTCATTGCTAAAATAAAATTTTTAAATCTGGAATTCAAATTGCACTGGGTGTCTGTATTTATCTAGCAACTCTTGTCTGAAAAAATTCTTCCAAGACTGACTTGATTGAATGAATTGTGGGAAAAATGTTTTAATGCTCATATAGAAGCATCAAGAATGCTTCATATACATTTGTGCCAACTATGAAAATCAAAAGACTATGTTTTACTGTGTTATTTGATGGATTGACCACTCCAATTGCTGTAATAGGTAGACCTGATGCCCTAGATTCAAGATAAATGTTTTTCCAGCAACAGTGGAACATACTTTATCTCCCAGCAGGGCTTGTCTGGATGTCTATTGACAGGCCTCGTAGTGTGACTCAGCTAGGCAAATACCAGCCTGAAGGTCACTCTTTGAAAATTATACCATGCTGGGCACATCCAATAATGTCAATCTTTCCTGGACCTAGTCTTGAGGTTTGCGGTCTTGAAATATAAATGTCCCAAGCACAGATTTTGACAGCTAGTAATTGTTTAATAAATGATGACTTCCTTTCTCAATACATTTGAATCCATTTCAGAAGAAAAAAAATAAGAAAGAAAAGATTGTTTAGGAAAAACTTCTGGGCCTGGAAGTTTAGCATTTTAACATCACGTCCTCTGCAATTGACCTAAGATTTAGGAGTTACGGTAGTTTAATGGGATATAGAAGCACACGCAATTTTACTTAAAACAAAAAATTGGCTCTCTGGGAGCCTTAAGAAAGAAACTTTTGACATGTCAACCTGAAAACATTAAAGGAGTCAGAATCCCGTTTTAAAGAGTTTATTCAAGTGAAAAGCTGGAAATGGTCATTCCAGAATGCATGATCTCCAGAGAAATAGGGTCAGTGCTCTAAAGTTAAAAGCTAAGTTCTTGCTTATATAGTAAGGAGACAAAGACACCTAACAGGATTATAACATTTTCAATACAAAGTTGGTTTACAGAGTTACAACAAATTAGTTAGTTACCGTGTGTTTTCTGTGCAGTTTGTTTTCCTTATAGCTGGTTTTCATTTCCTTTCCTAAGAGGAAGGTTAATCTATAATGAAAGTCAACCGTGGAGAGAGAAGGGGTCTTTCTTGGTTCTGTCGGGCCCTTCACAACATTTGACAAAACAAAGCAGATAAGGGAAAAAGCTTAATCTGTAATCAAAAGGTTGCAGCTGGCTAGGTTACAAGCTGCTTGTCACATGACTGAGGCTCCATAATTGACATTCTTTTAAGGCTCAAAATAATTTAGAGTTCCAACAGGTTAGATTTTGAATTACTCTTTTTTACATTTTTTTTTATTAAACTTGTTTTAATTAGGGACCTGGGTATTTGTTAAATAAAGAATGTCTTGTGAAGTTTAAAATGTTGAGACTTATTATGATGATTATTAATGTGTTCTAGTTTCAAGTTTTATGGATTGAGAACTTGGATGAATGGAGAAACCATTGAGTGAGATGGGGGAAAAGTGTAGATGTAACATATTTTGACAAGGAGTGGGGTTGAGAAAAGATTAGGAGTTTAGTTCTGAACCTTGTCCTTGCAAGTCTTTCAGACATTCAAAAACTGTCAAGCAGGCCGTTGAAAAATGAATCTGGAATTCATTAGAGAAGTGTGGAGTCCTGACAAGATAAGCAACAATGAGGAAGGGGCCCCAGGTGGGGGAGAACAATTATTCTGAGAGACAGCTAATCACAGACAACCTGCTGGCATAACATCCTGTTCCCAAATACCTCATTCTGCAGGCAGTAACAGCAGCACAACTTTATCTGCGCATAGTCCCTCCAGCACAACCCTCTAAAACTTCCCTCCAGCCCCTGCCTCTTGGTAGACAATCCCTTCTCTGCTGCGCTACCCATTGTATTCTTGCACCATGTGTCTTTGTACTTCCTCTAATAAACCTGCCTTTATTTACCTATGATTGTCTTGGTAAATTCTTTTACCAACTACCATGCTGGCCCCAGCCACTTACCTCCACCGTAGTGATTGCTAGAGTTACATTTGGTAACTATTTCTATATAGGGGTTACTTAAAGCCATAAGACTTGCTAAGAACCCCAAAGAAGAGAGGTAGATACAAAAAAGATGATGGGGTCCAGGACCCATTGTGAGCTCTGAGTCACTCACTCAAACTTTTTTTTTTTTGAGACAGAGTCTCACTCTGTAGCCTAAGCTGGAGTGCAGTGGCTCGATCTTGGCTCACTGCAAGCTCCGCCTCCTGGGTTCATGCCATTCTCCTGCCCCAGCCTCCCGAGTAGCTGGTACTACAGGTGCCCGCCACCACACCCGGCTAATTTTTTGTATTTTTAGTACAGACGGGGTTTCACCAAGTTAGTCAGGATGGTCTTGATCTCCTGACCTTGTGATCTACCCGCCTTGGCCTCCCAAAGTGCTGGGATTACAGGCATGAGCCACTGCGCCCAGCCAAACTTTAAAGCTAGGAGAGAAAAGGAAAACACAACAAATGTAACTGAGTGTGACATAATCGGAAGTAAATATTCGATCTCTGTTTTTTTGGCACAAAGCTCCTAAAATCCTTGGAATCTTCAAACTAATGAGTGTGGGGTTTTTTGTTTGTTTTGTTTTTTTTTTGTTTTGTTTGTTTGTTTGTTTTGGCATACTGATGAGATAACTGATGGCTGGTGTGTTCCTGTATAGCCTCAGGATGGGTGCTGGTTGTCAGGGAAATTCAACCAAGTGATTTGAGGGTTAGAACTTTCGTTGCCACAATCCTGACCTCCAGGTAGGTCACTAATGACCAACAATTTTATCAATCATTTCTCAGTGTATGAAGCCTCCATATAACCCCAAAAGGATAGGGTTTGGAGAGCAACCAGGTTACTGAACACATGTAAGTGACAGGAGGGTGGCACATCCAGAGAGGGTATGGAAGCTCTGTATCCTTTCTCCCATACCTTACCCTAGTCTTCTCAGTCATCTTGCTGTTTATGTGCATTACTTATAATATTCTTTAAAAAAACAGGTCAATATAAGTAAAACACTTTTTCTATTAATATCTGTTGGGAAAAACTTGAATGTTGGGGAGAAGCTGAGGCAGGGTTTCCATGTCTGACATAATGTAGAATAGTCTTGGAACATGTCCGGGGTCCAGGGTCTAAAACCCTTTGTGGCCTTTGCAACATCAAGCTCTGTGCTAAAGGGTGGAAGGCTACCCTGACACACCATAATCTAAGCCCAGGGCATAAAATTCCTTGTGGCTTGGATAGAATCCAGGGCTCGTGGCTCTGGAATGTGTCTAGACTTGCTGGCTCCTTGCTCCTTGCTCTCCCAGGATCAATTGTATCTTGAGTTAAAAGAACCTGCTCTCCATTTTCTCAAGCAGCAGAGCAAACGCTAAACCATGACAGCTATAAATCATGTGCTTAATGCAAGATGACCTCCACATTCTCACCACCTGTTTCTTTGTTGGATTACCAATAAATAGCGTGGGGTCCCACAGCTCAGGACCTTCACAGCCTCCATGATTGCAGTGGGCCCCTGGTGTCCCACCTTTCTCTCTCAAACTGTCTTTTTCTCAATCCTTTGACTCCGCTGGACTTTGTCACCCCCACGACCTGGTGTTGGGTCTGTTCACCCCAACAATACCCTTTATCTGTTGCAGGATCCAATCCCAGTTCCCACATTGCATTTAGTTGTACTGCCTCCTTAGCCTCCTCTGACTTATGATAGTTTTTCCATCTTTCCTTATTTTTCATGACCTTGAGAGTTTTGTGACATATTTTGGTATGCGTTTTGTAGTATGTCCCTTAAATGAGGTATGTCTGATGCTTTCCTCATAGAACCTAGACTCTTAAATTCTAGAATACCACAATTTTTTTTTCTCATTATCTCACGTTGTTTCTCAGTAGTTAGAAGTTAAGGAAATAAAAAATATTTTTCCCCAAAATATATTCCTTTGATATATTTTTAAATGACCAGAAGATTGGAGTGGCTCTGAAAAGCTGTCTTTTGCAGAGGAAAATTATATCTGTAGAGAATCTTCATTAATGCACCCAGGCTTTCCCTTTCTTTCCCCAATCTAGAAGAAATTAATTGAGAGTTTGACACTGTATTGGTTCATTTTCACACTGCTGGTAAAGACATAGTTGAGCCTAGGCAATTTACAAAAGAAAGAGGTTTAATGGACTTACAGCTCCACGTGGTTGGGGAAGCCTCACAATCATGGTCGAAGGCAAGGAGGAGCAAGTCATGTCTTACATGGGTGGCAGCAGGCAAAGAGAAAATGATGATGTAGGGAAGTTTAAGTTTTTCCCCTGGAGATTCAATAATTTGTGTCTATAAAACTTACTCATAATAGATAGATTAACAGAAAAAAAGGTATAAAAATTTTAATTACATGTAACTTGTGCACCAGAGTAATACAAAATATAAAAACTCAAAGAAGGGCAACAATTTTAAACTTTTTTTTTTTTTTTTTTTTGCAGATCCTTGCTGCGTTGCCAGGGCTGGAGTGCAGTGTCATAATCACAGCTCACTGCAGCCTCTACTTCCTAGGCTCAAGCAATTCTGCCACCTCAGTGGCCAAGTAGCTGGAACCACAGGCATGTACCACCATGCTCAGATAACTTTGTCTTTTTTTGTGTGTGTGTGTGGAGACAGGGGTCTCACTGTGTTGCCTAAGCTGGTCTTGAACTCATAGGCTCCTCCTCCCTCAACCTCCCCAAGTGCTGGGTTTACAGAAAGATTAAGGGCTTGGAATCCCCACAAAGCAGGATATGGTTGGGGGAAAAGAGGAGAAAAGACATGTTATACAGATGAAACCTCACAAATAGCAGTTCTTAGAGACAATAGATAGTAACCTCTGGTCAATGTTTCTAGGTTAGAACTTAAAAGTGTCCAACTCTCAATCTTTCCTATACCCTGTCAAGAGGGTCTTTGGAGACAAACTGTATGCATGTGTTGTTTACTTCATTTATTTCCTCTACAGATGCAAATATCACCCCCCCCCCCAAAAAAAAGAAATACACACACGAAAAGAGAGCTTTGCAGGTCTATTTTTGTCTGTAACCCCTCTGAACAGCCTTTTCAAAAAATATGTTAAATAAGTATATTTTGACTTAAAATATTTTCATTTCCTTCAATTAACCTGAGGAGGGGTTCCTGGTAAACCCTAATTTAGAGCTATTATGTCAGAAATTCCAGAAGTCCATATTGGTATCTAAAGTGGGGTGCCACAGTCTTGTGGGACTGAGCCCTTAACCTGTGGGATGGGAGTCTAACTCCAGTTAGAGTCAGAATTGAACTATAGAACATCTAGTTTGTGTCCACTAGAGAATTGACATGTGGGAAAAACTCCATACATCTAACATTAGGAGTGAAATATCCAGGACTATTGAGAGTGTAGCAGGAGAAAGGAGTCAAAGTTTGTTCAGTTTAGTTCTTTCCCTGCTGTAGGGGTTGAGACCCTTGGTGTTATTGGTGAGACAAGTTATTGGAGGAAGAAAGGAAGAGGCTTGGTTAGCAAAGGTGGTCAGATGTATACGTGAAATCTCATGGGTAGCAGGCCTCAGAGACAATAGATGGTAAGTGTTCCTGTTCAGATCTTTAATGGAGCCTGATATGGTTTGGCTGTGTCCCCACCCAAATCTCATCTTGAATTGTAACTCCCACAATTCCCACATGTAATGGGAGGAAACTGGTAGGAGGTATTTGAATTATGGGGTGGATCTTTCACATGCTGTTCTCATGATAGTGAATAAGTCTCTTGAGATCTGATGGTGCTAAAAATGGGAGTTTCCCCTACACAAGCTCTCTCTTTGCCTGCTGCCATCCATGTAAGACATGACTTGCTCCTTCTTGCCTTCCGCCACGATTGTGAGGCTTCCCCTACCACGTGGAGCTATAAGTCCATTAAACCTCTTTCTTTTGTAAATTGCCTAGTCTCAAGTATGTCTTTATCAGCAGTGTGAAAATGAGCTAATACAGTGTCAGACTCTCAATTAATTTCTTCTAGATTGGGGAAAGAACGGGAAAGCTTGGGTGCATTAATAAAGATTCTCTACAGCTACAATTTTTCTCTCCAAAAGACAGCTTTTCAGAGCCACTCCAATCTTCTGGTCATTTAAAAATATATCAAAGGAATATATTTTGGGGAAAAATATTTTTATTTCTTTAACTTCTAACTACTGAGAAACTAAGTGAGATAATGAGAAAAAAACTGTGGTATTCTAGAATTTAAGAGTCTAGGTTCTATGAGGAAAGCATCAGACATACCTCATTTAAGGGACATACTACAAAATGCATACCAAAATATGTCTCAAAACTCTCAAGGTCATGAAAAATAAGGAAAGATGGAAAAACTATCATAAGTCAGAGGAGGCTAAGGAGGCAGTACAACTAAATGCAATGTGGGAACTGGGATTGGATCCTGCAACAGATAAAGGACATTAACAGAAAAAGTGGTGAAATCTGAATACATTCAAATATTTACTTTTTAAAAATATTAAATATCAGTAGCATAATTAAGAATTTCATATAATGTTACGTTTACTCTAAAGCTGCTTCCTTGTAAGTTTGGCCTACAGGTTTCTCTGTAAATAGAGAACTGTAACCTAACTGGATATGTAAACAGTCTGTAATCTACTCTTTTAACACATGGCTTGGTCTCAGCCAATGACAGAAGCTATGTTTCAACCACTCACAGCCAGCCAACTGTCCAAATAAGGCAAACACCAAGCTGCTACCAATTCAGCTGTTTCTGTACCTCACTTCCATTTTCTGGGAGTCACTTTCCTTTTCTAACTGTAAATCCTCTCCAACCACACGGCAATGCCAGAGTCTGTCTAAACCTGTTCTGGTTTGGGAGGGCTGCCTGATTCGAATCATGTTTTTGCCCAATTAAACTCTGTGAAATTTAATTTGCCTATGTTTTTTCTTTCAACAATACTAAATTGTTGATCTGAGTCTGTCAGTTCTTAATTTCTTGTGGGAATGTCACTGGCTTCCACTAATTATAAGAGTGTTTATGTAGAGCATGGCTGTACTACTTGGTAAGCATCAAATAAAGACTGTGCCAAATGCTTTAACAATGGCTTGGGACAAAGGTCTTTGTTCTATTTTGAACCTTAATAATCAGTTGTAGAAACATAAACATATCCCATGGCTCTCACTGTCAACCCAGATGTGTACTTGCTTTCTCTCTGTGTTTTTAATTAGTTTTAATTGCCCTAAAGTGATCATAGAAGTGATGAAAGTGTAAATATTTTACTGGATTTCAATTTTACATCTAATTACACCTCCGATGACTCTTACATACATATAGCGTACCTAGGGCTCTGGGTGATTAAAAGTTATCGCTTGATTACATCGAGAAAAATTACAAACTGGCCTACAGCTTCACATAGCAATGCAGCACGTTCACTCTAATATTTAGAAATCATAGACATTTAAAAGTCACATGCATTACAACTGAATTTGATGTACTTGTTCTTATAGAGATAATCTATGTATGAATAAAACAAAAAGTGTATTATCTGTGTTTGTGTGTTTACCTTTTTTTTTGCAGAATTATGTGCAAAATGCTCCAGTGAACCTTTTCACTTTACTTTTCTACAGATTTATTTTTTATGATAGTATTCTATTAAACAGTTATAAATCTTTCCTTCTTTGGCTTGGATATGGTTGGCTACTCGTTGCCAATCACATGTCAAGAGCAGGCAGTGTGGTTCAAAGAAGCAGTCAAGAGGCAAGAGATTCAAATATATGTAAGTTCAATCTGGTGTTTACTAAGAACTCGAGACCAGAGAAAAAGATTGTGCGCTGTCTCTCTCTCTCTCTCTCTCTCACACACACACACACACACACACACACACACATTTTCCTATGCAAATTATCATATTCACAAAACCTGGATAAAACAACTTCAGGATATAATTTTTTCCCTCTAACTTATGTAAATCTTGAAATGCATTGACATTTGAGAGTATGAAAGCAATAGCTGTTTTAAAAGAGAGTGCAGAAGTCTCCCTGTGATTGAAACTGTCCTGTTGGAAAGCAACAAGAGGACAGAATAAATGAGTCTGAGAAATTTTGTTGTGTTTTGTTTTCAAAACTCTAAAGGGTAAACCAAATTTTGTTATTGTAAACTAGGCTTATATTAGAACATTCTACTCTATGAGGATGTTGTCTAAATTTCCTAACTTCACTCCATCTGTTGAGTAATCATTTTATTTGTTAAGAAACTTTATTTATTCATATTTTAAAATGCACAGATGGCAAAAATGTGACTCTGCCTGCTGTTGTACCTACCATATATTCAGCAGGAAGTCTCCTTTTCTCAATGTATTCAAATATTGGTGTTTAATTTTTTGTATATATGTTCACACCTACTGGCTAGACATCCATGTTAAAAGTATTTTGCACTGTGAAGCAAAGGATGTATATAAAGCAGTCCCAAGCATGTTGGCTGCCAAGATGATCTAATTTCTTTGATGGACTCTTAAAGGCACCTGGATTGCCAAAATTGGTGTAAAATAAAAAAGACAGGTAGAAAGCAATCTGTGGCAAAATAAGGTTTACAAGGAACATAAAAAAGCAATTCAAAGTTAGAACACAGTTAAAAGGAAAATAGCCCAATTCCACGCTACCTTATTTCAAACTGCATTCTTGCATCTGTTGCTTGTTAGAAAATAAAACAATCTATAGTTAGTCCTTTAGAAAGGTGTGAATCAAATGAATGTGTACTTTAGTGGAGCCGTGATACTTGTTAATCGCAAAAATTAAACAGATTATAATAATGTTTGCAATAAAAATAAAAATATTAATTTTCCATAATACCATTCTAGCACACAGAGTATTTTGGTAAATTTTCATTTTTGTTTAAGAAATGACAAACAGAATTGTCTCAACAAATTTGCCTAAAATCTGAAAGGAAGAAAACACATCTAAGTCTTTGTATTAAATATGGGTTAAGTGCTAAGGGAATGTATTAACTTAAAAAAAAAAAAAGTCAAGCTTTTAAAAATTTTAAAACCGTATATAGAAATTGTCAGATCAGAACAATTACTACATAGTACAAAAATAAAATAATGTCCATGCATACAAACAAGTTTAAATTTTAATTTTCTTGCATAAATACATTAAATTATAATATTTAGTCTGCTGGTACTTTAAGAACGTGGAAGGGATCATTGTGCTAACTATTCAAGCCACTTATCTCTTTTACCCATGCTGAGTATAAAACCAGCTTAGACAACAATCTTAGACAACACTCTTCATTAGCGGTAAAGCATATTCGTTAATGCAACTGGATGTTTTCCTGCATAAAAGAAGGTTAAGATGTTTTCTTGGTTGTAGGACATTTAGATTGACAACAGATTTGCTATTATATTAAATTAAGTGGCTAATTTATCCAAGTGAATTATCTGCATAGATAGCCACTGGAGCTTAAGTAGTAAATTCAGACACAGTTATAACAGTCACCAGGTGAGATCATTGGATGTGGTGTTAACTACTTATTTTTGCCATTCTGTTATGTTTTATGTGTGACTATATTACAACTATTACGAGTGACTTTGGAAATAAATTCATTTTAATTACAATGTTTGCTCTCCCAGAATCCTTAAACATTTTTTTCAAGTATGGTATGTTTGCAGGTATGGTTTACATAACGATTTCACTGATTAATTGAACAAGAGATGTGCATCAGCTTTCATTATTTCCTACTATTAAATGGTTGAAAAATATAGATAGGTAGGTAGGTAAATAGATTAGATAGATAGATAGATAGATAGATAGATAGATAGATAGAGTATATGCAACTTTAATCCACGTTATACTGTGATCTGATTTGTTCCTTTTAAAACATCGTTATATTTATCAGGGTACACAGCCTTTCCTTACTTGAGTGTTCTCTTTACTGGAACAACCTAGACTTACATACAGAAATGTTTCAGTGCTCAATAAAAATATTAATTATCTCCAATACCATCCTAGCACACAGAGTATTTTGGTAAACTGTTGAAAGGAATCTGTTTCAGTGTTCAGAGAATAGCCAAAAATATGGGGAATTCTCTCTATCCCTGATGACATCATGAACTACCTTTGCAAAAATTATGACAGTGAGAGAAGTCTGACATAGCTGGCTCCATCTTGCCTCTAACCTCCAAGCTGTCCTTGTTCATTCCTGAGCATAGGCCAAGCTAGCTATGGGAGAAATTTAGTTTATAGGTTAACTTTAAAGCAAAGATGATAAAAGATTCTGTCCAAGACTGACCCTCTCCTTGCCTGGAGACCAAAACTGCCTTTGTAAAACTAACAAATTAGCCACAAGGTTAAGATTATGTATCAGGAGTCATGTAACCAGAGGTCACGTGGATTGTAACCTCCCCAATTGCTCCCATAAATAACATCATTATTGTAAAATCTAAGATTAGTATTTGAGGTATTTTTCGGACCCTGCATTCTGATGGACCAGGTAGCACCACCGCGACCAGTAATCCATCCAAGAAACTGGCTCATCTGGTCTTGTGACCCTCACCCAGGCTAAGCACAAGAAGAAAGCTTCAACCCCCTATGATTTCATCCCTGGCCCAACCAATCAGCATTGCTCCTTTCCTGGCCTCCTTCCCCAAAAACTCTGAGCTTTTGGGGAAGCAGATTTGAGAAATGTCTCCTGTCCTGTCACTCGTCTGGCCCTGCAATTATTAAACTTCTTCTCTTCTGCAATCTTGCTGTCTCAGTGAATTGGTTTTATCTGTGCAGTAAAGAAGAACCTGTTGGATGATTACGATGAAACTTTAGTATGTGAGTGTGTTTTATTTCAATCCTGACTAATTTAACGATTGCATTTGACTCTTATTGTGTGAGATGCACAGACTTCTCATTCTGTACTTGCCTTAGTTTCATCTCCTATAGGATGGAAATAAAATTCACCAGAAAAAAGCTACCCTAAAGGCAGAGTATCATGATCAAAAAGTATCTACAACAGAGTGGAAACTAAATAAACATTACTTATTATTAAATTAATATTTTTATAGCTACCTTGGCATATTGGAAAATTCTTTTCTCCACTCATTAAGGACTATCCTGAATCTTTACTTGAATAAGATTAAATAAACTTGATCTAAACTTTTACAGCCTCTGTTTTTTTCATTTTAGGAAGGATAAAGTGTAAGCCCAGGTTTGGATAGAAACAACAGAAATAAAATAAAAATGTAAACACTGCCTGTTGTAAATTATCTGATTTTTTTTAGGCTATAAATAAAGTCAACATTGATAAATTTCAATGTAATTATAGTTTCTTTCTTAATCTTAGGTCTGGTGTTGAATTATCAAATCATTACTTTTGTAAAGACTGTCTGAAGGTAAAAGATAGTAAGATTAAAGGGTATTAAATATTCTTGTGCCTCATACTCCAAGAAGATGAGGCCATCAATCTTTTAATCAAGTTTATAATTGCATCTTATTTCTGGTTTAGTCATCTTTGTTAGGAATTCATGTTTTACCTTTCATAGTTTACTGGCTTCTTTACTCTAGAATGTTATCATCTCTCTTTTCTCTAAATAATTTTAAGGAAATAATTCTGTCCCTGACGTACCCTTGTTAATATTGCTTTCCCCCATCTCTAATGAAGTAACTTGCATATTTGCCTGTTTATAAACTAAATACTCTCCATTCAATCAGATTTGAATATATTCATTTAGAGTTTTATTTGTGTTTTAATTCTCTATAATAAACTAATTTCCACTCTGCAATTAATCTAGCACTTTAAGTCACTAAACATATCTCTGAATATCGGTAAATTTTGGCAATATGGGAGCATTTTAAAATTTATCATTTTATGCAAAATGTAATTGTTAATTAAATAGAAGTAGAGATGAAAACAATATGTATTTTATTTAAAAGTATGTTTGGACACACACACATACACACACATACACAATCAAGAGAAGCTTAACCAAGTATGTATCATATAGGTTATAAATATTTGTAAATTCTAAGGTTTTACTGGTTAAAATACAGTAGCCCTTCTCAGTGATTTACTGGCTATATGGAAGAAAGGCACAACATTCACACATCTATAGTAATGCCTGTTTTGGGAATGGGACTAAGCACAACAGATAGGGGGAGTGTCTCTCATTCTCCATGGAACCTCTGGGTTGGTTTCCATATGGCATAAATACGTAATTGAACTCATCTTCGTTTGCCTTACACCTGTTAATAAAGTCTTTGACACCTCAGGGAAAATTGAAGTATTGGTATTTTATTCTTTGGAAATTAATTTCTTATTCATTTAGGGCAGACATAATCTTGGCACATCTAATCTTGCTGGTGTACTCAACTAAATAGAGTTCAATGGTTAAAAGTTTTTCATAGCCGAATTACATGTTCATTCAATAAGGAGTGTTTCATTGCAGAGCACATGGTTATGAGTAGCAAGTATGGGGTAAAAGCAAAGGGAAATCTGCATTGTGTGTGCTTATTCCTGTGTTGAGTATTCTTACAGAGAATGCTCTATTATGGTGTCTTTTCTCTGATTAGGAAGCCTGTTTTTTCAGTTCAAAAGCCCCCTGTGATTTGAGAGTGCAAGGAAAGCATACACTGGTGAAGTGACTTGCCAGACCATTGAAGTTGAATTTAAGCATGCAAGGCAACACTGGAGAGAGTGGAGCTGCTCTAGTCTGCAAAGATATCTATATGCTCTGAGCTGGTAGGAGGTACAGTGAAGTGATGGCAGAACCATGGGGTAGCTTTGATTCACAATAAGATACTGCCTCTTTTAGAATGAAAAGCCACCTGTTGTTTGTCAAAAGGTACTACTTACTGATTATTGCTTTACATACTAATGCAAAGAACTCTTGGAGGTAGTCTCTTGTGCAGATGCTGAAAGTCAGTCTTTCACCTGTCTCCAGTAGGTTAAACTTAACAAAAAAAAATGTTTTGTACAGCAAGTAGAGAATGCTTCTTTCTTTAAAGAAATCAGAGCCTTCTGCTGGGGGCAATGAAGGGGTGAGGCTACAGGGAGTACTGAGTTGCTTAATGCCAAGCACAGAAAAATGCTAATAAGACTCATGCTGAGAAAAGCTCTCACTCATCAGGGTGCATCATTGCAGACATTAAGCTGAGACTGTGAATTGCTATTAGCCAAAACTGGAGAAAGACTAACGAGAATAGTGCCAGAAAATACTTCGTGGCACTGTTTGAATTGCTGTCTGAGGCAGGAGGTTTGTTGTATTGTTTTTGAAATGATTTGCTTAGCAAAAATTACCTGGTTACTAGGTAAATCTATCAGTATATGATCGAGGAACACTTATATTAACGTCATTTACTGATAAATAAGAAATACTAAATAACAATTACATGATGTGTTTAATAATCAAATGTATAAATTGCAAGCACATTATTTATATGCATAATACTCTAGTGTTTGTTGTATGAGACTTGAATCTCAATTAAATGATGTTAATATGAGACCATAAAAAGTCTGAAAAGAGGCATTCACTGTCTTTTCAAAATAAATTTTATATGAGAACATAAAGAAAACCCATCTCTTCCCTCATTTTTTGCCAGTATGGCAACAAATAGCCTGCATAACTGAGGCAATTTGCAAACTGGTAGACCCTCTATCATTGTGTTTTATGAGAAAAAAAAAAGATAATAGCAGAGTATGCACCAATTCAGAATTAACTGGATTGAATGCTGATAATTGTATGATTCTTTTTATTCTTACCCTGTTGTTTGGCTTATGCATCTCTGTTCAAGTCCATGTGGAAGACAGCTTGAGGTGCATGATCAATAAAATGTTGGAGGACATTGAACACAGTAGATTTCCTGGTGATGTTTAAGAGGGAGGAGTTAAGGTGTGCTAATGAGCATAGTTCATGTTAATTGCCAGCACCTATTGGAATTATCTGTTAGAAATATAAAACTATTTTCCCTTGCTTTATCTATAAAAGATCCTGACTTAAACATGCCTTCCAGTGCAGCCAAGTAGAAATTCATAAAGAGAATTATGATTTTTTTAAATAAATGAAATTTATTTAAAATTCCACAATTCATTAAAATCTCAGATCTATAATAATTTATGTACCCTATGTATATACAGGGATTTAACTTTCTCCCTCACCAATTTGACAGTTCAGAAATTGAAAGAACACTCTAAGATTTGTATATGTGTATGTGTGTGCAAAATAGTGCTCTGAAACAGTCCTGTCTGGGAAAATTTTCTGATAACCAATATTAGATTTTCTAGTTCTCAGTTATATCTCTTCCCTCTATATTGTTCTGTAAACTAAAAACTATCTAAGACAGGTCTCAATCAATTTAGAAGTTTATTTTGCTAAGGCTAAGGATTTCCCCTGAAGAAATAAAGATGGAATCACATAAACAGTCTGTGGTCTGTGCCTTTCTCCAAAGATAACTTTGAGGGCTTCAATATTTAAAGGAGAAAAGTGAGCTGAAGGGGAAAGAGAGAGGGCATAATAATCCACATATTGCAAGAGAAAAGAAGCAGATAAGGGAAGAGTCAATTATGTATTCTTCTGGCACTCAGTAGAGCAGCATTTTACACAAAATAAGGTGAACATACAGTAGCTATCTGTGGACATATTTAACATTTTATCTGTAGCTATCTGCTTAGGAATAAAAGGAAAAGCAGCTTCTTGCATGACGCAACCATCAGCTTAATTTTTTCTTTTGGCATGGTGAACTGGGGTCCCAAGTTTTATTTTCCTTTTACATTCCATATCAATTGAGAAAACTTAAGAGTCAGATCAGAAGTGGTTTTGTTCACATAGGTAATGGAAAATTTTCCCTCCACCCTCCAAGCATTTGATAATAGGGTTGCTGAAATAAACTGAGTAGGCAGACAAGAAAATTTATCATGTATATGGGGGCATTACATGAAAGAAAACCAAATACCCCAAACTGAATATGATCTAGAAGCTTAAATACCTACTTCCTAAGAGAAAAAGAGATGGGAATATGTAAACAAGTAAGGAGAAAGCAAATAATTTTGAAGAAAGATGAGTAGGCCCTCAGAATAATAGGTAACAGCCTGTGACATAGTTTGTCTGGGAGTATTGTTGACTCCCGGTACTTTTTTTCCTGGGATAGAAGTCAATCTTCCTGGGTTATTGTATTAGTCCGTTCTCATGCTGCAAATAAAGTCATACCCGAGACCATGTAATTTACTTAAAAAAAAAAAGAGGCTTAATGGATTCACAGTCCCACATGTTCGCTGGGGAGGCCTCACAATTACGGTGGAAGGCAAATTGGGAGCAAAGGCACGTCTTAACATGGCAGCAGGCAAGAGAGTCTGCAGGGGAACTGCCCTTTATAAAACCATCAGAACTCATGAGACCTATTCAGTATCACAAGAAAAGCATGGGAAAAACCCACCCCCATGATTCAATTACCTCCCACCAGGTCCCTCCCAGAACACGGGGAGATTATGGGAGCTACAATTCAAGATGAGATTTGGGTGAGGACACAGCCAAACCATATCACTTATAAAATTCCTGGAGAGGAGATTGATGATAATTGAGTTCCCTTTGGAGGATCTGTTCCTAGGCAGACAAAGGAAGTTCAGAGAAAGCCCCTTTCTGAATTTGCTTTTCTTCAAATGCCATCAGTTTGAAATAATCAGCATACCAAAGCTGGATAATTTTGGGTAACATTTCCTGAACTACTTCATCCAGAAGAAAATTTTAACTTCAATTTCCCACCTAAATTAACTTACCCACCACAAACTATTGATATATATATATATACTCCTAAAAGAACAATTTCACCGGGCACATGCTGAAAACCACAAGGTAGTCTTTACAGTCAAGACCGTTGCAATTAACAGTCAGGACTAGTGCAGTAGCGAGAAAGGTTGAACTCAGACCTGAAAAATAGGTGGCTGAAAGAGAAAGTAAGAGGATTTTTAAAGGTTAAGATAAGCTGGTAGAGAAATACTGACGATATTCAGGGGGAGGGTGGTTAATGTGATTAAGTGCTCTGTGTTTGGTAATTGCTGTCTACCTAAGTTAGTCTCCTAACCTCCCACAGGGACTGGGAAACAGAGTCCCTGTCTTTCTTGATGTTACATTTCAATGGATCCCACTTCAATGTGAAAGACATTCTTGGATTGTAGAATTAAATCTTAAAGACCAGAGAAATATTTTACAACTGCATATTTTCTAAAGTAAACACTCAAAGGAAAAGGGAGATCTTTTCAAGAGCCTAGTTAAGCCAAGAGGAGTCTTAAAGCTGTCTTGGTCTGATGCAGGTGAAGTGGAAAGAATATGGGCACATACACACAGAACACAGACCACAGACAGCCGATCTTGGTAAGACATACACATACACACAGAACACAGACCACAGACAGCCAGTCTTGATAAGGAGGCAACAATCGTGATATTTGGGCTCCTTCTGTCGAGTCTATTAGCTCACGAAGGCCATTCTTACTCTTACAGAGAAGAAAGCAAAGTAATATGAGTGGAAAGAAAGATCAGAAATGTTCTGTGCAAAACTGTTTCCATTTGGAGAATATGCAAAGTCCCTATCACCTTAAAAAGACAAGAAAACATGGGTATTATTACTTACTTGTAATTCTAGACCACAATCAAAGAAGGTGGTACTAGAACTTGTTCAGGGAAAGCATCTGTATCCTAAGAGAATCTCTATAAATTGGCGAGTGAGTCATCTAATGTCACTCCAGATTGATTTTATGACTATTATACAACCCTAACACGCTGCAAAATGCAATTTATGTTCTCTTGTTGCCCAATAATTTAACATCACTTTCTTAAAAAATTATCAATAGAATATCTGATATTATTTATTTATTTATTTATTTTTGAGATGGAGTCTCACTCTGTCACCCAGGCTACAGTGTAGTGGCACGATCTCGGCTGACTGCAACCTCCGCCTCCCAGGTTCAAGTGATTCTCTTGCCTCAGCCTCCCAAGTAGCTGGGATTACAGGTGCCCACCACCATACCTGGCTAATTTTTGTATTTTTAGTAGAGACAGGGTTTCACCATATTGCCCAGGCATGTCTTGAACTCCTGATGTCAAGTGATCCACCCACCTCATCCTCCCAAAGTGCTGGGAATACAGGTGTGAGCTACCATTCCTAGCCGAAATTTCTAATATAACTTATTTATGGTCAGATAATATACTTGATTTCAGTTCTTTTAAGTACATTGAGTCTCATTTTATTACAAATAATATAGTTTATCTTGGTAAATCTTCCATGTGCCCTTGAAAAGAATGTATATTCTGCTGCTATTATGTGTAATATTTCAGAAAAATCAATTAGGTCAATATAGGTGATAGTGTGTAACAAGTTATATAATCTGTATTGATTTTCTTTTTATTTGATTTATTAGTCATTGAGAGGGGAATACTGAAATATCCAACTATAATTGTGGATTTCTCTCTTTTTCCATTGAAATCTACCAGTTTTTGCTTCATATATTTCAAAACTCTATTAAAAGGTGCATTTACATTTAGAATTGTGATATCTTCTTCAAGAATTGACACCTTTATTATTATAATATTAATCTTTTTGTCTGTGATAATATTCATTCTTCCGAAATCTATTTTCTTTGATATTAGTATATCCACTCTGATTTTTTTGATGTTTGCGTACTATATCTTTTTCAAGGTTTTAACTTTAACTAACATTGTCTTCATATTTTAAAGTAGGTTTCTCTTAAACAGTATTTAGTTGGGTTGTACTTAAAAAAAAACTCCAATTTGACAGTTTATACCTGTTAATGAAAGTTTTTAGATCATTTTTATATAGAATATAAAATCAGATAAGGTTGATTTAAATTGGACATCTTACTATATGTTTTCTTTTTGTTCTATTTGTTCTTTCATTATATTTTTCTTTTTCTGCTTTTGGATTAATAGAATAATTTTTATGATTTTATTTTATCTCCCTTATTGGGCTTTGTTTAATAGCTATATTATATTCCTTTTATACTGTTCACCATAGTGTTTATAATATACATTTATAACTTCTCAGTGTATTTCAAAATAATATTATACCACTCCAAGCATAAAAATCTTATAATAGTATAACTCCATCCCCACCCATGTTCCCAAGCTTTATGCTATTTTTTTCAGTTACATTACTTCTGCATATGTTATTATTTTTGCCTTCAATGTCAATAATATCTTACAGAATTATAAATGTCTGTCATTTATATGGACTTCAATATTTACCTTTCCATTTTCCTTTAATCATTTGTGTATTAATTGCATTGTTTTTGATGACTAGTCTGCTGTTTTTTCAGTTTTATTTTACTTATTTTACTCTTGCTGCACTTAAGATTGTCTAGCACCCTTTCACAGTGATTTGGTTATCGTGTATTTGTGAGGTTCTTCATGTTTTTTGTACTTGAAGTTTAGTGAGCTTCTTGGATCTGAAGGCATATAGTTGTCATCAAATTATTGACAGCTATGTTTTTATTTTTTTCCCGCATTCCATCTCTTTCTTTCAGTACACTAGTTATAGTTACATTATTCTGCCTGATGTTGTCTTATAGACCACTTATTCTCTTTTCATTCATCTTTTCCTTCTGTCCTTTTTTCCCCTCTAAGTTGCATTTTGGATGATTTCCACATCTTCAAACTCACTCATCTTTTCTTCTAAATTTTCTAATCTGCTGTTAATCTCATCCAATGCATTTTTCATCTTAGATATTGTATTTCTTCTAGAAATTTACTTGAGTCTTTATTATACTTTCATTTTCTTTTTTACCAAACCCATGTTTTACTCCACTTTTTTGAACATATGAGATCTAACAAAAGAGCTGGCTTAACATCCTTGGCTATAATTATATTATCTTTCATATTTATATATTTGTATTGATTTCTTCACCTCATTGTGAATCATATTTTTCTTCTTTGTACACCTGGTCATTTTAATTGTGTACTGAACTCTTTTGTACACATTTGAATATGTTGGTCTTTTTTCCCTAGAACACAGTTACATTTCTTGGAACTCTTTTATCAATTGGAGTCTTGCTTTTGACCTTAGGCTTTATTAGGTAGGGGAGAGTGACCTTTAATTTTAGCTAATTTGTCCCCATTACTGGAAGAAAATATTTCTGAGGGCGCAACTGGCTAACCTGTATTAGGAGATCTTTCTAGTTGTGTGTGGATTTCAAATATTTTTATACCTTCACATTTATGGTGCTTCTTACAGTGCCTTTTATGTAGCCAAAGACTCAAGGGAAACTTCTGCAAGAGCTAAGACTTCTTCCTGTATATGTAACCCTCTCCTCTCAGATACTCTGCCTACCTGTATACGAATCTCTTTCTCCTCAACTCAGAAGATTCCCATATTTTCTTCTAGTTCTCCTTCCTGGGTTGTGGCTGAGAAATTCTCCATGCAGTGTACTGGGCACTTGCTATGCTCACTTAGTTCATTTCCTCTCCTTTAGGAGATGGCTGTCCTCAACTGTCTGTTGCCCAAGGGCTGAAATTAGTTTTCTCATACATTTTGTACATCGTGTTAATTGTTTAATGTAGGAGAATAAATCTTGTTCCTGTTACTTTTTCATGACTCTAGATCTTATCTTTAGAGTTTTCCATAGCATGTCTGAAAGTATGTAGAAGAAAGAGTATCCAAACCACAGTTTGATCAAAGTGAATCTAACAGGAGCAAAAAAGGTTTGTTCTTATTATACATTTTCCTTATAACCTGATTTAGCACTATGACCATATTTGAAATATACAAGAAAAATTAATTACACTTTGTTTCTTAGAATACTTTGAGAAACATTAGGCATTCATTTGGGGGTGATATTGTAGCATAAACTTTAGAAACATTACCTAATAAACCTCATTGTTGAAAAGTCATCATAAGCATTTAGATATTTGCCATCTGTATGACCTTGAATACGTTGCTTAATCTCTCTATATCTCAGTTTGCTTACTTTTTTTTTTTTTTTTTTTTTTTTGAGACGGAGTCTCGCTCTGTCACCCAGGCTGGAGTGCAGTGGCGCGATCTCGGCTCACTGCAAGCTCCGCCTCCTGGGTTCACGCCATTCTCCTGCCTCAGCCTCCCGAGTAGCTGGGACTATAGGCGCCCGCTGCCACGCCCGGCTAATTTTTTTGTATTTTTAGTTGAGACCGGGTTTCACTGTGCTCGCCACGATGGTCTCCATCTCCTGACCTCCTGATCCGCCTGCCTCGGACTCCCAAAGTGTTGGGATTACAGGCATGAGCCACCGCGCCCGGCCAGTTTGCTTACCTTTTAAATAGCAATGGTAATAGCATTTCCCTCATCACATTGTTTTAAACATTAAATGATTTCATAAATATAAAGAGCTTGTAACTGTAAATAGCACTGAGTTATATACCGTGTTAGCAATGTTTAGCAGTCTGACAAGTCCTGAAGTTAAACTCACAAAAACATACACAACTTCTTTTGATTATTTAAAAAATAAAACACATTTATGTATGAAGAGGGAACATACATTGTCAATTTTCTTTAGAACAATTTAATTTTAGAAGCTTCTATATAAACAAAGAAAGACTACATATTCTTCAGATTTTTCTCCATAAATATTACTTTTCACAGCTACTTTTTTGGTATGTATTGATTAATGTATTTATTCTCAGTGAGATACCTGTTACAGATTCTCTGAAAGCCTATACAGGTTTTCAGAATTTCAGATCTCATTCTTACAGCTATTTGCAACTGCATGTTTAGTGGTAACTTGGTAGATGGATTTGTCTTAGGGTAGACACATTTGGTAAAGCTTCATTTCTCTCTGTCCATAAAAATTTCCCCCCGAAGAAGAGACAGAATTTAAATACCCCTACTCCTGATTCAAAGTTAATACCAGTGCATCTGGTGCGTATTCCATGATCTAAAATAAATGGAATAGAGCCATGCCAGACACATTGCTAGATTGTATCTCCTTAGTATGGTGAATTTTGCTAGGCTTTGAATATTAGAAGAATTCAGAGGTCACAGTTTGACTATGTCAAGGTATCTCTAATTGAATAGTCAAGACACCAGAAAGCATATGGACCAATAGGCTTTTGAATTTGATTTAGGACAATTCCACAGGAGCTTTTGAATCTGCTGAAGATCATCTGGAGGGATGATTGAGAAATTCCTGATTAAAAAGTTCAGTGAAGACATTCTGCTCCTGGGAGATAGAAATAAAGTGAAGAACTCATGAACTATAATAACTTCATTCCATCGTGACTGGGAATAATTCCCACTAACTCCCCTGCATGAGACCTAAAATCACACATAATATTGCGTTATTGTTTTATGCTGGCCACTACAGATGTCAGTCTAGCCAGTGAACATTTTAAGATATAAAAAAAAAATCTAACTCAATTTATATTACTTTTTTGCCTGTTTGGTAAGCAAAAAGTGGAAACTCACATCCTGGCCAGATTTGTCATCTCTTCACACAGCCTTCTGCTCAGAGAAACATGTCTAGGATTAACCAATATTAGAAGAGAGGTTAGTATCTGCTGTCATTTGGATCCATAGATAAGGTTCTCAACAATTATGGATTGAAAACAAGAGATAAGACAGCCTCCAAAGATTCTTGAACTGATATTTTAAAATAAAATTTAAAAAATTCTTAATGTAACTGCAAGTTAGAGAAGAAAAGGACCAGCTAGAGAAGCTAAGTCATAGTAATTATGGAGTGTGAGATTTTAGATCATCCAAACTAGTGTCTATGTCAAGTTCTGCTTTCCTGTGCTCTGCCCTGAGCATGGTTCTTGCTTTCCATAAGGAAAGATTTCACCTTTTTCTTAGATGACTACATAAACTTCCATTTTTTTAGAGTAATTGAACCAGCCTGCTTCAGGGAACAAAAATGTCTTAATTATTAAAATATATCTGTTTGATACCATCCATATGGCTTTATAGCTTCCAAACATATTTTATTTTTACTTTAGACCATTGACATAATAGACATCATATTATTATATTTCTATTTTTCACTTTTTTTTTTTTTGCTCTGTCACCCTGGTTAGAGTGCAGTGGCACAATCATAGCTCACTGCAACCTCAAATTCCTGGGCTCAAGCGATCCTTTCTCCTCCTCCTCCCAAAGAGCTAGGTCTATAGGTGTGCACCACCACACCCAGCTAATTTTTTTGTAATTTTTATAGAGACAAGGTCTCGCTGTAATGCCAAGGCTGGTTTCAAAATCCTGGCCTGGTACTCCCGGCTTCAAGTGATTCTCCTGCCTCAGCCTCCCTAAGTGCGGACATTACAGGCATGAACCTCCACTCCTGGTGTTTCATCAATTTTTATTCCAACATTAGGATTATTTGGGCATGGTGGTGATGGTTACATAAATATCTGACTTTGTCATAATTCATAGATCTGTACAAAACTGAATTAAGTTTTACTCAGTGTAAATTATACCTAAATAAAAATATGTATGACTGGAAACAGTACACAGGTAACCATCATCAGCATCATAATAATCATCATCATCCTCATCCTAATTCTCCTCCAGTGATAGGGTGAACTGTGGATGGAGGTATCAGTGATGCAAAAATGGCAGAATACTGATACTTTTTGAGGCTGGATGAAGTTGGGTGATGAATGGATAAAGAACATGGAGGTTCATTATAGTCTTGGCTTTTATGTTTAAAATTTTCCATAATAAAAAGTAAAAAATAAGAACACACACACACACACATACACAATAGACAAAAATATGTTGTCATTGAATGAGGACATATCTAACCTAGAATGTTGTCATTCATAAGGGTTTGCTTACCAGTCCCTAAATTGTTTGTTCACGCTGTAGTTAGAATGATCAAAAATTCACCAACCTCACTTTATATCCCTACGTGGATACGACAATCCTCTTTTTTGGGCAATGGCACAAAAATCGCTAAGAAAAGAAGCAAACTACTTTTACAGGTGTTAAAGGGGGAGAAAACAGAACAGTAACAGAAGAGTGATAGTTCATGAATATTTAGAATCTAAAATTCTGTGTTTGGGGCCTGATTCTATCGATTACCAGCTGTGTGAGATTATCAAAGTAATTTAACCTCTCTGAAGCCCAGTTTCATCAGTAAAATGTCAATGATAGCACTTGCTTTATAAGATTGTTTTAAGGAACAATTGGAATAATGTATGCAAGAGCTATTTGTAAAACTTAAATTATGGTTATTATTCATTCCTATTTTGTGTCTTAGAAACTTTTTTGAATAGAAATGCATAACCGTAAACTCACTCACTTATTCTGCAATTTGTAAAGAATTCAAAATGTTGGAAAGTGGTATCGCTTTTATCTAGTATTTTTTCTTTTTGATTTTGTAGTTTACAGACAGCAGCAGTCCATTACTAACATATCTAAATGTGTTAATAAAATCATTCTGCATGCTCAGAACAAATAACAATCTGAATTGAAAAATAAATTGTTGAATAAAATATGGCAGAGAACGAAGTATTTTATAAAAGTACATAGCTAGCATTGCCCGTATCATCAATCTATTTGTTTTGCTGAGAATGCATGAGAATAGTTTCCTTTATACAACATGCACATACATCATTGATTTTGTAAACTGTATTTCTTAGTAAGGAATAGATTATAGACAGCTTTGGGGGAGGCAGCTATGATGTTGGAAGACAGATTAATTTAGCATAGCAACACCTGGGTTGAGGTCTTCACTTTTCTAGTTACTCTAAGTATTTGACCTTGAATACTCGTCTACTTCTCACAGCATTAAGTCCTTGATATTCAGAAGAATAACTCCAACCCTTGCTTCTGCAATGGTTCTGGTAAATATTCATTAAAACTAATATATGTATCTGGTCTGTAATATACTTAACTAAATTTAATAATAACTAAATGCATTAATAAAATATTCATTTTGCTTTTGTTCTATGATTGTGAAATTTAAAATTTTCTCCTAGTTTTAAAATAATAGAGGTTTTTCCTTGAAAAAAATTCTGTTAAATATGACATTTGTCTATATTAACAGAGCATATTTTGACAAACCCTAAAATGTATTGTTTGTAAAGTTAATATGCATGTATAAAGACTTTATATGTACGTACTATATGTATTAATATACAGAATTGTATATGAATGGCAGTGGACTTCTTCTTGTTTTTCTGTCTCTTGTCCATACATTATTATATACCTTCAAATGTAAACATAGTCACTTAAACTACATGATATTAAAAAAAAAGTAAATATATTCACATTTTCTTTGATTGTATAATCATCTATTTCTTTCAATCCTGTATGACTCATCCAATTACAATTTATAATCTGAGTATTAAGGTTAAATATAATTTCATTTCAAATTAACACATTAGAAATGCACAACCAGGTATACTGCGTAATGTACTTTTAATCAATAAGCCATGCTGGCAATATCAATAGAAGTATATACTTTTTTGGTAAATAGTCCTAAAGACACAAGATGGCAGTACTAGACTTATGAGTTACTGGAAATATGGTAACGCATTCAAAAACTTTTAATGCGCTTCCCTTGCTTTCCTTCTCAGTATTTGTAATGGAGCTTTTATTTCTGTGCATAAACATTCACAAGTTTTGTGGATGTTTTTAAATGCTATTGAGAGTGTGCTATTTATTTATTTATGGGTAGCCACTGCATTTAGTAAAATTCGCCTTTAAAACATCTTAGTTTCCTCATCTATATAATGATGATATTGGTCCAGATAGCCTTTATGGTTCTTTCACTACTGGATGGCCATATAATTTAATAAATCAGAAAAATGAGAACCTGTACATTTCAAATGAGCATTGAATACCTTAACGAATAAACTTACTCAAAATTTGAGATAAAATGGCAGTGGACTTCTTCCTTGTTCAGTGGTAGAAGAAAGATCAAGGGTGATTATTACTTAGCCTTCACTAAATTTGGAATATTTAGTTTACCCTAAATTTTATGTAAGATGCTAATATATGTACTACCATTGAAGATTTTACCATTGTCGCTGGGCAGTCTGTGTCAAGAAAAGCATGATGCACCATCCTGTTTTATTGAAAACTTTCAAGCAAAAGATCTGCCATCTTCCCACTTTCCATCCTCAAATAATTATTTACCTCTAATTTTGTTGGTTTTAAAGGAATTGAAGATTACTTTCTTTTCCAGAGCTAGTATCTTACCCATTTCAGTTTATTTATTTTTGTTTTTCTTCTCAAGAAATGTAGGCTCAGGATTTCCCCCATTTCTACATTTTTGTTTATCTTGATCTGATTTATCCTCTACCTATTATGTAACTTATCAAACTGCTGTAGGAAAATATTTCCACAATGGTACCATGGTCACATTGCACGTGGCCACAGAGGCCAGGTAGACAAAGCTCACATGCAATCTGACCCAAATCTTTGTGGAATACCCCATAATCCTTTCAGGAACATGGCAAAATAGTCTTGTAAAGAGTTGTCACAAGGCTATTACTCATTCACTTCATTGTCTAGTTGGAGACTGCTATGAAGTGTTTTCTCCTCAGTCTCCCTGATTCTGGAGAGCAAACACACCTTCTGCTTCACCCTCCTTAGGGTACAGCTGTAGGCTATAAAACCTTTTAGTTGCAGATAGAATTGGCTGCTCCAAGACAGGGTAATCCACCACCAATGCCATCTATCATCTGCACCTTCCCCTTTGATGTCACCTTGTGGACAAAGGAAACAGACACTCTAGTGATCTTGCTTACTTTATGTATAATAATGTAATATAATAATAATAAAACTCATAAACTCTCTCAATCCATTTGGGCTCATTGTATTTTTACTGGCCAGGTCTATGGAACTGTGATAAGCCAGCCTAGCAACTGTGGTATTGTTTGCTCTTTAGGGACAGCTTGACAACTTCCAAATGTCATGTCAAGAAATCCAAACACTTTAAGGACTCCATGAGATTTTGTATAACAAAAAGTAAAAATTTAATAACATATTGCAAAGCAGGTTTACAGGAACTTGTAATAATCTCAGGGGAAGGCTCTAAATGCCTTGTCAATACTGTGCACTGGTATGAATCCACTTGCATGAGGGCTGATGAGACAACACTCACACAACAAGTTAAGTGAAAATAATTGTATTACTCATGGATAGGCAGAAAAGGAAAATAGAGATTAGGATTTATGGCGATCCTGTCCTCTAAGGCTGAGAAAGCTGCCCAGGATGGATAAACTTTTGGCTCCCTATGTTCCATCTTGTACCTCAGCTGATAGATACCAAAAGTACTCTGGGCCCTGGGTTATCTATGTGGGAGCACTTGAATGGCTGGGCCAAGGCATTGCAAGACATCCTGTTTTAGGAGCAAAGGGAACAGAGCCTACACTGTTTGGTCAATTTGTTCTCATTTCAGAATGTTACATTCCCAGCACATTCTACATACATATTACTTATGTATACTTATATAACATATATATACTTATATGTTATATAACTTATAAGTTATATATACTTATATGTTATATAACTTATAACTTATATGTTATATAAGTATATATAAGTTATGTAAGTATATATACTTATATGTTATATAAGTGTATATATGTTATATAAGTATATATAAGTGATATATATGTAGTATATACTTATATAAGTATATATGAGTTATATATATTACTATCACTTAATAAACAAACTAAATATTATGCAAGGTGGTCTTCATGCTTGATGATAAAAAGGGAATTTCTGTTTCTGACCAAGATATAGGAAAAGGAGCCAAATTTATCAATTTGCATGAAATAACACCAAAATAACCCCTTCATAATATATCAGACACATGACTTCAAAAGACTAGATATCAAGCAACAAAGAACAACGATACCTGAGAAACGAGGACTAAATGCTTGTGTCCCCACAAATTTATATTTTGAAGCCTAATTCACAATGTGATGATATTTAGAAATGGAGCCTTTGAAAGATTAGGTCATAAGGATGGAGTCCTCATGAATGGGATTAGTGCCCTTGCTAAAGAGGCACCAAGAGCTCCTTTTCCTCTTCTGCCAAGTGAGGGCAAAGTGAGAAGATGATGTCTATAAATCAAAAAGTGGGCCCTCACCAGACACCAAATCTTCCCATTCTCCAGAACACTGAGAAACAAATATTTATTGTTTATAAGTAACCCAAGTTATGGTATTTTGTTATTGCAACCCAAATGGACTGAGACAAATTGGGAGAAAATAAAAATAGATAAGCTATTTGATTGTCCCAAATGATTGTCCCAGATTACACACTTGAGAGAATTTCCAGGGTATGACATGATGACTTAGTATGTTTTGTGCTGCTATAACAGAATACCACAGACTGATTAATTTATACACAATAAAAAAATTTTGGTTCACATTCTGGAGGCTGGGAGGTCCAAGAGCATGGTGCCAGCATCTGGTGGGGGCCTTCATGACGCATCATTCAATGGCAGAAAACAGAAGGCCAAGGCCAGACATCAACAGAGGGCCAAACTCTATTTTTTTCAGGAACCCACTTTCACAATAAATAACCCACTCCCATTAACCTATTAAGGAGGGCAGAGCCTTCATTACCAAATCCCCTTTTAATGGACCTACCTGTCAACACTGTTGCATTGAGGATTAAGTTTCCAACACATGAACTTTGGGGGACATCCAAACCATAACAGATAAGGAGCGGGAAATGCAGGTAAAACCCCACAGATTCTGTGAGTTGAGAAGATAGAGATCATATTTTGAGAGGAATAAAACAGTTGAAGGTCAGAAGACAGAGTAATACAGAGAAGAGACTGGCACAGAAAGAGCTCGCTAGAGCTATGCAAAGGTTGCTCTTCAAGAGTGCAACAGAGTACTTACTAATCAGTGCATATGTGTGAAGAAACTATCAGAAGCTAAGAAAATAGCCATTAGAAAAAATTAAACAGTAGATCATACTTACCCACGGTGAGAAACAATGTCTGTTCCCAATAACCAGAGTGACAAACCTCATATATTATGAGTAATCAGGCAGAGTAGTCAGAAATATTTTGCCTTAATACTGGCAAGATAGCCCTAAACTACACACTACTCTGATCCTATGTAGCAAATTTTAAAAGCTATATCCAAATGGGCAAAACTGGCTACAAAAAAATTAGCTGTATCCAAAGTTCAAATAGTAATATAAAAATACCTGGAATGGGAACATTTTACAAAATCTTGCATCCAGTAAAAAATTAGCAGTCATGAAAAGAGGCTGAAAAATGCAACTTATATTAATAAGGAAAATCAAGCAACTGAAGCTAATAAAAAACTGACAAGTTAAAAGTAGAAGAAAATTATTAAAATCAGAGCCGGGTCTGATTTGCTACTGAGAGTTCTCTCTTCCTCTTCTTCTTTTCTTTCTTTTACATACCTACTGATTTTTCCTTTTTTCCCTCCATCTAGCAATGCTACTTTCATTTCTTATTTTACTCTCTTCCTTGTGATTTACTTTGGTGAATATTCCGTATGTTAAAAAAGTTGAGAAGAGACATAAAAGTACAATTAAGGAAGATAAAATCAAAACTAAATTTTATAGTGATAAAACTGCAATGTCTAAGATGAAAGGTGTTCTGGATGGATATAATGCAAGCTCTACGCTGAGAAATAAAGATTAAGAAACTTGAAAACACAACATTAAAATAATTCCAACTGAAATATACAAAAAATAATTATAAAATAAATATCAGCAAGCTGTGTGAAAATTTCAAGGGGCTAATATGCTTGTAATTAGATTCACTGAAGGAGAGAAGTAAGAAAAACATGAAAAACTAATGGCAGAAAAATTTCTAATTTGTTGAAAACTACATATCCATAGAAGTTTAAAAAAAATCCATCCAATTAAAAAATGGACAAAATATTGTAAAAGTAAATTCATTAATGACAAGATATGAAATGCAAATGCACACATTGAAATAACCTTAAGTATCATTAGCCTTTAGGGAAATACAAATCAAAACTACCATGAGATAACGTCGTACAAATAGATGACATCCATTTGATTGATTAAACAGGAAATATCTAGATACATCAAGTGATGTAAAGATTGGGGAAGAACTGGGGTATTTATACACTGCTGGTGAACAATTAAAATAATATATCCACTTTGGAAAGCAATTTAGTAGTTCTTTAAAAAAAGGCAAATATACGAATGCAACATGATACAGACATTTCACTCCTAGGTGAGAAATGAAAGCACATGTTTATTCAAGACATGTACATTTTATTTCTAATGTCTCAAAACATAAGGAACACAAGTGTCTATTTTCAGAATGATTAAACACATTTTTGTGTATTGATACAATTGATACAATGCACTCAATAATAATAAGAAAGTAAACTATTGACATACGCAAATAAACAGATGGGTCTAAATATAATTATGTTGAGTAAAAAAACAGATTAAAAAAGAATACACATTGTATGATTACACTTCTGTAACACTAGATAATGCAATGTAATATCTTCCTCGGAAAACAGATCAGTGGCTGCCTAATGAGGTCCAGGAGATGAGAATAAGAAAAAAGGAATGCAAGGGACATGAGGAAACTCATGTGAGTCATGCATATGTTCAACATCTTAGTTTTTGGTGGCTTCGTATGTCAAAATGTACACGTTATATATTTTAAATGCGCACAGTGTTATTCTAATTAAATCTCAACACAGCTATAACAAAGAATTGAAGATCTTTTGTCGTTTTACTGGAGAAATGCGTTTAAAATTTCTTGGGAGGGAAATACATAAAATATGTAATAGATAATTTCCCTCGGGAAGGAAATAGATAAAATAATAATACAAAAACTCATTGCCAGTTTTTCCTTCTATTGACAATCACTGGCACTTGACTTCATGTAAGCCACATGCATTCGTTTAATTAAAATGTATTAAAAATGTACCATGTGCTATGTAGGTGTAGCAAAATAAATAAAACATTGTAATGATTGTTCTGAGAGAACTCATAATCTGATTTATTTCTCTAGAGCCGGGTCTGATTTTCTACTGAGAGTTTTCCCTTCCTCTTCTTTTCTTTCTTTTACGTACCTACTGATTTTTCCTTTTCTTCCTCCACCTAGCCATGCTACTTTCATTTTTTACTTTATTCTCTTCCTTGTGATTTACTTTGGTGAATCCAATAGGGTTAATTTATTCTTACTACTTCTCTGGTTCCCAGAGTCTAAATACAGGACCTCCCAGGAAGAAATGGGTTGGTTAGTGATTATTTGTGATTCTACGACTTCCAAGTTGGTTAAGTCAAATTCACGATACGAAACTGAAGAAGTCAAAAGCTGTATTTTAGAAATAAGACAAATGAAACCAAGATAGAATTTAAAAAAATGAGAATTTAAGCTAGAGCTTTCCAAGTTACTTTTCACTTCTCTTTTCTCTATCAAATGATGCATCTCTAAAAATTTGGTTCATTTTAATTTAGACTTAATTTCTTGCATCATGTAATGATAGAAAATAGAAAATATTCCACCGCTATATAGTGGTTATTTTGGATCACATCCTGTTGTAACTATCCTAAAAAAACTTTACCATGTAATTACTACTATTATTTCCATTTTACATATGAGAAAATTGAGGCATGGAGAGATTAAGTATATTAAATCTCACCTGTAGACATCTGGCAGTCTAGCAACATAGTGTGTGTGTATGTGGAGACTACAGTAAGTCCTCACTTGATGTTAGTGATAAGTTTTTGGAAATTTTAAGCAAAGCAGCATATAACAAAGCCAGTCTTACTAGGCTATTTGATGTAAACACGAGTTAACTTTCTATGGCATATTTCTGGTCACAAAACATCACCAAACTTCAAAAGAAAGACCAAAAGATTACTAAATGTTGTCATTGAAATAAATATGAGCTATACATACATTCAAAAAATTAATAAAAACAAGGATGATCATTACTGACCCAGTTGTTCTTGTTTAGGGTCGAGGATGACCAGAGCCTGTTCCAGCAGCTGAGAGCACAAGATGGAAACCAGCCCTGGACAGGTGTCATTCCATTGCATGCTCGCTCTCTCTCTTTCTCTATGTCTCTCTCTCTCTCTCTCTCTCTCTGTCTCTCTCTCTTTCTCACACACACACACACACACACACACACACACACACACACACACACATATTCAGACTGGGATGGTGTAGACACGCCAGTTCACCTAACGCACACATCTCTGGAATTAGGGAGGAAACCACAGTACCCTGACAAAACCCACACAGATGTGGGGAGAACATGCAAATGCCACACAGACAATGGCCCTAGCTGGGATTGATTCTTTTCTCATCAACAGTATAATGAAAAAATATTGACCAAAATAATGTATTCAAGGACCAGCGGTATTAGGAAGAAAAGAGCTGATATCCAATATTCCGGTAGTTCAGAGACAAGCACAGATCTATAAGTAAGCTTTTATCTTCTTATTTTCTCTACACAAGGATTTCGCCTCAAAGAATTATTTTCCAGACTTGCTTGATAATTTCAATTTCATCACCTAGTAAAAGGAGAAGTGGGAGGAGACCCTGAGTAGTGGAAAGCAAAACGAACAATTGTTAATTTGTGAAACTGTTATTTAATTTCAAATGTTAAGTCTAAAGAAAATTCAAGATAAAAGAATAAAAAATATGTGCTTGAGCACAAATGGCTGCCGTTGTATTATTCTTCAAACACAAAAGTAAAGGAACAGTAATTTATGGAAATGTAACAAAGAAATTTGGATGCTAGCCAATTTAGAAACAAATAAAAAGCATTAATTTGAGAGAAAAAAATTCTTGCCTTCCAGAGCTACCTCCTCACTTCTGGGAGTGTTATTATTTAGCAGACTGATAATGTCAATATCCCCAACCAGAACCGGAGAGAAATAATTGAAAATCTTGGTTATCACGGGTTTCTTTTTTGTACTAAAGTTCATATGAGAAGTTTAAAGTCAATTGGAAGTAGAGAGTAAAATGAACCTGATACAGTGGAAACTTTGAAAAGGTATAGAAGCTTTAAAAAAAAGTCATCATAGTTCTCTGAATTGTAGGTATTTTCTCTTTAGGCAGCCTTCCAAAGCCCTTTCATGCTAGTGAAAGTAAGCTGTGTGCTACTTTTTGATGATATTGCCCATGATAAACCTCAAATGGTGAGGAAATTCATTTTCAGACACAGATCTGAAGCTAACTTATCCAACTTATCTGATCAGAAAATCTTGCTGTAAATCTTTCAAAAACAAGATGACTTGTGAGATTTTTAGCAATCCAGAGTGTGTCTGGGGAGAATATGTGACATGAGCAGTTTTCTCTATGGTTTCAGCTAATAATAGGAAATCCATGACCCAAGGAAATAGAAATCCTCACGTGAGCAAGAATATCAGGTCTTCCCAAAGCCCATAAATGTAAGAAGGATTAAATTATGTGTGCTTACTGAATTTATAATTTTATTTACTCCAAGAAGTTTCCCCACTTATCAAATTCATTGCACCTAGTTTTAGGAATTAATAGCTAAAATACAGATAATTCAAATCTATTTTGATTCTTAAAAATCAAGATCTGATCTTCAGTCCTGTTTTCTAGAGGTGATGTATAGAATGATAATATGTATCTCGAAAGTATCATCTGACCCTTCCAGTGATCTGAAGGAGCTAACTTGATTGAGTTCAAGCAGAAACGAAGTTTTTAGGCAGTCCGATAAGTTATTGCTGACTTATTTATTTTCAATAAATAAGACTCATTTTGCTGGATTTCTTTTTCTTTTGCATAACAGTCACTTGCCACTTGTCGTAGCAAACTTTTTTTTTTTTTTTTTTTTTTTGAGACGGAGTCTCGCTCTGTCACCCAGGCTGGAGTGCAGTGGTGCGATCTCGGCTCACTGAAAGCTCCGCCTCCCTGGTTCACGCCATTCTCCTGCCTCAGCCTCCGGAGTAGCTGGGACTACAAGCCTCCCACCACCACAGGCCGGACTAATTTTTTTTTTTTTTGTATTCTTAGTAGAGACGCGGTTTCACCGTGTTAGCCAGGATGGTCTCGATCTACTGACCTTGTGATCTGCCCGCGTCGGCCTCCCAAAGTGCTGGGATTGCAGGCGTGAGCCACCGCGCCCGGCCAGCAAACTTTAAAAGAAGAATTCAATGGGGAGATATGACAAAACTTAGATGTTTTAGTAATACTGCATAATGTAATAATTGACCAAAATATTTTTACATTCCTTTGAGATAATACTAAATTGTATTAAAACTTAGTCTTGCTAACATATGTGGGCCTCCTTTGCTCCAGAGGAAAGTGAGAATGTCTTAAGTCCCATTTTCAGCCCCTAGATTTATTATATAGCAACGCACAAGTCATCTTCTTCTTGTCACTCTCTTCCTGAAGGATTTCAGGCAAAACACTAAATCTCTCTTGACCTCAGTTTAGTCATCTATAAAATTAGGGGATTGGAGCAGATTATCTCTGTGTCTTGTAACTGTAAAATTATATGTTTTATATTATTTCCACATTTTTTCTTCAGTTCCCCCTACTGAGATGAAAACCTTAAAAAATGAATAGCATTTGCTATCTTCTATCCCATTAAATATTGTTTATGAAAGTAGACACAATAAAACACTGAGCTCTTTAAAACTCAATTTTTGTAGAAAAGGATACTGGAGCTCAATAAATGTAATTCCTTGTTCAGTCTCATGAAGACCCTTAAGAATATAACAGTAATTTAGTTGCGGACCTATTTAAATAAATATCCTATACTCTTCCTCTGACTATTCCATCTCCAACTAAGTATATAATGTTCCATATATTTGATATTTCAAATGTGTTTTTAAAATAATGGTCATATGTGCTTTGTAATTATCTTCTTTGAGTCAAATATACTTGCAAAATCAAAAGATCGTGTGTGTATCTATTAAATTATAATGTCCACTTAAATAAAAAAAGAAACAAAGGAGACTATGAATCTAATAAGTCAAGAAACAATAACAGAGAAGCAAATAATAGCAAGTTAATATAAATGTATCAGCTCAATTTAATCATTAAGACCATCCAAACTGCAGAGGTTTACTTTTGAAAAAAGCTAAAAGTCAAATTTCCAAAAAAAAAAAAGACGGGATGGATTTTAAAACTATGCAGAGCTTATTTAAGAGCATAAACTTGATAAAAATGTAAAAAATATTGGAATTACAATAATTACATGACATCATATTACAGTATAAGAAAGTAATGTTGTTTGTTCCATCCTGTCAGTAGATGGTTAGAGGGTGGAATTAATGTGATCAAATTATCCTTTTTCATATCATTGGCATCACTGGAGAATATCTTTTTGGAGAGATAAGAAGAGATAGATGAGGCATTTTGGGGGGAAGGAGGGATTAAATGTAAGATTTATAAATAGTTAATATTAGATAAGAGTCCTTAGGGAGTATAAACTTTCCTTTGTCTTCTGGTACATTTGTCTGCCTGTGTGGAATATTCTAAACTCACATACACTATTTTGTACATACAAATTTTAATAACCTTTATTAGATTCTTTTAGAACAGATGGATGAAGAAAAATATTAACAGCAGCGACTCCTTTTCTGCCATCTATTCCACATGGCAAATGATCTACAATAAGGACAAATAATTTTTATCAAAGAAAATAATTGTTTACCTATTTATTGAAAGTATAGAAACTAGATGTAAATTGAGGTCTAAGGAAACCAGTGTTGTAAAAGAATCTAATAAAGGTTATTAAAATTATGAAATAATGGTGCTAAGTAAGAACCCATCCTACAATTCAGTGAATTAAAGCAAAAAGTATTTATTTTGATAATTTGTCTTGAGGTTGGCTGAGGTGTGGCTGTTCTAGACTGAGCAGAGATAGACTTCATTATAAGCTGTAGGCTGGGTCTGGTTAGCACCGCATGTCTCTCATCCACACACGTTGATTCTACGGATTACATAATGCGTGTGCTTCTCATCTGATGGCAGAAGCACAAGAGGGTCAAGCAGAAATATAGGATTTCTCTAAAAAGAAGAAAAGAGAATTATACACTATCATTTGTATTCACATTCTATTGACAAAAGCACGGCTAAGCCCTACATCTATTTTTTTCTAATAAAAATATTATGAAGTTAGTTTCACAAATCTTTATTCTACAGAAATTAATGTAGCTAGAATTTCTAAGCACATAATTTTTTACTGAATTCAAGAAACATATTTTACAGTCTCTTTATAAATTGTTTGATTGTAAAATAAACTATTTTTAGTTTATACTTATTTTTCCCTGCTCAACCAACAAAGTTTGATAAATTATTTTATAAATAGTCTGTTCTCCCATTGCAAAGAGATTGCCTTGCACACAATTAATATACGAAAGTGAGATATCACCTCCTTGTAAAATTTAATAATTAAATCATCCTTCTATGAAAAGGATCATAAATGTTTTTGTTTTATTACAGGTAATCTTAGTTTTAAAGATATGAAGTCATTTGTGCTTTTCATTCTTGATGCAATCTATAGTTTTTTTTTAAGAGTTTTCCACACATTACTTATTTATCTTTATCAGCGCACATATATCTATTCCCCAGGTTATACAGAGTTCATTGATGATGACTAAGAAACACTTGATATAACTAAAAGTTTAATTTTGTATGTAGCTAAAATTCTACATGTAGCTACATTTTTAGATAGTCATTTTGTATTGTAGGAAGAAAAGTATTGGAAACAAAGAAAAATGTATCTCCATGGAAATTTCTGTATGCTAAAAATCTGTGGGTGGTTATTTCTCCTTTCCTCCTTTTAAATAAACTGGACATTATATTCTATGATCAAATATTTTATGGATCGGCTTTACTAACCTCTACTGGTTTTCATCAAATTTTTCTCCTCTTACTTCAATTTATTTAATCACTTATTGACAAAGTATGTGCCAGCCCTCTAAGATAAATCTGTAAATGAAAAACTTTCAAATAAAAAAATAAATATATCTACTGTATTGGTAACTGTTCACTGCAGTCTTCTACACTAGCACAGAAAATATGTGCATATATCGCATGATTCTTTGTTGAGTAACTTACAAGAAAATCTGATACATTGCTCAGTGGATGAAGAAATTTGGTCATTCAGTTTAGAAAAGTAAAATCAACCAGGAAAATCTTCTCATAACTTGCGCATGTTGACAAAAAAAAAAAAAAACCAGCATATATAAATCTGTGCTTGAGCCGAACATTCTATTTGACAACTACTGAGTTTGTCCAGATAAGGCTGTGTAAGTATTTAGCCTTGCAGCTTTATCACACGACTGTCATATACTCCATAATTGCTTTTGTAAACTTAGTCTTAATGGTGTCTAGGTTCACACCAGAGCAACCATCTGAAAATTCAGTGTCAGCTTATGATGTATGAACTTTCTTTCAGTGTGTAGATGTTTCTAATTTTTTAAATTACATTTTTGTATATTTCCATATAATGACCTAAAATCACTTTGATTCTCATCACTAAATGTTTTTCAGTTACTGTTCATGCGTACATGGTATTGCATCAGATATTATTCAAAGCTAGTTGAGTAGCATATATGGATGTTTGTTTAAACTAGCTTATATGTGTGTATATATATATGTATATATACACATATGCATAAATAGGCAGATATATAAGAAGCATACAAAGGATAATCATAAGAAAATTACAAAGATATAAGTGAAATTATATCAATTGCAAATTCTTACCCTATTTAAATAAACATTGTATTTTTACTTAGTTATGCATATACAATTTAATGGTATAATTTTATAAATCCTTTCTTATTTTAAAATATTTTATAGTCAAGGCCAAGAGGCTTCCTAAAATTTGGCTATATGCTAAAATTAAAAACATAATTTTATTTCCCTGAAGTCAAAATTAAGAGTTATATTTATTCTGTTTGTGGAAAATGAATCTTAATACATCTTATAATACATCCTATAATTATAATAATATCATATAATAGAATAGTATCCTAGTTTCCTTTCCTTTTATGTTCTCTTGAATTCCTACAAAATTTATTCAACAGGTAATTTTATTGAGAGCTTATCATGTGCCAGGAGCTGTCTTTGGTGTTGAGTATTGAATCATAACCCATAACAATACCCCTACTGTCACAATTGTGGTTAAAGCAATGAGGGGCATTGTGCTTGCAACAACCTCAAATAATTTTACAAATTTGCCCGTAGGATTTCTTCCCATTTGGTATTGTCACAACATTTTTCTAGCACATACTACATGTTTGAAAAACTAAACATTTTGTTTTCCATTCTCTTTATACATACTAAAGTTTTAGTTTGTAGAATTTTTTGTGTTTACTTTCTTTTTCAATGATTATTTTTCTTATTTGCATTATTTTCTTTTTCCTACTTCTTTGCCCTGTCATTTTTTCTAAACTTGGCGTCTTAATTTACAGGGAGCTGATCATAATCCTGAATTACACAGTCCTGAATACCATAATCCCAAACATTAATTTCCAAAAGATCAAAATCTCAGAGATATAATTCTGTAAAAAGTAAATATTTTTTTAGAAAAATATACATTTTTAAAGGGATTTATTTGAGAAATGTATAAAAACCCAACAGAACACTTTATAGTCCATTTTATACAATGAAATAGACAATAGTTTTTTACTTTTTTTGCAATCATAAACTTTCAGCTATATTATAATAGTCACATGGGAATAACAGTTATGAGGACACAAACCATGTTCATAAAATATAGTTAGATAAAGTGAATGTAAAGGCCAGGAGCGGTGGCTCATGCCTGTGATCCCAGCACTTTGGGAGGCCAAGCCTGGTGGATCATCTGAGGGTCAGGAGTTCGAGATCAGCCTGGCCAATATGGTGAAACCCCATCTCTACTAAAAATACCAAAAAACTTTAGCCAGGTATGGTGATGTGTGCCAGTTATCCCAGCTACTCGGGAGGCTGAGGCAAGAGAATCACTTGAACCCAGAAGGCGGAGGTTGCAGTGAGCCAAGATCACGCCATTGCACTCCTGCCTGGGCAACAAGAGGGAAAGTCCTTCTCTAAAAAAAAAAAAAAAGGAAAAGAAAAGGAAAGAAAGAGAAAGAATGAAAAGGAAGGAAGGAAGGAAAGAAAGAAAGAAAGAAAGAGAAAAGAGTGAATGTATTTTATATATATATATATATATATAAAAATATAATTTTGGTCGGCTATTGTGTGCACTTAGCTGTTTAACTTTGGTCGTCTGAAGTATTGTGATGGACAACCTAAGTCTGTTTGATGAAACAGATCAAAAACAAAATTGGTCACCACCACATAAACAGTGGCCCAAAGAGCCAGGATGTCAACAATTTTTATATTTCGTGAATGCAGATGTAGAAAGAGAATGTCAGTTTATTTACTGAGAAAGCTTCAACATTTTCACCTACAGGCACAATGGTTACACACAAAGTCAATGTTGTGATAATGCTCTTTTGTAAAGTCAAATTAGCAAAAAATGCATAAAACAAGTTAGAACTCTTTTAAAATCTTTACACAATTTATACCTCCAGTATTGGAAATGATACCACGATAAACCACGTATCATAGTGAATTGTAAAAAATAATGTTGACAATTTAAAATAGTGGGGAAAAACTAAGAAAAAAAAACAGACATACGAAAAAGTGCATTACAGGAATAGATTATGGGCAATTGCATGGAGGTAATCTATAAGAGCTGACCGACTTTCATTATCTTGAACTATTTTTTGAAGTCTTGCATTGCAATTAAAAGCTGCCATTTTTCTTTTAGGGCATTGCTGTCTTCAGAGGATACATTCAAATTCATTTTCTACCTGGCATTGTTCTTTTTAAAATTATTTTGATTCTATATCCACCTACAGAATTCTTCTCTGTAAAATTTTCATATTTTTTGTGCCCTGATTCTGTGTTGTTCTGGGTACTCAGAATTCTATTCCACAGACACTCATATACAGAACACAAATTTGGAGTACACAATACTGGTGATAAAACAGCAACACCAGTGCATAAGTGTCTTCTTATCCTACTGTGCACATAACCATTTTCAAACCAGTCAATAACTTCACTGGCTGGCTTCTTCAGCAAATTCTGCTTTCATTCATTAAAAACTCTTGGAATTTCATTGGCTGGAAGGAATGCCAATGCAAGCAAGTGACACATTTTAAAACTAAAATTTTTGTTGTGTGCCTATGAAGTTGCCAATCCACTCTTCTGAATTTTCTGCCAAATGCAAATAAAGACAACAACAAGGTGATATGCTGCCTAATACGATGTAACTAGCATGATGCAGCTATCCTGTGTACAATCGAAAACCACAGTAATACCTTCCCAAGCATTTGGATTTTAGGATTTCAACTCTCAGAATTCTCATCTTTTGGGATTGTGATTTTTCAGAATTTTAGATGTTAGGGACTTCAGACTTTAGAAATTTAGACTTTAAAGATTTTAATCTTTAGAGATTTTGATTATTTGAAATTCCAACATTCGGGATTATAGTGCTCAAGATTTTTGTCTTTTGGGATTATGACCCACACAGTAATTTTTAAATACTCTAATGTTTAATATATGCACTTAAAATGATAATTCTCCTTCATAGTATTGAAATTGCCCAACTTATAAGTATTGATAAGTTTTATTTAGGTTTTTGATTGTAGGTATTTCATGTTTTCAATAAATACTTTCATTCATAAATATCTTCAAATTGTTTCTTTTTTAGTTTTAATTTCCAATTGCATGAGAGATTTTGATTTAGAACTGTGTTCTGATTTACAATTTGAGTGCTTTTTGTTAAGAATGTAGTCTATATAACATCAATGTATTGGTACTTAGAGACTATTGCTCAGATACATAGTTGATACACTTTTTATGTGTGCACTTGAAAATATATGAGTAATATAATTTTGGAGAACAGAATTCTACACACGCACAAGCACAAATATAGACACATATGTGAGCAAATTGTTAATTGCACTGTCAAATTTTTCTATGTCTTTTTCTTTCAAATTCTAATAGTATTTGTTAAAAATGGCCCACTATGACTATGCTATAGCCTTACTGTTTATGCTGTTAATTGGATTTTATAACTGCATACATAATACTTGAGATCTAGTTTGCTCCATTGTATTATTGCTTCTCTTCATAAGGTGAATGTTTGCTCAAAATTGTAATTCTTCTGGTAATTTATTCTTGTGTAAATTATGTCACTAAATCATTACCCATTCTACAATCCTGTCTTTCCAGATTTATAATCTTGGCGTTCCTGGTAGCTACAACTTCACCTGTGTGTTTTGCTTCAATCTAATTAGAGATGTTCTAGTGTAAAATAATGCTCATCTCTTCTTCTAATCTTGCACACTTATACCATCTCAGCTTCTAGAAGTGTCCCAGAAGCTGGACCCTCAATCAAATATTTACACCTTTGCCTAGGGTTCCAGCTATAGAAAATATAAACAGAAGACAAATGAACATAAAGAAAATTATTTCATCTTAATCTTTTATTAAGCAATATATATTACACCTTAAATATCTGTTATCTAATATTTGATTGTCTTTTAGAAGTTTCTGATGAAAACTATGTAATATTCCAAATTACTGATTACAGAAAGTAGGCCAAACAGGACATTTCTGTTACAAGGCTTTATCCATTTTTGAACATGAAAACTTTACCTAAGATTATTTTGTCCAAGGAAGTAAGTTTATCTTCACTTTTACTTCAGTTGGATTGGTGTTTTATCTATATTATACACTTACATGGAAGTTATAAAAAGTTTTATTTCAATTAGAACATTCAATGTGAAAATAGGCTTTTACTCTCAAAGAAGGAGATGATGTAATATGTTTTCAATTCCTGTTCCATTTGTTCTGAATGCTGAATGTATTTCTGTTTAATTTAATGTCTTTTAGGTAGTACTTCGCAAAATTTCTTTAAAGACTATAAACAATTATCCAAATCTATATGAATAATTGCTGAGTTTTTCATTTGTCAGTATATTCTCATTATCACTAATAATTTTGCTCCAAACAGCTAAATGTTTTCCTCAAAGATATCTTTCATTTTATATCCTTTTATATAAAAAATTTTTAGTTTCCTTTAATGTTGCCAAACTAAAAAAAAAAAAAATGGCAGGACAGTAAAATGCTGTGAAGTCACCTTGTTCTTTCAATTCTTCTGTTTTCTGCCTCAAAGTGGTAATAAAAACCAGGATATGTATTTCTTAGTTGGCCCTGAATCAATCATCAATCGGTTATTCAGTCAATCACTTTTATTTTCCCCCTTTTCCTTAAAAGAACTTTTTCAGGGGTCTGCAATAATGGCCATTCTACATAGACTCAACTTATGATCATGGGATTCTTGGATTTAATTTTTCTTTTATTCTTTTTTCATACAGTTTTTGTGAGAAGCGTCAATTAGCAAAGTAGTTTTCAGATATTCCTGTTTTTGTCAACTAACATTATGTACAATCAAAACTAACTTTATTGACAATTATTTTTAATTTACATTCGTAATATGGTCAGCATTGATATTAATATTTTAAAGACATGAAGAGTAGGGAGGATAGATATTATGTTTAACCTAAAGAAGAGATAGAAAGACAATGAGCCTCCATCCTCCATCCATCCTTTTCCAAATTATAAATTCCTCACCTCCCTTAAAAAATACAATCATGTTTTTTAAGTCATGTAAATAGTAGTAGTCAATTATAGTATCTTTTAATAAAATAATTCATAAATTAAATGCAAAATTGTACCTCCTCATATATATATATAACTTTAAATGACACTAATCTTGTACAAATCCTTCAAATTTTTTCATGCATCTTTAAACCTCATGCATATTCAAACCTCACACATATTCAAAAGTATGTGTGTGCTAGGTAAACATAGAAGACATCCCCTATTGATCTCCACCTCCTGATATTCACATTTGTCGTAAACCCTTCTTGAATATGGGCTGAACCTAACAGCTAGCTTCTATTTAACACAGTACAGCACAAGGGGAAGGACACCACTTCCATGAGGAAGTTATGAAAGATTGTGATTTTCTTTTGTGGAGTATATTAATAGATCCCAGGAATTCATGGTCAAAAATTCTTGTTGGATCATTACTCTGACCATTCTAACCCTGCTCCTATTAAATCATGGTTATACCAGACTTAATGGCTGGAAATAACAGGAATGCTCAATAAATGCTTATCTGTTCTACTGTGAAATCTACCCCTGGTTTGTCAATTACTGCAAAACGTGAGTGAGTCTGCGCATAGGCCAAGAGTCTGTGGTAAAGGAAGGCTTTTTCGCTGTAAATACTCAGAATGTTTCTTACTATTCCACTGGAAAATGAAGCAAGCTTCTAAGTATGCTCTTGGTAAAGAAAAATACTTTGATGTATGTGATCTTTAGAATAGTAGTTTCCTGCTATGATTAATTCTAAGAGTTTCAAATCTGCTAGTTAGAGTGAAATGGTAAGTGGCCTGTTAGCCCATGTCTGCTGCATGATAGGCCCAGTGGGACCACAAACCAAAATATCCTCATGGTTATTTTCTCTAGTCTGGTAAATATTTGGAATGAACAATTCTGCAATAAGAAAAATTTCCATTGTGGTTCCCTGACTTTTGAAGTATGGATTTTATGATGGAAAGGACAATGCCCAGGAAAGTTTCTTTCCCTAAAAGTATCGTCAATCAAAACAATTGCTTACTCCTTGGAAGATTATAGAGATTAGCAACTCTATCAAACACTTGAAGGAAACCCTGTGTAGTTTTCTAAATAATCTCATTTTCAAAAAATAGACTTTAAAAAAATAAAAATAGAAATTTCAAGTTCACAGAAAAATTTAGCAGAAGATACAGAAATTTTCTGTATAGCTCCTGCCCCCATACATGCATAGACTCCCCCATTATCAACATCCCCCACCAGAGTGCTACATTGGTTACAATTGGATTATCTAAATTGCCGGGTGTGATGACTCATGCCTATAATCCCAGTGCTTTGGGATGCCAAGGTGAAAGCATCTCTTGAGGCCAGGAGTTTGAGATCAGCCTGGACAGCAGAGTGAGACCTCATCTCTTGAAAAAATAAAAAAATAAAAAATTGGCCAGTGTGGTGGGTAGTCCTAGCTACCAGAAAGCTGAGGCAGGAGGATCGCTTGAGCACAGGAGTTTGAGATTACAGTGAGCTATGACTGAGCAACTGCACTCCAGCCTCGGTAAGAGAGCAAGACTCTGTCTCAAAACAAAACAAAACACAAGTAAACCAGCTAAATTGACACATCACAATATAAAGTGCATAGTTTACATTAGGGTTCACTCTTGGTCGTGTCTATTCTGTGGATTAGCACAAATGTATCATGACATTTTCTACCACTAGAGCATCATATAGAATACTTTTACTAACTAAAAAGTTCTCTGTGCTCTCTCTGCTTATCCCTCACTCTTCCCACTCTGCTCAAGCCCTGGCGATCACTGATATTTTACTGTCTCCATAGTTTTGCCTTTTCCAGAATGCCATACAATTGGGATTATACAATATGGAGGCTTTTCAGATTGGCTTACTTTAGTTAGTAATATGCATTTAACTGTCTTCTATGCCTTGTCATGGCTTGATAGCTAATTTATTTTTAGCAGTTAATAATTTCCATTGTCTGGATATACAACAGTTAATCTATCCATTCACCTATTGAATGACATCTTGGTTGGTTCAAATTGTTAGCAATTTTCAACTCTTTTTGGGTAGAAACTGTAGAGCAGAATTGCTAGATCATACTGAAAGAGCATGTTTAGTTTTGTAAGAAACTGCAAGACAATATTATGATGTGACTGTACCATTTTGCATTCCTACCAGGAATGAATGAGAGTTCCTCTTGTTCTATATCCTCTCCAGCATTTGATATAGTCTGTGTTCTGATTTTGGCCATTCTAATATGTGTGTAGTGATATCTCATTTATGTTTTAATTTGCATTTTCCTGTTGACATGTGATTTGGGGAATCTAGCCGTGTGCTTATTTATCATCTGTATATCTCCTTTGGTGAAGCATCTGTTAAGACTTTTGATCTAATTTTTAATTTTTCTTTTTATTTCTGAATTTTAAGAGTTCTTTTTATCGTTTGGCTAGTAGTGCCTTGTCAGATATATCTTTTGCAGATATTATCTCCTAGCCCGTGGCTTGTCTTTTTTATTCTCTTGAAATTGCTTTTGCAGAATGGAAGTTTTTCATTATAGTAATGTCCAGCTTTTTAAAAATGGATAATGTCTTTGTTGCTGTATCTAAAAAGGCATGGCCATACCCTAGGTAATCTTGGTTTTCTCCTATGTTATCTCCTAGAAACTTTATAGTTTTATACATTAAACAACGTTAATGTCTATAATCTATTTTAACTTAGTCACTGTGAATAATGTAAGGCACTGTGTCTACAAAAATGTATATTTTTTTGCCTGTGGATGTCCAAATGTCCCAGCACCATTTATTGAGATGATTTTTTTAACTTTATTGTTTTGATTCCTTTGTCAAAGATCAATTAACTATATTTATGTAGGTTTATTTTGGGTGGATTGATCTATTTGTCTATTCTTTTTCACAACCACACTGTATTGATTGCCATAGCTTTATAGTATGCCTTAAAATCAGGTAGTTTCAGTCTTCCTAATTTGTTCTACTCCTTCAATATCAAGTTGGCTATTCTAGGTCTTTTGCCTCTTCATATTAACTTTAATATCAGTTTGCCAATATCCACAAAATAGCTTCTTAAATTATTACTGGGGGTGGATTGAATCTATACAGCAAATTGGAAAAACTGACATAGTGACAATCTTGATTTTTCCTATCCATAAATTTGGAATATCTCTCAATTTATTTAGTACTTTAATTTCTTTCATCAGAATTTGGTTGTTTTTCTCATAAAAATTATTTTGTTTGATTTATACCTATGTGTTGATTGGAATGCCAATATAAATGTTACCCTTTTTTATTTACAATTTCATTTGTTCTTTGCTGGTATATAGGAAAGTGATTTACTTTTGCTTATTAGTTCATGGAGGTTTCTTTGCTGATTCTTCTGTATTTTCTACACTGATGATCATGTCATGTGTGCGCAAGAGCAATTTTATTTCTTTCTCCCCAATCTGTATATTCTTTATTTTTTTTTGTCTTAATTGCATTAGCTGGGACTTCCAGCTTGATGTTTAAAAAGAGGTGTGAGGCAGGGTGTGGTGGCTCATGCCTGTAACCCCAGCACTTTGGGAGGCCAAGGCAGGTGGATCATGCGGTAGGGAGATCGAGACCTTCCTGGCTAATACGGTGAAACCCCGTCTCTACTAAAAATACAAAAAATTAGTCAAGCGTGGTGGCAGGCACCTGTAATTCCAGCTACTTGGGAGGCTGAGGCAGGGGGACTGCTTGAACCCGGGAGGCGGAGGTTGCAGTGAGCCAAGATCGCGCCACTGCATTCCAGCCTGGGTGACAGAGCGAGACTCCATCTCAAAAAAAAAAAAAAAAAAAAAAAAGGAGGGGTGAGAGGGGGACATCTTTGCTTTATTTTTATTTTTCATCTTATTGGGAAAACATTAAGCTTCGCACCATTAATTCTGGTGGTAGTTGTGGGGTTTTTTTTTTAACATATTCTTTATTAAATTGAGTAAGTTTCTCGTTATTCTCAGTTTATTGAGTGTTTTTAGTATGCCTGGGTGTTGGATTTTGTCAAATGTTTTATGCACGTATATTGATATAATTATGTAACTTTTTTCTCTTTTATGCTGTTGCTATGATGGGTTACACTGATTGTTTATCAAATGTTAAACCAGTTTATACCATGGATAAATCCTACTCAATCAAGATGTATAACCACTTTTATACATAGTTACATTCAATTTGCTAGTATTGAGAAATTTTGCATCTATATTTATAAAAGGTATTAGTCTGTAGATTTATTTTAATGTCTTTGTCTGGCTTGGGGATTAGTGTGATGCTGGGTTTAAAGAGCACCCTTTGTGTATTTTTATTTAGAGCATATCTAAATAGAGACATGAGTTACAAAGTTTAAGAATATAAAGAATGAGTTACAAAGTTTTTTCTCCCTTTTATTCTTGGTTAGCCTGGCTAAAGTTTTGTTGATTTTATTAATCTTTTCAAATAGCCAGGTTTTCTTGTCATTGTCTTTTTTCTATTGATTCCCTGTTTTCAATTTTATTAATTTCTAGTCTAATTACTATTATTCATTTTCTGCATCTTACTTGTGATACAATTTTTTCTAGTTTCCTAAGGTGGAAATTTATATTAATAATTTAGATCTTGTGATGGTTAATTATGATTGAAGAATACAAAGTATTTTTTCTGCTTGTGTCTGTGAGGGTGTTGCCAAAAGAGATTAACATTTGAGTCAGTGGACTGGGAGAGGCAAATCCACCCTCAGTCTGAGTGGGCACCATCTAGCTGAATATTATAGCTGCATTTGGTGCACTTGGTGCAGCTAGAATAAAGCAGGCTGAAGAAAGTGGAAGGACTTGACTTCCCAAGCCTTCTGGCCTTCATCTTTCTCCCATGCTGGATACTTCCTGCCCTTGAGCATCAGACTCCAAGTTCATCAGCTTTTGGACTCTTGAAATTACACCAGGGGTTTGCCAGGGGCTCTTGGGCCTTAGCCACCAACTGAAGACTGCACTGTCAGCTTCCTTATTATTGAGGTTTGGGGACTCTTGCTGGCTTTCTTGCCCCTCAGCATGCAGACGGCCCATTGTGAGACTTCACCTTGTGGTCCTGTGAGTCAATACTCTTTAATACACTCCCCTTCATATATACATCTATCTTATTAGTTCTGTCCCTCTAGAAAGGCCTGACTAATACAGATATTTTCTTCTTTTCTAGTATATATATTCAATGCTATATAATTTCCTCTAAGGATTGCTTTCACTGTGTTTCACAAATTTTGATAAGTTGTATTTTTATTTTCACTTAGTTCAAAATGTTTTTTAACTTGTCTTGAGATTTCTTCTTTGCCCATATGTTATTTAGAAGTGTGTTTGGAATTTTTCAATTATCTTTCTGTTATTGATTTACAGTTTAATTCCCGTGTTTTCTAAGAGTAGTCATTGTATGATTTGTAATCTTTTAAATTGTTGAGGTGTGGTTTATAGCCCAGAATGTGGAATATCTTGGTGAATGTTTTGTGTGAGTTTGAGAAGAATGTGTATTCTTTCACTGTTGGATAAAGTAGTCTATGAATGTTAATTATATCTAGTTGATTAGTAGAATTGCTGAGTTCAACTGTGTTCTTACTGATTTTTACCTGCTGGATCTGTTCACTTCTGATAGAGGTATGTTGAAGCCTCCACATATGATAGTGGATTCACCTATTTCTCCTTGAAGTTCTACCAGCTTTTTCCTCACGTATTTTGATGCTGTGTTGTTAGGTGCATATGAGTAAGGATTGTTATATCTTATTGGAGAATATACCCTTTTATTATTTGTAATGCCATCCTTTATCCCTAATAATTTTTTTTGCTTTGAAGTCTGCTGTGTGTGAATTTAATATAACTATTCCTGTTTGTTTTGATTAGTGTTAGTATGGTGTATATTTCTAAAGCTGTTACCTTTAATTTATACGTGTCTTTATATTTAAAGTGGGTTTCTTTTTAAAACAAATTAAAGTTGGATGATATTTTCCAATTCACTGACAATCTCTGTCTTTTAACTGGTACATTTAGACCATTGACATTCAGTGACTGTTAGTATAGTTGCATTAATAGCTGCCATATTGGTTATTTTCCCACCCCCACCTTTTTTTTTCTAAGATGGAGTCTCACTCTGTCGCCCTGGCTGGAGTGCAGTGGTGCGATCTTGGCTCACAGCAACCTCTGCCTCCCAGGTTCCAGAGATTCTCCTGCCTCAGCCTCCCGAGTAGCTGGGAATATAGGCGCCTGCCACTATGCCCAGCTAATTTTTTGTATTTTTAGTAGAGACAAGGTTTCACCATGTTGGCCAGACTGGTCTCAGACTCCTGACCTCGTGATTTGCCCACCTTGGCCTCCCAAAGTGCTGGGATTACAGGTGTGAGCCACTGTGCTTGGCCTTTGTTACTTTTTTCTATTTGTTCCTTGTTGTTTGTTCTTATTTTTGTCTTCCACTCTTTTCCTGCTTTTGTTATTTTAATTGAGAATTTAATGTAATTTTATTTTCTCTCCTTTCATAGAAAATTATCTATACTTTTTTTTTTACTTTGAAAAATTTCCTCTCCTTTTAAGTTGCCAGTTTGACAGGTCAAGAAGATGGCCGGTTACAGTACTCACCTTATTTGAACTTCCAGGAGGTTTTGTCACAGTTGGTCCTCTTTTGTCTTTAAACATTTTCTCCTAATATTTTCCAGAATTTTACAACCCCTTGTCGTTTGTCTTCCTCCTTCCATTGCTCCATCTCCATATTCTCTGTTTTCTCATCGCTTCTCAAATCTCTGATAATTGCCCAGGTTTTGTGCTTGGACCCCTTTTTTTCTGCATCAGAACTGTTTCTTGTGGTGTTTCATCTAATTCCACAGCTTCACTTGTCTTCTGTGTGTTAATGACTTCCAAACTGATAACTTCAGGCAACAGCTCTCCTCTGAATTCTAGTTGTGTATATTGAAATTCCTACTGTATATCTTCACTTAGATGACTAATTAGCTGCTCAAATTTCTCATATTAAAAATAACCGGCATTGGTATAGTCTTCATTGTCACCATGTAATTAGAGAGACCAAAATAAACACCTTTATCAATGAAGACAGACTCTGAGGTTAAGGGAAAAAAAAGAAAAACACCTACAGATTGAGGGTTCAGGCTTTAGCTGGCATAACAACTTCCTAAATTCCTATGGATACAAGAAAAACTACACTCTTCCTAAGTTCTGGAACAATAGGAACTATCACTAATTTACAACCCAGACAACCACAACTGATTGAACAGAGGACTGGCCTTACATTCTTTTCTGCTAGGAAACTGCAGATCTCAAGCCTGTTTCAGCCAGAATATACTGACTGTGTAAATATTATCTCTGTGCCCTATAGTTAACCTTTTGATGTAAAGAGCCAACATCCATCTCATTTTAGTGCTAAAACTCCACCCTAAAGTAATATACACATGTGTTTTTCTCCTCTGTTAATTATGTATAGCTTTCTCCAAAACCTACTAATTATGTATGATTCTATTAATATTTTGTGGCACAGATCCTGTGGTAAAGCATAAAAAGCAACCTGTCTTTTACCTCTTTAAAAAGAGAGCACCTTAGGTCCATGCCAGAGACTGTCTTTTCCTGGTTTGCAAACTGATATAGCCAGTAAAATTCTCCTTTCTACTATTTAGCCATCCTGGTGATCTTTTGCGTGGCACCCACTCTAAAACTACACTTGGTTTTCTTTTCGGTCCAGGATAACAACTTCATTTTTCCTTCTCAACGTTTTTTCCTTAGCAATGATTACCATTTGGCAAGCAATTTTTTTTTTGTAAGTTTTTTACTTTGTTTGGTTTCTATTTTCTTCCACTAGAATGAAAATAACATAAAGATATATATTTTTATTATTTTGTCTTTTCAAAGCTCATACTTAGATGGTTCCTAGCCTAGAATTTAACATTGTTGTTGAACAAGTGATTGAAGTTTAGAATTTCAAAAATGAGAACAAAAATAATAATACAACAGTAATTCAGTTACATGTTATTCAATATTTTCCTCCCAAAAGAGCAAATGTACTGCTGATTTATTTTAAATCCTCCTTGTTTCCAAGCAACATGATTAGTGTTTGCAAATATCCTATTATAAAATTTTGATCCATATCTTGTAAGGAAATAAAGTTTATTAGTTATGTAGCTTTTTTGAAAGCTTTCATATGCAACTTTCTTTATTTCCTGGTGTTTGACTATATTCCTTTTTTTTCTCTTTGATCAACTATTACATTTTTAAAGCAATATTAAAAACCTCTGTAGTCGTAAAGAATTTTTCTCAAGTTAGAGGTAAGATTTTCTATGTTGTCAATCAGTGCCAGTCCAAGTTGCTATGAGATATATTTCAAAGCTGATGCAACAGCCTATGTATACACTAACTGAAAAACTCTCATTGTCTTTTTTTAAATGAAATTTTTCTGTTTAAAATGAACTAATTTTAAACATCCTACCTAGCTACAATTTCAAAGATATATGCTTATTACTCTTACGTGAAAACAGAAAGCAGAAGCATGCAGAGCAGACAAAACTGTTATCTCTTAAACTGCTTCTTCTTTCTTCTTTTACCTCTTTAAGAAGTGATTTCCCCATGGTTATATAAAAATGTGAATATCCGAACACAGTAAGATTCATACTTGCAAAAGTGAATCTCTGCATTCAACATCTGTCTCCTTGTAGGCTTTTAAAATAATTATGTAGATATCTCCAGCATTGCTTTTCAATATTGCTATTTGTTGGGTTTTCTTTTTTTTTCTTTTTTTGAGATGGAGTCTTGCCCTGTCGCCTAGGCTGGAGTGCAGTGGTGCGATCTCGGCTCACTGCAACCTCCGCCTGCCGGGTTCAAGCAATTCTACTCCCTCTGCCTCCTGAGCAGGTGGGATTACAGGCGCCTGCCACCACCCCCGGCTAATTTTTGTATTTTTAGTAGAGACGGGACTTCACCATGTTGGTCAGGCTGGTCTTGAACTCCTGACCTCGTGATCCACCTGTCTTGGCCTCCCAAAGTGCTGGGGTTACAAGCGTGAGCCATCGCGCCTGGCCAGATTTTCCTGATGGTTGGCTATAGTGCATTAAATTTGTTACTGGCCATTTGCCAGTGATTTAGTACAATGTAGAGTTAGAAACCTGTTTATCAATACCTAGTCAATACTAAAAATATGAATTTTATTGCTGTATAACATCTCATAAGTTGAAACTTGGACATATACATTATGTTAAAAATGTAAAATGAACAGTAACACTTAAACTTCTATAAACCTATTGGGGAGGTTCAATGCTATATGGACATAAATTAGGATAATTCTGTAAAGTAAACATAAAGCAAATTGGACCTATTAGAAGAAGTGGCAAGATATGAATTCAAATATCCTATAAACTGATTGAGTATAATTCTTCTTCTTCTGGCACTTAAAAGCAAATTTGCATATAGATAGGTATGTTTCTGTAAATTAGCTAATTTTTATTGCAGAATCTCAATTTAAAAGTCAGTTTATTTTTTGCTCATGCTCCATGTTTCATTATCTGTTGTTAGAATGCCTTAAGGTGGTCAAATTTAACAAAATAAATAAATAAATAAAAGGCAACCAGTTCAATTTGAATTTCAAGTAAACAATGGACATCTTTTTTAGTATAAGTATGTCCCAGGCAATATTTGGAATATACTTTTACTAATGTTGTTTTTGTGGTTGTTTTCTGGAAATCAAATGTTACTGGGTATTGTGTATTTTATTTGACAACCATACCCTTGAGGCATCAAAGTAACTCAGAAAGCAGGTTGGCAATTCAGCCAGCCACAATCCCAGACATCCCTGGTCACCATATTAGAGGAAAGGGGAGTACGGAGTTTCTGCATCAGAGAGTAATGATTATAGTCCTCAATTTTATCAAATTATTTTTTTCTATGCTGTTTGCAGACTAACAATCGAGGAGAGTGTTAATTGTTTTTCCCATCTCTTATTTCACATAAATTAATTCATCCTCTAGGAGTCCTCTATAGGTTTATAGCCAGTTTTTAATGTTATCCCCTGGGAAAGTAAACTAAGGAGAATATGCTTCAATATAATTATATTTTATCCTTTATTAAAATGGTGAATATATTTTCTACTAAGTCAGTATGGTTAACAAATATACAAAGCTACTGATGATATCTATGAGAGGATATGCTAAATTAGCTAAAGGGAACAGTCAAAATAGAATTTTGCAAAATATTTGTTAAGTTTAAGAACAAAATGAAATATAAAATAGCATAGGTAGACAGCATGACTAATAAAAATACACACTGCTGGAATAATCCAGTAGTACTGATTTCTTAAACCATTAGTGAAAACTCTTCTTTAAAAACAGAGAGCACCCTTTTGTGTATTTTTATTTAGAGCATATCTTGTATTACAAAGATTTAGATCCATCTGTTGTTCCATATTTCTCTAAAATTTCTAAAGAAATAAAGCTCAATATTGACTATGTGTCGTCAATCTCTCTGTTAAGAAAAAAATCAAATTATGAACTCCTATAACAAAAACTGGAACTTAATCATTTACAGTATCTAGATGCTGAAGTAGCAAAGATTAGACAAGAGCAAATTGGGTTAATTTCAATGAATATTATTTTGGTTTAATTGGGGAGAATATATGGAGGAATTTTTTTCAATATTCAAAGGTGATCAAATCCAAATATGTTGTTTAGTTTGAGATGTCAAAATATTGGAGTGCATGAAGACTACAGACAATAAAAACTTAAATGAAAGGATTAGGAGGCCAAAATTCTGAGAATAATTTAAAGCATATTTGTAATGTGTCTTTCTCTTGGAAAGTTATTGGTTAATGATTTTATTTGCTTTTCCAGTCTCTTTGGTATCTGCCGTGAAAGCAAGATGACAAAGGGAACGCCCTTGTTTGTAGTGTTGCAATAACACTCGCTCTTGGGCCACCACTGTGGTCTAAGATCTATCACCTGCAGAAGTGACCTGTGGCAAGTGTGGCTACTCTGCCAAGCACAGGAGAAAGTATAACTGGAGTGCCAAGGCTAAAAGACAAAATACCACTGGGACTGGTTGAATGAGGCAGCTAAAAATTGTGTACAGCAGGTTCAGGCATGGATTCCACGAAGAAACAACACCTAAGCCCAAGAGAGCAGCTGCTTGCAGAGTCCAATTCATCTTCAGAATTTCAGTGACTGGAAATGCAACGAATGCTCTAGTTTTATATTTTTTTCTTAAAGATTTTATTTTCTTGCTTGTTCATTTTTGCTTGCAGATAGAGAATTTACCTTAATGCTGGGACAGCTTTCCATCTTTGAGTCTAGAATTTCTATGTGCCTCTTTAGTTTTCGGAGAGAACTAGTCAAATTTGAGGGGTCTCAAGTATTACTAAAGGAGGGTGAGAAAGATTTTACACTTTCTTTTCTGGTTTAGGATTTGAAGACATCTGTTCTCAGTAATTTTTAGACTATTAATTTTGTTGAAAAAATTAAAGGATGGTTCTGGATATATGCCTCCTTTTATCTCTGGCTTTAATTATAACATTGCCTCATTATTAACAGTAATTATGTTTTAAGAGTATATTTGAGCTTTACAAACTTGTTAGTATTAAACATTTGTATATCTATTGAATACTTTAACTCATATATTTAAATTTCTTAGTACCAAATTAAACTTATTATAAAACTAAATAAACTTCTATTTACTGGAAATTGTATTTCTTGTTTATATTCTCATTACAGTTTATAGGTAGGCACCGCTTATCATTATTACCATTGATAGTATATTGAAACCCTTGTTGTAATTCCAGTTGAGAGAAATCAAGAAGTTGTACAAAGAAGTTTTACCAAGAGAAGAATTCAACTAGACACACATCCATACATACTTGCATAACCTATGAATAGTGTTAAGACTATATTATTAAAAGTATTGGTTAATTAATAATTAAGTATACAGAACTTCAAATAAGTACTACTTCTATTATTTGACCTCCATTTTCTGTTCTAGTATTTTTGTTGGAAGCCATAAAACAATTTGTATCATGTAAGACTCAGAAAAATAAGAAAATTTGCACAAACTTGGAGAAAATCTAGAGTAATTATACCTTCTTTAAGATAATAGATAAAATTATTTCAATAAATAAATTTTATCAATTTACTTGACATTTATATTTCTATGGTAAATATTGCAGACTGGCAACAGATGATAACTTCAAATAGTGTTCTAGAATGTCATTCTAGCTTGCATAGCATAATTTTTTCACAGATGTTCTATAATAGTATTCCAAAATGCTACTTAGCAACAACAAAAGCAATGGCATTACACATTTTAACAACATTACTGCTCTTAATATTTCCCCCAAATCTAAGAAATAGAAATGGTAAAAGGGGCCGGGCATGCTGGCTCATGCCTGTAATCCCAGCACTTCCGGAGGTGGAGGAGGGAGGATCACTTGAGTACAGGAGTTCGAGACCAGCCTGGCAAACATAGAAAAATCACGTCTCTACGAAAAATACAAAAATTAGCCAGGCATGGTGGCACGTGCCTTTAAGCCTAGCTGCTTGGGAGGCGGAGGCACAAGAATAGCTTGAATCTGGGAGGCAGAGGTTGCCTTGAGCCGAGATTGTGCCACTGCACTCCAGGCTGGGCTACAGTGGGAGACTCTGTCTTAAAAAAAAAAAAAAAGAAAGAAAGAAAGAAAAAAGAAAAGAAAAAAAGAAAGAAAAGAGAAGAAATGGTAAAAGGATGTGGTCTCTATTTTTAGATTAGGAAATCAAAACAGAGAGAGGGGTTAGAAACTTTGCTCAAAAGAGTAACATTACTGAATGAGAGAATGATTATTAAAACAGTTGTAGTCTAATGTGCTTTTCAGTTAAATAAATTATTCCTTCTCATGTCTTAGTAAAGGGACAAATCTGTTAATCCAATTTATATTGCCTCCTAGGCACTTTTTACAGAAACCAGGTAACTGGGTCTTTCATCAAGTTCTATGGTCTGAATATTTGTGTCCCTTCAAAATTCCTATATTGAAATCTTGCCCCACAAGGTGATGGTAATAAGAGGCAGGGCCCTGGGGAGATGATTAGGTCATGGGGGCAGGGTCTCATTAATAGGATTAGTGACCTTAGAAAAGAGGCCTAAGAGAGACCCTGCTCACCCCTTCCACCACATTTGGACAGAGCAAAACGTTGCTGTCTCTAAGGCCGAAAGTGTGCTCTGACCAGACACCAGATCAGCTCTTGATATTGAACTTCTCAGTCTCCAGAACTGTGAGAAATAAATTTCAATTGTTTAAAAGCTCTTCAGTTCATGGTATTGTGTTGTAGCAGCTCAAATAAACTAAAACATCAAGTAAGCCAAGATTTGCAATTGCAAGCACCCAGCACAGTTTTGGGGATCTGTCTAAATAAAGACAGCAAATCCTCTCAAAAGTCTTAGTCTTAGCATCCTTAAAGCAATCTTTTAAAATAAAGTCACGAAAAAACTCTCCTGAAGCTTTAGGAATTTATTTGAATCACAGAATGATCATGCCATTGTCAAATAGCTCAAAAACAAATACAAGTATTACTTCAAAATAATACTAGTTATATATAATAATTATAAAAAACATACCAGAATTTTATAATGTTAAAGAACTTAATCCGAGTACCATTCTTGAACATTTTCACAAGAATAAGAAACATGAAGGCTATGGTCTTTGGAAAAGGTTTGCTATTGAACAAATCTTTGACACTTGGCAAATTACTAACTTCTTTTTTTTTTTTTTTCTATTTTCTTTAAATGGCACTTTCCAAAAGTACTCTTCAGGGGTATTTGAGTATTAATTAATGGATGTATGTAAAGCACCGTCCTAATGCTAAATGTGTCCTCTAATAAAGTAACTGTAAGGTGTATGTAAGGTTTCAGTCTTTTAAAGCACTACTATTATTTTGTTTTTTTTGTTCTTGCTAAAGCTTATGTGTATATATGCATATATATTTTTAACATACAAATATATAAAACATTTGTATATAAAACTTTCATCAAAAAATCCTTCATTTGAGTAGAATATATTTACTGTCAATATGCACACTGCAGTATGCTATATCTTAGGGGTTTCATTCTGAAGAGTCATATTTGCTGGCTTTTTGGGCTTATGTTCTTGGGGGTGAATATAAACATTGGGGTTCCACAAAGAAGTATAGTATGAGAAAAAAACCTAATTTAGCAAGGTTTGAGTAACAATTATAAGGCTCTGAGTAAAATACAAAACAAGCTGTTGTTTTGTACCCATTAACTAAAAATCCAATGAAGTAAAAACAAATATGATCTAATGTTCAGTAGCACAACAGGGTGACTATAATTAACAATAATTTATTGTATATTTCAAAATAACTAGAAGAGTAAAATTGGAATGTTTCTAACACAATTAAATAATAAATACTTGAGGTTATGAAAATCCCAATTACCTTGATTTGATTACTACACACTATATGCTTGTATCAAAAACATTACAGGTACCCCATCGATATGTAAAACTATAATGTATCCATAACAAAATTTTTAATGAAAAAATACAAAGAACAATGGGGAGAGGAGAACAAATAGAAGATAGTGGTCTTCAAATTTTTTTTGAATGCACATCCCACCGTTAAAAAATTTTAAGTACTCCTCCACAGTACATAAACATTTGTCTACTTACACTAGTAATTGAATAAGTATACAAACTGTAAGCATATGTTATCAAAATATACCAGATAAAATTAAAAACAATGAAATAAGAGTGAAGTAAACATTTTTTAATTCATCAGTGGAGCAGCTCTTTCTGCTCCCACTGACAATATTACTATAAAACTATCATATGGAAGAAGATTGTCCTCTGCCAGGCTAACAAATATTACGGTATGCAGTTTCTATCTCATACTGCAAACTTGCATGACAAAATCAGCTTTTTCTTTCTTGTTTTCTTGATTTTGTGTGTGTATGTGGTGTGTGTGTGTGTGTGTGTGTGTGTGCTTTTTTTGTTTTGGTCACTCTGTTATTTTTGCAAACAAATTAGAGAGTGTTGCATTTTTATCTGTTAAATTACACATTTGAATCACACTGAAACTCATTTGGAAAACGGTTGGACAGATTTGAATCTATGATGTTTCTTTATATAAAGTATCATTCACTAAAGTTCTGAATGTGATGTGAGACCTTAAGTCAGTAAATAAATTTGGAACACTTTTATTAAATATATCAAAGACTACTACAATGTTAAACAACATTGCACCTTGCAATCTAAATAAATGCATACAATCTTCTATCACAATCTTAGGTATGGCAATATAACTAAAAGAAAACCACCGTTTATTGAAGTGTGCAACAATGTAGAAAAACAAATTTATTGTTTTTATTACACAAAATCCAACTACAAGATTCATTTTTCTTTTATGGCTAGGTTAATTAAATAAGGTGTGTTTCAATTTGGGGAATAGAGCTTTGTTGTGGACTGAGACCTCGTTCAAGTGGAAAGACAGTAACTGTCACTATACTTAGTTCTAATTTCAAAGCTACTCATAATGCAGAAAATAGGTGAAAAAAATTCAATCAAGAAAGTTGAGTAATATTTTAGAAAAAGTAGCATAAAAACCTAAAATCATTATATTAATAAACATCTAAATATTTGATAACTTTGTCATTTTTGCCTCTGTATTTAATTTTTTTTATTTTGAGCATGCTTACATTTATTCTGAGATCTTCTCTTACTTTAGAAACCCATTTCTTTTGATGAAGAGAAAAAATAAAGAAACTGTATTTCACTATTTGTTTAGTGGCTACATCTACCATTACATTTAGGAAAATAAAGTGTCAAGTCATAGCTGTGTCATCATAAATATATTGGCTTAAGATATGTTTTAAAAATCACTATGTGAATTGTAATTTTAGTATAATATGTTTTTAATTTTTTGAAAATATTTAGGTGGTGTAGGCCAGGAGCGGTGGCTCACGCCTGTAATCTCAGCGCTTTAGGAGGCCAAAACGGGCAGACCACTTGAGGTCAGGAGTTCAAGGCCAGCATGGGCAACATGGTGAAACCCCGTCTCTACTAAAAATACAAAAATTAGCCAGGCGTGGTGGTGGGCACCTGTAATCCTAGCTACTTGGGAGGCTGAGGTGGAAGAATTCCTTGAATCCGGGAGGCGGGGGTTGCAGTGAGCTGAGACCATGCCATTTCACTCCAGCCTGGGCAACAAGAGCAAAACTCCATCTAAAAAAAAAAAAAAAAAACAATTTAGGTGGTATAAGTGCAGTTTTGTTGCAGGAATATATATATTTTATAGTAGTGAGGTTTGGGCTTCTAGTGTAACCATTGCGAAGATAGTGTACATTGTACCCATTAGGTAATTTCTCATCACTCAGAACAATGTACAAATGCAGCGATAATATCTGAGAATGTGAATGTTTCTGTTTTCAAAAGAAGTAGGAATTTTTTTCTCCTAATGTGACATTCAATGTTTGTTCCCAAGTTCCTTAACACTAACTACTAACATAATCTACAAATTGATGTTAACTTTTTAAAATATTATAGATATCAAGATGTGGATTTGGGGATTGCTGAATATATATAATTGTATTGATGAGAATATCACACAAATAAATAGAAGTTTGATAATGTCCATAATGCTACTAACCTAACTCTATAAATTAATGTTACATTTTCAAATTATTATGGATACAGAGTATTGATTTGGCAATTATTGAATATATCTAAAAGTATTAATGAAAATATTTTAAAATAAATGTTTTATAGCTGTTAAGCTTGCAAAGCATATATATAAGTTTGCTTACTTGTTGAATTTTTATATTGATAATGTATATATGCAAATTACTGCTGTAAAATGACAATAAATTTGTTAACGTAAAGAATAATTTTTATTTTTTTGAGATGGCCTCTTGCTCTGTTGCCCAGGGTGGAGTGCAGCGGCATGATCTCAGCTCATGGCAACCTCCACCTCCTGGGTTCAAGAGGTTTTCCTGCCTCTGTGTCTCAAGTAGCTGGGACTACAGGCACCTGCCACCACGCCTGGCTAATTTTTGTATTTATAGTAGAGATGGGGTTTTAACCATGTTGGCCAGGCTGGTCTTAAACTCCTGATCTCAGGTAATCTGCCCGCCTCTGCCTCTCAAAGTGCAGGGTATACAGGCATGAGCCACTGTGTCCAGCCAGGAATGAATCTTAACAGAATAATTGTATTACTACAACCACGAAGGGGTGTCAAGATGGCTGAATATTGCATACTCGTTGTAATCTGCCCCAAGTGTGTGATCTTAATTCCTTAGTATCTCTAAATCTAAATTGTCTTGTTGCTAATATAGAATCATGCTAGATTATTCCTAAAGTCTCTTTGATCAATAAAACAGCTTTCTACAGTGGTCATATAACAATTAATTTTATTAATATAAAATCATATTAAAATGTGAAATTGCAAGTCTATATAGTATAAGAATGTGATGCAATTTACCAGTCTTCCTGTTTTTTTCTTTTGTTTTGTTTTTTAAGATATTAGAAATCTTTACCAGAGTAGGTTCAGAGATTCCAACTCAACCACATGGTGGAAGATTTATGGACAAAACAAGGAAAGTGATGTACAGAACACAGAAGTGAGGTACAGAAACAGACTAATTTGGTTATAGCTTGGTGTTTGCCTTTTTTGAACATCGTTTAAACAGTTGGCCACCTTTGATTGGCCAAAACTCGGTGATTGGCACAAGAGTAGGCTACAGTCTGTTTACAGTTTCATTTAGGTTATAGTTCACAATGTATGGACATATCTTTAGGCTGAACTGAAAATATGTAGGGAGGTATCTTAAGGCTAAACTTGATTTAACAATTCTTCCCCATTGGTCATCCTCTCAATTTTGAGATTGACCAAAACATTAGTCATTGATGTCATTATCACTATTGTAAATGTACTTATTTAGTCTTGAAGCCCACTGCAAAATAATAGAACGGTGAGTTTTGTAAGGTGGGAACAAAGACTTTAGGTTATTTTTTGCAAGGGTTACAATAGAGGGTACCTCCTTATTCTGGAATGTCCTATTTACAGGATAAAAACAAAGCCTAGTCTTTTCTAGGATCTATGTGTTTCCTTAAAGCCTTAGTTTGATATGTCACGTTTAGCACAAGTGACTCCATTTTGGTTTAGTTTTGTCTGTTGGGGCTTAGTGCCTAAGCTCAGTCCAAAACAATGGCCTCCCATAATTTTGTTTTAAAAATTTGCCCCTTTTGGCCAAGTTCTCACTTAGGTAAGAGTGTGGCCAAAACTTAGGGCCTTCACATCATTCTCAGTTACCATAATTTTGAGTTTCCAGTCTCAGCAGGTCATTCATTGGTTACATTGCCATCATGGCCACAAATTTGTTTCAGCTCTTGTCATTCTAGTTAAAGAGAGACGGTTTGACATTCTAGGGATGGCTGCAAGCAAACATTTAAAACTTTTGAGAGAATACAGTGCACCAGGGAGACTACTATTATGACTATCAGGAGGAAAATACCAATGGTTTGATGTATGCTCCTTAGCCAGGGTCCCCATAAACCAAACTAATGAAAATCAAGTAAATCAAAACATGAGCTAGATAGAGTCTACTCACTTCAACTAAGTAGTCTCTTTGTTAATTGCAATAACTGAATCTCTATAATACCCAATGTGATGTATTTTTCTATGGGCAACAAGTCCCAGCAGCTGCACAGATATTTCTCGTTTAGCCAGTAAGTAATCTAGAGCAAATCTATTTATTTATCATAACTTTCACAAGAGAATTCAGTCTGTTGTGCATCCATAGGCTTTACAGTAGAATCTGCTGTAGAGCCTATCATGAGGGATAAATTCCTGGTGATTGCCTAATTTACTCCAAACCATGGGGGGAAAACAGACCTAACAAATGATGCCCTTCTAGAATAGTGAAGGCCTCTTGGAACAGTTCTCTTTAATCCATGATGTGAGTTAAGCGGAGTGAACGAATGTTCTGTTTCTGACTGATTGTGGGGCAACACATGAACCATTAAAATTCTTTGCCTACATTGGGCCTTCATCTTTCATCTATGAAGGTATAAGCTTATTCATGGAAAAAAACTGGCCACAAAATTATTCAAAAAATGAAAGTACACCCCATGAGTGCGCACAACAGACCCTCTTTTCACTCTGTTGTTCATAGAAGCAGAAACAAGGGGAAAAAAAAAGAAGGATAAGAGCCTCAAGATATTAGAGATGTCTTGATCCATGATCTTGGGAAAAAGCTGTCCACATCAAAGACGCCATCTTCTTCTGGGGAGAAACTTCCCTGATTACTTTAACTTAAGGTTCTCAATCGGTGTACAGTTTCAAGAGTGTGGAAATACACTTATGAGGTGTGAGATTATGAACTCAAGGTTCAAGGTCCCGAAGTGTTGCTGCAGTGTAGATGGCAAGGTCAGTCTTTCTCTGATATTCTCAGAAGATCCAGTCTTTGGGTTCTAGATTGTGAAGGGATTGATTGTCCTGTCAGTGAACCATGAAAAGCTTTCTTTACCTGGTGAAAATACACTGTGGCATAATGAGCGACTCTTATAACATCAAACTTCTTGCATGGAAAAACTTTTATACAACCAGAAAACATGCATTGAAAATAACAATGGAATGAAATCTCCTCATAAATATATGAATGGCCCATCAGGTAGCAGAATGTACCTGAAATTTTGATAGTCTTTCCAGGAATATGGGTTTGATAAACCAAACATTTGTCATAAACCATATTAGCAATTTAGAAGTCACCACACGCAGGCCGGGCATGGTGGCTCATGCCTGTAATCCCAGCACTTTGGGAGGCCTAGGCGGGTGGATCACGAAGTCAGGAGATGGAGACCATCCTGGCCAACATGGTGAAATCCCGTCTCTGCTAAAAATACAAAAAATAGCTGTTGTGGTGGTGCGTGCCTGTAATCCCAGCTACTAGGGAGGCTGGGGCAGGAGGATAGCTTGAACCAGGGAGTCAGAGGTTACAGTGAGCCGAGACTATGCCACTGCACTCCAGCTGTGCTACAGAGCAAGATTCCAACAACAACAACAACAAAAAAGTCAGCACACACATACACAGATATTTAATTTGGATCATTTTATCTTTATAATGATAAATCATGGAATGCAGAATTTATAATAACAAAAGCTTTTAGGACTCAGAAAGGATAAGACAGCTGTCCTGGTTCTTCAGTGGTGCATAATTAACACTGGACAGATACCCTCTTGAATGCCAGTTGTCTCTCCAACTTAGATGCCTCACACTGATAACTAATGCGTCATCACTGGTGATTTGAATTAGACTATGGAGTTCATTCAAATTGTATATCTAAACAATTTCAGTACTGGCTGATGTAACTTAAGTATCTGGCAAAGTATTTTACTGGTATTTAATTAAGCTTTGTTCTGTTTGGGTTAGCAGGTTTATAAACCAGTCAACCTTTTCATTAAAGTTCTAGGAATTTGGCCCCAATCCAAGTAATATGATTCTAAAGTTAACCTGTATTCACGAGTACCTTTCAGGGTCATTTTCGTCCTTCCGTAAGTTTCCTTAAAGACACCATATTCTAGGATTTTGCCTGCTTGTGAAGTTCTGAGAAACTGCATCAGAATTAAGCAATTAACTGTGAAAATAACTTTAAATAACTATGACAACTGTTTGTGTCATAAAGACACAATTGACAAGGAAATTTGATGATTTCTGTTGTCTACAATAATTTAACATAATAAACATAATTATGATTGATGGCATATACTCAGACATATTAGAATTTTAGAAATCCCATACAATTTTAGAAAATACATTTATATATATTATATTCCTTAATATATAACCTGAAAAATATATAACCTAAGAAAACCTTATTTCTTTTTTGACAATGCTTCTCATATAACTTAACATGGCAAATAATCATCTTTATAACCTTTTGGATGCTTTAGGGACACTCTGCAGCATCCCAAAGTTATAGGTCAAAAAAGACTTAATTTTAAATCTCAAATTTGATTTTGGAAAGCCTGTCAAATATGCTAAAAGTTTGAAACACTTGACCAAAAAAGGTTCACAGTTCACCATAAAACAATAGTCATTCATTTAACCAAAGTGATAATTAAAAGATTTTTAAAAATAAAAACTTGTACCCTTTGATAAAGGACACTTAGTTTTCCAAACAATCAAAAGTCCTAAGACAGCATGAAAGAGAATCTGTCTCTTCTTTCCACTTTTTTTTTCCTTTTTGCAGTTTACTTAAAAAGTAAATGAAAACATTTGACTTTGTCTTCTTAAAACAATACCAAATTTTCATTCAAAACAGAAAACGCAATTTTACTTTTGGATTAGTGTATTATTAACACTAACACTAATTTTAATAAAACCTCATAAATAAATTTATAAAATCTATCATCTTTTAACTACACACAATTTCCATAAATTTCATTTTACATTTTTCCTCAACTTTTTATATTCATCTTGTTTTATTTATTTTTTACCCCTTCAATTTGAAACCTTTAAGTAACCTTAAACCAGATAAAAATTTTAACATACATATTATGCCTTTTAAAACTTTCTTCATCAAATGCATATTTTCCTTTTGTTTCTACATTCTGTATACAGAATTGTTTCTCTTATATGTAGTAGTTTTTAACTCTCAGCAACCCTAAATTCTAGTGGAAAGCCTAGAAACCAATTTTAAATTGTTTATATCAATATTTGTAGATAAAAACCATTTTATAATTTAAAAAATAGTTCTCTAATTATTGTTTATTAACAGATATACATATATTTAGCTTTTTTTATAACATATGAAAATAATATATCAAGGTATATAGACTTAAACTCATGTTTAATAATTAGTATATCGGTATCTTAACTTGCAGATGACTCAGACATTTTATGATTGTCTATTACTTAATTTAACATAACATGACTTTAAGATTTTAAGCCATGAAAAGAATTTTGAAGCTTTGACACAGGTAACCTTCCTAACATCTTTCTCTAGTAATTCTAGGTCTCAGGTAGCCACGAGGTACCCAGGAGTACTATGAAGATCAAAGCCTGTCTAAGTCCACCAGGACAGAAAACAGCTGTAAAGACTATACCTAAGAATCCAGTCCATCATAAAATAGCCAGGAGGCAAAACAGGGAAAGCAGAGGAAAAAGGGGCTATTTTGAGCTTGATTCTGGCTTGCAGCTGCTGATCTAGGGACGAAGAACATGTCTCTAGACCTCATCGTGGCCACCTACCCAGACCCCTGAATCCAGAGACTTTAAACCAAAGACATAAGGTCACATTCAAATCAAACAAATATCGAATTATTTTTAACCAATAATTTTGAAGCCATTTCTATTTCATCAACAATTTAAAAACTTGCTTTATTTACCAAATATCATATACACATAACACATGCAGACATACAAACACACAGAAGTAGATTTTACAGCTCACAAAGGATCTTTATTTGCAGGCTTTTAAATCGTTTTTTTTCCCCATTCAGTCTATCAATCTTTCAATTACCTGTTTTATTGCTGTAAGCAATTGCTAACTAGGCAACAAATTTGCATTTCTAAAGGGACAGCTCTTAGGTAGAAAAAATTACATTTCATTAGTTCAGAGCTGAGATATTAGGCCTAAGTATTGTGTCATTATTTGCTCAAAGAAAAGGCAAAAACAATTGTCCAAATAAAAGTTCACTTAAGACAAGATGGCCAAAAAATCACCTTAAACAAAGCTATGACTTATTTTGTAAATTTAAAAGGCTGGTAAGAATTTCTAATGTACATAGGCAGACATCTTTTAAAATGGAGATTTTCTTTATAGATGTAAATTTGTTTTACAAAAGGGTGTCAAGACAATCAATTAAATTCCATAAAAGTGTATTTTAGTTTAATATGGTGTTCATTTTTACTTAGCTACTGTTTTATTTTTGTTTATTTGCTTGTTTCTTTTTGTTTAGCTAAAATTACTGATTTCAGGATGAAGTTCATTAAGGAATAGGCCCAAGAAACCATTTTTCCTTCCTAGACTCAGCATGGATATATTGATAAAAGAATCAAGCCAATTTTTTTCAAGGACCTATCTTTTATAAAGGCTTTGCCAAAGATATATTTCTTTCCACTTTGGGGACAGGATGGTAACTAAGCCAAAAGGTAGCAGATTTCATTTTATCTATTAATTGGTCACTTAAGCTTTTTATCTGCCTTTTAAAGTCTTTAAATAAAAATACGGAAATCTTTTTAGAAGCTGCTGCATATCAATAGGCATCCCTAGATGAGGCAAATTTGGGAGCCATAATTTTCAACTGCACTTCAGAGCAGTGGTGTTCATTTGGAATGTCCCACTGTAACTAACCTCTACCAAGATTTCACCATTTCTGTAAAACTTTCCTTCTTCTGGTGCCTAATATTTATGTATGTATAACCCAGAAGAAACACAGTTCTTCAAAAATTTAGGATCCCATTTTTAACTCAAATATTGGCTTTGGCTCTCAGATTCCCTCGATCTAATTAGCCAATAATTTTTTCCCTACATAAACACACAAAACATTAAACAAAGGATGTAGAGCACAAAAATCTTTACGGGTTTCCAAAAGCCGAATTTTACATGTCTTGTAATATTTCCATTTATTACCAGTTTCTTTCTGACCAAGTCAGACTTAAGAGCCTTGTAACTGGATCCAATCCAGTTAATTACCAGATCTGATCCTGGACCCAGTCCAGTTTCTGTCATTACTCCCAAACCCAGTTTTGTCATTACTCCCAAACCCAGTTTTGATCATAAATATGTTCAAAGAAACTTGGAGAGCTCAAAACACAAATCTGTGGAGCTTTGAAATCCAAGAGAACTTACCGTGATCCCCAGCTACCTGGGGAAAGCAGTGGACGCAGTGGGGTTGGTGGGTACCTCGCGTGGTCGCTCAGCACTCATTTGAGTTGTTAGACACTGTACTCCAGATCCTACTTCTGACATCATCTGTTAAAATAAAAGCCTTAGGTGATTTAATTTAAGACTTTAATTGTGCAAAGAATAATTTGCAAATTGGGCAGCCTCTGGAGCCAGAGTAGGCTCAGGGACCGCAGTGCAGCCACCTGGTGAAACATTTATGGACAGAAAAAGGAAAGTAATGTACATAATATGGAAATGAGGTACAGAAACAGCCAAATTGATTACAGCTTGGCGTTTGCCTTATTTGAACATGGTTTGCACAGCTGGTCACCTTTGATTGGCCAAAACTCAGTAATTAGCACAAGTGTAGGCTACAGCCTGTTGACAATTTCATTTAGGATATATAGTTCACAATGTACAGAGAAACCTTTAGGCTAAACTTAAAATATGTAAGGAGGTAACTTTAGGCTAAACTTGATTTAACAAAGTGTACACCATGGTGAATACAAAATTAGGTATGATAAGAAACAATTATTTAGAATGAGAAAAAGTAACAAATTACAAATAAATTTGTACAAAGCTTACAAATCCCATAAACAGAAAAATCCATACAGATAAACGTTTCTGAATTAACTTCCTGAAACAAAGCTATAGCATTTTGTTTTAACTTTTTTGCTGCCTTCTTTTAGATTACTTTATCATGTGACAATTTTTAAATATGTTCTGTAGAGAGGGTTAATAGGAACTTTCATTTTCTATCAAGGTTAATCACAATGTATTTCTCACTGATCACTTACATAAATTAGGTTCAGGCTTATTTCTTTTTATTCAAATTTATTTTATTTCATATTCATTCATCCAAATTTTAGTGTTTTTTTAATTTAGAAAAAAAACTCCTGTCTAGTTAACATTTTATATGAGCTGTAAGATGTGACAGAATTTTTTGAAGACTAGTTTCTTGTGTCTTTCAAAAAAAATTTTTTTTTCTTTCTCTATTCCTGACATTATTCTAGAGACAGGTTCTGAAGGGCATGTTCCCATGTGATGTAACCTCTTGCCCTGCACATTTAGTCACAGCGTCACCGCAGAGGGCAAAAAAGTATATTCCTTGGAGGATATTACAATGGGGTGGCCATCAATATCAGTATCAATCTAGAGGGAAGTCACTCCAAAACCGCATGAAAATATCCCACTGAACCCAACTAAATAGATCTTCAACTCATGTTCCCCTTAACCCAGATCCTGTAACTGAACTCAGGTTCAGCTGCTCTCTACTCAAAAGCTCAAAAGCCAAAACTAAAGAGACAAGAGTAAGTGAGAGGAAAAGCAGGTCTGTTCATGAGCCCACAACCCCAGGAGATGGCAGATTTGCATCACAGAGACCATCTCTCATTTATCATTCTGGCCAAAGGGGATTCATAGGCAAGGGGCTTGAGAAACTGTGTGCAGAATTTTGCTATGTGTAGGTCAGCAGGTGTTGTTCCAATGATTATCTTGAGTAATGGGCCATCATCTAGCGGTCTGGCAGGCATCAGTGAGACTGCAGCATGATTGAAGATTAACTGCTCAGCATTTTTCCAGGGTTGGATATTTTACATTTCACAGCCCTGGCTTTATTTCAAGGTTAATTGTCAGAGTTCGTAAGCAAGCACACAGTTAGGCATTGTGAAATGAGGAACGACTATTTACTTCTAAGAAGGGAGTGACTCCCTTGGTTACAATCTCAACAATTATCTTGGCCACTACAAACACTGCATAGAAAACGAGAGAGGAAAGAAGAGAAGGAGAGAAAGGGGATGCTGCAGAAGAGAGATAGGGTGATTGTATCAGTCGGAGTTCTCCACAGAAGGAGAATCGATAGATTATTTATATATATATAAAATATATGTGCTGCAAATATGTAGTTAAAATATGTAGTATTTTATATTTTTGAAAGTATTCTGTATTTATAAAATTGTGTAAAAATGTATAATATTTTACAAACATATAAAATATTCATTTATTATTGTTATTGATAAATAGACATGAAACAATGATATTTTATATGAAAAGCCATATTTTATGTTTATACATCAAAATATATATAATAAAATATAATACTTCATATGTATAAATATAGATATATATGTACTTGTGTATACTTATGAATATATAAAAGTATACAAAAACACACACATGTTAATTTTATTTTACCAGACTGACACATTTGTGAATGCTGACAAGTTGGTTATTTATAGGACACAGGCTGAAAACTCAAGCAAGAGTCGATGTTGTGTTCTTGAGGCAGAATTTCTTTTCTAGGAAAACTCAGTTTTTGCTCTTAAAGCATTCAGCTAATTGGATGAGACCTACCCACATTATCAAGAGTGATCTCCTTTACTTAAAGTAATCTGATTGTAGATAATAACATCTACAAATTACCTTCACAGCAAAGCCTAGAATTGTATTCAATTAAAAAACTAGTTACTATAGCCTAGAAAAGTTTGCACATGAAATTAATTTATACATGCAAAGTTTATAAAAAGTTACGACACTATAAAGATGTTGCTATACCCTAATGATAAATTTGTTACTCTTTCTTATGGATTTTGCAGAGTAGCAAGTGCAGAACAATGCTGGCTAGTTTACTGAAAATCATTATGTATCGAGGTAAAATTTTTACCGAATAGGGGAAAATCCTGTGTTGTGTTGTTGTGGGGGTGGGGATCAACACTGGCATACTTGTTGGGAAAACAGACAGTTAGGTACCAGGGCAAATGATGCTTTTGGCACCGAACCCCTATGTTTTAGAAATTGGAACTACATTCACCTATGAGCAGCAGTGCACGGCTACTATCTTAGAACTGCCTTGGTGGCTGCTTGTACCTACCTACTCAATCAAGGAGTCCTAGTATTTCAAAAAGCTCCTGTTAAATAATCACACAAAAATACAAAGGACAAGACTGAAAGACCCTGAGTCATTGGAGATGGCAAAGTTTTGATGACTCACATTATGTCTTACCTAACATTTGTTTTTTATATATCTAACTCATTTTACAGCTTAACTCTTCTTTTAAAAACTTTTTTAAAATTTGGGATTATGCAATGATTAATAACTAAGAGGTTAAACTCATGATCCTAATATTCAAGAATTAACGTGTGTATGAGGAGGTAGAGGGAAAGATAGAAGCAACAAGCAGTAACATAACAGAAAATATATATTTTTTAGCAAAGAAAATTTATAGTAGGCAAACTAACTTCAGGGCTGTTGAAAGAGGGATTGATTTTTAAAAACACAAAATCCTCATAGGATTGAGAAAAAGTTTTTAAATATCAATTTACATTAAATAAGAATTTTGCAATATAGTACAAAAAAGAAATCTAAAGCCTTATTCTGTTACTGTAGCTAGCTTATACTTTGGAAGAAAGAAAAGAAATCAAATGTATTTATTTAATCCTTTTTGTCAGTGATACCCAGGGTGAAGAATTCATCTGTAGCTTTTTCACTGCTGAGTTGAGTCTCAGAACTTCACATATATTAAAGTAAAATGTTTTACCTTCTGATCCGAAGCCTTTAAGATACAGTTCATTTCTATTTATAAAAAGAAGGAGGTTTATGTAATTTAAATTTCATGGAAATTGTCTAAGACTACCTCAGTTAGCAAAATAAAGCTTTTATTTACTACTTTTTGTTCTTAGAACGTATCAACTCAATTTTCAAAATTTTGTATGATTCACATTTCCTTTCACATTGAGTTACAGAAGGTAAATAAGTCATTAAAAGTCTAATATGTTTTCATAAACATTTAGAAGAATGTATTACAACAGCTAGAGAAAATAGATTTGCAATTTCCTCTAAGTTCCAATGCAGTCACTGAGTTAACATGTACTTTTTAGTTAAATGATGATCATCTGGAGAAGCAAATATATATGTGCCTTTAAAGTGTTCTACTTCTGAAAAGGCAGATAGACATTATGAAATGGAAAAATAACTCAATAAAAAGATACCACATATTAATAATTTCATTATTTGGTTTTAATAAAAATTTCAGAAACCTGGATTATTGATGGAGAGTCAAAACCAAGGAGGGAAGAATATGCTACAGTGTGGAGGAATCTTTAAAATGCTATACTAAGTGAAAGAAGCCAGGTATGAAGGTTACATGTTGTGTGAATCCATTTCTGGAGAATGTCCAGAATAGGCAAATGAGTAGAGAATGAAGATTGTTTTCAAGGGAAGAAGAGAGACCTGAAAGAAGCCAGGCATGAAGGTTACATGTTGTGTGAATCCATTTCTGGAGAACGTCCAGAATAGGCAAATGCGTAGAGAACGGAGATTGTTTTCAAGGGAAGAATAGAGACCCGAAAGACTAGCACCAGCAAGTAAATGCTTCTCCATGGAAATGACACATATCTATTCATATACACATAGAGCTATTTGGCAGTACAGAGCAAGTAACATGGCTTTACCTACCTTTCAGGAACTATGAAAATGCAGATATTTCATGTTCTCAGAAGGAAGAGAACCAGACATCATGATAAACAGAACTAGATTCTAAAACAATATACTTTTCTTTATTTTAAACTTGGAGCCAGGATCATGTGTTACCTAACCAAAATAATATTTTATTTAAAAATACAGTTTGATCAAAAAGAAAGAAATGAAGTTAGACAAATAATTACTGAAAATAATCAGTTTATAAGATATTATGTTAAAAATGAAGGGTTTTATAAAATCTCTAGCTTTCTATCACCTCTGTGCATTATTTTCTAGCATGCAGTGAATAATGCTGAAAAATAGACATAAATAAATAAACTGGTTATCTTTCAGTAATGGAAACATGAACTATTCTTATTGTATTCGTGTACTCTTCTAGAGGTTTTTTTCATAATTTTTCTAAAGTACATATTTATGCTAAGAAGTAAAATACTAAATACAATTTTAATGTGATTATCATTTTTGAATGGCATATCCAGTTTTGTACTGCTACACTAGAATTTTGATCCCATACATAATATTTTGCAATCACTGTTAATACTTAAAAAGAAGAATGACTGTAGTATCCTCTTAAAATAATATACATGAAATCGCAATGATAATATGGTTGAAATCTTTTATGGCCAAATAACAATGCAATCCCGTGTGGATATATTGGTAATCATCTAATACATATTTACATTATGATGGGTATTTTTGTTTTTTTCAATGCATTTGAAATTATGTATTTTTTAGATATAAAGCAATAGACAGTAGAGGATAGAGTAGTAGAGGATAGAGTAGTATATAGGATTGAAAGCAGAAGGAGCTGTTATTACTCCAGGCCTGAAAGAACAAGTGGAAAGACTTGTACCAGAACCTAGAAGGATAGACACCTGTAAAAGAGGTCATTTTGAGAGAAGCAATGATGTTCAGTCTAGGGACCCAGCCAGCCCATAGAGTTGGGTTATGGATCAACCCAGAACAATAAACACTCTGACATTCGCATGCATCCTCTGTCCGGTCTCCCTGTGGGGCTTTTATTGTTTGGATATAACTAGAAAAGGCATAGAAGTCGGAAGTTGTCGCATAGGTCAGGCTTCTGTGTGAGAGGGTGGAATGGGCAAGTGAACTGGGAGGAGCACACAGAGCTATCTGAAAGATGGACGCTCACTAAATTATACTTTGAGAGTGATGTGGTTTGGCTCTGTGTTCTCACAAAATCTCATCTGGAATTGTAATCCCTGTGTGTCAAGGGAGAGACCTGTAATCCCGAATGGAGGGAGAAAGGGTGATTGGATCATGGAGGCAGTTTTCCCCATGCTGTTCTCGTGTTAGTGAGTGAGTTCTCAGGAGGTCTGATGGATTTATAAGGGGCTCTTCCCCTTCATTCTCACTCTTTCTCTCCTGCTGCCTTGTGAAGATGCCTCCTGCTTCCCCTTCACCTTCTGCCAAGATGGTCAATTTCTTGAGACCTCCCCATCCATTCACAACTGTGAGTCAATTAAACGTCTTTTCTTTATTATGACTCAGTCTCAGGAATTTCTTTATAGCAATGTGAAAAGCAACGAATACAGAGAGGTACTACTGTATAGAGATTTTATTAATTTTTTTATTTTTTATTATTTTTTTTTGAGATGGAGTCTCACTCTGTCACCCAGGCTTGAGTGCAGTGGCATAATCTCAGCTCACTGCAACCTCCGCCTCCCAGGTTCAAGCGATCCTCCTGCCTCAGCCTCCTGAGTAGCTGGCACTAGAAGCACACACCACCATGCCAAATTAATTTTTGTATTTTTAGTAGAGACAGAGTTTCACGATGTTGGCCAGGCTGGTCTTGAACTCTTGACCTTGTGATCAGCCCACCTCATTCTTCCAAAGTGCTGGGATTACAGGTGTGAGAGGGAGAAAAAGGTATAATTTTTTCAAAGCAATCGTAGTCAGAAAAAAAGTTGAAATGACAATGTATTGGTAAGAAATTATAAGTTTTTTCTGGGGAAAATTATTTGGGAATAAAAATACTGAAAAATGAAGAGATTTATCATGCTCTATGCATCTATTTACAGATTAGGTCCATTATTTTATTCTTTCACCTGTAAATTCAGAATGAGAGAAGCACAAAATCTAATCTGTACATTAAAAAAGAGACTGGCAAATGTGAAAGAGACAAATAATCCCTTTTCTCTGGTGAATTATAAGCAATTATAACATTTAGTGACAATTTCTTTATACATTAAAGCTGTGTGAAATTTATTTTACTCAAGTAAGTAGGCCCAATTTAAGGGATGATTTTAGAGAAGAACAAGAGATAAGACATAGATTAAGTAACCATTTAGAGAGTTTAAATGTGGAGGCTATGCACTTTGTATGTAGAGCATAATTTGTTTCTTTGCTTGCATTAATTGTGGCAGATTGCTTGTTGAACTGCCCAGACTCATTCTCCCTTTCTGTTGTGCAGAGGTGTTTTGGGGAGTGGTCCACCTGCCAGGCACGACATTTACCAGCTCCCAGTGAAACAGTAATTACATGTTGGGGAGTGGATGGAAGAATAGTGTGTGTCACTGAGGGGCTAAAATGGTGACTGCAATCTCCCAAGGGTTCTTTTGGTTCTTGTCAAACTTCTGGCAGCAGTGAATATCGGAGAGGAATCTGAGGACCTGCGCCATGTAGAGCCATTACGTACAAATAACATGAATCTCGGAGTCACCTCTTAGTGGAAAGTTGTCCAGGGAGATCACCTTACCAAAAATATTAACATTTTATTTATTATGACAAAGAAAAGCGTGCCGTGTTAATGCACCTGAAAGTTGGGGATTATTTGTTGCATTAGCTAATACTAATTATTCTGTCTAAAATGGTAGCTGGTGTTAATCAAAATAGAGAATGGGGAAAAAAAAGAAAGGGAACCAAAAAAAAAATAGTCAGCAACGAGTCCAAACAAAGTCAGTGTTAACATATATAGGTATATATTAAATAAATATATATGGCATATATACTTAATGTCCATTAAAATGTATATAATAAAGTGTAGAGATCTCATTTGCAGCTTAACTAATTTTTACATATGTGTATACCTGTCTTCTGCATGCAGCCTGTTGGTAAAATCATTCAAGGGGTTTGATTTTTTTATCAGATATTGTATTTTACTGTTTTATAATGACGTTTGGTTCTGTTTTTAAAGATTCCCATTTCCGGTTGTAATTCTTGTCTTTTCATTCACTTGTCTGTCATTTATATTATTGAATATATAGAACATATTAAGAAATTTTTATTATATTTCCTTCACTATTTTGATTATTGTTCTGCTTCTATTTGTAATTGGTTACCTTTCACTTCCCTTTTTGAATGTCTGGTTATTTTTAAAAGAACTATAGAGGCTCCAGAAAGTGTTTTTTTTGTTTTTTTGTTTTGGTTTTTGTTTGTTTGTTTTTTTCAAAGAGGGCTTTCCTTTTCCCATGTAGAGAGACAGGATAAATAACTGATAAGACAAATAAGACAAGAAATGCATTTGTTGTCCCTGGGCTGCAAATTTCATAAGACTCAATCTAACACTGGTCGGTTTTTGTTCTTGGGGCATATTCTTGGAAAATCTCAAGCTTTGGGTTGAAAGCCTATTATGTTTTTTCCTCAACTTTGAAAGCCTGGGAAATCCTGATCTACAGAAGTTACCAGTTTCACTCACCCATCTCTTGCTCCTGAGGCGTCTAAAGATGGCAGACGCCTCAAAGACAAAATGAACTGTATTTGGAAGCAAACCCCATTTCTCTAAGGGAAATTGCCCTAAGTACTACAAGATTATAGGAGCTTACTATTCAGCTTACTAGCTCCCCAGTCACCTGCAGGCAGGTCAAGATTCAGAATCTGCCCACTGGAGAAAACTGGCTATATTCGAGTATTCTCAAGTTTCCTGTTTCCCCTTTCCCCTATCAGCCCTGAACCAATTTCAAAAGATTGACAATTTTTTTTTTTTACCTTTGAGTTCCTCTGCATAAATCATTCCTCACCCAGAGCCAAGCCCAAATGTGGTTCCAGAGCAAAATCAGCATTTGCCACCAAGAAAAATAATAGCCACTGATAGGGTAGTTAGCTCACCAAAGAAGAGTTTCCTGTCTTGAAATTTCAATTCTATTTTACTTTTGCTTCCATTGCTCTTTAGTTTCTTTAAAATGATAATTTTTATAATACTTTGAGCTTTTTGTAATTGTTACAATTGAACTGTTAAGATCATAACGTTTACATGTAATTTATACACAAACACAAATATATGAATTAAGTGTTTAAATGTGTTTTAGCAATCATATGTATACAATAAAATAGAAGCAGGAGGCCTCCATAGAAGCAGGGAGACACAACAGAAGCTATATATATATGTATACATATACTTCCACATTAAAGTACATACCTTTTCAAAAGGGAGAGCTGGTCTTTTAAATTATTAATACATTTATGGAGATCCTGTAACATTTCCAGTGGCTTCCTTGCACATTTAAATAGATCAAAAATTCTTCCTAGGGGTTAAAATAGTATATCATCTGATTACAAACTGATATTCTGATTTTATAATTTCTAAAAGTTGGAGCACAACTTTTGGAAATTACCTATTCATTAAAAAGAAGTTTCTGTCTTCAGATTTTCCTATCATAGGGTCTACCACCCGATCTAATGCTGCAATGTCCCTATCTCTCTCCTGCCACTTTTACACTTACCTCACATACATTGACCATTTTCTTATCCTTGAAAATGTCAAGCTTATTTTCATCCCAGTTCTTGATCAGTCTCACATAACTATTTGTCTAGGATTATTGAAGTGGCAAGTTACTCCACATTATTTAAAAACCAAATGAAATGCCACATCCACAGAGAAGCTCTCCCTGAACACTTTCCTTAAATTAGCCTCTTCTCATCATGCTCAACTATAACACTATTTCACTTCCTTTATAGTATTCATTCCTATCTGAGGCTCACTCACTTATTTATCCATTCACCATTGCATACTTTCCAACATAAGAAACGTTACAATAAAGTTTCTTGCATCTTTTTCTTTGCCATTTATCAAATTATTTCTAGAGCATGTATTTGCCACACATCAACTTGTATATTAAAGTCTATGCTGCATTTTTTCTTTCACTCATTTTGCTATCCTTTCACAGAAAGATTTTACTAACGTGTGTCTATACCAACAGTATGTGTGCTACAGTTTGAATGCTTGTGTTCCTCCAAAATTCATTTTGAAACAGAATCTCTAATGCAGTAGTATTAACAGGTGGGGCTTTTTAGGAGGTTATCAAGTCATGAGTGCTCTTCTCTCTGAATGCGATTAATGCCCTTATTGAAGAAAGAGGCTTCACACCGTGTTCAGCCCTGTAGCCCTTTTGTCCCTGCCACCATGTGAGGACACAGGGTTCCTCCCCTCTGGAGGATGCAGCAACAAGGAACCATCTTGGAAGCAGAGAACAGCCTTCACTAGACACTGAACGTGCAGGTGTCTTGGTCTTAGACTTTCCAGCCTCCAGAACTGTGAGAAATAAATTTCTATTGCATATAAATTATTCAGTCTGTGGCAATTTGTTACAGCAGCACGAACGGGCTAAGAAATATGAATGTTCAGTAAACTAACTAAATATAATACAATGAAAATAATACAAAAATATGTACTATTTTTATAAAATGTCTTGATCTTTAGTATTTCATAATTGAATATTTTTTGATATTTATATAAATACAAACAAATTTGAATTTGTCTGATTTCACAATTTTTTATATCACTCAACATTTTTCAATGTAGTATAGAATATTTTACATATGTACACAGATCTATATTTACACATCCCAGACTCACATTCAAAATGCATTCTATGTTGAGCAAATTATTCAAATTCAAACCCATACATAGAGGTAATATTGGCTAAAATAAAAATAATTTTGTAGTTTCAAAATACTTCTGAAATAAATTTAATTCAATAACAGAAATGAATCATTATTTCCTTAGCTTGATTAAAGAGGTATCAAAGAGCTTATTTCATTTTAATTCCAGAAAATTTAGTGATTACTGAGGAATGTTCTTGACATATGCAGTTTTTATACAAATGTTGACTTATGAGTGGCATATTTAATATTTTGGCCTCTCTTTATTACTTCTCATCATTATGATTTTGAAAAATTCCCTAATGGGGCATAAATTTGCTAGTGTCTGTCAATACGAAAAACAGTCATTAAACAATAACAAAGGCCATGACTTTCCCTCTTCTCAACTATCATATCTCCTAAACAGAAATTTGATGCAGCTGATATATTTGTATTAATAACATCTGCTGCTTTCATCATTAAATTCTACCCACCGGTTAATGCCTGGAGCTGCAAAATTATGAGAATTAGCTGAAGGAGTCTCAAATTAAAGAATAAAATGAAAACTTTGAAAACATGTATTGCCACCTATAATACTTCATAGTGGGCAAAATAACAGCCTCCAACCATACATGGAATGCATCACACTTCTTAATAGTGGTGGAAATTTAAATAAATGAAAATTATTGGAGAAAAGTTCAGTTTATATTGTTGGGTTAAGACTAGAGAATAAAAAAATAAGCTTCAGAAATGTGATGAAGTTAATTCAATGTCTGAATCCAAGATAGAAAGCCTCATTTCTGAGAAACTGTATATCTGACTATGTGTAATATTAGGTCGTTTGTAATTAAGGAATATTTAAAGTAAATTTAAACATTAAATGCAGGTAACAATCTAACATATACATCATAAATATGAAAATGATTCTTTAGGCCTGTTTAACATTATAATGTAAAGATTACAGAAAAATGAATATACTAGGAGGGATATAAGTAGGTACCCATAAAGATTATATTCCAGGGATATCTTTGGTTTTAAAGTCCCTTTGTACTATAAAGTAACAAAATAAAAAAAACTATATCTTCTCCCTCATGTCAGTCACTGAGGACATTCTTGCTGACTTTATTTGTTCACTTTAGGATTTTCCTTGAAATCAGGTTGTGTTGTACATGATTGCCATAAATTGATCATAATCACTCCTGCATTATCTAATGTGGGTCTACGTACATAAGATAAGAATCTACCTCTAGGTTTTGGAAACTTGGTTGGGAGAATTTCTATGTAAAATTCCTTTGTTTACATGCCTGGCTAATTCTTTGCTTTGTTCTCATCTAGAGATTGCTAGATTCTTTTGTTCACTTAGACTATGATCTTCATTTTCAGAATTCATAATGCCATTCAGTTGATCCGTGCATTCCCTTCCCAACATTATATTTTAGCAGCATGCTCCATGACACTTCAACGCTCTCAATGTTTTGGTTAAGTGGCTTGTAGCTCCTTGTCATAATAATTTGAAACATTTGCCTTCATTTGGAAACATTTTTAATAAATATATAACAAATCATAGATTATTTTTTAGAACTTTGAAAATTACTAAAATAGTAAATCTCCAATTTTCCAACTGTAAATTAAATTATTTTGTGATATACAGCTTCATTATAATACACTACATATTTTAAAAATCTGTCTCATTATAAAAGTGTCAATTTCCAATGATGCTGTTGATTAAAGAAATTTAACATTTTATCTGAATACTACAGGATTTAAATTGTTTGCTAATATATATAGGGTTCATAGAGTGTTAAGACATATAATGATTCATCAAGCAAAAATTAATTCAGGATCTAAAATCAATGGCAGGCTTAATGCTTTTTAAAATAGATAACACTGTTTTAATTAAAAATGTCAGCAATGTAATTACTCCTTAAGCAAAAGGCCACAGAGGGGAAAATTGAATAATACTTAAGTTGAGCATATGAAAAAATTAATTTGTGTTAAAAAGTAGCAATTAGACATTTCCTTGGCAGCATGAGAGATCATAATCTCAAGTCTTGTGCTCATTTGCAAAATATAACTTATTAGATTTAGTTTAAAGAAAAATAGTATATTTTTAAAACTGTAGAAAATAGCAGTGGTTACAAAATCCAAAAATTCATCTTATCTTAAAATATTTCTGGGATATTTCAGATTTCATTTGACCCTTTAAATCTTTTGCTTCTTCTTTCCTGTAGTAAGTCAGGACTAAAATTTCAGTCACACTAAAATTTTAACATTTCTACATTATTTTGAATTTCTTAGTTAATTGCCAAAATATGTACTTCTTGATATCTGAAAAAACCGATCACTTAAGATTGGTCAGTTTGGGAGTGGATGTGTAGTTTGTTTACAGGGATCTTGAAGAGGCTCAATTTGAAATTCTGAGGAATGCCAGCAATGAGAAGACAGTCAGAGAAAGAGGATTCAGTGAAGACACTTGAGAAAGAATGTTCAGAAAATTAGGAGTAAAAACCTTGATGTCTTGGAAATATAAATAAAAAGAAAAGATAATCACATTGTAAGAAGACATGCCAAAGGTATAAAATGCTTCAGAGAGATTAAGAATTAAAATATACCCATTTGATTGAGCAATCAGTAGGTTTATGGGGGTCACATTTATGAGTCATCTAGTGAAAAGGTAAAAGTAAATGCCTAAATGAAATAAGTGAAAAAAGCTGATGAGGTGATGAACTGGATTATAAATTGTGGTTTGGAAAACCTCATTTGGATAGATTAGCCACATGAATGTAAGCAAGGAAGCAGAGAAGTAAGTCCTGGAGAAGGAGGGGTATACGATTGGGTGATTTTATGCTTCATGTCATCTATAATTTATCTGTTCAGAAGCAAGTATGATTCCTGATAGAGAGAAAATATGAGTGGTAGGAGATACCTGTCTGGGAAAAGAGGCATGTAAGATGGCTGGATTAAAGCTTTGAGATCATTTACCTTGAGTAAAATTATGAATTAAAATAAATTACACAGAGCTTATAATTTTCAAGAATAACGGATCGAAAAAAAAAAAGCAACAGGCATGTCCAGGTGCTTATCTGACACATTTCTCTGTATCAAAATCTACTTGCATACTAAATTATATAGCTCTTTAAATAAAGAGTTAAAGCCATCACTCAGCTATGCCGAGAACCTCAGAAGTACTAGGGCTTGGCTTCTGAGAGTGGTTAGAGCCCAAGTCATAATGAGGAGGCACCAGTTTAACATTTGCTTAAGGAGGAGGCAGTGCATTTGGTCTCAGATATTTGCACGTGGTACTGGATGACCAGTAAAGGGATGTTATAACTGGTGGTTCTTTGACTACAGAAGACCATCTATTCATTCTCATTAAGGGGTGGCAGGTGTGTTTTAATGAATGTCTGCAGCAAGATAGACTGATGATATCACTGGGAGTTGGGCAGAGAATCAAGACAGTGAGATTTAAAGCACAAGAAGGATTCACTATGCCATCAATGGCTTGACAATGGAGGCTATGAACATGATATGAAATGTAGACGAAGTCTAGAAATTGAGGAGATGGCTACTTTTGTGGCTTATATTTACACTGGCTGCATTAGTAACTATTTTAGAAGGTCTATGTGTCCTACTAAGTGCTATTGTTCTTCACACATTGTGTAAGAAAAATTAAATCTTCATGAGAAAATTGGAAATGTATTAAGTTGTCAAGAGTCACAATGTTGGTCCTTCAGGCTTCAAAAGAACAGGAGATATAGACCTTGAGCAAAATATCTCACAAACCAGTTGATCAAGTTTGATGTTTGTTGAAACCTTTGTGGTCACTGTGACTTTGATAATCTTTGTGGTGAGACCTTCCCATGGACACAGACATTTATAAAACAATATGCTCTATAACTGGAGCATTTCCAGTATCCTGTTTTAAAGTCCTGGGTATTGTTATTAAATTGCTTTTTGTTTGAAAGACTGTGCTGGAATTCCTTTGCTTGAATTCTTCTTCTAAGCTTTATAGTCTGTGTAAGCACACAGATTAATTCTCTATTACGGCCCTGGATATATGCAATGCATCTATGGTGATTCTATTATATTTATGTATTTTTATACCACCAGTTTTAACTAGTTCTCTTCTTCTACTTAAAGAGTGACGAAATATGCCTGCTGATTGATGATAGTTTGAGTGTCTACAATTTTGTGGGAAAAAATATCTGTAATATTTTTGGGCTTTTAAAGGTGTCAGTTTTCATCTACCAAGTCAGCCTCTGTCTTTTCCAAAGATGAGAAAGCAATGAATGATGAACTCTCTAATAAGCATGCAATTCTTAATAATAATGAAGAAAATTTAACCCAGGTAATTGCATAGCAAACAGTAGAAAACCCCCTAGAGAAATGAAAATCCAATGCCTTTATGAAGAAAAATATGTAAAACTTAATCTGTAATTTTGCAACTAAATGAATTTGAATATCAAATGTATCTGAAAATGCATCTTCCTGTGTTAACCAGAATTAGAATTGTAAGATGTTTCCTGTGACATTTACTCCCAGGTATCAGTCCTATGACTATGTTACGCTACATGCCAAGAGACTTTGCAAATGTAGGTGAGATTAAGGAGCTGATTATAAAATAGAGAAAGTATTCAAGTATAGCTAACCTAATCACATGAGCCCTTTTAGAGCAGAGTTTTCACACTGCTGACAGAAGATGAAGTCAGAGAGATTTGAAGCACAAGAAGGCTGTTACCATGTACTTGCTGGCTTTAAAAATGGAGGGAGTTATATGAGAAGGATTGCAGGTGGTATCTAGAAACTGAAAACAGCCCTTGGATACAACAAGAAACTGAATTTGGCCAGCAACCTGAATGAGCTTGGAAGGGAATTCCTCCCCAGAAACTCCTGATAAGAGCTCAGCTCAACCAAGACCTTGACTGTAGTTTGTAAGAAACTAAACAGAGACCAAGCTGAACCTATCTGGACTTGTGACCTTCAGAAACTGTCATATAATAAATGGATGTAGTTTTAAGTAATTCACAACTAATTTAATGGTAATTTGTTACTCACCAAAGGAAAACTAAACCAGTTCCTCAAATAACATACTCGAAAGACAATCATTTTAAGTTATCATTAATTTAAAACAAGAACAATTCTCTCTTATATTTACACAACAGTGTGTCAACAAAAATGACCTTAGCTGATGGCTGGCTTTTATTTCTGTTAGCATTCATATTTTCAATGTCAACTCTTTCACTAAAAACTAAATGCACTAAAGACAATTTTAAGAATAAACAAACAAGTAATTTATTTCTTCATTGCTGAAATGAAAATCGTAAAATTTTGAAATGCACTAGTATGGTAGGCCTCTTTATTGTTAAATTTGCATTTTATTTGGTATTAAAACATTAAGACAGGCTGGGCGCTATGGCTTATGCCTGTAATCTCAGGACTTTGGGAGGCCAAGGCAGGTAGATCACTTCATGTCAGGAGTTCAAGACCAGCATGGCCAACATGGTGAAACCCCATCTCTACTAAAAATACAAAAATTAGCTAGGCGTGGTGTTGCGTACCTATAATACCATCTACTCAGGAGGCTGAGGCAGGAGAATCACTTGAACACACGATGCAGAGGTTGCAGTGAGCCGTGATTGCGCCACTGCACTCCAGCCTGGGTAACAGACTGAGACTCTGTCACGAAAAAAAAAAAGCCCTTAAAACAGAAACCTTTACGTCCACTGTAGTATGAGACTGTATTATTTGGCCAAAATTATTTCTATTTTCTTCAATCCTGCTATGACTTCCCTGTGGGTTGATATGACTTTCACATACTCCACTGATGAAATATGAGACTTATTTGGCCAATGGAAGAAGGACAGAAGTGAAAATCAACCAGTTCTAAGATTATTCCTTAAGAAGCATAACAAGTTTCCCCTCATCCTTTTGGAGCTTTTACTGTCTTCAATGAGCAAGCAGGCCCCAGGCGAATATTGTAAAATAATTTAATTGCAGTATTAGGATTGATACTTCTAACAGTTAAGAAATGGGAAATGCACTGGCACATTTGTCTGTTTTTCTTTTAAATAAGAGTCTGAATTATGCCTAATCCTTAAGTTCAAATTTTAGAAATACTGTTTTTACATAGACTAAGATGTATCTAGACCTTCGAAGATGAGTATGTCTAAGTTTTAGGCGTTTCTCTTAAGTCGATCAATATACTATAGGCCTTTAAAATATAAAAATATTTTATTTTTAAAAGTCTTTTTTAAGTCAATACGTGTTACCTTCGTTAAATCAAGATGAGCCTAAAGGTGTCCCGTTGCATAGTTTAAGTTTAGCCTAAAGGTTTTTCTGTACATCATCAACTATAACAAATGGAGGTGTAACCAGACTGCAGCCTACACTTGTGCCAATCACTGAGTTTTGGACAGTCAAATGTAGTCAATTGTTTGAACCTTGTTCAAATAAGGCAAATGCCAAGTTGTAACCAATCCACCTGTTTCTGTACCTCATGTCTGTTTTCTCTACATTTCTTTCCTTTCTCTGTCCATAAATCTTATTCCACTTTGTGGCTACACGGGAGTCTCTGAGCCTACTCTGGTTGAGAAGGCTGCCCCATTCACGAATCATTCAATGCTCAATTAAACTCCTTTACATTTAATTTGACTGAAGTTTTTCTTTTATCATCTTCTTTGAACCACTGAGGTTTTCTTCTAAAACATGATGATATACACAAAATTATCTTATTAATGATGTGCATGTTTGAATTCAAACAACAAATGGTTTTCCCTATTTTGAGCATCTAGCTTTGTGGAAGATATATAGTCCCATTATATAATAGAGCTACCTTGTACCAGGACAGAGAAATGTCTTTGAATAATATATCAAAGAGTGGGCTCTGCCTCATTGCCTAAGTAATCAATTTCACGGTAAGACTAGTCAGCTTTACAGATGAGTGTAATGCATGGGAAAGGTTCAGAAATATATTATTATATCTACTTGAGAAAAATACATCTTTGAGTACAGTACTTAAACTAAAAATTTTACAATGCATAATGGGAAACAAAGTGCATTGGAGGCTAAGTGGAAAGAATTGATGTTCATCTTTAAGCATAGGGAAAAAAATTTTAAAGTCCTACCTGTTTGATACTTGAATTTTTCCTTGAAACTTTCCTGAGATTTTAAATAGGCCCATAACATTCTGCTCTTAAAGATAGGAGAGAAAAAATTTTACTGTAATACTTACTCTATGAGGCACAAATTGAAAATATTTTGTAATATCGAAGATATAAACCTTTTGTATGTCATTAAAAATAAAAATAAGAATGCATGAAAAGAGTTGATAATTTTTATAGTATATGAAAATACAATTTATAGCAATGAAACAAAGTTTTTCTAGCGACATTTCAGAAGATTATTTTAAATATATTCTGTTGATATTATTTATTACTATTATATTAAGAAAAAATGCTTTTACATTTAACAATACCAAAATGTGAAGTTTTATAAATACATATTTTTTAAAAAATACTAGTTTCTATATATTCACATAAAGGAAAAACATACAGATTTTTAAAAATTCTGTGATTTTAAATTTTCAAAATGTTCATATTAGCAGAAACCTCCAATGCAATTATTATATATGTGCAAATTCTTATTTATATAAACATATATTTACTTATCTGTGTTGAAAAATCTTTAAACATTTTAATCACTACTTTAAAAATAACACTCTTTTTTCTTGTATAGCTATTATAATAAAAAATTTTAACATATAATCAGTTTTCATTCTTGGATCACAGAATCAAGTATGATTCTTTTAATTGAGTGGTATATGGAAAACTTAGAGAAACAAACATCCTCATAAGCGAAGGTGGATTTTTATTTACAAATTCTGCATAAATCCATTGTCTTTTAGAACAATCTTCATGGGTCACAAACAAAAACATGTTCTCAAAACATGAAGCATTACCACTTTAGCATTTCTCTTACAAATAGAGAGAAACTTATACCCAGCTCTTTTTATTTATTTATTTATTTTTGCATAGTTATTTCAAATATTTTAAGTTTAGTCTTGCTTCTATTTAACCATGTATTTAAAATATGTATATGAATTTTTCTCTAAGATATCTACATGAATTTTTTTTTTTACTTAATAATACAAAATTTCTCACCATCTCCCTTAATCACATTGAACTAATCAGAAACTAATTTAATAACAAATATGATGCCCTGTAGTAAAATTCTGTGTTTTAGACAGTTCAGGTTGCTATAACTGATATATAATGGGCTACATAGACTAGGTGGCTTAAAACACACATGCATTTCTCACAGTTCCAGAGGCTGGAAAGTCCCAGATTAAGGTGACAGCTGAACTGGTGTCTGTTGAGGGCCTGTTCCCTAATTTGCAGATGGCAGAGAAAATCTCACAGGGCAGAGAAGAGTCTCTTTTTATAAGGGTACTAAATCCATTCTTGAGGACACAACAAGACCTAACTATCAGGCTCATGACCTAATTTCCTCCTAAAGGTCTCACCTCCAAATATCATCACATTGGTGATTAGGCCTTCAATATATGACATTTGGGGGTGGACACAAACATTCAGTCCATAGCACTTCAAATAACAGAACAGATTAGAACGGCATCTTCGGATATCTTATCATTCGTGATCTAACAGTGAATTTAGGGTATGAAACAGAAATATGGTTATTTCTCTGCCTTTCTCTGCCTTTTCTAAAAAAAAATAGACAATCCTGTCTTACAGGTTTTTAGAAAGTGTTGAAAATAATTTTTTTTCACTCGTTCACACATTGTATAACTAAGAATGATTACAAATCTTCACCCAAGAATGAAGGAGTTCTATTTTTAAAGTAGGTTTAACTTTTTAAGAAGGAGTAACAGTTTGCTAAGTATCTCTTTAACAAATCTAATTAACCCCGCTTTCATCTAACTCATGTTTGGCGTTCCCTGAGTATTTTTGTTCTAAATCAACAAAATTATTAAATTATTTTGAATGTATAATTTGAATTCCAATATAATAAAAAAAAACATAACTGTGTTGTAAAATGCCCTGAGATGTTTGTGATGAGATAGGTGGCTGTAAGTGCTGTGATAGAATAAGTTAATTTTATTTTGCATAAATAAAAGTAAGTAACCTTAGGGGTTTTGAATAGCCATATTTAATGCTACATCTTGGGTAATACCCAGCTTTGCATGTATCTGCATATATCTATACATGTTGAAAACTCCATTTATTGAAAATAATTGATCTTTAAGAAACTTTTGGATAACTATAGAAAATCAGTATTTTAACATATGTCAGCACACTTCAGGAGATACAATACTATTGTTTAAGGTTTTATTGGCATTGTCATTAAATAAATGTAACATAATAAAGTGGTAAAAAGTTAAATGATATATTAAATACCATAAAGTGTTAGGGGAATTAGAGATCATTTAACCATAAAAGAGCAAAGAAACTTTCATAGAAGGTGTATATATTGAATTTTACTTCCATAGACGGGTAGGATTTAGAATATTGAAGAGGAAGGCAAGGGACATTCAAGATAATAGCATAATCTAACATAAACGAAAAAAGAATTTGATGTGTAAATAAAATGACATGACAAAAAAATTGGAAACCTCAATACCATCAAAACAAAGTGGATATGCCACATTGGATTATAGTAAGTTTTAGTAGAAAACAGTAAATTTTGTAATTATATGATTTCCCTCTCTTTTCTGGTGAGAGTTACTGCATCATCTTTGCCTGAGACACACACAAAAATAAATGAGTCAGATATATTCAAAGGTTCTGTGACCTGGACAAAGTAATTTGCTTATAGAGAGAAAAGTGGACACAAGATGTCAATCAGTGTCCATTAATAATTTTTAATGCTTGAAAAGAAACAACTGCTGAGATTTCTAGAGACAGAAATATTGTTCTGGACAGATGGAATTACTATTTAGCTTGGCTTTGTCATCTTAACTTTAACACTGTACATAAATTCCTTTAAGCCCAGATTTCTGCATGAAAAAAACTAAAATAAAGTAAAATGTAATCCAGAGATGGAGAAAAAGAAAGGCAGAAAAACGACATAATTTTAGTATCAAAATTTATCCTTGACTGACTTTTAATTAGGTAGGTCCCCAAATTTCCTTCTTGCTTACATTGTTTTTTTAACTACAATTTTAAAAATAAACAAGCTTTACATTTGGAAGGTTATAGATGTAGGCAAATATTTGGCAACAGTGGTGAAATGTGTGTAATGTGCTTAATCAGTCAGTAATACTTACAAATCAGTATTTAGCATTTTTCAGTATTTCAACATAAACATTCAGGAATGTGCTTTATACTTATACTTCCCAGGCACCTAGCTGTGTATCTTCTGATATAGTTTGGTACTGTGTCCCCACCCAAATCTCATCTCAAATTGTTATTGCCATAATTCCCACATGTCAAGAGAAGAACATAGGGGAGGTGATAAGATTATGGGGGGCAGTTTCCCCCATGCTTTTCTCATGATACTGAAGGAGTTCTCACGAGATCTTATAGTTTTGTAAGCGTTTGACAGTTCCTCCTTTGCTCCTCTCTCTTGTCTGCCACCATGTTAGACATGCCTGCTTTCCCTTCAGCTATGATTGTCAGTTTCCTGAAGCCTCCCCAGCCATGCAGAACTGTGAGTCAATTAAAACTCTTTCCTGGCTGGGCGTGGTGGCTCACGCCTGTAATCCCAGCATTTTGGGAGGCCAAAGCAGGTGGATCACAAGGTCAAGAGATTGAGACCATCCTGGCTAACACAGTGAAATCCTGTCTCTGCTAAAAATACAAAAAAATTAGCCAGGTGTGGTGGCAGGCACCTGTAGTCCCAGCTATCCAGGAGGCTGAGGCAGGAGAATGGCATGAACTCAGGAAGTGGAGCTTGCAGTGTGCTGAGATCACGCCACTGCACTCCAGCCTGGGTGACAGAGCAGAGCGAGACTCCGTCTCAAAAAAAAAAAACAAAAACAAAAAAAACAAAACACTTTCTTTTGTAAATTTCCCAGTATTGGGCAGTTCTTTATAGCACTGTGAGAATGAACAATACAGTAGAGTGGGGTACTGTACTGCTATAAAGATAACCCAAAAATGTGGAAGTGACCTTGGAACTGGGTTATGAGAAGAGATTGGAACAGTTTGGAGGGCTCAGAAGAAGGCAGGAGGATATGGGAAAATTTGGAATGTTCTAAATACTTATTGAATGGCTTTGACCAAAATGCTGACAATGACATGGAAAATGAAGTCCAGGCTGAGCTGGTCTGCATTGGAGATGAGGAACTTCTTGGGTACTAGAGTAAAGGCCACTCTTGCTATGCTTTAGCAAAGAAACTGGCAGCATTTTGTCCCTGCCCTAGAGACTTGCAGAACTTGAAACTTGAGAGAGATGACGTAGGGTATCTGGAGGAAGACATTTCTAAGCAGGAAAAGCATTCAAAAACATCATAGAGTGTAAAAGTTTGGAAAATTTGTAGCCTGACGATGTGGTGAAACAACAACAACAAAAACTATTGTCTGGGGAGAAATTCAAGCTAAATGTGAAAATTTGCATAAGTAAAGAGGAGCAGAATGTTAATCGCCAAGATAATGAGGAATATGTCTCCAGGGCATGTCAGAGATCATCATGGCAGTCCCTCCCATCACAGGCCCAGAGACCCAGGAGGGAAAAATGGTTTTGTGGGCCAGGCCCAGGACTCTGCTGCTCTGTGCAGCCTTGGGACTTGGTGCCCTGTGTCCCAGCCATTCCAGCTCCAGTCATGACTAAAAGGAACCAAGGTACAGCTCCGGATGTCACTTCAGAGAGTTGAACCCTCAAGCTTTTGTGGCTTCCACTTTGTTTTGGGCCTGTAAGTGCACAGAAGTCAATAATTGAGGTATGGGAACCTCTGCCTAGATTTCAGAGAATATATGAAAACACTTGAATGTCCAGGCAGAAGTCTGCTGCAGAGGTGGAGCCCTTGTGGATAACCTCTGCTAGGGCAGTGTAGAACAGAAATGTGGAGTTGGAACTCCCACACAGAGTCTCCACTGGGGCACCGTTTAGTGGAGCTGTGAGAAGAGAGTCACTGTCCTCCAGGCCTCAGAATGGTAGATCCACTGATAGCTTGTACCTTGAGCCTGGAAAAGCCACAGGCACTCCATGCCAGCCTGTGAAAGCAGCCATGGGGGCTGAACCCTGCAAAGCCACAGAGGCAAAGCTGCCCAAGGCCATGGGATCCACCCTTTGAATCAGCATGCCCTGGATGTGAGACGTGGAGCCAAAGAAGATTATTTCAGAGTTTTAAGATTCCATGACTGCCCCACTAAATTTTGGACTAGTATGGGGCCTGTAGCCCCTTTGTTTTGGCCAATTTCTCCCATTTGAAATGGCATGATTTACTCAATGAATGTATCCCCATTGTGTTTTGGAAGTAACTAACTGCTTTTGATTTTACAGGATCCTAGGCAGAAGGGAGTTGCCTTGTCTCAGATGAGACTTTGGACTTGGACTTTTGAGTTAATGCTGGAATGAGTTAAGACTTCGGGAAACTGTTGGAAAGGCATAATTGTGTTTTGAAATGTAAAAAGTATGTGAGATTTTGAGGGGATGGGGGAGAATGATATGGTTTGGCTCTGTGTCCCAACTCAAATCTCATCTCAAATTATAATCCGCATAATCCCCACATGTCAAGGGAGGTATCTGGTGGGAGAATTGAATCATAGAGGTGGATTCCCCCATGCTGTTCTCGTGATAGTAAGTGAGTTCTCCCAAGATCTCATGGTTTTTTAAATATTTGACAATTCCTCCCTCACACTGTCTCTCTCTTCTGCTGCCATATAAGACATGCCTGCCTCCCCTTCCTCCTTAATTGTAAGTTTCCTGAGGCCCCATGCAGAACTGTGAATCAGTTAAACCTCTTTTCTATATAAATGACCCAGTGTTGGGCAGTTCTTTAACAATAGTTTGAGAATGGACTAATACAACTTCCTAGTATATAGAAAGTGGTAAACCAATATTTGTGAAATAAATGAGGAATTCAATGGTCATTCTATTAAGAACAAATGAAATATATCTTAATTTCCTTGCTCAATGAAGTGTTTATATGTTTGTCTTCTTTCCTTATTTCTTCCACTTCTCTCTTGATTGTTTTCATCCTAGTGTTGAAGTTTTAGACAATTTAGTACCATAATTTGAATGAAGAAATAATACTATAGATGCTATATATGACAAAGAAAATATTATCTTAGTGTGTATGTTGGATCAAAAAATTAGACCCAATAGAATAGAAAGACTATCCATTCTATAGAATATTGGTATGGAAAAAATTAAAAAATAAATTTGCTTATTTGTCTGGTAGATCTCCAAGTGCTTAATTATCAAACCAAAGAATAAATCTTTATTTTGCAGAAAACAGAAAGTAACTGGCAGGTTATGGAGCAGAATAATGACATAATCAAAAAAATGCTTTTGGAAGATCAGTCTTAAAGCCTTTGTTAGAAAATGGAGAGAGAGAGAGAATATGTGTGCATGCGTGTGCATGTGTGTTTGTGTGTGTGTGTGCGTGTGTGTGCGTGTGTGGTGAGAAAGGTACTTTGTAGTTTCAGGAGTAGCCTAGACATATTGGTATAATTTCCCTGTTAGTTTAGGCTAAGTTCAAGGGCTGTACATTTATTTTTTTCTTTGAATTTCTTTGGTGCAATATCAAAGTGTGTAATCAGTAAAGGTGATGATTGGATTGGCCTATGAAAGGCACTTTAAAGGTCTGCATGTTAGAAGTCTGGTCAAGCTCAGCTGGAAACTCCACTAAGGAACTTTCACAATTCAAATCAATCATCTTTCAGACTCCTAATCTGATGTCATCTGCTCATTAGGGTTGTTGGCAGAATTCATGGCTTTATGGTTGGAGAATTGAGGTTTTTGTTTCTGTTCTGGTTGTCAGCCAGAGACAACTCTAGTGGTATAGGCCAACTGCATTTCTGATCAAATGGTCACCTCCATCTCTGGCCAGAAGCAGTGTGTTGAACTCCTCTTAATGCTTCAAATCTTTCTTACTTCCTCTGCTGCCAGCCTGAGAAGATGCTCTGCTTTGTAAGGGTACATGTGATTACATTAGATCAGCTAGGGCAATTTCCCTCTCTAAAGGTCAACAAGTTAACAATTTTAACTACATCTGCCAAATCCCCTTTTCTACATAATATAAATAATCACAGGGCAGAAGTTACACAGGCCATCTTAAGATTCTGCCTGATGCAAGGAAAATGCTGTTCAGATTCATTTAATAGCAGAATTACAGTTTAACTTTTAAAATATTTTTAACAAAAACTCATATTTCCATTTCTTCCAAAGTTGTTTTCATTGATTATTTGTTCAATTCCAAGTTACATTTTCTTTATTTTTCTTAAGAATTGCATATATATTAAAAAGATTTCTATTCATTGGTTCTCATCTTTAAAAAAAAAAACACAGGCAAACTTGCTAAATGAAAACTCTCATCTTTATAAGCATAAATATATCCTTTCAATGATTGCTAGAAAACTATCCAAGTGTAAAACCATCATGAATGAGCATAATTTGCTACTCCTTAAAAAGAATAGTTGAACTAGTTAAAAGTGACATTTAAAAAATACATAAAAAAATTTATGAACCACTCTTTTATAATTCATTTGTTTATAAAATATGAATAATATATTGTTTTCAGTCCTCAGTTAAACCAGTATATTTGGTCATTTAAAAAACACAGTTCTTTAGTAAGACTGTAAATGGTATCTGCAGGTATAGACAGCTTCAAATATTGCAACTTAAACTGACCACAGCATTGTCTTTTAAGAATTACAAATATTATTTTTTGGAATTAACACTTATCACCAAATTGATAAAGTTATTGTTTTTAACAAAATTAAAATTATCATTACTGACTCAAAAATGTATACATTTATTTATTTATTTATTTATTTATTTATTTATTTATTTTGCAGACAGAGTTTTTCTTTTGTCACTCAGGCTGGAATGCAATAGTGCAATCTCGGCTCATTATAACCTCCGCCTCCTGGTTTCAAGCAATTCTCCTGCCTCAGCCTCCTGAATAGCTGGGATTACAGGCACCTGCCACCACACCCAGCTAATTTTTGTATTTTTATTAGAGATGTGGTTTCACCATGTTGGCCAGGCTGGTCATGAACTCCTGACCTCAGGTGATCTGCCCACCTCAGCCTCCCAAATTGTTAGGATTACAGGTGTGAACCACTGCTCCTGGCCTACTTTTTAAACTCCTTCAGGGAAAGGGTTGATTCAAAGGTCTTATACTTGAAATAATATTTTAGCTATTATGGAAAATGAGTTAAATAGTGGATATATAATGTTGAAGACATAAAAACAAACAGTACAGCAAGGAGCAGAGAAAGACAGTACAATAGAAGGCTATGCCAGTCTTCACCACAAAGACACCAATTTAACAACTATTTACAAATTAAAGTACTGTCAAAAAAGCAAAAATCAGATGAGTACTCACCATACATGGTCTTAACTTCATATCCCTGAAAGAGGTACTGAAGAGGTAGGAAAAACAGCCTTGAATCAGAGACGCCCCTCTGCCATCCCATGGCAACAACAGTGTGGTGTGAAAAGCATTTCTGTACCCTAGTGTGACAGAGAGTGCAAAAACTGTGAGACATTGAACCAGTGCTGTCCTGCTATAACAGAAAACAAAACTAGACAAACTCACCTGATGCCCACTCATGGAGGGAGCATTTAAATCAGCCCTAGCCAGAGGGGAATCACTGATACTACCAGATATTACAACTGACACCACAGAAATGCAAGAGATCATTCAAGAGTACTATGAACACCTTTATGCATATAAACTAGAAAACCTAGAGGAGATGAATAAATTCCTGGAAATATACAACCCTCCTAGCTTAAATCAGGAATAATTAGGTACACTGAATCGACCAATAACAAGCAGTAAGACTGAAACAGTAATGAAAAAACCACCAGTGGAAAAATAAAATCCAGGAACAAATGGATTCACAGCTGAATACTATTAGATAGTCAAAGGAAGAATTGGTACCAAAGCTACTGGCACTATTCCACAAGATAGAGATGGAGGGAATCCTTTTTTAAAAAAATTCTATGAAACCAATATCACCCTATTACCAAAACCAGGAAAGGAAATAACAAAAAAAGGAAACTAAAGACCAGTATCTCTGATGGACACAGATGCAAAAATCCTTTAAAAAAATACTAGCTAACCAAATGCAACAAGATATCAAAAAGACAATCCACCATGATCAAGTCAGTTTCATACCAGGGATGCAGGAATGGTTTAACATACACAAGTCAATAAATATGATACACCGCATAAACAGAATTAAAAACAAAAATCACATGATCATCTCAATAGATGCAGAAACAGCATTTCGCAAAAATCTAGTGTTTATGAATGATTAAAACCTTCAGCAAAATCGATATACCAGGAACATACCTCAATGTAATAAAAGCCATCTATGACAAATTCACAGCCAATGTAATACCTAACAGGGAAAACTTGAAAGCATTCCTTCTGCGAACTGGAACAAGACAAGTATGCCCACTCTCACCATTTCTATTCAACATAGTGTTGGAAGTCCTAGCCAAAGCAATCAGACAAGAGAAAGAAATAAAGGACATCCAAATTGGTAAACAGGAAGTAAAACTGTTACTTGTGCTGATGATAGGATTGTATGCCTAGAAAACGCTAAAGACTCTTCCAAAAAGCTCCTAGAACTGATAAGTGAATTCAGCAAAGTTTAAGAATAAAAAGTTAATGTACAAAAATCAGTTGCTCTGCTATACACCAACAGCCACCAAGATGATAATCAAATCAATAATTCAACCCCTTTTATAAAAGCTGCAAAAAAAAAAAAATAGGAATATACCTATCCAAGGAGGTAAAGGCCACTACCAGGAAAACTATGAAACACTGCTGAAAGAAATCATAGTCGACACAAATGAAAACACATCTTATGCTCATGGATGGGTAGAAACAATACTGTGAAAATAATCATACTGTGAAAAGAAGTCTACAAATTCAATGTCATTCCCATCAAAATACCACCATCATTCTTCACGGAACTAAAAAAAAAAAATCCTAAAACTCATATAGGACCAAAAAAGAACCCACACATCCAAAGCAAAACTCACCAAAAAGAACAGATCTGGAGGCATCACATTACCTGATTTAAAACTATACTCTAAGGCCATATTCACCAAATCAGCATGGTACTGGTTTAAAAATGGGCACATGGTCCAATGGAACAAGACAGAGAAACCAAAAATAAACCCAAATACTTATGTCATCTTACCTATATACTTATATTATCTTCAACAAAGCAAATAAAAACATAAGGTGGGGAAAGGACACCCTATTCAACAAATGGTACTGGGATAATTAGCAAGTCACGTGCAGGACAATTAAACTGTATTTTCATCTCTCACCTTAAACAAAAATAGACTCAAGATGGATCAAGGACTTAAACCTAAGACCTGAAACTAAAAATTCTAGAGGATGGCAAAGGCTTTATGACCAAGAACCTGAAAGCAAATGCAACAAAATCAAAGATAAATAGGTGGGACTTAAAGAGCTTCTACACAACAAAAGAAATAACCAGCAGAGTAAACAGACAACCCACAGAGTGGGAGAAAATATTCACAATCTACACATCCGATAAAGGACTAATATTCATAATCTGCAATGAACTCAAACAAATTAGCAAGAATAAAAAACAATCCCATCAAAAAGTGGGCAAAGGACATGAATTGACAGTTCTCAAAACAAGATATACAAATGGCCAACAAACATGAAAAAATGCTCTACATTACTAATCATCAAGAAAATGTAAATCAAAACCATGATATGATACCACTTTACTCCTGCAAGAATGGCCATAATCAAAAAATCAAAAAATACCAGATGTTGGCATGGATGCAGTGAATAAGGAACACTTCTACACTGCTGGTGGGAATGTAAACTAGTACAACCACTATGGAAAACAGTGTGGAGATCCCTTAAAGGACTAAAAGTAGAATTACCATTTGATCCATCAATGCCACTACTGGATATCTACCCAGAGAAAAAGAAGTCATTATAAGAAAAAGATACTGCACAAGCATGTTTATAGTAGCACAATTCACAATTGCAAAAGTATGGAACCAGCCCAAATGCCCATCAATCAACGAGTGAATAAAGAAATTGTGAATATATATATATATATATATGCACACACACACATATATACATATATATATGCACACATATATACATATATATATGTGTGTATATATATGATGGAATACCACTCAGCCATAAACATGGAACAAATTAATGTCATTTGCAGCAGCCTGGGTGTAAATGGAGACTATTCTAGGTGAAGTAACTCAGGAATGGAAAACCAAATATTATATGTTCTCATTCATAAGTGGGAGCTAACCTATGAGAATGCAAAGGCATAAGAATGATACAACAGACCTTGGTGACTCAGGGGAAGGGGTACGAGGTGGGTGAGGGATAAAAGACTACAAATTGGGTTCGGTATATACTGCTCAGATTATGGGTACACCAAAATCTCGCAAATCACCACAAAAGAACTTACTCATGTAACCAGATACCACCTGTTCCCCAAAAACCTATGGAAATAAAAAAATTAAAAAAAAATTTCCTAGGGCAGAGTAATGGCTTTTACTTTGAAGTTCAGAAAATAAAATACATTCCGTCCTGTGGAAAAAAAATACCTCACAAGCACAGGCAAGCAAAGCAAAAATGGATAAATGGGATTACAACAAGTTAAAAAACTTCTGCACATTGAAGGAAACAATCAGCAAAGCGAATAGACAACCCACAGAATTGAAAAAAAATTGCAAACTACTCTTCTGACAAGGGATTGATAATGAGAATATAAAAGGAGCTCAAACAACTCTATTGGAAAAAAACTTCGTAATCTGATTAAGAAGTGGGAAAAATTAAATAGACATTTCTCAAAAGAAGACAGAAATGGCAAATAGACAAAGAGGTGCTCAACATCAGTGATCACTGGATAAATGCAAATCAAAAATATAATAAGATATTATTTCACCCCATTTAATAATAGAAAGAATGAATAAGACATAGTATTTGATAGCACAACAGGGTGATTATAGTCAACAATAATTTACTTGTACATTTTAAAATAATGAAAGGGGTATGATTTGTTTGTAAAACAAATGATAAATGCTTGAGGGGATGAATACCTGGTTCTCCCTGATGTGCGTGTTTCACATTACATGCCTGTGTCAAAAAATCTCATGTACCCCATAAATACACGTAGGATGCACCCACTAACTTAAAAATATGTACTTTAAAAGTGAACAGTAATTATATTTTTTGTGTAGTACCAAGTATTTATAAGGGCCTCTGAGTATCTTTATGCCCTAGAAAAATGAAACAAAATGTGTAATAAATAAATTAACCAAAGTAGTTACAGAACATAAATGGCATCGTGAAATTCAACAGTTGTATAGTGATTACAGTTTTAGGTTCTCAAGTTCAGTAAGATTTCTATTGTTAGTAAAAATTAGAAGAGGGTGGTAACTATACAGACATAGCACTGATTAATCCTAAATTCATGCCTTTTAATTTTTAAATTCATATCCACAGGTTATATTTGTCAGAATTACCTTCTGTCCTCAATTTTTATTTGTTATTTATTTTGATTTTTAAATTGCAAAACGTCTGAAGATATGGATTTACAAATGATGCCTGTTTCCAAGATTAATGGTAATATAACAGGTAAAAAAGGCTCAAAGATATTTAGAGTATTTATCAAAAATATAAAATATTATCACACTGGAGGTATTACAGTTTGGTCATTTACTTTAAGATGCAATCTGTTTGGTGTGTTTAAGTATATGAATAAATGCATGTTTACTTATATGTTTATGTATACATAAACATGTAGTGATATATTTGCATACACATGTGTTTGTGTCTTTGTGTAAAAGGAATTATAGTTCTTTGAAAGACTTTAGATAGTATTTATTTTCCAAATTCATAGTTTACATTGAATATAATTGAACATTGCACAGTATTCATTTCTGTGATAAATCAGTTCAACTGTAAAATTCTATGTAGGCTGCCTTATCAGTGAAAGCTTATATTCATCTAACAAACTAAGGAAAAGAAGAACATTCCTAATATTAATCTTACTCATATTCAACAATATATTGTATTCAAATTACTCTTGTTTTTAGTTAAAAATTTATTAATTTATTCAAATTTCCTATCAAAATTTATTCAAAATTCAAGATGGTGGGAAAACAATGACTTTAGTTCTATATGAAAGATTTGATAATTATTGACCTACTTGGACATTTGTATGTGAATTATCAGCCAATTAAGGGACACTCAAAAATTACTCTAATATTTAGATAGGAAGTGTTTGAGATATTAGGTTAATTCAGCTTATATAAACAATAAACCAAGATGTCAGTTTAAAGATAAAGCTACTACACTTTCTGAATTTTATACTTTGCCTGCCTTAAGTTAGCAATTTAATAAAATATTTGGAAAGATTTAGAGCTATTTTGGCATAACCTTAAAGAAATAATTTTGATGTTTGATAATATAGGGAGACACATTCATTAGTAATAAAGTGACAAGCTATACTATTGAATTATAGGACAGAATAACAGCAAATTATGACAAAAATTAAAATAAAGATGGCCCAAAATTATCAATGGAAATATGCATTTATAAAACTTAAGAAGACCTGAAGAAATATGTTAAAGTGAAAAGTCTCAGCAAATATTACTGAAAATTAAAACTGAATGATTAGAAAAAGCGTTGAAATATGTTTTTTATTTATTTACTTTGTTGTAAATATTTAATCATGGCAATCAGAAAATAATACCAACAACAACAGCCCCAAATGATTTGATTATAGCAGTTTACAAATATCATTTTTAAGTAGTTACATATTTTAGTATTTCAAAAATTTAGATGTTCCAAATTTAATATACTTATAATTACGTGCTTAATTTCTTCAAATGTATGGATCATCTTTCTTCACTTTTTAATTCAGTGAAACAACCTTTGGGTCCGTAGTTTAAGCTACAACTGTTTCTGATCGTCCTTTTACCACAAAATCATTTTAAGATGATGACTGCACTGATAAGACCAACCAGTTTTTAGGTTGATTCCATTACCTGTACATATGCTCTGCATTTATCCTTAAAAAGATTTTCAAAGTTATTTGATCGCCAGTAAAATGGTACATCATAAAACACAAAAATAGCAATTAAGTAAAACCTATTTTATTGTTGTTTCTTGAGAAAGTGTAATGCATAGATGATTTTAGAGACTTGTGTTTTCCTTGGTGAATTTCAAACATAAAAATAGGATGTAATTTATATACTATGAAAACTTATTTCCATTTATGAAGCAATACTTTGAAATGGTGAAATATTAAATGACAGTCCCTTTTGGTTCATGAAGGAGGTGGATGGCTCTGTTACATTACACTAACTTTGTAAATTAAGCATTATGATGCTCACTTTACCCCCTTTGCTTAATCTCCTTCTCTGTCAGCTGTGCGTTTTGCATTTGAGTAATAAAACTCACAGAATATTAGCTACTCAGAAGGTTTTATTTCATATCTGAGAGGCTCTCCAATTTTTAAAATCACAGAGATTTCCTATTTAAGGTCAGTTATTATATTATGTGTCACATCTCTTAAAAATTAAATATAGCCATCTTTATCTTTCTGCTTCACCTGAGGGGCTAGTGTGTCATTCTTATTACCCAACACATAAATGGCTCTTTAAAATGAACTGGATTTATTTGGCTTAAAAAAACTTTGATATTTAAATTAAACACAACCTTAATTAAATTTGTAGTTCAAGAGGAAAGGCAATGATGCTTCAGCTAGAGGGAAATAGCTGTAATTATACCCACTATCTCAGAGATGAGCTTATTACTTTTATATATTAATAAGAAATATATAAATATTCTGGCAACTGCTTTATAAGTTATCTCTACATCTTCTATCAAGTATTTGTACTAATTTCTGGCATAAACACAAACTTACATTTGTAATTATGAAACTATTTTACTTTAGTATTTTTTTAACATTTTTGGTTGTTTTGAACTAGTTTTAATACATTATATATGTTAATTTATTACTAAAATTTAAGACATTTCATTCTCTGACACACGTTAATTTTTTTCAATAAATTAAAACAAAATTTAAAAATAGTTTTATGTATACATATTTCCTGCCCATTGTGATTATGAATTTTGGGGAATATAAATTTTAACTTTATTTCCATTCTTTTATGAATGTGTGTCCATAGAGTTGTCACATAATCTCATTTTTTAACCTGTAACTGGGAATGATAAAGTACATATATAAGGTAGCTCAGAGCCTAGAACATTGTAGCCGTCAAAATAGAAGTTATTATTTTAATTTTATGTAATATTTATTAATATTTATCTAATAATATTTTAATATTATTTTAATCAAAGAATAATTTACATAAAAACTGCCTAAAGTCTCTTTGAAAATCCAGCTTCTTTTTAAATTTTGCCATACTCATTGACACATATTTCCAATGATAATTTCTACTTCAGCTCACTAAAGTATAATGTGTTGAAAGTGAAAAAAATTAAAATCAGGAATTTATAATTATGGAATTTTAAAGTTGTTATATATCTTAAAGATAGCTTATCTAGCACCTTCATCTTTGAGACAGAAGCTAGTTACCTAAAGTCTCCAACTAGTTATCAGCAGACTAGTGTTTAGAACAAAGCTATACTGGTGACATAAAGCAATTTTTCCCGAATGCCAAATCCCTCCATAATATATACTATCCTTAAACTTTCAATGATTTTCTTAATTTTATGTATTTATGTATGTATGTATATATGTATGTATGTATGTATTTATTTATTTATTTATTTATTTATTTTTAGAGACAGGATCTTGCTTCTATTACCCTGAATGGAGTGGAGTGGCATGGTCATAGCTCACTGCTGACTAGGACTTCTGGGCTCAAATTATTCTACCACCTCAGCCTCCCCAGCAGGTAGAACTACAAGTGTGGACTGCCACACCCTGTTAATTTTTAAATTTTTTGTGGAGATGGGGTCTTGTTATATTGCACAGGCTGGTCTTGAACTCCTGGTCTTACGTGATCCTCCCCCGCTCTGCTTCCCAAAGCACTAGGATGACAGGTGTTAACCAGCACTCCTAAACTGATTTCCTTTAATTAGCAATGACATACATATTCATTTTTGATGAATACCTACAAATCGATGAAAAATTTTATTGAAAAAAAGAAATTCTTATTCTACTAATTTGGTCAAAAATGCATATATATTTCCATTGCACTTTTCCCAGTTCCTTTCTTTCTTCACTCTCTATTGATTACAACTTAAAAGCAATTAAGTATATTTACTTACCAAAACTAGTGTGATCCTATTTATAGTTACTGGGAAATTACATCTGTCAAATCTGTCATAGGATTTCTACATGAGAAAGAAGCTAATCTACATGATATGTTAATTATCAATTGCTGTATAATAAATTATTCCCAAACTTGGTGGTTTATAACAACAACATTAAGTTCTGGGGTACATGTGCAGAACGTGCAGGTTTGTTACATAGGTATACACGTGCCATGGTGGTTTGCTGCACCCATCAACCCGTCATCTACATTAGGTATTTCTCCTAATGCTATCCCTCCCTAGCCCCCCACCACCCGACAGGCCCCGGTGTGTGATGTTCCCCTCCCTGTGTCCATGTGTTCCCATTGATCAACTCCCACTTATGAGGGAGAACATGTGGTGTTTGGTTTTCTGTTCTTGTAATAACAACAACATTATGTATCTCAGTTTCTGTGGGCTAGGAAGCCAGGTGCTACCTGGGTACCTCTCACAAGGCTGCCTTCAAGGTGCCGGCGGAGCTAGCAATGATCACAAGACTACTGACAAAGGAGTCATTTTAAACTCGCTCACTTGATTGTCACAGGACTCAATTATTTGCAGGCTGTTCGCCAAAGTCTTTGCTTGGCCCATTAGTGCAGGTGCATTTCTACAGGACAACTCATGACACGGCTGCTGTTTCACTGGAGAGAGTAAGAGAAGACAAGAGAGAAAGAGAACAAACAAGATGAAAGTCGCAGTTTTTTATAAAGTAATCTTGCGAGTAACATCTCATAACTTTTGCTGTTTTGTATTTATTACAAGCAAGTAATTAGATCCTGCCTATACTCAAAGATAGGGTGTTACACAAGCATATGAATATCAGGGATGGATACCACTGGGAGACATTTCAGAAGCTGCCCGAGAGATATTATTAATTTGAGAAAGTTAGCTTTATGGATTTAAGAAAGCACAGAATAATGTTCCCATGATTGTATGAAAGCGGCTTTATTTTTTAAAAGTGGTCCAAGGATTTTATTCCAAGCACTTCATATTTTTTTCTTGATTTATTAAAAAGAAATTGCTGATGAGTTCTCTGCCACTCATTGAAAGTTCTTTTTTCTTTTGATCAGATTAATAAATTACTTACAGAGTTCAAGATGATATTTATTTAGTGATAAGCATGTAGAATTTTCTTTCTAGTCTCAATCATGAAGTTGAGAATCCATTTATACTTCTATTTATTATTTTTCTTTTCTTGTTATTTACTTGCCGCTATTTATTTCAAACTGCAGAACTCACTTTACGAAGTTGCAGTTGGCTTTTGTGGCAAACATATTAAACTCAACTTAGTACCATGAGTTGAAGAAAATTTATTTTGATCTCAGAAGTAAAAATCAAACCTCTAATACACATAAAAAGCTGTAAAATTTTGCAGCAGTATACTTTTTAAATAAAAGAAGCCTCACTAAACTAGATGAATTAACTTTTATAATATGGACTGGACGGATTGCTTTTCTATTTCCAAATAGTAGACTCATTAAGAGAATACTGAAAATGCACTTCACACATACGAGAATCTCAGAGGAGGACAATAGAATGTAGAAGCCAATAATTTTAGCAATCACAATATTCAACATATGAAAATCAGGAAAAATGTTTAATTTAAAAATATACATAAAATGAACAAAAACATGTAATCGGAAAGCATAAAAAATATAATCTGGTTGTTTGAGTAGTTTATATGGTTTTGCTGTGTCCCCACCCAAATCTCATCTTGAATTGTAGCTCCCATAATTCTCCTGGGTTGTGGGAGAGACACAGTGGGAGGTAGTTGAATCATGGGGTCGGGTCTTTCCAGTGCTGTTCTTTTGAGAATGAATAAGTCTCGTGAGATCTGATGGTTTGATAAGGGGCTTTTCCCCCTTTTGCTCGGCACTTCTTCCTGCGATCATGTGAAGAAGGACGTGTTTGCTTCTCTTTCCATCATGATTGTCAGTTTCCTGGGGCTTCCCAAACCATGCTGAACTGTAAGTCAATTAAATCTCTTTTCTTTATAAATTATCAAGTCTTGGGTATGTCTTCATTAGCAGACTAATACAGTAGCATATTTCCCTAAAAATAGAAACAAGTACTTCCCTTCTCAATTTTTTTTTTTTTTTTTTTTTCCGACGGAGTCTCGCTCTGTTGCCCAGGCTGGAGTGCAGTGGTGCTATCTCGGCTCACCGCAAGCTCCACTTCCCGGGTTCACGCCATTCTCCTGCCTCAGCCTCCAGAGTAGCTGGGACTACAGGCGCCCGCCACCATGCCTGGCTAATTTTTTTGCATTTTTAGTAGAGACGGGGTTTCACCGTGTTAGCCAGGATGGTATCGATCTCCTGACCTCGTGATCTGCCTGCCTTGGCCTGCCAAAGTGCTGGGATTACAGGCGTGAGCCACTGCACCCGGCCTTCCCTTCTCAAATTTTTGAAAAACTCTTCTAAATTTAAATGTTGCTGGAAGAGTAAATATATTAATGAGTAGTAAATAAAATAGCTTACCTACTTTAAAGTCAGGTGACTTTTACTTTATGTTTGTTTTGAATGTCATGTTTATTTTATATTATGGAGCATATAATATATTGACTGTGTTATTGAGATAATAATTTTGGATATGTTGTCAGTATATAGTGAGACAAGGTAATAAAATCACTGCCATGAAGCTCTCTTCCACAAAATCTCAACAAAAGTAGGATACAGTATTGAGGAGACAAATTATTATTTTTATTTCCATTTCCATTTATAGTGGGACAGTTTTATTCTATTATTTTTATTTATAATTAGATGAGTAATCTAGGGTTACTGTAAAAATATTAGATGGTGCAAATACAAAGGAAGAAAAATATTTTCAACATTACACTCACCAGCAAGAGATAACCACAATTAACATTTTGATTCATATACTCCCATAGTGCATTCAGTACAAATATATACCTATCTATTTCTATTTCATAACTAAACTTTGTCCTTTATGATTTCCTACTCTGACCATACATAGGATCGTAAGGCCCATGTTTGCTCTTCTTCGGAATTGTCCTGGCTAATTCTCTCTCCCCACCCATAACTCAGCAGAATTTATGGGCAAAAATGTGAGTGGATACCAAATATAAAAGTTGTATTTATATATTATCAATATGTGGAATTACCCACATTAATAATTATATCATAAATAACAAAGTGAATCTTTAACTGCTTTTGCAAGTTTACTATAATATTTAGATGTAACCTTCAGGGAAATCTTGCAAAGTATTGCTATTTTACTCTCCTGTAACAAATTACCACAAATGTACCAGTGTAAAACTACACATATTTATTATCTAAGAATTTCACTGAGAGATGAAATTTGGGGGGCTACCTTTAAATTCTGTCTAACAAAATTAAAGGCCTTCAAAGAAACAGTTAAAATACTTAAGTGTTTAACTGAAGGGTTATATTACTGTGATTTACTGTACTTTAAAAAAAAAAAGACAGATATATAAAGATAAGACAGATTTAGATAGTTTTTTGCTTTATTGAGTAAAATAAGTTTCAATTCCAGAGAAAAATATCTGTAATTATACTCACAGTGTATATATATGTACATAAGTGCATGTATATGTGTGTGTATGTAAAAATACATATATATTCTTCCTATATAAATGAATGAATTAGAAATGCCAGGCTTTTACAAATCACAAAAGTTATTTCTGTAATATTTTCATATTTTAGTTGAATTATGGCAATGGTGTAATGTGTCACACAAAATATAAAATTGGTATGATATAAAACACTAATTACGTATAAAGCCTGTTGTGTACCCATTGTATTTATAAAACAAATAAAGTTTAGTAAGGAATAACCAATTTATCTTTACTATGGCATGAATAATTTGATTTGTTAATATAATTGTAGTGAGAAATTTATTGAAATACAAATGTTGTAAGTCAAATTCTAATATGCCTTTATTTGTAATATTATATATATAATTTACCATATATATAAAACTTAAATTCTATCTATATCTATATTTATATAAAATTCAACATCACCTTGGCACTAAGTAAATCACACTGTGAATGTTAACCTCAATAACAGAGAAGTGCATTTTAAACTAGACTCTATTATAATAGAATATTTATACTTAAATAGCCCTTTCAATCTTACTGTCCTCTTTTGGGAACATTCATCATAGATATTTAATTTTAAAGTCCATCTAATGCAATTTCCTAATTTATTAGAAGTGGAAACTGGGCCCTGTTTTAGAAATGTTAGGTGTCTTGCCATTGGCACTTACTAATGGATGATGGAAGTAGGATAAGACAGGCCCTCCTAACTCCAGGCTCTCTGCTCTTTCCCCCACCATTAAATGACCTTCCCTGCTTTGATGCTAATTCTAATACAAAGGTTCTCATTCTTGATTTGAAAAGCTATTGGAATTATGTATACTAGTAATGTAACATGTAACACTGAATTAATACTGCACTTTTTCAGAGTTCCCCAGCTGCCACACGCATTTTGTATGAATCCTGTGATAAATTTGAGCTTTGAGCTTGCTAACTTTAAACATGTCAAACATCAATATTTTTGTCAAAGTTAAGTTTTAGAAAATAGTAAGACAAAGACTCTATCAGATGTGCACATAACTCTAGTTAAAATATTATTTACAGCAGTCAAAAATTAGACATAACCATAATGTTCTTTAAACTGGTGTTTGAATAATGGAGGAATAAATTGAGCAAATTATTCAAATATTTCACAACAAATTATTGCCTGGAAGTCTTATAAGCTTTGAGATAAAATTATGTGCACTCTGTCCTCACTGGGCTGACAATTTAGCAGAGAGGATACAAACAGGAAATAGCCATCTAATAAAGTTGGGTCAGCCAATCTAAACTAACTGGACTCATTTGAGATTGGAAATTACAATATAAGCTCCTAAGAAAAGTAAATATGAAGGTCCCAGCAAGGAAAGAAGAAACTAGGAAATTTTATCACTTGTTACATGGTAAAAGGCTTACAGCTCATGAAGAATATTCACATCCATATTTGAGGAGTTTGGATTTTATCCTAAAATAAAAGAGAAACAATAAAGGATTTTAACAAGAAAGAACCATACGTTTTTAGAAAAGTTTCTCTGGCTGCATAGGGAAGCATAAATCAGAGAGTAATTGGATGGCACACCAGTTAAGTTCTGGTATTAATTTTAGATAGAAGTTGTCTTTGAAAACGCTGATGCTGTTGTGGGCCCAGAAGGGTAGTTAGATTCAAGTCCTCTGATCATTACTGAGAAGGAAGGGCCAAGTTCACCTTCCAGGTTTCACCATGGGCTACTGAGTTTATCATAGTATTATTCACTGAGATTAGGAACTCAGAATAAACAATGCACTAGAAAGGTAAGATGAATTTTTATAGGTAACTCACACCAACTTTTCTCAAACAGAAATCATCCATGTAGATTTATAGGAGGATGTTGAGGGAACTTTGGGGTAATGTCACTATTAAAAGATAAGTTATAAAAGTTCATTGACCTAGAATCAGGCTAAAGATGTAGTGACATAAAATTTTGCATATCTATAGCTATAATATGAAAAGGTCTGAGAAAATAGACAATGTATTAACAATATTTATGTTAGGTAGCATATGTTTTATGATATTCACTATTATTATATTTAATTTTAAGTTCTGACCACTTTGTGATCTCGTAAAAAAAAAGTATTAAAACAACTTTGTTAATTAGAAACTCTGCTTTTCTGTACTTATAAAAATAATTAAACCTGAAGCTTGATATTTTTGTCTTACCTTGCTGTTTTTCATTATTCTAATTTCATTTTGATAGCATCACATGTATATTTTGCAGAGTACTATATACTTGTAATAACACTACTTACTTCTTCCTCTAGGAAATATTAACTGTACTTCCAGTTTTTGTTTTATATATTTTTCATAATGGCATTTATTTTATTGTCAATTAACATCACTCTCCACCCGTGGTATTAAATATGTAGTTTTTAAATATGCTGTATCTTTTCTTGGAAACATTTAAGAGTCACAGTCCTCTGCAACAATTCCCAATGTTATCTACAAGTAGACGATTTTCAAAGGGAATCTACATATACATGTTAGATAAGTTGTTAAAGCTTTTCACCATGCACAGAAAAAAAAACTACTCAATTCCAATGTCTAAAGTACAGATAATATATAATAAATTAATCAATGTGGTGACAAAACAGTTGAAGCAGGTAACAAAGGAAAAAAAGTCAAACATCCTAGAGTAAGCTTAGTTTGAGTAATCAGCGAATAGAAATATTATGTGATCATAATTATGCTTTTAGGGATGTATAATCATTTAAGGACATGTTTCAATAAGTCATATCATTTGTATATCAATGCAATAATTTATGTTTCATAAAAATTTGAAGGACAGTATTAGAGACTAAAGTTAAAATACTATGCTTCTAAATAAAACTGGAAAATTTAATGTCTTGGCAAAGTCTTTACGAATATTTGTCTCTGGGAGAATATTCTAACTACAGGATCATGAATGAACTGGAAGAATGAACAAAAGTAATGCCCCAGACATGACCCTCAACGAATGAAAAATAGGATATAATGGATAAATGGCTTCTATTAGTTCCTCTTAGTGCTATAAAACTTTACCACAAATTTAACCACTTAAAGTAACAGAAATTTATCATATAGTGCTGTAGGTCGGAACTGCAAAATTCTTCTCACTGGGCTGAAATCAACATTTCTCAGGGCTGTTTTCCTTCTGGAGGCTCTAGGGGATATTCTGTAGCTTTCTCTTTTCCAGATTCTAAAGGCTGCCTGCGTTTCCTGGTTTGTGGCCCCCTTGCATCTTCATAGCCATCAATGCCTAGCTGACACATTCTCATGATGCCATACGGATTATTTGTCTGTGAGAGAATTTCTTGAAGAGATCAGCATTTGGATCAGTAGACTGGGTAAACATGATCACCCTCACCAATACAGGCAGGCATCATCCAACCCACTGAAGGCCTGAATAGAACAAAAAGGCAGTACTCTCAGTACTCTCAGTACTCTGGACATGTACCATTGGCTCTTCTGGTTCAGGATGCTGACTTTCTTGGTTCTCCAGTGTGCAGAGGGCACACTGTGGGACTTCTTGGCCTCCATAGTCACAGAAACCAATTCCTATAATAAGTAAATCTTTCCCTCTCTCTCCAAATGTATATATAAAAATATAATATATAATATAGTATAATATATAATATAATTATATAATATATACTATATAATTATATATTACATAATATACAAATTTATATATATATATAAATTGTACACACACATATACAAATATATATCTCATATTGTGTAGAATATTCTCTCAGAGACAAATATCCATGAATACTTTGCCAAGTACTGGAACTATCTGCAGCGTACTGACAATCTCTCTTACATGCCCTTTTAGGTCTTCTGGCCCATTAAAAATATACATGTATATTTTTCTGAACCACTTCATAGTAGGTTGCTTACCTAATACCCTTATCTCCGTAATAATTCAGTACACATTCTCTAAGAAATAATTTAATTCCTATGTAATCACAGTATGGTTCAAAATATAGTGTTCAAAATTAGAAAATATAACTTTACTGCAATACTTTTATTTAATCTCTCGGGGTTTTAAAAATGTGTTTGCCTGGGAATATCTATTTCATTTTAATTTTCCAAGGATTTTAAAAATAATATAGCATTTTTTAATTGGATTTTTTCTCCAAAATTTATGATGTCATTTGTCTGCCTTCTTGATTCCATACTTTCAGTTGAAATCACATCTATTTGTCTTCTTTTTGCTCCTTAAAGATAATGTGGATTTTTCATCTGGCCACTTTAAGATTTCCCCTCTGAACTGGCATTTCGAAATTTTACTGTGCCACTCCTAGGGTTTATTTTCCTTATGACTATCCTACTTGCAGTTCATGCACCTTCTTAAGTTCATAGGTTTTGGTCTTTTATCTACTTTGCAAAAGAATGAGTAATTCAAGAAAAATTGCTTCTGTCATTTTAGCTTTCTTTAATTAAACCACAGACATTTTCGAAGCTCAAATATATGTATTATGAGTTTCTTAAGTATTGCAAAAACATTTTTTTCTCATGTTAAAGATTGGATGAGAAATACATAGAAAATACCATGTTTGGACTAGGGAGAATAAAGATTTTAAAAATCTCTTTGATGTGTTTAATCCATTTCTATTTTTTTCCTCTCTTCTTTATTCTCTCTTTCTCTTTACATTTTAGTACTTTTATTTTTCTGGCATGCTTGGTAGGTTTTTTTAAAAAAAGTCTTCAATTTGTATGTAAAATTGCAGTCATTGGTTGATGTACTCTTCTTCCAGGATGGTTGAACTTTCCCCTGGCCATTATTTAGAATTCAGATGATATCTTTTGGTATCTTTGATATCACATGATATATTTGAGTTTTATGTCAAGTTTACTTATGGTTTAATCTTAGTCCAGAATATACATTTTTCTCCTAGAGCGTAACTTTACTTCTAGAGCTTACATCTTCTGGCCCCTGAAAAATGCTTCATGACTTGACCATGACATGCCCATACTTTAATCTAGGCTCTTCAGGACAACAAGGCTCTGAAGTGTTATTTTTGAATTCCAGTTATTGTTTTTTGCTTTATTTCTGTTTTCCTTTGTACATGTCCACCGTAAAAGTTGACAGCTCAAAGAAGATAGCAGGCATGCAGACTTTCGGCTGCACGGGGTTTTCATCACTTTAAGCCACAGTCACCTTTGTAGCTTTTTAACTTCAACCTGTCTGTGTTACTAGGTGACACTACTGAAAGCCAAAATAAATATATATTTTCTTAGACTCTAATTGTCCACACCGGAAATGTAAATATTCCATGTGTTAAAAAAAAGTGAATGTGCGGCCTTGGTGTGGTGGCTCACGCCTGTAATCCCAGCACTTTGGGAGGCCAAGGCAGGTGAATCACGAAGTCAGGAGATAGAGACCATCCTGGCTAACATGGCGAAACCCCGTCTCTACTAAAAATACAAAAAATTAGCCGGGCGTGGTGGCGGGCGCCTGTAGTCCCAGCTACTCGGGAAGCTGAGGCAGGAGAATGGCGTGAACCCGGGAGGCGGAGCTTGCAGTGAGCCGAGATCGCGCCACTGCACTCCAGCCTGGGCGACAGAGGGAGACTCCGTCTCAAAATAAAGAAAGAAAGAAGGAAGGTAAATGAGGAACATGTCTGAGTCCCAGTTCACATCCCTTCTCTCTAGAATGTGGCCCCTCACATTCTATATCCCTTTTATTGCTCTCTTATATCCTCTGAGTATTTTTGTGTATTTTATACGTTTTATACTTGTTTTCAGCAGAAAATTTAATTTGATTAAAAACTCAACAGTCAGGACCCAATGTGGAAGTCCTATTTGTTAATATTTTTACCATTTTGAAAATAATTCTAACATAAAATTTATACATAAATATGAGAAAACGTTTGGGTCCTGAAAGTCCCCGTGTAGGTTAAAATTATCTTAGTTAACTATTTTAAGTTAAAACTGTCATTTAACACTTAGACAACCTTCAATAATGCAGCTTATTTGATTTTGCCTGCTCTGCAAGTATTAGATTGGTGCAAAAGTAGTTGAAGTTTTTGAAAGTAATGGCAAAAACCGCAATTACTTTTGCACCAACATAATACTAGTTACTGATGTCAAATGAAACTTTACATATTACTTAATTACAACCAATAGTAAAAGAAGTTCATGTATTTATTTAGCAGTAACCTTCAATGGTATAAAAATGTTTTAAGAAAAAGAAAAGTTAGAATTATTGATTTTGAAGTACAAATTATGAATATTAACTGGAATTATGCATTTTGATGAGAATTTCTCATGCAGTATGGACTCATATTTAAGGTTTAATGAGTTTAAGAGTGAAGGAATGAATCTTTTATTTCAGTGAACACTGTTTGAAATTATATTTTTTCATAATAAATAACTAAAAGCTTGCATATACACAAACATGAAAAAAGGAAATGTAACATGATTTAATATCTAATACTTGGAAATATTAGAGGAGAAAAGCCCACTTTTCTTTAGCAAAATCATTAAAGGAATTTTAGGAAGATTCATGAAAATGTAGATGAGTGACACTAAACCACAGTGTCCTTTTAAACATTTATAAGATTTTATTACTGAAGAGTCTATACTTAAGTATAGTAATAAAAATAAAAATCATTTAATTTATTGGCAGAATATATAAATGTTAAATAAAGAGACTATGACTTGGAATAATCAAGTAAATTTGCAGTTTGGCTACTTCTACCTAATACGTCTTTAAATTCTGAGCTTCATTCAAGACAGAGCATAAGGCAATTTCTTAGGTGCTCAACTTAACTGGAGAATGATTGTTTCATCTTAAACTTTAAATAAGCAATTAAAATATAAGTTTCATTCTGCCAGTATCATGGAGAATCTCTCCCATATGGACAATTAAGCCTTAAGACAAGATTATTTTATAGTTTTTGAAAGAATAATAATGGATTTTCTCAAAAGTAGACTTAACTTTCGCTTTTAACTCTTCTTTTTTTGTAATTTAGCTATATAGTTCAGAAAGTTTTTCCAAATTTATGGTAGTAGTCTTACATTCTAGTATGTTCAGAGTGGTCAAATATGCTCTTCATTTTTATAAGAAGACTATAGTGACGAGCTATGCTAGCTTTGATGCTCCTCTCTTTTTCTTCACCTTTTATTCATTTTTTCTTCTCTTTCTAGCAACATATCACATTATTTCTTCAGTTCTGATACTTGTGGTAAAATATATTTGTGTACTGAGTAACCTATGATAAGAAATACATAACCCGGTGTGCTAGGGTGATAAGTTGTGCAAGGCGGCAGATCAAGGAATACAATGTGTAAAGGACATCAGGCTTATTCAGGAAGAGAAATCTGTTGGGTGACGAATGGCAAGGGATGTACTCCACACAAACAAGAACTAGAGATCTCCAGAACTTAAACAGGAAATAAAATATAACTGAAATCAAGGATTCTAGAGGAATTTCAGCGACATGTCTAAGAGAGAGACACATAAGCCAATGAATATTTCACCAAACAACCCAAAAAGGTTACCCAGGATTTGGTACCACTCGTTCAGTGTAACATGGTGTTTATCATGTAAAACATTTAAAAGGTGACGTTGCTTTTTAGGAGAATCTGTAGTTTAAAAAGAATGTAAAAGTAGCATACAAATTTATAAAGAAAAACATTTTTTTGACAAAGTAAGGAGCACTTTAGATTTAAGGAATAATGGTAATAAAAATAAAGTATAAGGCAAAGTGCTATCTCTAGCACATAATAGTTACTCTTTATTGAGAAATTTTAGAGGCTACTCAGATAAATTATATACATTATTTCTTGTAATTTTAACAAAAAAACTATCATCACCATGTTACTAATAAAGAAACTGAGATGTTCAGAGTTTTTGTACTTTCCATAGTTAACATTCTCCAATACATGGCTCACAGAAAAGTCTTTGCTTTCGTTTCTCACTCATTTGTGGAAGCTAATAATTAAAACAATTGAACTCATGGAGATAGATAGTAGAAAAATGGTTACCAGGACCTGGGAAGGGTGGTGGGGTTGGTTAATGGTTGCAAAAATATAGTAAAGTAGAATGAATAAGATCTAGAATTTGATAGCACAATAGGGTGGCTACAGTAAACTGTAATTTAGCATCTATTTAAAAAATAACTAAAAGAGTAGAATTGGAATGTTTATAACACAAAGAAGTGATAAGTGCTTGAGGTGATGGATACTCCATTTACCCTGATGTGATTATTTCACATTGCATGCATGTATCAAACTATTTCATGCACCCCATAAATATATACCCCTACTATGTACCCATAAAAATTTTAAAAAATTAATTTTAAAAAAAGTCTTTACCTTGTACTTTGTTCTGGGAAGAATCCAAATTAAGGCATTCTATTCTAGAAATATTTCTTTGAAATTCACACTCAGGCCGGGTGTGGTGGCTTACGCCTGTAATCCCAGCATTTTGGGAGGAGAAGGCGAGTTGATCACCTGAGGTCAGGAGTTCGAGACCAGCCTAGCCAATATGGTGAAACCCTGTATCTACTAAAAATACAAAAATTAGCTGGGCGTGGTGGCAAGGGCTTGTAATCCCAGCTACTCAGGAGGCTGAGGCAGGAGAATTGCTTGAACTTGGTAGGCAGAGGTTGCAGTGAGCTGAGATTATGCCACTGCACTCCAGCCTGGGGAAACAAGAGCAAAACTCCATCTCAAAAAAAAAAGAAAAAAAAAGGAATTCACAATCAGTAATTCATGTTTAGGAGTTATTGACTGACATTAAGAAAGCTTCACCCTTTCACTTGAATATAGGGTTCTAGCGGTGATGATCTTTATTAAACTCATGTTTGCAATCCCCAAAGAGTTTAGTGCAGTATCTTAGACACACCCAATAAATATTTGTGCAAATAATCATATCAAGTGACTTTGTTTAATTTATGGTATCAGGACTCTTTTATAGTGATGTTTTATACAAGGCTTAATAATACGGTACCTAAAACAAATCAGAAGTACGTTGAAGATGAAAAATATAAGTGATATAATTATTATAATATATGAATCCATATTTTTCTACCGTAATAGTAAAAGGTATACATTTAAAATTATAAATTTATAAAAATTGTAATATGAAAGTAGAAAGCATTTTTTATTTGCTAATCACAAAATGTTGTTAAAAATAGAAAGAGGGATGAAAGGTATTTGTTTTAATCAACTAGCATCTCTGAATATAATTCAGTCAGTGCAATGCTATCTATCTGGAACATACTTTCATTCTTAAAATCATGAATCTCAATGCCTTAAATATTGTGAATAATCCTTTTATTTAAACAGCTTGATAATTATCTCTGTTATCATAACAATAATAATGCAGTCTTTTATCTAGCCATAGTGTAAAATAATATTCTATACATTAATGCAACTTAGAAAGCTATAAATTATTTTTGTTAATTTACTCACTGATTATTTCTATTACTCTCTGAAAGCCTATAATCTTAATCACGTAGCATTAAATTCAAAAGAAGATTTGTTGATGATGAAAATGATTTAGATACAAACAAAAAACATTTTATATGATTAGTATGACTTTTCCAGGTCATCAATAAATAGTAAAATACGTAATTTATTTTTTTGCTACATCATGTAGCTTATACAGTTTGCATTTTGCAATTATTCATCCCTCTTTAACCTGAGATTTAAAAGAAAATACACTCAACTCAGAGCTGGCCTGGCTACATTTCAGTCATTATCTTTGCAGAAAGAATACTTGGTTTACTGTGGTAATTAAAAGGCTGTCTTATGTATTTGGTCCAGTGAAATCAGTTTTAATACTAGCCTCTAGATATTAACACTTAACCACATAATTATAAAATCTTAGTGGTAAGGAGGAAAAGGTAACAAACAGGAATTAATTACTCAGCCTCCTAGTTTCCAACCTCTTATCCTAGGACAGAAATTCATAATTCGATACTCTGTCATGAAAAAATACGAGTGACTATGGTTATGATGTCATTACTGATTTTGGTTAAATACTTGTTTGCTTCTGGACTCTTTATTTTAATGCTTTCATTTTTTTCCGACTCAATAAAAACAAAAGTAGAATTATATCTCAAGTTATTGTTTGAATTTTCAGTAGTCTATAATAGCAATTCCAACTGCTGATTTCAACATAGCCAGCCCAGCATGGGCTTTCCTGCACCAGCTCCTGGCTTTTGAAGCAAAGCTAATTTCTCACACGTTCCTCTCCTGTGGGAAGGTAATTATATCAGAAATATGGGAGGTAGGGGGAAGGTCAGTGCTTGGTTTTTAAGATATTTTGTGGTACTTTGGAAAAAATTATTTTAAAATATCACAATTTGTAAAACACACAAACTACTCCACTCCAGTCCAGTGGTACTGACCGATACATCTTCATTCATTCATTCATCCATTTATTTATTTACTAAATAATTCTTGACTTGCAAATATGTTCCAAGTGTTTGGCTAGATGTGTAATAAGCACTGAGTTTGTACTACTTGCCTGTGTAAAATGTATAATAGAGTGGGTATCTCAGGAAATAAGCAAACACACAAAAAAGTAAATAACTATAACATGCGACATGTTAGGAAGATAGAGAATACAGTTACAGAGAACAGTATGGAATATAACTTAATTTAAAAGTTCTTTTGGACAGGCGCAGTGGCTCACGCCTGTAATCACAGCACTTTGGGACGTCAAGGCGGGAGGATCACCTGAAGTCAGGAGTTCAAGACCTGCCTATCCAACATGGCAAAACCCCGTCTCTACTAATAATACAAAAATGAGCAGGGCGTGGTGGCGGGCGCCTGTAATCCTGGCTCTCAGGAAGCTGAGGCAGGGAGAATCCTATTTGAACTTGGCAGGCAGAGGTTGTAGTGAGCAGAGATCTCATCATTGCACTCTAGCCTGGGCAACAAGAGTGAGGCTCCATCTCAAAAACAAAAACAAAAACAAAAACAAAAACAAACAAACAAACAAAAAACAAACAACAACAACAAAACCCAGAAGTTTCTTTAAAAGAAGTCACCTGTTTTAGTTTTTAGAAGGAAAGGAAAGAACCACATATATGAAGATAGTGTTATAGAAAAGAATCATGAGTAAGTCAGGCTTTAACAGAGAAAGGGTCATTTGGAAGATTTGGGAAACAGAACACCAGTGTTCCTGGGGAAACATCCTGACTAAAGAGGAAAGAAACTTTAAAGAAAGAAACTGTAATAGATAACTGGGGAACAAAATAGGCTATAGAACATAATGTAGATTTCATCTAAAGTATGATGCTGAGAGTTGAAGGGTTTTAAGCTAATTTTTTTTTTTTAAGTCTGGCGGTAGAATGAGTGGAGGGGGAAACAAGATTTGAGGGACCAGGCAGATATTGACTGCAATTGTAGAGAGAAGAATGCTATTTTCTTGAACTAGAGAAGGTGTCAATAATGATAAAGAAAGTGAATATATTTCTAGAAGGTTCTGGAGATATGTCATAAGACAGCATGTGAATTGACCATGTTTTCCACATCTTTGACCAAGTATAATATTAAATAATATTTAGTATCTTGACATTTAATTTTACTAAAGATAATTCATGTGTTTGTGTTACAAGGATATTACAAAGGTGGGAAGGAGAGACTACGTTAAAAGAAAAGGTAAAGTGAAGGATATTGAAAAGCAAAAGCAAAGGAAGAAACTCATTCAAAAATAAGTTACAAAATAAGGCAAAATATTAGGTAAACTTAGACATATTTCATAAATCTTTTAAAATGAGAACAAACTTGAGAATACAGGGAAAGTGCTTTTGATGCATCTGTTGCTATTCACCTTCTCTTTCTCATTTAAATATACATTTCAAATAATGAAAACCTTTTGTGAATATACTATGTAGTATACTCATATTAATAAGTGATATATTTAAAAATTAATCCTTCTATATCCAAATAAATATACAACATCTAAACCTACTACCAATTTGTCACATAATGATGAGTAGAGAGCAATAAAATCAATGAAAAGAATTTTGTTGTGAATGATTTTTGTTGTGAATGATAAGCAAACATTGCATTCAATAAATCTGTATTTATAATGTGTTAAAAAATATCTATCAAGCTAAACTAATTCCCTCGTCACCTGAAAAGAGAGAAGACCAAGAAATGACTGATAGGCAACCAACAAGAATACCTGTGAAATGGAGACAAGAATGTTTGAGAACTGACTGACCATCCAGTGGCACCTGAGAAAAGGTAAGAATCAGAATGGCAGATTATCTGGTTGGCAAGAAATGTATAAAAAGGAAGCAAAACAGTAGAAAGTTTATAAGTAGTAGTACATGAATATGAGGTGAGCCCTGGTGGTGACAGAAAGAGGTAATTTTTGAAAAAAAAATTCTTCTGAATGAAAAGCCAGGTGTAGTTAGAAACCTACATGATGTCATTCTGGATCCTCAGAAATGCCTACATTTCACAATATATTTTCAACAATTTTCTAAAATATTAGAACTCCATCTATTACTATTTATATATGAATATGAATACCTCTGGTATAACTATCTTATTGATCCATATTGGTCATTGGTATCTTACATCTATTCATTTTCCATACTATTCCATGATAATACACAGAGAGAAGATTTAGAAAGGAGATTTTAAAGGCAAATATTATATAAGTCTTTCTTGGTACAAGTATTTGATAATGTAAAGTACAATTTATTTGATAATATAAATGGTTATGTACTAAATCGCCCCCTAAGAAACTTCTTAGAATGACTTTTATAATTTATTTGTCCTAAAATCACATAATAATTTCTTAATGATTGGAGTTTGACAAATCCAAGTAGAGATTTAGTTTATTTCACTTAATAAGGGAAAAATGTCTTTGAATTAATTTATAATTATGATTGTTGGTAATCTTTGTCCCTCTGCATATCTACATGGGATGTATGATAAAATTGTAATAAACAAATGTCATTCAATTAAGAATATTAGAAAAATAATAAAAATATTTTGTTTAAGATATAAATATAACTATTGGACTGCAACTTTATTAACCAGCATTGCCTTATGTAATCAGCAGTCTTTTACTTTTGCATATACTGAAATACTGTATAATATTTTGGCCTTTTTTCAGGATATGTCAATGTTATCTAATCCTGGATCATGTTATGCAAAATTCTAAGATGAATCTGAAGACACCTGCTTTATGGTTTGCAAACATTGTACAAATTCCTCCTCTTGTATGTGTTGTGGTCTGTGCATAAGATGGATTTTATAACTATAATTAGGCTGCATTATATGACAAAGGTAAAATGATCTTGCAGATGCAATTGAGGTTCCAAATCATTTGGTTTTCAGTTAATAAAAAAAGGAATTATTTCAGTGGGCTTGAATTAGTCATGTGTAGACTCTAAAAAGAAAGAGACATGGAATGTGAGAAAAATTCAATTCCGTTGCTGGTTAAGACAGCAGGTGGCCTCTAGGATTGAAGAGTGGACCCTGGCCAATAGCTGGAAACAAAACAGGGGCCTGACTTGTAAAAACAGAGGATTGAATTCTGTCAAAAACCACATAAGCCTTAAAACACTATCCCAAGCTCCACAAAGGAAGGCAGCACAACCAACAATTTTTTGAGGCCGAATCTCTCTACCTTGCCCAGATTGGTCTTGAACCCCTGGGTGCAAGTGATCTTCTAAGCACAAGTGATTTCCTCTTCCCCCACTTCAGCCTCCTGAGTAGCTGTAATTACAGACACATCACCAAACCTAGCTAAAGCCATCATCTTGATTTCAGCTTTGATGTGCTCTTGAGCACAGGGTCAAGCTAATCTATGCTCAGACACTTGACTAGTGGAAATTATTAGATAGAAAATGGGTGTTATGCCAATTAGTTTGCGACAATTTATTACACAGCAAAAGAAAACTAATACAATGTCAAAAGTTATTTCTATCTGAATTCCAAATGTTAGAACTAGACTAGAAACCAAAATCATTTAAAATCCAAATTTGTCACATGTGATTAATAGTCCCATTTTACTGTCTGATATAAATGATGATGTATTTGTTTGTTAAATAAAAGATATGGACATCAGAAAGAATAATATTAACAAAGTTTGGGGGGCAATGAATTCAATTTTATATCAAGCAAGTTGAAGTAAATCTACTGTTGGGACCTAGATCTTGTGCACTCCTACTCATGCTGGTGACTGCAACATTCTACGACTTCACAACCTCTAGAGTTACTTCATTTTTTTTTTCTTTTAAGAAGCAACCATATTAAGTGACAGGATTACTTCTTAAAATACTTTATACTTCTAGACTTATATAATTTTAGATGGTGCACTGGCTGTTCATGTAAGTAAAAATAATTAACAAATTTTGCAAACTTCTAATTTTCTCAAATACAATTAATCCCTTTAGAAAAACTATTGCTTTGTTTTATCAAGAAAGCATGAGAGTACTAACAAAACATTTATAATAATGCTGAGTCTAATTCTTATAATCATGATTATGATCATTTATTGGACTGTTATCACTAGCCAGATACTACGTAGAGTGTTATATGCATATTACTTTCTAAAATTTTCCCCATACAACAAATAATTGAGATTGCATCTATTCATACTCATTCCATTTTATATGGAAGGAACTGAGACCAGAAGCAGGGGAGATTGAGAGTTATTGTTCACTGGGTATAGAGATTTGGTTATGCAAGACAAAAATAACAACATAACCAGTAAGCAATAAATTGAAGAAATAAAATTAACCTTTATCCATAGAGCTAAAACTTTTAACTACTGCACTATTTCAATTTATTAGTACAGAATCATAGTGCTTACTTTTCAACCTACTCCAAACCCAAAACTCCTTCATATAGTCAATATTGTAATTGAGTGGAACTGCATTTAATGATGAAATGTAAGTTTCTATTTGTTAAAACACATGCTTTTTCTGATGTAATATATTGTGAACATTTTCTCACTAGTCACATTATATTTCTCCACAATACTAAAGATGGTAAAGTGTCTTTTCTGGTTTGAGTGCTTTTTTACTTTAATTTTTTTTTTGTCTAATTGCTCTAGGTAGGATTTCCAGTACTTTATTGAACATGTGAGTGAGCATCTTTACCATGTTTCTGATCTTAGAGAAAAAACTTTCACGTTTTCATTGTTGAGTATAATGTTAACTGTGGCTTTTTGTATATGGCCTTTATTATATTGAGATAATTTATTTCTATTCCTTGTGTTTTAGTATTTTTAATTCATGAAAAGATGTTGAATTTTGTCAGATGCTTTTTCTGCATCTATTGAGTTAATCCTGTGTTTTAAAAGCTTCCATTCTGTTAATATAATATAGTGTATCCTATTGATTCATTTGTTTATGTTGGATCATCCTTGTCTCACAAAAATAAATGCCACTTGGTCATGCCATGAGGTATTTTTACTGTGGTATTGAATTTGGTTTGTTAGTATTTTGTTGAGGATACAAGATTTTATATTTATATCTTGTAATTATATCTTTGTCTGGCTTTGGTGTTGGTAATTCTGACCTCATAAAATGAGTTTGGAATTGTTTCTTCCCTTTACATTGTTTATAATAGTTTGAGAAGGAATAGTGTTAATTCTTATTTAAATATTTGATGGCATTCTTCAGGGAGGCTATCTAGACCATGACTTTTCTTCACTGGGAAGTTTTGGTGACGAATTCAATCTCCTAGCTAGCTATAGGTCTACTCTAATTTTCTCTTTTTTCATCATTAATTTTTGATAGGTTGTATGTTTTAAAAAATTTGTTCATTTTTTTCTGGGTTATGCAGTGTATTGGCATATAATTATTTATAATAATTCTCATTTTTATTCCTGTGGCATCAGTGTTAATGTCTCCTCTTTTATTACTGATTTTATTTGCATATTCAATTTGAAAAGAATGTACATTCCGTAGTTGTTGGGTAGAATGTTCTGTAAAGCTCATCACTTAGGCACATATTCATCAAGTTATCTCAAGTCAAGACAAAGAAAAGAATCTTAAGAGCTGTGAGGCAAAAGCATCAGGTAGCCTATAAAGGAAAACCTATCAGATTAACAGCAGATTTCTCAGCAGAAACCCTACAAGCTCGAAGGGTTTGGGGTTCTATCTTTAGCCCCATTAAACAAAACAATTATCAGCCAAGAATTTTGTATCCAGCAAAACTAAGCTTCATAAATGAAGGAAAAAATAACAGCCTTTTATAGACAAACAAATGCTGAGAGTTCATCACTACCAAGCCAGCACTACAAGAACTGCTAAAAGAACCTCTAAAATCTTGAAACATATCATCAAAGTACACCAAAATAGAATCTCCTTAAAGCATAAATCTCATAGGACCCATAAAACAACAATACAATGAAACAAACAAACAAACAACAACAAGGTATTTAGGCAACAAATAGCATGATGAATAGAATAGCACCTCAAGTCTCAATACTGATATTGAATGTAAATGGCCTAAATGTTCCACTTAACAGATACAGAATGGCACAATGGATAAGAATTCACCAATCAAAAAATCTGCTGTCTTCAAGAGGCTCATCTGGCATATAAGGACTCACATAAACTTAAGGTAAAGAAGTGGAAAAAGACATTGCATGCAAATGGATCCAAAAGCAAGCAGGAGTAGCTATTCTTATATCAGACCAAACAAACTTTAAAACAACAGTGGTTAGAAAAGACAAAGAGGGATATTATATAATGATAAAAGGACTAGTCCAACAGGAAAATATCATAACCCTAAATATATATGCACCTAACACCAGAGCTCTCAAATTTATAAAATGATTACTACTAGACCTAAAAAATGAGATAGACAGCAACACAATAATAGTGGGGGACTTCAATACTCCACTGACAGCACTGGAGAGGTCATAAAGAAAGAAAGACTACAAAGAAACAATGGACTTAAGCTATACCCTAGAACAAATGAACTTAAAAGATATTTACATTTGTTTCTTTTTTAAATAAAGGTACTTACTGGTATAAACTTTCATCTTAGTAGTGTTTTTGCTGCCTCCATAATTTTTGGTATATTGTAGTCTGTTTGATTATTTGTTTGTCACAAGACACTTTTGGTTTTCTTTTTGTTTTTGAACCTCTATGACAAAATTAAAAGCGATTTTTATAATGCTGATAGAGTATTACAGTATTCTAGACCTGTTGATATATTTACCTTTACCAGTAAGCTCTATTTTTCTTTTGCTTTCATGTTGCTGTCTACATTCCTTTTGTTTTAAACTGAAGTATTTCATTTAGAATTTTTTCTAAGGTAGATCTAGTGATGATAAAAATACTTCTGCTGTTTGGAAAAGTCTTTAATTCTTTCATTTTTGAAGGATACTTTTGCTGGATAAAGTATTCTTGACTGGCAGTGTTTTTTTTTTTTTTCATTTGTTTGTTTTCATCACTTTGAATATGTCATTGTTCTGTTTTCTGGCCTGCAGAGTTTTCGCTGAGAAAACTGCTGATGGTATTATGGGGTATTTTTGTACATGATGATGTACATTTTCCTTGTTGCTTTCAACATTTTCATTTTCTTTGACTTTTGGCAATTTGATTATGTGTCTTAGTATAAACATTTTAGATTCATTGTATTTGGAGTTTATTGTTTTACTTGAATCTGGGCATCTGTTTTCTTCCCCAGATCCAGAATTTTCCATTTATTTTCTTCAAGAAAGTTTTTTTTTCACCATTCTCTCATTCTTCTGAGTCTCCCAGAATGTGTATATTAGTTTGCTTGATAGTGTACCAAAATCATCAGATGCTTTCCTTTGTCATCCTTACTTTTGTTTTCTTTTTCTTTTCTGGTTAAATTATTTCCAGTGATCTGACTTCAAATTTGCTAACCCTTTCTTCTGCCTGACCTTGTTTGTTGTGAAATTCCTCTAGTGAATTTTTCAGTTCAGTTAGTATATTCTTCAACTCTAGCAGTTATATTTGGTTCTTTTTATATTTTCTCTTTATTGACATTTTCAATTTGTACACATCATTTTTATGACCTGGTTGAGTATCATTATGATGCCTATTTTTAATTATTTGCAAGTTAATACATGTATAAAGTTGAGTATCCCTTATCCCAAAATTTGAAATCTGAAATGCTCCCAAATCTGAAATTTCTGAGGGCTGGCATGATACCACCAGTGGAAAATTCCACACCTAAAATCACATAATGGTTTGCAGATGCACAATACAGAGTTTATTCAGTGTCCTCAAGAAAAAACAAACAAACAAAAATAAAAAATACCTCTCCAACCCCCTTAAGCTTCAGTATATCTTTTCCACAAATGCCCAGATTTCCACAAGCAAGAATAAGAAAAAGGTAATAAAATGTCATATGTGCAGGCTTCACATGCCAGTGGTGGGTTTCCCACAATGCCCTACCTGGGACCAAGACGTATGTGCTTTATTTACTCTGTTTTTTTTTTTTTTTTTTTGAAGAATTTCCTATGCCAAGTGAAAAAAAAATGTCTAATCTCTTTACATATGTAAAAATATACGTTCAGAGTCTGTCAGTAAGCTAGAAGAAGTAGGTATTGAAGAAATTTTCAAATTCTATTCTTTATTCATTAACTGATAGCAAAATAGCCAAACTTGTTCTGAATCAAGGTGATCATGATAATAGTAATAATTCAAATGACATTGCTTGGGTAGCAGAAAGCAATGTCTACAGATAACATAGTGAAAACGTGATGGGCTTGTTGAAAGACTACAGCAGTGTGCATTCATAACAGAATAAGAAATTATGTCAGTTTGTAAAATCAAAGAAAGAATTTTAAGACAAAAATTTCTTAATGATTCAAATGACTTTTCAGTAAACATTTTTAAAAGCCGTCTTGCAGAATGCCTCCTTATCCCCCAGGGATTCACTTCCTGGTCTTTCAAAAGCTTCTGAACTTTCTTTTCACCTAAAAAAAGACGCAATGTATAGTAACCTTTTCATAGAGACAAAACATCATAGCTGAACACTAACATCCTGCCATTGTAGTTTGTGTTGTTTAAAAGCTAGTATATGTACTCTGATAATGCTGCTGTATTACTTAGTTACCTCGAATAACTTATTTTAATTGTATTAATGGTATTTTTATGTTAACTACTTGTATTTATTTGTACATTCTTGTACATATTTTTGTCATTAAGTACTTCTGTGCAAATGAGGGTAAGAAAATGACTGCTTATCATTTATATCTGAATTCAGAATCAAGAATCATGGTGATACCACACGAATCCAGATTATCTACATGCGTGGCTGAGATAAAGAAACTTTTGCTTTTTCATGGTTCAATGTACACAAACACAAACCTTTTTATGCACCAAATTATTTAAAATATTGTATAAAGTTATTTGCAGGCTATGTGCATAAGGTGTATCTAAAACATAAATACATGTTGTGTTTAGATTTGGGTCCCATCCCTAAGACATCTCATTAATTATATTCAAATATTTCAAAATTTTAAGAAAATTCAAAGCACTTCCGGTCTCAAGCCTTTAACATAAGGAATACTCAAACTGTAGATCTCTTTCTTCAGTGTTTGTTTTTGGAGATGTATTTTGTTTCTTTTTGTCATGTTTCCCTGTTTCTTTGTTCCTTGTAACTTTGTGTTGGCATTCACACATTTGAAAAACAGCTAAGTCTCTCAATCTATATAGACGAGCTTTGTACAGACTAAAGACATTTATCAATCAGCCCAGCTAGAGAGTCTGGGGGGCACTCAAGTTTCTGTGATACATCTTCTCTAGTTGTATGTGCAAATTCCCAGTTATAGGGGTCTGCCATTTTAGTTTTCAGGTGCTCATAATCTTTTGTGCCCACTGGTGTTTGTCTGTGGTGCACCAGACATTCTGGAGTTCTCACAGGTCATTTGCTCTCTTTTGTTCTCATAGGCCCCCAGGCTTCTAGAATACATTGAGTCCTATCAGTACTTTGAGTCCAGAAAGATAGAAGTTTGTACTTTGTGCAGCCCCCTGGACATCTTGGACATTGGACACATGCTTTACTCTTCCCCCCTTTTAAGGAAGAGATTACTAAACTGTATTGTCTTCTGCCTACTGTGCTGTGGGTCTTCTGGAGCAGCAGCAAGACACTAACCTGTTTGCTCTCAGCATTTTCCAGGCATTTAGAATACGCCAGGTCTTGTCAGTGTTCTGACACAGGTGAGATGAAACCAGTCTCTTGGAGACCTCAAAAAGCCAGAATATCCAACCCTTTTCTTCCTTAATGAAAACTCAAGAGTTTTCTCCTCTTTTTTTTTCTACACTGAGCTAAGGGGACAGACTACGGTGAGAGGATGCATGCAGTGAAAAAAAAAAAAAAAGCCTTTGTCCTCAGTGTCTCTCAGTCTGTTGCCTTTCACTATCAGCTCTTTGAATGTGGTAAGATAAAAGCCAGTCCCTTGATCAGTCTTTCTGAATCGTCAGAATGTTGGAGATATGCTGCAGTCTTCTCTTTCTTTCTTTAGGGAGAAGCCAGGAGTAGAAGTCTCCTATGATCACATGGGGCTGAACAAGAGACAGAACAAAGATAATTCAGTACCACAAATTTTCCTGCTACCTTTGATGCTGCTGGTTTTGAATCACCTGGGGTGCGGGAGACTTTTAACCTTTAACTGTATTTCTCACAAAAGAAATTGATTCATGCATTGTTGTTGAGTCTTTGTCTCCATGGGGGAAAGGAGAGACTCTATCCTTCTATTCTGCCATCTTGCTGACATCAACGATCTGAAATTATTTTTGACTATACAGTGAAGAGATAGCTAATGAGAGTGTTTGGAAATATACATTAAGGGAGTATGTTTCACATAAATATAACAAAATTATTAATGGAGTTACAAATTGAGCTGTCATTTTCATTTACAACTAATCTAATATTTATTTCATTTAAACATACAACTATAAAGTGATGAATAATATCTTATTACTTTATTGTGATCCAAGTTTGAAATAATGGACCACAGAGCTTAGAGACTGAATATACAAATAAGCAATGACCAGACTGCATATCACAATAAGCGCAAGAATGCAAACCACAACCTCTGCATCAACTGGCCCAGAATTGTCAGGACTTGGTCGTGACAGCGTATGACTGCTTACCTATTTTTCTCCCTGCTTCCAACTCATGACCAACCAAGTAAAATCAAATGTACTCCCAAAACCAACCACAGAATATGTCCTGCTGTTAGTTAGCTGAGTTTGAGCATCCTCATGACCTCTAATCAGAGTGTACCTGAAACCTTCTATTTGTTCACTATATAGCATTCTCACTCCCCTGCCTGCATTTGAATCTCTGTCACACTCAAGCTTGCTGTAGGAAACTCTGAATAGGTTATGTTTGTTTATATTTGGGTAGTCTTCATATAGCATATTAGTAAAATTATTCTCAAGTATATAGTAATCACACAGGCAGCTATCAGGACTAAATGGTAAATAGACAAGACACTTGAACAGATATTTTTCCTCAAAGATGTATAAATGACTGATAAACCCTTGAAGATGCTCTAAATCACTAAACTTTAGAGAAATGCAAATCAAAGCCATGATGAAATATGACATCACAACTCTTAGGATGGATAACATTAAAAAAAAGACAGAAAATAGCAAGTTTTGATAAGGATGTGAACAAATTGAAAACCTATGCATTAATAAGTGGCAGAACCATGGTGGAATACACTTTTTTAGCATTTCCTAAAAAATAAACACTTGTTATCATAATATCCATAAATTCCACTTATGTAATAAAAGACAAGAATTCAAACACACATTTGCACACTCATGTTCATAGCAACATTATTTTCAATAGCTAAAATGTAAAAGCTACCCAAGTGTCATAGATGGATGAATAAATCAACAAAATGTTGTCTATACATACAATGGAATATTATTTACCCCTAAAAGGAAGAAATACTCACAAAGGATCATTCATGCTACTACCTGTATGATCCTTGAAGATACTATGCTAAATAAAATAAGCCAGTCACAGAAGGGTGATTGTTGCAATTTTTTACTAATATGAAGTACCTAGAGTAGTCACATTCATCAAGGCAGAAATTAGAATGGTTGTTGCCTAAGGCTGGAGAGAACAAAGAGGGTTATTGTTTAAAGGGTACGAAGTTATTATTGGGAAAGATGAAAAAGTTCTAGAAATGGATGATGGTGATGGTTGCACATACATTTGAATTTACTGAATATCCCTGAACCATACACATACAAATGATTAAAATAAAAAATTCAAAGAAAGTTTTAAATGTTTCTGGAGCTTAACAAAGAATGCCATCCATAGATGAACATTTACAGTTTAGATGTGACTATTCAAATTATGAGAAAGTCACTATTCACCAGAGTGTACAGGGAAGAGAAGGGTCTCAAGAACTATGCTTTGGGGAAACAAAATATCTTGACCCAATTCCCACTTCTGAACATACCTCCGCCACTCCCACGAAGGCACTTTAATTTCTTACTGAATTTGTTGTGTTAAACACTTGTTTTGTATCAGTCATAAATATAAGAATAATCTAACGCCTTACTTTATCATATTACTTTAAAAACTGCTATGATTTGTTGATATTACACATTCAGGGAGAGAGGACCGGGGTCATGCAGTCTGTATAAAGTGCAATATTAAAGCCTTCTGTAGTTTTTAATGTCTCAGAGTCCAAACTCTCTTTGTTTCACTCTTCCCAGACACTAAATCTGGTCTTTGGCCAGGGTTATTTTCTAACTGAGCAGTAAGAAAATACTAATCATAAAAATAATTTTTGCCAGATTTTATGTAATTTGCCTGTGTTCAATACCAGTCAGCACTTCCGCATTTAGAATGCTTTGTATTTCTCTGGGGCTATGACAACAAATTTAGGTTGCTTTCAGTCTTCTACCATTGTTACATATGCCAGGATTTAGCTTTCAGTTACTATTATTTGTTAATTCCATTAAGTCAGCTGGAAACCAACTTCTATATTGTATTTTTTTTTCTATTTTAAAGATATTTGAATTCTCTTCTTTTTTTCTGATATAGTATACCTTGAGGACTTATGCTTTTGTTTTTAACACCACTGCTATCGATTACTATGGGTACAAGAGGGAAAATAAGTAAAATTGTGTCTAATCCACTATGCTTCCCTGCTAAAGCGACCCACTATTAATCAATTATCTCTCTTGTTTCTGTTTTATTTCTTGCTTGTCTCTTTTATACTGAATTGTTTTCATTTTTCTTAATTTTCTCCTTAAACCCTGGTTTTCACTGTTCTCTCTGCTCCTTCCATAATCCCCTTAATTTATATCCACATTCCAGATGGCCTTATATGCTACATGTTCCTGGGAAACGTTCATCTCCCCAAGTGCCTACAATATAATATCTCCTCCATAAAGAATGTTAAGTAATTAAATTACAAAGAGAAGATCATAAAGAGTAATCCTGTGTTGTAGAAATAAATGGTGTACATATTTGTGTGTGTTCTTATTATTTTTTGTGAGGATATGAAGTAAAGTCTCCCTATGAATGTAAAAAGTTAATACAAAAGGAAAACTGAGTAAAAACTTAAATTTGCTTATGTATTTCTCTATTATCCCACAGACAAAGTAAAAGTGACATTTTCCTACAAATTTCTTATATTTGAAAATAAAATTTCTAGAGATTATGTGGGGAAAATTAAACTTTAATTCCACAATAATAAAAAAATGTTAAAAGCTAGTAGGTTTATTAGAGAAACGTAAGTGATTACTTGTTCACTTCTGTGAAATGAGTTACTTAAGATGCCATATGCCATAGCCATATGTGTGAAAGGAATATAATATGAAGTATGTAGAACTGTTTAAGAAAACATTTGGGAGTTCTTTTGGCTATAAAAAGCTCAGATTATGTGGATTAATTTGTTGACATCATAAATTGCAAAGAAAATTAAAAACAAGGTGATATGTATATGACTATGTATTTATATATACATACACAAGCATACCTCAAATATATTGCTGGTGTGGTTTCAGACCACCACAATAGAGAGAATATTGCAATAAAACAAGTCACATGTAATTTTTGGCTTCCCACTGCCTATAAAAGTTATGTTTACACTATACACAATAGTCTATTAAGTGCGCAATCACATTATTTGTTTAAAAAGTACATACTTTAAAAATACTTTATTGTTTAAAAATGCTAATAATCATCTGAGCTTTCAATGAGTCAAAATCTTTTTGCTGTTGGAGGGTGTTGCCTTCATGTTGATGGCTGCGGACTGGTCAGAATGGTGGTTGCTGAAGGTGGGGTTGCTATAGCAATTTCTTAAAATAAGACGACAGTGATGTTTTCCTCATTGATTGACTCTTACCATCATGAAAGATTTCTCTGTAGTAGGTTGATAGCATTTTTACCCCCAGTAGAATTTATTTCAAAATTGGAATAAATCTTCTCAAAGTCTGCCATTCACTGCTTTATCAACTAAGTTCATGTAATATCCAAAATCCTTTGTTGTCATTTCAACAATGTTTCACGGTCTCTTAACCAGAAGCAGATTTCATATCAAGAAACCACTTTCTTTGCTCATTCATAAGAAGCAATTCATCACTTTTTCAAGTATTATGAAATTATAGCAGTTTCTACCACATTGGTAGTTACTTCCCCCACAGAAGTCTTTAACCCCATGAGTAGTCACTTATGAGGGTTGAAATCAACTTCCAAGCTTCTGTTACGGTTGATAATATACCCTCTTTGCCTGCATCACAAGTGTTCTTAATAGCATCTATAATGGTGAATCATTTCCAGGAGGGTTTCAGTATTCTTTTCCCAAAACTATCAGAGGAATAACTAGAACAGCTATAATCTTACAAAATGTATTTCTTAAATAATAAGACTTTAAAGTCAAAATTACTTCTTGATCCATTGACTACAGAATGGATATGTTAGCAGACATGAAAGCAACACTAATCTCTGTATACATTTCCATCAGAGCTCTTGGGTGACCAGATAGATTGTCAATTAGCAGTAATATCTTGAAAGGAATATTTTTTTCTGAGCAGCAGTTCTCAACAGTGGGCTTAAAATATTCAGTAATCCATGCTACAAACAGAAATGCTGTGAACCAGGATTTGTTTCTCCATGTATAGAGCACAACAGAGTAGATTTACCATAAATGTAAAGGGCCCTAGGATTTTTGGAATGGTAAATGAGCACTGGCTTCAACTTAAAGCCACCACCTGCCTTAGCCTGTAACAAGAGTCAGCTTGTCTTTTAAGCTTTGAAGCCAGGCATTGACTTCTCCTACCTATGAAACTCCTATATAGCATCTTCTTCCAATAAAAGTTGTTTTATCTCCATTGAAAATCTGTTGTGTAACCACTTTCATCAATCATCTTAGCTAGATGTTCTAGATAACTTACTGCAGCTTCTCCATCAGCACTTGCTGCTTCACCTTGCACTTTTATGTTATAGAAATGGCTTCTTTCCTCAAACCTCATGAACCAACCTCTGCTAGCTTTCAATGATTCTTCTGCAACTTTCTCACCTCTCTTTACCTTCACAGCATTTGAGGGAGCTAGGGCCTTGTTCTAACTTAAGCTTTGCTTTAGGGAATGCTGTGTCTCATTTGATCTTCCATCTCGATCACTAGTAGCTTTTCCATTTCAGTGATACAGCTGATTTACTTTCTCATGATTTGTATGTTCACTGGAGTAGTAGCTTAAATTTCTTTCAATAACTTTTTTTTTTGCATTTACAACTTGGCTAACTGGCACAGGAGGCCTATTTTGACTTTCAACATGTCTTCTTTACTCAGCTTATTTATTTCTAGCTTTCGATTTAAAGTGAGAGATATGTGACTTTTCCTTTCACTTGAACACTTAGAGGTTATTGTAGGGTATTAATTGGCCTTATTTTAATATTGTTGTTTCTCAGGGATTAGAGTGAAGTGAGGAGAGGGAGAGAGATGGGGAAAAGGCTGCTTGATAAAGCAGTCAGAACTCATTAAGTTCTACATCATATATGGACGCAGTTTATGGTGACCTCAGACAATAGTAGTAGTAACAGCAAAGATCACTGATTATATAACAAATATAATAATAACAAAAAGGTTTGAAATGTTGTGACAATTACCAAAATGTGACACAGAGACACAAAATAAACTCATGCTGTTGGAAAAGTAACAGTAACATATTTGCTCGACAAAAGGTGCCAACAAACCTTCAGTTTGTAAAAAATGCAATTATCTGTGAAGGACAATAAAGGAAAGCACAATAAAATGAGGTAGGTCTCTATATGTATACTTAAAAAAGCAAATTGTTAAACAGAGTACACATTATAAAGGACTTGTCTACCACATAGATGTACTTGATCCTCTCTATTTTTATTCTAAAGATAAAAGCAATGAAATTAACTGCTTTGACAATTGTAATAATAGTGAGTGGGCAACAGGAAAAATATAGAAGCTAGAAAGCAGATTACAATGCAATGTAGTTATAATATTTATCACAAGTTATTTCATTAAAAGACATCACATTTAGTTGTGACTGGTACATCACAGTAATTATGAATTGGGTTTTAATGTTTGATTATTTTACAACCCTTGACAAAAGTTGCAAATTTGAAAAAAAATTATTATTTTAAATTTAATTTTAAATTTAAATTATTTAAATCATTTTAAATACTAAATAATTGATTTTAGTTGTTTAGAAAGCATCCTAAGACTAATAATAGTGAAATATTATTTGAAATATAGATTTATATTTGACATATAGATTTTGATCATACATATAATTTGTCTTAATTTTTTGTGTCTTCATTTCATAAATAAAAGTTTTAAACTAAAAGCAATGCAAACACATGGTAAAAGTTAAAATAAAGCTGAATGTCTGTCATGCTTATTTCAAATTTGATTATGCAAACAAGCCAAAACAGTCACCAAGAGGCAAACAGAAGTGAGAAACATTTGAAGATTGGTTTAATGGACAATCCTATCAATATTAAGAGAAACAAGAAGGCGTTTTAAACTCCTCACTTCTGTCTTTTACTGCCTCAACCACACCTACCTTTATATAGCCTTACCTTTCTTTTATTTTACTTTTCAGACAACATGTATTTATAAATTTCAGGTAAAGATTAAACTTCTATGTTAAAAACTGTATTACGTTGATGATTACTTCCACTTTAAATAACATTAATATTAAATTCAACATATTGAATTTCATGATTACTCTTCATAATAGTGAAAGAAAAATCAATCAGCAATAGTAGTCAATGTACATGAATCAATCAACGTGATACATCATATCAACAGAATGAAGGACAAAAACTATATGATCATTTCAATTGATACCGAAAAAGTATTGGATAAAATTTAACATCCCTTCATGTTAAAAACCCTCAAAATGCTGGGTATAGAAGGAACATACCTCAACATAATAAAAGCCATATATGACAGACATATAGCTAGTATCATACTGAATAGGGAAAAACTGCAAGCCTTTCCTCTAAGATCTGGAACATGACAAGAATACCCACTTTCACCAACCACCATTATTCAACATAGTTCTGGAAGTCCTAGCTAGAGAAATTAGACAAGAGAAATAAATAAAGGCCATCCGAATTGGAAAGAAAGAAGTCAAATTATCCTTGTTTGTAGATAATAGGATCTTACATTTGGAAAAACCAATTCCACTGAAAAACTATTAGAACTGATAAACAAATTCAGTAAAGTTGCATACCTGTATCTACGTATCTCACAAATATACTGGAAGCAGAACCAGAGACAGGAATAAAGATATACCTGAATTTTGGTGGAAATGTTTTTCAGGAAAAAACTGAAGCGGGATAGAGAAGAGAAAAATAAGAACAAAGATATTTTGATCCACAGGGAAAAGACCCTGGAGAATGCATTACTCCCAGAAGATGGTTCCTTTTTTAGGCCAGAGGGTGAGATGTTGGAAACCATATACTGTTAATCAGGGCTAAAGGTCACTCCCTGGGGAAGGAGCAGTGGTGTATGTTTTTTAGGGCAGTGACTCCTATCAGTCAAGTGCATTTCTATGTAGATAGGTGACAGCTCCTAGCCATTACCAGTCAAAAGAGATACAAAGGAAATCTAGGTAGGGCAACCACATCTACCACTACCCACAAAAATGTCTCTATGTGTAGACTCTATGTCTAGGCTTTTATACGACAAAGGCTGGATATAGTAAATATCCATATTTATCAAATTATATTTGTATTTCATAAACCACACAATTTGGCAAATATTTTAGCAAATGATTTCCCTATCTGTCTATATAAAGCCACAACCTTTGTCTACTTCACAAAAATACTTCAGATTTTGTATTTTTGGTGAAACGACTACCATTCCTCCCAGAGAACCAGAAGCATACCATTAAGGCCAGGAAATACATGTGGCTGACCTGAATACAAATATGAGTAGAAAAAACTCACAAAAAAAGAACTATAAATAGTCAATTAAAATAAAATCTCAATATTTAACCTCCCCAGCAATAAAAAAGAATTTTATACTTTGTATAATGGGTTCTACCTGGTAGGGTTGGGAGAGTTATATGAAAAAAAAAAAACAAAAAACTCTATACCCTAAAAAGTTGTTTATGTATTGAAGTAGTAGAAAGAAACAGAAAAAAAAAAAAAGAAAGATAACCTAAGTGTTCATAGATATAGCACTATAGGAGTCAATTCTTTCTTGAGAAAATAGTCAAGATAATAAAAAATCCAAGTCAAGAGTTTAGTCAGTGTCTTTTCCTTAATTTTTGTCCCTGCTCCTAATGCAACAACATGATACCTATAATGTTGTATTTTCTAAGCTTATAGAAATACTTATTATTATTATTATTATTATTATTTTTTTGAGATGGAGTGTTGCTGTGTCGCCCAGGCTGGAGTACAGTGGTGCGATCTCTGCTCACTGCAACCTCCGCCTCCCGGGTTCAAGCGATTCTCCTGCCTAAGCCCTCCCGAGTAGCTGGGATTGCAGGTGCAGGCAACCACGTCTGACTAATTTTTGTATTTTTAGTAGAGATGTGGTTTCACCATATTGGTCAGGGTGGTCTCGAACTCCTGACCTCGTGATCCACCTACCTTGACCTCCCAAAGTGCTGGGATTCACAGGAGTGAGCCCAGAAAATTTCACCACTCCCAGGAAATACTTTTTAAATGCGGGCCCTCAGAAACCTCTGCAGTGGACTGTACAGGACATAACATTGAAAAACTCAAATTAACATAGTCCTTATTTCTTTTACTAACTAGAATTATTGTCAGTTTTTTTGGTCAAATAAATTATAGCGCTATGCTCTAATAGGAGCAGCACATGAAAACATAATTTAAGCCAAAAAAAGTCAACCCTAAATATTTTTGCTGTTTTAAGGTGCTGGAGAGGATGTGGAGAAATAGGAACACTTTTACATTGTTGGTGGGACTGTAAACTAGTTCAACCATTGTGGAAGACAGTGTGGCGATTCCCCAAGGATCTAGAACTAGAAATACCATTTGACCCAGCCATCCCATTACTGGGTATATACCCAAAGGATTATAAATCATGCTGCTATAAAGACACATGCACACATATGTTTATTGCGGCACTATTCACAATAGCAAAGACTTGGAACCAACCCAAATGTCCATCAATGAGAGACTGGATTAAGAAAATGTGGCACATATACACCATGGAATACTATGCAGCCATAAAAAAGGATGAGTTCATGTCCTTTGTAGGGACGTGGATGAAGCTGGAAACCATCATTCTCAGCAAACTATCACAAGGCCAAAAAACCAAACACCGCATGTTCTCACTCATAGGTGGGAATTGAACAATGAGAACACATGGACACAGGAAGGGGAACATGACACACCGGGGTCTGTTGTGGGGTGGGGGGAGGGGGGAGGGATAGCATTAGGAGAAATACCTAATGTAAATTATGAGTTAATGGGTGCAGCACACCAACATGGCACATGTATACATATGTAGCAAACCTGCACATTGTGCACGTGTACCCTAGAACTTAAAGTGTAATTAAAAAAAATCTTTGCTGTTTTAAATATTTAATAATAACCCTTTCATTATACTGTCAATTTCTTGTTCCTACAGAAAAATGCCCAAAAATGTACAGAGAAAGAAATATTTCTTCAGAGGCTGCCTTGTGGCTGGTCTTAACCGTATCAAAACATCACATTCCAATTTTAATGATTCCAAGCCTAAGGGTAGAATTTATCAATTTTTCCAATTTTCTAAAGACTCCAGGTAGCAAACAAGACACATTAGATTAGCAGGACAACAGCTATGTTTCCACGGGTTCTGTCCTGATCATTTATGAGCCTTTAAGAGTTGTCTTTCAATCAAGGTTGTGATATACCTTGCCCTTTATAAAATAGAGAAGCTTGAACTTTCTGTTGTTAAAAGAAACGTCTGACTCAGTCTAATACCTTACCATAGGAACCTTATTAATCAGGTCTAGTATATATACTTTCTATTATGTTAACCTGCACTCATATAGAGCTATTTCAAAATTGCAATTCAGATAGGTCTGACTGTCCTATTTAAAAATTATTCTCAACCCCAAGTCCAGTCAATCATTCCCATCTCAAACTTATGCTAAACTAAAGTTTCCCATCCCACAAAATGAAAGTATTTGAAACATCTTTGGCTCTTTACAGAGCAGTGTGACCTCATATCTCGAAAGAAGTAAAAAAAAAAAATTATTCTCTTTAATAATTAATATGTAAATTTTATTTATCTATGTAAAGTGTATTAGAAAATAATTTTTAAAAAATTATTTTAAAAAAATGGACTCTCTTTAATTGTGAGTCCATTAATTTATTTTCTTTTACAAAAAATAGTAACAATAGAAACAGCAATGCAAATCAAGTTCATAACCTACCACTTTTGTGAGTTTTTTCCTACTGTTTCATGTCACAGAAATAGCTGTTTTGAAATAACTAAAGCCAGACCTATTGCACACGGTCACAATTTTATCTATTTTAAATATCTTTGAACAGCCTCACAACAGGGTCATGGTCTCTAGGAAAGTCTATTTTCCTCTAAAGAAATACCTGTAGGCATTTGAGAAAAAGCCAGGCATTTTCAATCCCTTTTAAACACAAAGAGAACATTTTAAAAGGCTGCTAATAATTAAATGGAGATCTAAAGGACCAATTTGCAATAGTTTTTCTTTACAGAGGCAAGCTCATTGTGCTGAAATGAACTCATAATTGTTCATGAAATATTTGCATATGAGAATTATCTGCATTCCTCAAAACGGTGGGATGAAATTGGAATTCTCCTCTTTTCAATATATTTGAATGCATCTACATGTGCACAGCGAATTGGAGAAACATGGTTTTTTTTTTAAAATACTACTTTCTGAAACATAATGAATAAAGAGGGAAATGGTATTTAAAATGGAATTATGCATCTCTCTAATTCAATGTTTCTATTTTAATTTCTAAGTTTCAAAATGTAGATCACTCAGCATCCACAACCACGGTTAAGTACATCACATATTCAGACCACCTAACTCTAGTTAACACAGTGATGTGTGATTCATGTCCTGGGTGTCACAGATTTCTGCCCAAATGTGTGATTTTGTATAAAATATGAGAGTTTTAGTCCTATTGATTTCAATATTTTATATAAACATGGCTCTGAAAAACTGTCTATATGAGTCTCTTACTTAAGAATATATTCTCCCATTAGATAACACCATTACTTTTTGTGAACAATTTTTATTATTTTCATACATACTTTTAATTAAAAATTGAAGGTGACAAGAGTAGTATAAAAATCTAAAAATTAAAAATTATCCACAATTTTTCTACTTTCAATACTTATTTAACATTCTATCAAACTTCTATTCTGTTTATTCCACCATGACTTTCTTGTCCAGAAGTATGCATAGATTTACTAACTACAAATCTAGTGCATGTATCTATTTTCCACTTTATTTTTAATGCATGTTATTTTTTTAAAGTTTTAGAGTTATAAAAACAAATAAGAATATAGCAAAGAGATTTCCCTTTCACACATACAGTTTTCTCTGTTATTAACATCTTACTTTAGAATAGTATATTTGTCACAATTAAGAAATATTGCACATTTTTTTAACTAAAGTCCTTGATTAATCACATGTCCTATTTTTTCCCCTAATTCTCTGTTCCAGAATTTCATCTGGGATATCACATTACATGGTTCTCGTTGCATCACCGTAAGCTCCTCTTGGATGTGACAGCTTTGGGAGGTAAGCTTTTGAAAAATCCTGGTTTATTGTCATAACTATACTGAGATTTGGGGAGGAAGGGCACTGATATAAAGTCCTGTTATCATCACATCATATGAAGAGTACATACTATCAACAAGTTGTATCACTATTGATGTAGATCTTGGTCATCTGGCTGAAGCAGTGCTTGTCAAGTGTCAAGTTTCTTTACTCTAAAGTTGCTGTTTTTGTCTCCATTCCCATGCTATATACTTTGGAAGGCAGTTGTTATGCACTTCTTTCCTGTGTGGTAAACTACATAATCATTTTTGTGTAACAGTATGGAGTCACGTGTATTTATTGTGTACTTTATGTTATAATCCAATGCTACTTTATTTACTTTGTTTCTCAAATTATTACAGCTTTGGGCATTGGGAGCTCTTTCAGTTGGCTATTATGTTCCTTTGAAGTACGTTTATCAGTGTGAAAGGGTTTCTTTGTTTGTTTGTTGTTTTTGATCACTTTCTTCCTTTCTAATGCCACGTAACGCTCCAGACTCAAGTTTGAAATTTTCTGCCTCAGCCTTAGAATCAGCCTTTTCTCTAAGGAGTGTTAGTTTCTTTAATGGTTAATGATACTAGAAACCAAGATCTAGTGCTCTTTGCTACTGCAATGTCAGTTCTTTTAGGCCCTCTCAGTTGACAGGAAAGAAAAAACATATGTATGTATGCTAACCTGTAGACATGCACATATATCTACCAACTCATTTATTTAACCATCATATCTGTATTAAGCTAAAAATGAATTCAACTATTCCAAATGCTACCAGGGGGGTCCTTGCTCCCAGAGCTCCCAAGATGGTGGTGGGCTGCTTCCAAGATGGTGGCAAGCCTCGTGTTCTCTGACCTGGGGTTCTTGGCCTCACGGATTCCAAGGAATAGAATCTTGGGCCATGCGGTGAGTGTCACGGCTCTATTAGAAACCGTGGGTCACGGAAGAGAGTCATGGAACCCAGTGCCTAGTGTTCAGCTCGATTAGGACGAACCGGGGCACTTAGCCGTGCAGGAACAATGGCAAGCCTTTAGCCTGATCAGGAGCGGCAATGGGTTCCTCGCTGGTTCAATTTCCATGTAGTTGTGTGGTTTTGAGTGAGTTTCTTCATCTTGAGTTCTAATTTGATTGCACTGTGGCCTGAGGGACTGTTTGTTATTATTTCTGTTTTTTGATTGTTTCTTTGTTTTGCATTTCCTAAGGAGTGTTTTACTTCCAATTTTAGAGTATGTGCTATGTGGCACTGAGAATAATGTATATTCTGTTGTTTTGGGGTAGAAAGTTCTGTAGATATCTATTAGGTCCAGAGCTCAATTAAAGTCTGAATATCCTTGTTAATTTTTCATCACATTATTCTTGTGTTGGAGTCTAAGTCTCTTTGGAGGTCTCTAATAATTTGTTTCATGAATCCGGGTGCTGATATATTGGGTGCATATATTTTTAGGATAGATAGTTCTTTTTGTTGAATTAATCCCCTTACCTTTATATAATGTCCTTCTTTGTCTTTTTTTGACCTTTGTTGGTTTAAATTCTGTTTTGTCAGAAACTAGGATCGCAACCCCTGCTTTTTCCTGCTTTCTATTTGCTTGATAAATTTTCCTCCATCCCTTTATCTTGAGCCTATATGTGTCTTTACACATGAGATGCGTCTTGAATACAGTACATCAGTAAGTCTTGACTCTTTATCCAATTCTCCATTGTGTGTTTTTTAACTGCAGCATGTAGCTCATTTACATCTAAGGTTAATATTGTTATGTGTGAATTTGATCCTGTCATTATGATACTAAATGGTTATTTTGCACACTAGTTAATGCAGATTCTTCATAATGTCACTGGTCTTTGTATTTTGGTATGTTTTTGCAGTGGCTGGTACCAGTTTTTCCTTCCCATATTTAGTGCTTCTTTCAGGAGCTCTTGCAAGGCAGACCTGGTGGTGACGAATTCCCTCAGCATTTGCTTGGCTGAAAAGGATTTTATTTCCCCTTCACTTATGAAGCTTTGTTTGGCCAGATATGATATTCTCGGTTGAAAATTGGCCCCTACTGTCTTCTGGCTTGTAGCATTCCTGCTGAGAGATCCGCTCTTAATCTGATGGGCATCCCTTTGGAGGTAACCTGGACTTTCCCTCTGGCTGCCCTTAATATTTTTTCCTTCATTTGGACCTTGGAGAACCTGATGATTATGTGTGCTGGGGTTGATCTTCTTGAGGATTACCTTGGTGGAGTTCTCTGTATTTCCTGAATTTAAATGTTGGTCTATCAATCTAGGTTGAGGAAGTTCTCCTGGATGATATCCTGAAGGTTGTTTTCCAACTTGGTTCCATTCTCTCCATACTCCAATTATTGTATGTTCATTCTTTTTACATAGTCCCATAATTCTTGGAGGTTTTGTTCATTATTGTTTATTCTTTCTCTAATCTTGTCTGCTTTATTTCAGCAAGGTAGTCTTCAAACTCTGATATTCTTTCTTCTGCTTGGTCAGTTTGGCTATTGATACTTGTGTAGGCTTCATGAAGTTCTCATGCTGTGTTTTTCACCTCCATCAGGTCATTTATGTTCTTCTCTAAACTGGTTATTCTAGTTAGCAACTCCTGTAACCTGTTATTGTTATAGGAGTTATTAAGAAATTATTTTAGGCAGATAGAGAGAAAAAGGGGTCCTGAGAAAGTTTTCATCTCTTTTAAAGCCGTTCCAGAAATGTTTCTTAGTTTTGGCTGCTGTACTAAAGACATGGATTTGAGGCTTGCTGGGGAGAACATGGAGAACCCCCTTTACCCACAGGTATTGGGAATGTTGGCAATGTTTGAACTGGCTTCTTTTCATGGGAAACCTCAGCATCATGTGAGGCTGGGAAAATTTCTGAGGCAACTGAGAATCTCTTACCAGGGCACACCCTGGTGTGATTCATAGGCCTCTGTACCGGACACAGACTCCGACAGCCCAGTTGGGTGTTATTAGAGCATCCTCAACTGTCCTGTGGCAAAACTCTTCTTCCTTCTCTATCTGCAGCCTCTTGCTCTTTCTTTGTGTGAAATGTGCAAGGATTTTTACACCCTAGAAAGAGTTTTCCCATTTTCCCCTGTGGTGAGGTTACTTGCTACCACTCCTCTGGAGCACACATAGCATTTCTAAGCCAACAGTGTCAACTCGTGGAAGTAAATCAGGCTTTAGGCCTCTTCTGGGAAGAGGAAATTTCTGCCTTTAGCAGTTAGGGGTAAGATGTCTCCCATAGCCAGATTTTAGTGTCGATATTGTCCGACTGGAACAATATGTAGGCCATTCGGTTCCTACATTTCTTTAAGGCACCTATTTTGTCTCCTATTAAGACACTACTTAATTAGTAAGGGGATTTTAAATCCAGAAGTTAACCAGAACCATTCTTCTATGAGTAAATAGTTTAGCATGGGCTATAATAGTACGATATAGAGTTCAATGTAGCACCCTTCCTCCTTAAAGGGGCCTTGCACAATTACGTGATTTTTATTGAAATTCTTTTTTTCGGGGGGTGGGGGGAGGGGGAGGCATACAGGCCACACAAGTCTAGGAGGTCAAAGGGAAACAAAAGGCAGAGGACTAAGACTGCTTGGGGGCAGCATGACTAAGGAACAAAAGTTTAGTTCCTCTGGTGCCATGGATTGGAGGGTCACGCCTGCTGTAATGGGCAGCACATTTAAATGGGTGCCAGGATTCAGGAGCAAAGGAGAAAAAATAGTGGAGGGGACACCCTCTACTGTTTTCGTCTCCATCCTAGATCACATACCAAAAGCAAAGAGACTAAAATACCTCTTTTATTCTCACTTCTTTTTCTAGATGGGTAACAGATCATCTTCAACATGAACTCCCCTGGAGTGTATTTTGAAGTTCTGGGACTTCTTCGACCTTGAAACTTTGAAAAAAAAAATAGCTTATTTTCTTTTGCACAAGGGTATGGCCTTTTTACTAGATCTTTGCAAGTGTTGCAAAATCAACCCAGCCCTTTCAGCAGCCATATGGGGCAGGCCCAGGGAAAATAGTTTCCCCAAATGAAAAAAGTAACTTTCAGGGAAATCATCTGAGGATTCCCTTATTTGGGGCCCCTTCAAGTCCCCTTCTCATTGCAGGGTCTTAGGCAAGTAAAGGGAGACTTGGGCCAATTTTCTGACGACCCTGATAGGTATATAGAAGCTTTTCAAAATTTAACTCAGGTATTTGACCTCTCATGGAGGAATGTTACGGTGTTCCTCAGCCAAACCCTAACTGCAGCTAAAACAGGCAGCAGTGCAAGCAGAAGAAAATTTTGGAGATGAGCAATATGTCTCCTATAGTAGGCCAAAAGGGAAAAGAGAAAATGGGAAAGGCAAAGAAATAGGAAAAACACCATTCCCAATAGGAAAAAAAGGCAATATCTTTTGACAACCCTAATTGGAACCCCTTTCTATGGTGTTTTACCTTTTTTGGTGGTTTAAAATGACTTATATCTCTTTTATAATGTTCTTCCAATCTGGAAAAAGTTCCCAACCTTAAAATGCTTGATTTAGATTTAAGCTAGGGGGAAGGGAACCCAGAAGCCTGATATGCCAGCAAAGTGGTAAAAATTTCTTACAAATGGGGCTTTTGGCTTCTCTCCCCCTGTGCAAACCAGTACAAGGGATAATAAGGATAATCATTTATATTCTCTGTAAATGTATAATTAATGAAAAAGGATTTGTGAAGTTGGTCTTAAGCTGTAGACAGTCTGGTGTGCCTTGCATGTCTTTCTGTATGGTTCTGTCAAATAAAGGGTATCTTAGGTTAGGATGGAGGCCCAGGACCCCATAAGTCTGCTGTTCAAGCCAGCCCAACAAAATAGTAACAAACTTGGCTACAGGCCTCCATCTTGTTTCATGTCCTTGGGAACATGACCTGTAACCGTGTGGCAATACTTTGTTTTAGCCTCCACCATTTTACAATGGTGGCTGTCTTTTTCTGCTAAGTCAGTTCCTGGGTGAGGGCCACAAAATCAGATAAGCCAGTTTATCAGTCTGGGTGGTGCCAGGTAATCCATCAAGAGCAGGGTTTACAAAATATCTTATGCACTGATTTTAAAAGCAATTTAGGGAAGGTCAAAAATCTTGCAGCCTTCAGCTGCATAGCTCCTGGGCCATAGTTTCTAATTTTATGGCTAGTTTCTTGGGCTGGTCCCCAGACAAGAGGGAAGTGTATCTTAAGAAGAGGTTGTTAACATCTTTGTTTTAGACTATAAACTGTAAAACCGGTTCCTCCCAAAGTTGGTTCCACCTATGCCCAGGGATGGACAAGGAAAGCTTGGGAGCTAGAAACAAAATGGAGTTGTTTGGGTCAGATCTCTTTCACTGTCTCAGTCACAATTTTGCAATTACTGTTTTGAAAGCTTCCTATCACTCCTTTAAAAATACCTTGTATGCCTGTGGTTAAGTCACAATCTAATTAAAGCTTGTCAGTTTCACCTGTGACTTACTTTTTGTAAAGTTCAAAAGCAGAAAATCTTAACTGTTTGACGTGGCTAAAGTCAAATAACAAGGGATTTGAAATGATTTTCTTTTCTTTTTTTTTTTTTTGAGACGGAGTCTTGCTCTGTTGCCCAGGCTGGAGTGCAGTGGCGCGATCTCGACTCACTGCAAGCTCCGCCCCCAGGGTTCACGCCATTCTCCTGCCTCAGCCTCCCGAGTAGCTGGGACTACAGGCACCCGCCGCCACGCCCGGCTAATTTTTTTGTATTTTTAGTAGAGACGGGGTTTCACCATGTTGGCCAGGATGGTCTTGATCTCCTGACCTCGTGATCCGCCCGCCTCGGCCTCCCAAAGTGCTGGGATTATAGGCGTGAGCCTTCTTAAAGAGTGCTAGGCTTAATTAAACATGGGTATTCAAGTTGTAGGTATATTTGAAAGGCTTTTATGTTTTTCTCTTCTTGGATCTTGTTTTTCTGGAAAAAGGCTCTTTTCTTCTCAGTTAAATTGGTTAATCCCTTTATTAAGCCCTCTCTTGCTTATATATCTTTTATTAATATTTGGACCCTGTATACTCAATACTATAATTTGAATTGCTTTTTCTCACCTAGAAGTAATCAAACTCCAAATGGTGCTGCAAACTGAACTACGCATGGACACGCCATTCTTCCGAGGACCCTTAGATCGACCCCAGGAGGAGTCCCAGCTGCTGTTCCCCATTCAACGCCCTTTTCAGCAGCAGGTAGCCAGAAAGAGTCGTCGCCCAAAACCCCCCAGTAGCAGTTAGGGTGACTTCTCCATAGGGGGCAAAGTTTTAGGAATTATTAAGAGATTACTTTAGGCAGATAGAGAGGAAAAGGGGTCCTTAGAAATTTTTTGTCTCTTTTAAAGCAGCTCCAGAAACGTTTCTTGTCTAGCAGAAAAGCCCCGGCTCTTAAGAGCCGGCCGGCAACCTTTGATATCCAAATGCTGACCATTAGAAACTGGGTCCACCCAACATGGTGATTCCCACCGTTGTCCTCTTGCCCTTGCCTCCACATGTGCCTGGCAACATGGCTGCCCGCCGACATATCCCCACTTTTGTAGAACATCATGGCCCCCTACACTGGCATATTAAAAGGTTAGGGTGGGAGGGCCAGTTTTTTCGTGGGTGAAGTGAATGACATGCCTGGTCAAACCAATACCCTGAACCCTATACAAATCAGACACAACCTCTTCCAGCCTCCTCATATAACTGGCTGATATGCACCGCACATGAGGTCCCCTCTCTTGGCTTTGGAGCCCCTCCTCCTTCGGTCTCTGTAGGGGGAGCTTTTCCTGCTTTCTTCTCCCTTCTTTGCTGCCTGTTAAACTCTCGGCTTCTTAGAACCACTCCACAGGTGTCCATGTCATTTTATCTAATTTGACATGAGACAAGAACCCTGGTGGTCCTCCACTCATCAGAGCTGTATCATTGTCATGGGTCTTAAGTTATTTGCATTGGGTTAAAACATGCTCCTTTAGCCTCAGCAAAGTTTATTACCCACCTTCTGAAGCCTACTTCTGTCAATTTGTCCATCTCATCCTCTGTCCAGTTTGGTGCCCTTGCTAAAGAGGTGTTTCAATCATTAGGAGAAGAAGAGGCATTCTGGCCTTTGGGTTTTCAGCATTTTTTCATTGGTTCTTTCTCATCTTCATGAGTTTGCTGGTTTTGATCGCTGAGGCTGCTGACACTTGGGTGTGGTTTTGATTGGGACTTTTTTCATTGATGCTGTTGTTGCTTTTTGTTTGTTTTTCTTTCAATAGTCAGGTTCCTCTTTTGTAGGGCTGCTGTGGTTTGCTGGGGGATCACTTCAAGCCCTATTCATCTGGTTCACTTCTGCACCTGGAGTTGTCACCTGAGGAGGCTGGAGAGCATCAAAGATGGGTGCCTCCTCCTTCCTTTGGGATCTCTGACCTTGAGGGGCAACAAGCTGATGCCAGTAGGAACACTTCTGTATATGGTGTCTGGCGACCTCTGTTGGGGTGTCTCACCCAGTTGGGGCACACAGGAACCAGGACCCATTTAACGAAGCACTTTGGCTGTCCTTTGGTGGCGGGGCTGTGCTGTGCTGGGGGGAAATCCACTCATCTGGGCTGCCCAGATTCCTCAGAGCGAGCAGGAAGAAAGACTAAGTCTGCCAGTCCACAGAGACTACAGTCATCTCTCCTCCTAGGGGCTCAGGCCCACGGAGATCAGAATTCTATCCCTGAGCCCCTGGATGAAGTTCTTGGAGTTCCTTCAGGAGGGTCCCACCCAGTAAGGAGGGTTGTGCAAGGGTCTGACCTGAACAGGTATTCTGGCAACCATCTGCCACAGCTGGTGTGATGCACTTTGGGGAATACCTCTTGGGACCAAGCCATCCAGCTTCCCTGGCTCCAGCAGGGTAAAAGCACAGCCTGGAGCTATAGTAATGACTGCTACCCCTACCCGAGGAAACTCAGATGGCTGAGAAAGCAGGCTGCAGCAATGATGGCAGCTGCCCCTCCCTTGGGGAGTTCTTGTCTTAGGGCACCGCAGCAGTGGCTGCCATTCCTCCCTCAAGGAGCTCAGACAGCTTAGACAACAAACAGCAGCAGCAGTGGTGATGGCCGCCCCTCCGCCTGGGAAATCAGCAGGCTTAGGCAGATTCCAGTTGAGTGGCTATTGAGAATCTGCATTACTCTGTGGTTGGGAGCCAAGGCCCCCAGGGCATGGGCTCACAAGTGGGATTTTCTGAACTCTGGGTTGCACAGTTCTGTAGATAAAGCACATTTCCCAGGCTGGGTAGCACGGTCACTCACTGCTTCCCTTGGATCAGGGGAGGGGCTCCCCTGCCCCATGTGGCTATCAGATGGGCTGAGGCACCACCCTGCTCTTCCTTTCTCTCTGTGTGTCACACCAGCTGCCAAGCCAGTCTTGATGACAGAACCTGGATGCCTTGGTTGCTGCTGTGGGATTCACATGCTGTTTTGGTTCTTTCTGATGGAAGCCTTTGATTTCCACTGCTTCTAGTTGGCTGTCTTGGCCCAGACCCTCCAATCTTAACTTTCATTATTTCTTCTGTTTCATTCTTTGTTTAGCTAGGTCTGTGTTTTTGATATATATACTTTTCCTTTATATCTAGAAAAATTTCTTTTAATGTTTCTTACATGGCAGGCCTACTTGTGACAAATTTCTTCAGTTTTTGTCTAAGAAACTATTTTTGCTTCACATTTGAAGGATAATTTTCTAGATAAAGAATTCTTGGGTTGGTGTATTTTTCTCCTCCCCTGCCTCCTCCTCCTCCTTGTCCTTCCACACTTTAAATGTTTTAATCCACCTGCCTCTTTTTTTACATGGTTTCTGACAAGAAGTCTCCTGTAATATTATCCTTGTTCTTCTATAGGTAAGGTATTATTTTTCCTTTGGCTTCTTTCAAGATTTTCTCCTCGTTTTTGGCTTCCCACAATTTTAATGATAACCTAGGTGTAGTTGAGTTTTGCTTGTTTGTTTGTTGTGTGTGTGCGTGTGTTTTGTTTGTTTGTTTTTGTTTGTTTTAGCATTTTTTCTACTCAGAGATTTTTTGATCTGGGATTGAGTGCCTATTATTAATTTTGAAAATCATCAACCATTTTACATTCAAATTTTTTTTTCTGCTCTGTTCCTTCTTGATTCTCTTTCTGGTTTTTCAAATATGTCTATGTTAATGTTACACTTTAAAAAAATGTAACAATTCTTGGATGTTCTAGGAGCCCATCAAGAATATTCTTCATTTCTACTACAGTAATTTTTTTTAAGAGACAAGTTATTGCTGTGTTGTCCTTGAACTACTGATCTCTTGGGCTCAAAGAGATTCTTCCACTTCAGCCTCCCTAGTAGCTGAGACTACAAGTGCCTGGCTCAGTGCTTTTTTCATTTCTAGCATATCATTTTGATTGCTTCTTAGAGTTTCCATTATTATATTGGAGCCCTGCTGATGGAAGTACAAAGGAGTATTCCACAATCTTATGATTATATCTTAGTCTTTTAAAGGGCCTATGTCCCTGCACTTTGTGACCTTCACAAATGTTTACTACCTCTTCTGTTCTCTTGGGTGAGACAGAAAGGCAGATGGGGCTAGAATTGGCTAGAATTAGGGGATTTCCCTTCCCCTAGTTCTGCTAAGGTTCCAGCAAAGTTTCTTCTCCAAAGTTTCCTTTGGAGAGTAGACCTTTGTTATGTAGAGCACTCTGGCCATGTTTCCAAATCATAACTTTTCCTTTCCCTGCTAGGAACACAAAGGGATCTTTGCTCTGAGAACTGTTAGAGTTCCTGAGAGTAAAACCCATATAAGTGTGGAGACCCTCTTAAGACAGGGTCCCCCAAGAGTTTCTCCTTCTAAAGCTAGTCCACATTTTATCTCCAACAATCAATCAAAATTACCATGTAAATATGTGTAACAGTTTATGGCTTCTGCAACTCCTGCTCCAAGTAAGTTAATTTCTGCTGTGGTTCTCTGTATTTACCTATCTCTTCAGACCTTGAAATGCTGTTTTTGCCTTGTGGCATTAATTAAGTTTAAGAACAGTCATTGATTTTCAGTTTTCTTTTTCTTACGTACAGCTGAAAGTGATGATTTCTAAGCTTTTTACCAGAGCTAAAAGTACTTTCTCCATTATTTTTAAATACAGAAACCAGAAAATATGCACGCTCTTTTTCCCCTCTAAAATAAGTGCTTTCTCAGAATATGGCATGCTACTGGTTATTATCAAAGTTTAGAATTGTTATCTTAATAAGTTTTTTCTGTATAATCAAATGAATTATTTCCCTTTTCACAGAAAGTTATTTAATAATGCTTGAAGCTTTCTGAGTAGATTTTACTTCTTGTGTGTTATGCTACCTCTAGTGTGGACTTGATGGCTGCCTCTATACTATCCATTTAACCTGCAAACTGAGTATGTAGCAGTCTAGCATCATCTCTAGAAATGATTCTGATTTGTCTATAATAGTTAAGTCTATTCCAGTTGGATTAGTTTAGATAATTCAATCAGACAAATCAAAAGATGCTTTCTTTTCTGGCTATGAAAAAAAAAGTATGTAACTATATTTTTCCTGGAGTAAGCCTGTTGCAGGACAAAATTTAAAAGTAGTGAATGTAAGAGATGAAAAAAAGGCCAAGAAATTATAAAATTATAATTGCCCATACCACTTCTGAAATTCTCAGTGTCTTAGCAAATACATGTTTTCAAACCCAGTGTTGGATTTTCTTTTACTAACACGAAACATATTTTTCTGACATAAAGTCTATGTCCTGAAAAAGAATGTAGAGTATAATGAATTGTGGAAACATTTTCCTGATACAAGAATATACCTGCTTTCTTAGAAAGCCTAAAATATTCAGAAGAATAATTAAAAGAATAAAAAAACTATATGAAAATATAGCAACCAAATTTAAAACACATCTATACTTTAAGACCATTTTCCTTAATCTGAAAATGGCATTTGATACTTCATTACTTTTTATTGAATATTTTATTTTAAGCATTTTTCAATGTGATTTCAAAACAGTCATTTATGTCACTTGGAAATCTGTTTAATATTTCTCTCTTTGGGTTTGCCATAATTTATGTACCTACAATGGTCATTTTAACAGTATAGGACAGTTAAGTTTGTTCCTATTTCTTGCTATTATAAATAACTTTGGGCCTTCTTATAGTTTATGTTTTACATCTTGTCTAGAATAGAAAACTGAATTATTGCACAGAATGTGTAATAGTGGTTTAACATTCTAGATCTCTATGGGCAAATGACTTTTTGAAATATTTCTGTCAATATCAATATCATCATTGACAAATAAAATGGCTCATCTTGGTGCATCATTGCTATCACTGAATATTACTGCCTTGAGAAATAGAAATAGATTATCCAACTAGAAAATAAACATTTAAAAAACAAAATAAAAAACAATAACATATGACTGAATCTGTATTTCCATTATTGTAAAATTAAATTAAGTGATAATTTTTAAACTAGTCGTCTTTATTTTTATTGTTAGGAGTTGCCTATATTCTTTTAATGTGTTTAGTTAGATTTTAATAGAAAATTACTCAATTATATTCTTTATAAGGAGATTTTGGTGTTTTTATAGTCTTTTTTTGTGTTTTGAGACAAGAGTCTTGCTCTGTCACCCAGGCTGGAGTGCAGTGGCGCCATTTGGGCTCACTGCAAGCTCCACCTCCTGGATTCACATCATTCTCCTGCCTCAGCCTCCCCAGTAGCTGGGACTACAGGCGCCCGCCACCACGCCAGGCTAATTTTTTTGTATTTTTAGTAGAGACAGGGTTTCACCGTAGTCTTGATCTCCTGACCTCGTGATCCACCCGCCTCGGCCTCCTAGGGTGCTGGGATTACAGGCTGAGCCACCGTGCCCAACCTATAGTCTTTTAAAAATGTACTTAACAAACGTACTAAAACTTGGTCATATTTATTAAAAACTTTTTGTTGCTAATTTGCTTTTAAATTATTTTTAAATCATTTTTAGAACTTTCATCAGAAATGTAATAATTTTTTTTAGAAAGCTTGAACAATGTTGAGAATCACATAGATTCGGTAATCTTAATGTCAGAGGAAATATTTTATTGTTATTAATGGTATAATTATGTACATTATTTATAGGATATTAGTCGTTAATATGTTGTGAATATTTGTTATGACATATATACAGTTATTTTTTAGTGGCAACATAAATTCTATTTTTTGTTGGCTATTTCATGATATGGGATAGACAATTTCTGTATTATTACTGCTTTTCCAATTTTGAGTAGTCTCTAATTTTTTATGATTTAATTTAATGGATATCTTTTTAGATAAAAATTTGTACAGATTAATTATTTTAGCCTGTGGATACATTGCCAGAAACTGACTTGGTTAATTGAGGATTAAAAGATAGCTACAAATGTTACATTCATGTTATGCTGTAAAAACTATGAACTGTTTACCTTTCTAGTAGTGTTTTAGAATTCCTGTTTCCCCAAAACCTAACCCCACATTAAAGATTAGATTTTTAAATTTTTTAAGTAGAAGCTATTATCATTTTTGTTTTTTTTTATTTATTTGATGCTGAAGGGTTTTAAATATGTTTTTAGCTATTTTCTTTTTCTGTGTATACGGAAGTATACAAATTACTGGCTTATGCCTTTTTTACTATTAGACTATTAATAACTACAAGGACTATTACTATCATATGTATATATATATATCTAAATTATCTGTATCTATCAATATCAATATAGAAACGTACTTTGTAGACAATTCTATTTTACTTTCTTTGTTATTGTCCACTTTTGCTCAAAAATTTTTAAAATGTCTTAATTTTAAAGTAAAGCGCAGACACAGAAAACTGTACAAAACTTGTGTGTGTGTGTGTGTGTGTGTATACATGTTTTGTAATATAACAACCAAATATATGTCTTCATAAATTACTAGAGGTGAATCTAGTTTCCGCCAAACTTCCAGAAATTCTCTCACCCCTATTAGCTTATAAACATTATACAATTTGTAATAGTAATCACTCTTATTTTTATTATTCAATAGTTTAAAGATCCTTATGTGTTTTCTTATAAAATTTACTATTTTTCATTTACAAAATTAAAAAGAATATATATATATATCTTTTGCTATGTAGTTCTCTCCCATCCAACCATTTCTTCATTATTTGTCTGTTTATTAACCTGAAGCATTTGACTTGTAGAGTTTTCTAAAGTGTGAATTCTATTGATTTCATAACAATGGTACAGTTCAATATGTTCCATTGTCCTCTGTATTTTCTAAAAGTAGACAGTACCATCCAGAGACTGAATCAAACTTACATTAGATTCCTTCAGTATGGCTATATGTGGTTAGCAAGACAATAAGGCACACACCATCTGGTCGTCTCTCGTTTTTTACTGTTAACATTGCTATCTATATATGACCTATATCTGGTAATCAAATAGGGATTGGTAAATAATAATATTCCATTGCTATCACTTCTTTTTCCTTTATTATTTGAAATGCTTTTAAAATAAGACACTTTTACTCACCTATTATTTTCTACCAGTGGAACCATTTATGAAGAAAGGCCAGGATGTTTGATTCTTTTGCATTATTGATCATTTTTGTGAATAAAGCAATGATTTTTCTAACATCTTCCACAATTAGCCAATCTTTTTTTCTAGTATTTTAAAGAAATAATAGATTCATATGTATGTTCGAGGACCCAATTCATTGCAGTTTTTATTGTTATTGAAGTAGAGAGTGAACCACATTCAGCCAGTTGGGAATTTGAAGAGTCAGTTCCTAACTCTTTTTGAAATGTCAGTTGCCTTGATAATTTACTTGCTACTTGGAATGGCAACATGTTCTAGCCTCACCATATATATTTTCTGCCCCAGATCTGGAACTATCTATTTCAATCAGAATCCCTGATTTTAAAAAAAATTCTGAATAGGAATTCAAGACACAATCAAGGAATTGCTCATCTTGTAGTATTTTTCAGTAGAATTAGAAAATAAATGTAAGATCAAATACCTCAGCAGTTGTTATTGACGTTCCTCTGTAAAGACTACAGATATTTACTTAACTTCTTCTCTATTACTTCTCTATTTTCTTTCTTCCCCTGAAAATTGTTGTTCTAAAGGACAAAGGCGATGGCAGAATTTGAACATCATTCAATTATCCTTTCTATTTTGTTTGGCATTACACACACACAACAACAATCTCAGAGAAGCAATATATATAGTTGCTGTCTTAAGTAATTACTGAAAATATTTTTAAAGTTTTGCATTGTTCTTTTAATTCTCTCTCATTTCTATGGTTGTACTATATTTTCATTTCCTGAGCTTATAGCCATTATATAACTCTCTCTCCTTTCCTTTAACTCTGTTGTCTCTCTTATGCTTAATTATAATTCAACTCATATTCCTGCTTAATATGGAGCTATGTTATAGAAGAGAGATCTGGAGGTATATTTTAAAACAATTTTAGGAGCTAGATCCTCTTCAGTCCTTCTTTTCCAAGATTATCAATATTATAGAGGACAAAACACCTCAGTTTTGGCTCTTCTCAAATTGCTCCCATGTGTTTTCCAGTGAGTACTTTGGATATATTGGTATTTTCTATACAAGTTTGTCAGACAGCAACTCTCATTTTTATTTCCTCAGATAACAGTAATATGCAAGACTTATTGGTCATTTGGTTTGTTACTGACTCACTTGTATTTTAAGGTCCTGTGATATCTTTTGAACCTACTTTTATTAATATTATTATTGTATCAGATATCAACTCTTGTATTTTATTTCTCAGATATGACTCAATGGATATATGATAGCCTATAAAACATAGGTGGTTAAAAATATTACTAATGATAACACAATCTATTTCTAAAAGAAATTTTTTTCATCCTGAGCTCCATTGAGTTTATCTGTCTATATCTAGATCTATACCTATATCTATGATATAAACAGTGATTTCTCAAAATTCTTACCCATCCATAATTGCCATTTCGTCTGTTGTTGAGAGATAGGATTCCTATCTCTTGATATTTGGAGACTTGATTTAAAAGAAAAATCTCAATTATTTTCTCACATTTTGGTAGAAGTTGCCTTTTTTGTGATGAACAAAATTTATATTTTCTAGATAAATTGTGATGACATCTTTATTAAGTCTAGAAAAGTTCATGAAGATTGAAATACCAATGAAAATAATTACTGATATTTCATATGTACATAACTTAAAATGTAAATGACAATATAGTATTTATTTGATTGCTAAAATTATGTTTGAATTAAAAAATTATGCTTAATTAAAGTGATACATTTTTATCAACAGGTCCTTATTTAGGGGCAAATATATTTCCAGTGCTTCATGGGAGCCTAATGTATGCTGTCATAACTTGATTGTGAATAAAATTATGTGGCATTTGATTCAGGAAAGGCAAAGTGAATTAGCCAAAATAATTTGAAAAACTAGTGAGGGGAAAATGTAACACTTGAACCAAGGAAGGCTTATTAATGCACTTTTGGTGTGAAAGTTGAAGACTCTATGAGCTGAGTCTATATATTTGAACCCAGCAACTAACTGTTATAAAGATTCTATCCTATTTTTGCTGCTACAATATTAACCACAACGTGGAGAATGTTTATAGCATGTCCTGTGCACACTTGTCTCTTATCACTCAATCAAGGACCACTTTTCTCAAATTAAATTTTTATTCTTCATAACCGTCCTTATGCATAAAAATAGAATATCAATAGAAAAACTTAAAGTATGCATAATCTCTATGCTTATTCCTCATGTAACTAAATTGTTCTTCATAGATCTACATAGTGTTAATGACATGAGAAAATTAAAAAAATACACATGTAATTATTGCCATTTTGATTATTTTGGTATGACAATTCAAGTTTATAGGCTAACTTTACTTTTTCTAAAAAACACCTTCTTACAGACATTAACTAAATCCCAGTCTCAAACATAGTATTTTGTCCTTTGTTATATCCTGTATTCTTCACTAAACCTCTGTAGAAATGGTGAAAAGACATGATAACACCAGCACACTCTAGGGGTCTTATAGATTTGCATAAACCAGATTATAGAGAACAATTACCTAAAAGGATAAATGTGCCTGGATAAAGCACTGAGCTGGGAGTTTCAAGGCTGAGATTCCCATTGTCTGTCAGCTACTTGGTTTTGCTACTTATTTTTCCAACTTTTTTTTTTCTGTGAAATTATTTTTTCCTGAAGTTTTAAAATAAAGTGGGCTTCAGGAAAGTTTTATAGTTTTTCAAATTTATCTTTTCTGTTGTTTTTGTATAGTGTTCAAGATTATGTAACTTGTTTTCTTAGATTTTCCAGCTGTGTTTAACTCTCTACTTTAATCTAAATCTTCTTTTCTTTTAACTCTTGTCTTCATTCTGCTCAATTATGATACAATTCTCATAATTTCTCCTTAGTATGGAACTCTGTTCTAGAAGAAAGACCTGAAGGGACATTTTTTAAAAGTTCTTAGTGACCAGACCACTCTATCCTCTTCAGTTTTGTTTTTTGTTTTGTTTTTGTTTTTGTTTTTCCCCAAACTAACCAATATTATAGAGGGGGAAGCCTCTCTTCATTTTAGCTGCTCTCCACAACTACCTGATGTTTAGGCTCAAATTTTCACCTAAAGTTGGACAGGAGATTTGAAGTGACTTGGAGATTGATCCAGGAAAAAGCTATGACTATAGGAGGCAGTAACACATGATGAGTTTTACTGGGAAGTGCTTGAACAAAATTGCAAGAGGGGGTAAGCCCCTTACAATGAGAAATTGTCCAGAGGGTTACAGTGAGAAGATCACTCCAGACAGAGCGAAGGTTAGGGGAACTCCCAGACAAAAAGGGACTCTGAGAGGGCCTTACCTGTCTAGGTGATGTCAATCAGCTGCACGATGGGAAATCTCTAGGTCTGAGAGTCTTAAAAGGCCACGAACCTAAGGCCTTAGAACAACAAGACCCTATCATGTTAGTGGCTGGAAGATTCAGACTGAAGTGTCAGGCAAAGCAGACAGTCTCTAAATGGCTAAACATATGCTTTTCTGGACTATTTTAAGGTAAATATATTGTGAATTTGGTGCTGGATGACTTTGGAACTAATGTATCTTAGCCAAAAGTGAAGGCATACAAAACCTAGGGACCAGTAGAGAGGCCATCTTTGGCTTATTAATATAACAAAGCGGAATAATAATTATTGTCACATACTGCCACATGAGTGTTGGAGGAATTAATGAGATAATACTTGAAAAGCTTTTTGGAGTCCTTCTCAAGAAAGGTAATTTGTTAATATAAAACTGACTATTAATACAGCAAGAAGCCTTTTCCCAAAGTAGCTTACACACAATCACTGCTGGGTGTATTCACTGCAACAGAAATGAGCTGCTCATGGAGATTATAAACATTCACATTATTCCTTTAGATTTTATTGCAAGGGCATTCGTTTACATATTAAAAAGCTTTAGGAATATTCTTAAGACATCAATTTAAAGCATGGTTTGAGTAGAATTATAAAATGAACATTTGGATTTGAGTACAATTGTATAAATGATTAGTTTTTCAAGGATTATTTGTATTTAAATGTCTTGTTATATATAAAATGAGGAAAATATTCTTAATATTTCAAAATATGAAACTGAATTAAATATTGTGTTTTCACATATATCTAAATTGAAGCTATACAATTTAATATATATCTAAATCTGTGACTATCATCCCTTTGGGGGAATATATTTTCCTTAACATTTGATAATAAGAGAATTCAGTCTTTGATATGGTTTGGTTCTGTGATCCCACCCAAATCTCAATTTGTAGTTCCCATAATTCTCACATGTTGTGGGAGGGACCTGATCACAGATAATTGAGTCATGGGTATGGGTCTTTCCCTTGCTGTTCTCGTGATAGTGAACGGGTCTCATGAGATCTGATAGTTTTAAAAATGAGAGTGTCCCCACACAAGCTCTTTCTTTGCCTGCTGCCATCCACATAAGATGTGACTTGCTCCTCCTTGCCTTCCACCATGACTGTGAGGCCTCCCCAGCCATGTGGAACTGTAAGTCCAATAAACCTCTTTCTTTTGCCAATTACCCAGTCTCATGTATTTCTTTATCAGCAGTGTGAAAATGGACTAAATCAGTCTTCATATAAATAAATCATACATTAGAAAGTGTGTATGTGTGTGTGTTTGTGTTTCTAACCAACTTTCTCTAATTCTTGTTTTTAAGAGTTAAGCTTTGTAGTATTATATTATTATAAATTGGAAGAAAATTCTCTCTCTCATATTCAGTGAGATTTATTGTGCAAATTTAAAGATTTATGTTTAGTACACAGGGGCAACAGAAGTAGCATGGCTAGTAAGTGCACTTTTATATAATTTATTTACATTTATGTAGTTAATGTGAACATAGAATGAGTGAAAAGATAATTTAAATAATCCCACATTTTTATAAGCTATATATAATATATATTTATTATTGACTATTTTAAGTAGAAAGTTATTATTATAAATGACAGTTAATGCTGTATTTCTAATTTTTACACAATTCATCCTAAAATAGTGGGTATATGAAGAGAGGAGCAAACATCAAGCTGAAAAAAGATGAGTGAAAATTGTATACTTAGATCCAGTTGATAATTGTATAGGCCCTGTTTATTAGTTATTTACCATAGATGTTAGCTTTCCACTTTCTGTTTTTCACTAGATCTGTGAGCATCCTACATATTTTCATGCTGTATTCCTGAGAAAGATTAACAGGAAAATGGGCACTATTTGTACCTGTTTGGATTCTCTACACTAAATCTACGTTTGCCTGAGATTTTGGCCTACTTATCTTTAAACCTGGTGATCAAGCTTTAAATGATAATTAGTATCAAAATTCTCTATTGCCATAAATACAGATATAATATTAGGAAATTAATAAAAGGAATTGAATTAAATATTTAAAGAGTTTTTTCTGAATTCTTACTGAACAATTAAACATATACTTCAGTAATGAAAATAACTAGATAGTAACCAGATGAAAACATCTAAAATCATTCTGAATAGTCAAATTAATGAATGATGGTTAACATAATGATAAAGATGGAATGAATTTTTTCTTATGTATATTTTTAATCAACACAATGATTTATAATGAGCAACACTCAGAGTTGGCTGCCCCAGTGGAATCTGGGGACACAAATAATGAAGAGCTGAAGAAAAAGATTCAAGAAGATCTGAGGTGGTATCTTGTAAGTGTCTTATACAATCCAGGTTTGTCCATTCAGATCTGTTTGTGTCCTTATGATCATGCTTCTTTCTAACTCTACAGAGCCTTTGAATTTTGTGTGAATAATATGCCTTTACTTCTTACCTGAGACATAGGCATACAAATCCAATTAAGCATGCAAGTTCCTTCAAGTTGGTGACCAGTCACAATTTTAAGAGGATTAGTGGAACTCACTACAGTCTTCTTTGCTGCAGCTCTTCTCAAGACCCTGATAGTCATAACACTCTTCCACAACCTATTTAAGGCCTCCTTTACTTTCACCCAGAATTTCTGTTGCTCTGAGCTGCTTGACTGGTGATATGACATCATCCTTGAGAGGTTTGTACTGTTAGCTACCTTGCCTTGTTAACAAATGTTGGCTGCAACTTATCATTTTCCATTCTTTCTGGGCATGACTATATCAATAAATGCCTCGGAAGGTTTCTAAGGTCCAGAAATGCTTCTTCCTTTCCTCACTGTGTACAGAAAACTATAGCACACTTTGGTAAACAGAGTTCATTGCCCAATCATTTTGTAGATCTTTTCTTTTTCTTCTGGTTCCTTTGAGGAAGCCAACATGGCGAAAAGGTAAATTCTACTCCTATTTTAGCATAACTCACAATGATTCTCTTGAGGGAAGTGTTCTTCTCTTAGGAACCGAGACCTTGAACCTGGCAGTGTATAGAATTGAAAAGATGTGAAGCACACACTAAAATGATGATGATGGCTTTTAGATCTATTGATATAGTGAGTCACAGCTGTTGGGGCACACACAGCACTATATATCTGCTCTTGAATCAGCACATCAAGCACATGCTGGAGACGATGCCTCAACCCTGCAGGCTGTTTTGTTCATGCTGGCTCCATAGAAGACACTTTAACTGTCCTTACACTGTTCTTACCAGACTGACTCGTTTTAGGACACATTATAAGACATACATATATGTGTTTGTATGTATACAGACATTAAGATATGTTAATTTGTATATAATAATAGTTAATAATAATATACAAATTAGTGTGATATATATCACACATATTCACTAATTTATGTCATTATTTATTACAATTATTATTATATATTATATTATATATTAATATATATATAAACCCTTGAAGTTATTTCATCATTATTATACCACTTTTTGGTCATAAAATCTATCCTCTTCTCTGAAGTGGTGTCATTTGTGAGACACTGCATAAACAAATCATTCTTGAGCCTTAGATAGTGGGGAATGTGGAGGCATTGCATGAGTGTCTTAGTTTGGGCTGCTATAACAGGATACCATGGATTGGGTGGGTGGCTTAAACCACAAACATGTATTTCTCATGTTCTGCAATATGGAACCAAGATCAGGTTTTTGGTGAGGGCTTTCATCTTGGTTTACAGATAGCTGTCTTCTCACTATATCCTCAGGTGGCACAGAGAGAGAGCTCTGATTCTTTCATCTCCTTATAAGGGCACCAATCCCAACATGGGGGCCCTACCACAATGGCCTCATCTAAATCTAATTATCTTGCAAGGGCTTAACCTACAAATATCATCATATTGGAGATTAAGGCTTCAATATATGAATTTTATGGGGAAACAGACATTCAGTCTATAGCAATAAAGAAGACAAACACATATTAAGAATATTTATCAATTATGGTAAGGATTGATTGCTGTCTGCTCCAGGATGGCAGAATCTAACATGTGACATACCACCAAGTGGCTGAATAGTTCACTATTCAGTTGTTTACAGCTGATATCTGCAGTGGTGACATTGACATTGATCAGTGGCATTGGTTAGAATTAGCTCTGGCAGGATGAGGCCTATGCACTCAGGCCATTTCATATTTGCCATCCTTGACACTATGCCTCTAATGCTAATGGTCTCATTGTGCCAAAGCTGAAGTAGCTGAGCAAAGAAAATAATCAGCATCTCTGTCTGGTGGCAGTTGGGTGAGATTCAAATATCTGTACATGTTGTGCGTATTTCTACATCTTCTTCTTAGCCCATCATGTCCCTCATGTTGCATCAAGTTTTGCTCTTTCCAAACCCTCATTGAAACATTCAGTTATTCATAATGAGATCCATATATATCCACACTTTTAGGCACTTTCTCCTTCTATTTCTGGATTTCAAATCCATAATTCATCTGTGAACCAGGCCTACATCCATTCCTTCTCTATTAGTTACCTCTAGAGAAATCTCCTTGAGAATATAGTTGAGACAAATGTAACAGGGTGGTTTGCGCTTCTTATCACATAATTTACCCGTATCTTTAGACCTGTTCTGTCCTGATCTCAAACAAACCACCTTAACTGAAAAGTTTATTGTTTCAATTTCTGCTTAACTTTGTCACTATTGACTCTAATATTGCCACTTTTTGATGGGCTGACATAATTGCATAGTAACTTGATGTTCCATGTTCAAATGCTCAGTATTAAGCCTGTACCAAGTTGAGGAGTTATTTTTAAAACAGTGATTAATTCTCTGATGCAGAAATCACAGCCTTGTTTCAGAATCTTAAAATATTGTACTTTTACTCTATTACTGAAGCTTGTTCAGGGAAAAACATCCACATTTTTGACAGATACTACCAGACACGAGATCTGCAGGGTTACATGGCCCAAGTGTTAATGCAGCTTGTAACATACTCTCACCATGCTGCAGAACCTACTGTTGCTCTGGACCCCTCTTGAAACTGTCAGCTTTTAAATCTATCAAACTGTTTACAGTAGTATTCCAAAATACATTATACCATCTCTACAATCCAAAGAGGCTCACTAAGTGCAGTGGTAGGAGATATGAGGTTAAAAAAAAATCAAAGAGCCTCCAATCTTAGTAATCCCTACATGTTCCAGACAAATGGATTTCTAAAATCTTTACTACTGTAATAGACTTCTAAATATTCAGTGAATTTGTTTCCTATCTCGTGGAATGCATTTGTTTTAGTAAGAAAATTTAAGGTATTCACTACTCCTTCTTATTAGAAACAGTTAACACGATGTAGTCAACATAATGCAAGAGCGTGCAGCTATTAGAAATGTCAGGACCAAGGATATTGACTATATTATGACAGAAAGCAGAAGTTTTTAACCAGTTCTGGAGCAAGACAGTGTATGAGGCACTGTATAGGTACTCTCGCCCTTTTTTGTAAAGATTAACTGGCTTTGATTCCCCCTAATGTTACGTATTCAGAAGCATTTACCAGCTCAATAGCCAAATATTGGATGGGTCTGTTTCAGTATGGAGATGACATCCAGTACAGCAAGTATAGGTATGGCTACTCCTAGTTAAGCTTACCATAATTTTTAATCGCATGCATTTTTTTCATAGCAACCAGAGAGATTAAATGAATGGAGATGAATGGGAGCCACTCCACCATTCATCAAAACTTTGATACTGGACTCAATTGTGAATTTGTCTTGAAATTTGATAATGCTTTTGTTTTACTGTTCTGCTCAGCAAAATAGTACATGTTTTACTGTTTTCCTACCTTAATGCCCTTTCATTCTGCAGGTGAGATAACAAACATTGGATCCTAAATATATCACTCCAAGTTGGACCCAATGGATGTAGGCTTGAACCAAAACTCTGTTCATGAATAGACTAATGAGAAAATCTGATAGTGTTCTAGGTCCTAGTGTAAAAGCTATTTTTTTTTTTAAAAAAAATAACTTTTCAAGAGATGGAAGACAAATTACATAAAGATTCAGAGACCTATTACCTAAGTAAAGATTTTAGGAATCTTCTTTTCTGGAGCATGTCAGGATTACTAAGGTAAGAGACATTTTTCTTTTTAACTTCATATCTCTACCACTAAGGCACAAAACTTAGTGAATCTCTTTGGATTGTAGAGGCTATATATTTTGGAACACTGTTGTGAACATGTTGGTGGATTTTGAAAGCTGATAGTTTCAAGAGGGTCCCAGCTGGATGGGACTGCCCTCAACTTATTTCTGAGGAAGCTTAAAGTTACGGAACTGATCCTTAGCCAATATAATGTCAAATGGGCTAAATGATGATTTATAATATGCTTTTCAAAATTCCAAACTCTCATAGTGTGTACCAAGGCTTGCTGGCTTACACCTGACATAATCTGTTAAATAGCCTCCCTTGGTTATGTGAGAAGAAGAACAAAAAAGACCTTTGTATTAGTTCGTTCTGACACTACTATAAAGACATATCTGAGACTAAGTACTTTATAAAGGGAAAAGGTTTAATTGACTCAGCTCCACATGGCTGGGGAGGCCTCAGGAAACTTATAATCATGGTGAAAGGCAATAGAGAATCAAAAGCACGCCTTATATGGTGGCAGGCAAGACAGAATGAATAAGAAAGGGGGAAGAGCCCTTATAAAACAGTCAGATCTTGTGAAAACTCATTCACTATCACAAGAACACCACAGGGGAAACGGCCCCCATGATCCAATCACCTCCCACCTGGTCTCACGCTTGACACATGGGGATTATGGAGATTATCATTTGAGATGGAATTTGGGTGGGGACACAGAGCCAAACCATGTCAATCTTGTTGAACACTTTTGAAGAATTCCCACTCTTTTAAAAGCAAAAATTCCTTACACAAGTCTTGGTCATTCAATGTCTGCAGATAAAGAAAGAACTTTATAAGAATGAACCCTGGGAGATGTGCCTCAGTGTTGTTTGGACAATACTTACCAACACTCATTTTCTCTTCCTGCATCATATTGTCTTCAGCCAAGCCTTATAACGGTATACTCTGTGGAGATGAGTGAGTTAATTTCATTATTGGACTTGCATAATATCTGTAGTTCCCTTGCCCCAATGTCAATCAAGATATACAATCTAAGAGTTAACAACCGGCCAGTGGTCCTTTTAGGTAGAATCAGGGACTGTCTGTCATATATACATGCAGTGCTATTTAAATTTCTTTTCTCAAGGGGATTCAGCACTTTTTTGCTCAAGAAGCTCTGGGACTAATTTATAGCTGGATTTTTAATGGAGATACATGTTTGTGCAGTGGTGGACTTTAGCCTTTTGCATACCAGCTCTGGTTACTTATTTACTTATTTGTTGTAATTTGTATTTGCTATAGATTTCTTTATTATTCTTGAACTTATAGAATTTTAGAAACTCCATCATTACCTGTGTACTTATCATGCATATTAGCCTGCTGTATCAGGTCACTCATGGACAAATACTCTGTCACTTTAGCTTTTCTGTTTTCTGTAGCTATCATTGCCACCTTGCTTTCAACAGTTAAAGGCCACCATTCTGAAGTCCTCAATATCAGTGATATTATGGATCCAAGTTTAATAGCAGCAGTGCTTACTATCAAGCCCTGCATATTGAGGACAGCCACCATGAAGTCTCTCAAAGATATCAGTGGTCCCCCCCACCAGGGAATTCATTATTGCCTCAGTAAAAGGAGTATCCTCTGGGGCCTTCTGGGAAACATAGTCAACGTTCTGAGATATTACATGGTGAATGTATTCTAAACCTTATTTCTTCCTCATGCTCCAACAAAGTGGTTTGACTATGTTTCCTTTTTTTTTTTTTTTTTTTTTTTTTTGAGACAGAGTTTCGCTCTTGTCACCCAGGCTGGAGTGCAATGGCGTGGTCTTGGCTCACTGTAACCTCTGCCTCCCGGGTTCAAGTTCAAGTGATTCTCCTGCCTCAGCCTCTTGAGTACCTAGGATTACAGGCATCTGCCACCATGCTAGGCTAATTTTTTTTTGTATTTTTATTAGAAAAAGGGTTTCGCCATGTTGGCCAGGCTAGTCTCGAACTCCTGACCTCAGGTGATCCGCCTGTCTCAGCCTCCCAAAGTGCTGGGATTACAGGCATGAGCCAGTGCACCCTGCCATTTTTACTTTTTTTTATTCTACACATCTTCAAGATCTACTTTCAAGAAGACATTCCAGAAGACTATTAGGATTAAGTCCAATTTTTCCTCCAGTACATAGAAACTTTAGTAACAGGGTGGCCATATCAATAATTTCTCCAAAATCCAGGCTTTTATCTCACATATATTGTTCCCATACTCTTCCAATCTAATCCCAGTGTTGGCCCACTTTCTGCAGGACATATTTCCAGATTCTGTTTTCTCTTTGGCAAATAAACTATTTCTTATTGGTAGATGGACCACACTGATCCACATAAACTCTCCAATAGGTGACCCTGACTAATGACCAGAAGGCAATGAGGGGTGGTAGAGACAGATCTTGAAGAGAATAAACATCATTTTGTGAGGCATTCACTTCTGGTGAGAGGTTATTGCATATGTTTAACTATGAGAGCATTTTTTACGTCTAATACTAGGAAGGAGGAGCTGTTTGTTTTGTTCAGATTGTTCAGGGGAATATAGAAGTTCAACATTATCAGGCTGTACCATCTATCACCTTGCCAGGTCTCAAGTTCAAAATATTTACCTATCAGAGCCTTAGTATAATATAGAAGCCTTGTCAAGGCTGCCCATTAATTTTAATTGTAAACTTTGCTACTTTTACAATAAGATCTCTGGCTGACATTTTAATAGAAGCTGCCCTCAACCTGTAAGAGAAGAGAGTCTACATAAAAGCTGTCACCATAGCTCTTTGCTTTCACAGTTTTACAACACACCTTCAATTTCCAGTTGGCTTCCCGTAGCCTATAATTTTCTTTCTGCAGGGCCTTCCAATGTAATTAACAGAAGCCAGTCTAGTCTTCAGTCTTTATCATTATCATTGCTCTCATACAATTCAAGTGCCATAGTCCACATATATCCAACACTTCTCCATCCACTTCTACCTTGCTCCTGTTAATCAAAGGTGAAATCCTTAGCACTTGTGATGTGAATACATGGCATGTTTTATCACCAGTTTATTTCTGGCATCCGCTGTTTTATCGTAGGCTTTTCAAATCGAACTTGAGGCAAATGCTCATAGGCTACTTTACCAGAAAGTACAATCCAAAAGAAACCAGAGAGGGGAAATACATGAGTGAGGCAGAGAATGCTAGACAAAAAATAAAACCATGTGTTACCAGAGTGTATGCCACTATTTTGTCTCAAGTCAGACCTTTTTTTTTTTTTTTTTTTGGTGAGAGAATTATGTGTTTCTTTGCCTATAAACAATCCAGAACTGGAGTGGAAGGAGAATAATTTATCCACTGGTTTCTACCTCTCATTGGTTAAAACTTTGCTTTATGTCTCCAGTGTGTGCCAGGGTGAAGGTGATATGCATATCCCATATATTTGTCTGTCTTAAAGTTAACAGGACTAAGCCGAGGGGGAGGTGTGGGACACATGATATGAACATGAGATAAATTGATATTGAGCTGTGCTTTCTGCTTAAACCACAGCTTGATTGAGCCACAAGAGATTGTTGCTGTGGTTGATTGGTGTAATACAAGTTGGCAAGAGCTCTTGACATGTAAATCTCAAATTTATGAAATGGTGTAATGAACAAACCAACAACAACAAAAAATAGTTATCTTTCCCCACACTGTGATACCCCCTTGATTCTTACCTCCCAAGGGCAAAAACTTTAAACTCTGTTTAGATTTTTCTTATGGTATCTAGTAAAACATTTTAAAGAACATACTTACTGGTATGTAGGCAAACATTTTAAAATAACATGTTGCTACTCTTCTTCCTTTTTTTCCTCTTAAAATATTAGGTATTAACTATTGACTGTCTTATTCTTAAACTGAGTATTAGCTCTGTTGACCTACAATGCTATGACATCCAACATTCACACATACACATAAAAAATGCACTCGTGCTCGAAAACACATAGACACCAAAGCACGCAAACACACATAAGTCTATGTTCTACTCATTCTATAAATAGGATTTTATTACACATTTTGTTTTTGAATCAGTATTATGACCATCTAAATGCTACTCACAGCTGGCCCACATTCTGGTAAGTATCTTATTGCTGTTACATTGAGGCAGGTTTAATTCACTTACTTGCATAGTTTCCTCTAAAGCTGTTACTCATTTCACATCAGACATTAAAACAAACAAAAACCAAAAACAAAATCAAATACTCAGACACACACACACACACACACACAACATGCACACACACACACACAGAGCTATAAAATTTCCCTCAATTTCATTTAAAATAAAAACAACCTCCACTATAATCCATCATCCTTACTCTACACTCAAGTGCCTGACAGTTACACATGGCTGGGGAGGCCTTAGGAAACTTACAATCATGACAGAAGGCACCTCTTCACAGGGCAGTGGGAGAGAGAATGAGTGCAAGCAGGGGAAATGCCAGACCCTTATAAAACCATCGGATCTCATGAGACTCACTCATTATCATAAGAACAGCATGGAGAAACCACCCTCATGATTCAGTTACATTCACCTGGTCCTCCGCTTGACATGAGGGGATTACAGGGATTACAATTCAAGGTGAGATTTGGGTGCTGACACAGAGCTAAACCATATCATTCAGCAAACCTCATGTTGAAATTTGATCCCTAATCTTGGCGATGCGGCCTAATGAAGGTGTTTGGGTTATGGGGACAGCCCCTCATGAATGGCTTAGTGCCATCCTCATGGTAATCAGTGAGTTCTTTCTCCATTAGTTCCTGCGAAAGCTGATCAATACAAAGAGCCTGGCATCTCCCCTATCTCTCTTGCTTCCTATCTCAACATGTGATCTTTGCAAATGCTGGCTCTCCTTCCCCATCTACCATGAGTGGAAGCAACTTGAAGCCCTCACCAGAAGCAGATGCTGGCACCATGCTTACTATACAGCCTGCATAACTGTGAACCAAATAGACAACTTTAAAAAAAAATAAATCATCCAGCTTCAGGTGTTTCTTCATAGCACGAAAATAGACTAAAACCAGTCACATTCTTGGGCCCTGTAGTTTCTGTTCGTTTGTTTTACCTCACAGTTTATGGTGGAGTATATCTTCTTAGAAATGATGATTATCATAAACTTCTCGGTACCTTGCTTATCTGAAAATATATTCATATTCCTCCTATATGTGACTATTTTGCAAGTAGCATTCTGCCTACTCATTTAGCACATTTCTATTTTCCTTCTTTTTTTAAGTAAGTCTTCTTTGTCTCATATTTGATCAGGTCTTCCATCTATTTTTTATGTATATATAGGTTTTATTCCCTACCATATTTAGAGTAGGAATTTAAGAAGGAGTGTACATTAATATGTGCATCAATCAATGTTTAATCTTAAGTTTATATCTTTAGACCTTTTAATTTTCAATAAATTCTGAAGAAGGAAAAGCTGCTCAGAGAAATATATGAACTTGTTAATGTCATCAATTAAGGTACTATTTTGTTTTCCAATAGGAAGTTCACTTTTTTATATCTGATTTCTCAAAATACCCTATATAAAGTACATGCCAGAAAATGAGATCCAAGATCAGCAAAATGTAAAATCACCACAATTCATTGGGTTTTTATTATCAGTTGAATCAGCAATTTCTGAATCATACAAATATGCACCAAAATCATTTGATAATTTCTTCAATAGTTATATCAGAATGCAAGTCTACATCCAGCCATCAAACACCATCTAGATATTAATATTTTTAGAAGTTGCAAGCTTAAATTGAACCCCTTAAATTTTCATTTTCTCTCAAAGTCTCCTCTAAATTTAGTATATTCGATTAGGCAAACTATGCTTGACTTTCTTGATTAAAAAACAGTAACTATAGGACTTATTGCAGAGTCAGAAAACATAAAATGATAAAACACAATATTTAAAATGTATTATTATGACATTATTTTTTGACTATGGGTTAAAATATTAGCTACTAATTCTGCTATGAAAATACAGTAGCCTTTCCTTATCTAAGGGAAATACATTCAAAGACCCCCAGTAGACTGCTGAAACCATGGCTAGTACCCTATGTATACCATATGCACATTACCTTTTACTTCTTTACTATTTCATGGATAGCAGGTTTGCTCTAACCATAAATCTTAGCAAGCTCAGCATATAATATCACCCCCTCCTTATTAAATTGAGAACTTTCACCTTTTCACTTAAAGGACGCGCTTCATGGCTTTTCTCTGGCATATCCAAATTGCCAGTATTGCTACTCTCTCACTTTGGGCCAGGGCTGTGGCCATTATTAAGTAAAACAAGGGTTATTTGAACTGTGATACTGCAACAGTTGATGGAATAATAGAGTCATTTACTAAGTGACTAACAGGCAGGGAGCATCTACAGTGTGGAGACACTAAACAGGGACAGAACTAGATGGCATGGGATATTATCTTCCTACCCAGGAAGACACTATTTAAAATTTGGAAGTTGTTCATTTCTAGAATTTTCTATTTAATATTTTCAGAGCTTGGTTGAAACTTCAGGAAGCAAAACCATAGATAAAGGTGAACCACTGTAGACATAAAGGTTGATACAGTTGATGGGAATTTTCTTTGAGTATCATAAGGTCAAGATTGATTTGCTGCTTTTTAAAATATGCAGTGGCTATTATTAAATTCAATTTATGAGTAACATCAACTCTCTGAAAATGCATTATTTTGTAAGAATGTATTTGCTAATTTTTGAAAACTAAGACTGTGATAGCATTCCAGAAATTAATAATTATGCATACATATATACCAGGCTAGATATTGTCAAATAATTTAACCTTTTAAATTTTAAAAATATGATTTTCCTGAACATTTAATAAGCTACCAAGAAAAAAAAGTATTTAAAATAGAATTAATTCAAAATATTTTCCAGGAGAATAGTATCTCGATAATATCAGGGTTGGAAAGACCATACTATATTTAGTTGCACAATAGAGGATTAGAAACATCTTTCTCTGTGTGCTCACAATTAAGAAAATACAGTCTTCTTAAAGGATTTGCTAATTTGGTTCAGCTTAATTTCATTCATAACTCTTTAGAAACAATATATTGATGTGACAGTGAGAGATTTATAAAAAGTATTTTTTTCTTCCTTAAACTTAGTTTTAGAAAGCCAAATTATAAAATACTATATTCTAAAAAAGTGATATGATTTGGCTGTGTCCCCACCAAAATCTCATCTTGAATTGTAACTCCCACAATTGCCATGTGTTGTAGGAGGAACCTGGTGGGAGGTCATTGAATCGCAGGGGCTGGTCTTTCCCCTGCTGTCCTTGTGATAGGGAATAAGTCTCATGAGATCTGAGGGTTTTAAAAACAGGAGTTTCCCTGCACAAGATCTCTTCTTTTGTCTGCCACCATGTGAGATGTGCCTTTCACCTTCCGCCATGTTTATGAGGCCTCAACAGCCATGTGGAATTGTAAGTCCATTAAACTCTTTTTCTTACCAGTCTCAGGTATGTCACTATGAGCAGTGTGAAAATGGACTAATATAATAAATTAGAGCAGTAGAGTGGATTCTGCTGAAAAAATACCCCAAAATGTGGAAGCAACTTTGAAACTTGGTAATAAGCAGGGGTTGGAACAGTTTGGAGGGCTCAGAAGAAGACAGAAAAATATGGGAAAGTTTGGAACTCCCTAGAGACTTGTTCAATGGCTTTGTCCAAAATGCTAATAATGATATGGACAATAAAGCCCAGGCTGAGGTGGTCTCAGGTGAAGATGAGGAACTTGTTTGGAACTGGAGCAAAGGTGACTCTTGTTATGTTTTAGCAAAGAGACTGGTGGCATTTTGCCCCTTCCCTAAAGATTTGTGAGACTTTGAACTTGAGAGAGGTGCTTAAGGGTATCTGGTGGAAGAAATTTTTACGCAGCAAAGCATACAAGAGGTGACTTGGGTACCATTAAAGGCATTCAGTTTTAAAAGGGAAACAGAGCATAAAAGTTTGGAAACTTTGCAGCCTGAAAATGTGATAGAAAAGAAAATTCCATTTTCTGAGGAGAAATTCAAGCCAGCTGCAGATATTTGCACAAGTAACAAGAATCTGAATGTTAGTCTCCAAGACAATGGGGAAAATGTCATCAGGGCATATCAGAGGTCTTCATGGCAGCCCTCTCATCACAGAACTGGAGGCCTAGGAAGAACACATGGTTTCCTGGGCCAAGTCCCTGGTCCCTGTGCTGTGTGCAGCCTAGGGATTTAGTGCCCTGCATCCCAGCTGCTCCAGCCATGGCTGAAAGGGGACAACATAGAGCTCAGGCTGTGGATTCAGAGTATGCAAGCCCCAAGCCTTGACAGATTCCATGTGGTGTTGAGCCTGCCAGTGCAAAAAAGTCAAGAACTGGGGCTTGGGAACCTCCTCCTAGATTTCAGAGGATGTATGGAAATGCTTGGATGTCAAGGCTTAAGTTTGCTGCAGGGGCGAAGCTCTCATGGAGAATCTCTGCTAGGGCAGTGTGAAAGGGAAATGTGGGGTCAGAACCCCCACACAGAGTTCCTACTTGGTACCTCCTAATGGAGCTGTGAGAAGAGGGCCACTGTCATTCAGACCCCAAAGTGGTAGATTCACCATCAGCTTGCACCATTTGCCTAGAAAAGCCACAGACACTCAATGCCAGCCTGTGAAAGCAACTGGTAGGGAGGCTGTACCCTGCAATGCCACAGGGGCAGAGCTGCCCAAGACCATGGGAACCCACCTTTTGCCTCAGCATGACTTGGATGTGAGACATGGAGTCAACAGACATCATTTTGGAGCTTGAAGATTTGACCACCTTGCTGGATTTCAGACTTGCATGGGGCCTGTAGCCCCTTTGTTTTGGCCAATTTCTCCCATTTGGGACAGCTGTATTTAACAAATGCCTGTGCCCCTATTGTATCTAGAAAGTAACTAACTTGCTTTTGATTTTACTGGCTCATAAGCAGAAAGGACTTGCTTTGTCTCAGATGAGACTTTGGACTGTGGACTTTTGGGTTAATGCTGAAATGAGTTAAGACTTTGGGTGACTATTGGGAAAGCATGATTGCTATTGAAACTTGAGGACATGAGATTTGGGAGGGACTGGGGTGGAATGATATGGTTTGGCTGTGTCCCCACCCAAATCTCATCTTGAATTATAACTTCCACAATTCCCTCATGTCATGGGAGAAACCTGGTGGGAGGCAAGTCAATCATGGGGGCAAGTTTTTCCATGCTGTTCTCATGATAGTGAATAAGTCTCACAAGATCTGATGGTTTTAAAAATGGGAGTTCCCCTGAACAAGACCTCTTCTCTTGTCTGCCACCATGTGAAATGTGCCTTTCACCTTCCACCATGATTGTGAGGCCTCCCCAGCCATGTGAAACTGTAAGTCCATTAAACCTCTTTTTCTTCCCAGTCTCAGGTCTGTCTTTATCAGCAGCGTGGAAATGGACTAATACATAAAGTCAAGTTGAATTTTTTGGCCTGTGCATTTTGCAATATATTTTAAGAACAGTATCAATTTCTGGCTTCAAATTGTTGTGTATATGGATTATTAGAAGTATTACATATGAAAAAGATTTAAATATTCCATTGTTAAGACCATAATTATAAACATGAGACATTTTTGTGTGACAAGCTCCTTTTAGAGAAGACGTAAAAGCATAATAAAAGGCTTCTTGTCTAATACAGAGCAAATATTTTCAGTAATGGAAAGAAGGAGACATAATATCTTTAACTTATCTTAATATTACCTTTTTATTCCCTGTAGGAAAATGAAATAGCCAGTTCTACTTTTCAATGTAATTGTTCTAAATGAATTCAATAAAAATAGCTGAAATATGTTGATGTCTTTGAGAATCAAAATTTTTTGTTTTCAAGTGGGTGACTGAATAATTTATTTCAATATATTCGGTAATAGCTGAAATTTTTAATTTATTTCCTTCACATTTTCGACTAACTTTATCCTAATCCCGAAAATTTTCCTTTAGTGATAAAATGCACTCCAAGTTAAACATGTTCAACATTGATTCAAGTTTATAGACCATTTTATTGAGGCTTCAATAGTGTGAATACTCACACACACACAAATACTCTAATGATTTATTACATTACAGTGATGCTGAGAACAACAATAATGGATCTAGAAGTCTATGGCCTTTTCAAGAATATATGAAATCCTTTTGGATGAATGATTAACACAAAGTAAGTACAAAGACAGATGGTGTATGATCTTTGACATTATAACATGTTAGTATTTCAGACTGGTTTATTATAGAAAAAGGTCAGTCAATATTAGAGACAGCTTGTAAGAGAAAATGTAGTTTGAAAGACTCTGAGGAAATAAAAGTTGAGAATGTGGTAGGACCTCTTTGAGTATTAACCATATTATGATAGCAGATGATAATCAAATGTATTGAAAAGTCCTTAAAGTTTATAAAAGAATAAAGATATTGTTCCTTTGATGAAACTACTAGAGTATTTTAAGGTATTTTCACTTCCAATTGATTTAATACATAAGCTTATATAATTTTTAAAATAATATTTTATGTCTGCCTTTTCTTGTCTAACTTCACTTTCTCTTTTGATAATTACATTATTTCTTTGCTTTACACAATGTGCGGTGTTGACTCCCAAACATATGATTTTCAGCTCTACAATCTCTCCACATACCTACCAAATCACATGTACAAATTTCTTTGATATTTCGACTTGAAAATATAAAACATCTTAATATTAACATGGACATAAAACTCAATGATTAATTCCTGTTCTCCATGCAATCTGTGCCTCTCAGATTTTCCTAATTCAAGGAAAAAAATCAAGGACATATTCCTGATTCTCTCCTTTTCTTAAATTTCTAGCTCATCATTCATTATGTTTTTCAATATCTATCTTTAAAATATATATCAAATTTCCACATATATTCCATCTAAACTACAATCATTCACACTGTTTGCCTGCTAGATTACTCTAATGCACATTTAATGCCCTCTCTGCTTCTAATCCTGGCATTTCCAGTTCATTTTTTACATGACCAGATATTGTGAACTTTTAAAGCAAATAGTGTATGAGATTTCATTTGTTTCAACGGTTTCTCAAAGCAGTAAGATTAAAACCCCAACACTTTAATTGTATTACAAAACCTACATAATATGGTCCCACCTATATCTTCCTGAACTGCCTACTTGCCTGTGTTGTCACTATTTTTTTCAGTATTTTTTCAATGGCATTGGCTTTTGTAAATGCTCTAGATAGTTCCTGGCCTAGGGCCTTTGTAATAGATTGCTCTCTTGAAATATGCTTTTCCTGATCTTCATTGAGCTGACATCTTGCCTTTTTATGTCTGAGTCTTTGTGTCCTCATCAGAAGGTTCTTTCTGTAACCAACATCTATTGTGAAATTATTACATCATTCTGTCTGACTGATCAGCAGAACAATATTCACTTTCTGATATATGTATTTTAATTTAATTTGTTGATTTTTAAATTAATTTCTGGCTCCAGATGAGAAAACAAATCACTAGAATATACAAAAGTGAAATAACAAACAGTAAAAAGAAAATATGAGACTGGGAAATTATGCCATGAAAAAAGAGAAAACTTGGAGTTATACTACATTGAAGACCCAAAAGATTAGTGCCGAAGCCAATACTTTAGATATTTGTATCCAGATATAAATTAACTTGGATGTTTGAAAGTGAATTTCTAATCTTTCTCCACCGCATCTAATCTGTTCCACTTTTCCATCTCAATTGACGGCTAATACATCCTGTTAGTTTTCCCGTCAAGTTCCCTTTGAGTTACCTTTGACATCTCCCTTTCTTTCGCAATCTGTATCTCTTCTGCCTGCATGATTTTTTACTTTTAGGATGTACCCAGAATTTTATCACTTATCACCACATCCATTGCTCTACCTTGGATTAAATTTTCATCCTATTTTATTACCTGAAATAGCATTCAGGGTTTCAAATTCATTCATTTCTAAGTCATATTATGTTTTCCTTTTGCTCAAAAATCATTCATAGATTTCTTATCTCACTCAAAGAAGAATGAATGGCTATAAAAATGGATGACAGGGATGATCAGGAAACAGCTTCCAACTCAAATCTGGTGTCATCTTCCACTGGGTCTCTGATCCTGATCACATGGGCCTCCCCAATCTTTTAAATCAAACCAAGCCTGCCCAAACCTTCAGGACGTGTTAATTCCTAGGCTGTCTATCTTAAATGTTCTCTCCTCTAGTATTTACCTGACTTACTTATCAACTTCAAGTCTTTTGTCAAATGTAACCTGTGAAAGAGGCATAACCACCATATTTAAAATTATTCTCTTTCCCTACTCATTGGCTCTCCACTTTGATAGTGCTTTTCACCATCTAATGTACTACACTTGTTATTCAATTTGTTTACATTCTCTCACTCTATCAAAAGAATATAAATTGTAAAAAGGTAGAAATACTTGTCTGTTTTGTTCAACTCTTTATGCCCAGTGCTTAGAAGAGAGGACAGCAACTACTAGACGTTAAATAAAAGGCTATACAGTTACATTCATAACTGAACAATTAATGAATTAATCTAACACACAATGTGAAAATTTTAAAAGAGAACAAACTTAAACTTTATAAAAAGATGTTAAAAAATATACATCAATAACATTCAATCCCCTTTTGTGGATAAGAATAATCAACACTATAAACATCAATCTTATCAAATAAGTTTATAGAATTAATGTCATTTAAATCAAAATGGCAATAGCATTTTTTTAACTTGGTAAACTTATTAACATTACGTAAAATAGCAAAAAAAAAAGCAAAGATAGTCAAGATACACTCAAAGAAGGATACACTGGTGGCATTTGCTCTATCACATAGCAATTGTAATTATACATAAACGGTGTGGTAGGCAGCATCTAAGATGGAATTCAATGATTGCCACTTCCTAGTTTTCACATCGTGGTATTCATGCCTTATGTACCCCTTTTGTAAGTGTTTCGAGGGTTTATTAACTCGTGTGTCATAAACAGCACAGGGAAGATACAAACGTGATGTCACTTTAGAGAACAGGTAATTAAAAGACTGGTTTTGTTTGGGCATGCACCCCCTCATCTCCCTTAGATTTCTCTCTCTCTCTGGGAATCCAGCTGCATTAGGCAGCCCTGGGGAAAGGCTCAAGTGGTAAAGGACCAACTTAGGACCTGGATCCTCCCCGAAGTTGAACAGTCAAATCACACTGCAGTCCCAGTCAATGCTTGCAATACATCCTCATGACAGACCTTGAGCCAGAGGCACACAATGAAGTCATGCTTGGATTGCTGACCAAAGATTGTTGAGATAATAAGGTTTTGTTGTTATCAGAGTTTAAGATCGAGGATAATTTGTCATGCAGCACTAGATGACTAAATTTCATAGTAGTCAGGAAAGTCATATGATAAGGTCATCTATACATGTTAAAAGGAAGAAAACATCCAGAAAGATATCTATGCATCGAAAGAATTTTGATGCATAGATATAGAATTTAAAATAGATGTGGAATTACAGATTTTAAAAAGAAAGTAATTCTGCTGATTGCTGACTTGTGTCTAATTGAATTTAAAATATGTGATATTTGTCTTTTAAAAATGCATAAGTGAATGGAAAAATAATAACCAATCAAGAGTGCCACTTATTTCCTTGGTACTTATGCATTGAAGGCTTATTCCCAGCTTGTGAAAGGTCGAATCATTATGGCAAAATTCTCATTGTTACTGGAATATCAAATGATTTAGCATATTGGTACTGACAGAAGAATTTCATTGAATTATCAGATGCACTCAACCAAAATTTAAATACAACAAAACCAATTGCATGTCTGTTGCTTCATCGTTTAAGCTCATTTGTCTTAAGTACATGGGAAAAATCAAGGAAAAAGTCAGAAAATAATTTTACTCATTCACCAGAATACTGCCATTATTTTTGTGGATTAAAAACTTTATAAATTACCTGATGTTAATGGCAACAGTAGTCTTACTAGCCTACCATAACAAATAGAGCATGAATACCTATTTATTACCTACTATCTTTATAAGTGTACATATGTTTTTACCTGGTTAATCATTGACATTCACTGGAGGATGCAGTGGTCATTGGCACCAAGGATCACATATTTTACACAGAAACTTGAGCAACAGAGGTCAAGTACCTTATCAAAAATCACACAATAATTTCATGTGTAAAAGAACAAAAACCTGTTCCATTTCTCATGAAGAAGGCAAATTGCTTTGTTATTATATACAAATTCTTTAAAAATTAAATGTTACATATAACCAATCACTGTTTTTGGTCACTAATTTTTGTGTTAATGTCAATAAACTATGAACTTAGAATAAATTTCTAAATTTCTATTTTCTTTCTATACTTGTCTATTCTCTTAGGCTTCATGTTTCTGTAACATAGGATATAAGCATCAAAATAATATCCAACAGTGTAAAGTTTCTCCATTTTAAGTCACTGAATTTATGGGCTATAAAAATAAGAGATTAAACTATAGCTTTGTCAGAGCATAAAGAAAAGTCTCAAAGTATCTGACCTCGTCAACTTAATATGAGTTAGTATCCATAAAGAATGATGAAAAGCTATTAATTGAAAAATATGAATATATAATAAAAAATTTAATAGCAGTTTAAGGTTCTCATCATCTGTTGATAATGTATAATTTTAGGAATTATTCTGGCAAATTGTCAGGCTTAATTTTATGATAGAGATATTGATTTACATGTAATTATCTTAGCAATATATTTTGCAATTAAATATAGAGTGGATTTAGCTTCTTTGACAACTTCCAGGAAACTTGGTAGCATGAGACTATACATATATAATATTTGTCATATACAAGTATGTATATATATTCTCGACCTTGCCTTCTTCAGAAAATGATTGATGGAAATTCTAGGAATTAATGTTCTTATAACAGGTTATTTAAAAGAAATTCCTTTAATTTCACCTATGATGCAAACCGCAAGACAATAAAATATCAGCTATTCTTATATGAAAGTGAGGTAAGTTCATTCTTCAGGATAAGCAAAGAACTTTCCGGTAAATGAGTCTGTGACTCTTCTAACATCACTCACATTCAGGATACAAAATGATCAGGACTGGGAGGTTACAACAGAACGTGGTCCATGAAAGAAAAATCAAACAAATTAGATTTTATCACAACAGACTGGACTTGATTAAAATTAGAAACTTTTGCTTTGCAGAAGACCATGTTAATTAGATGAAAAACCACAGAATGGGAGAAAATATTTGCAAATCACATAACTAACAAAAGATTTGTATGTGAAATATATAAAGAGCACTCTACAGTCAGCAGTAAGAAAACGACAATCCAATTAGAACATGTGCAAACAAGTTTAACAGACACTTTCATTTAAAAAGATAGACATTTAGAAAATAAGCACATTAAAAGGATGTTTAACACCAATAGTCATGAGGCAAAGGCAAACTAAAGCTTAATGATATGAGATATCACTACTCACCCATTAGAATAGCTGAAATTAAAAATATAGCAATTGCTGGTCAGAATACAGAGAAATTGAATCCTTCATATGTTGCTGGTAAGAATGTAAAATGAAACAGCCATTCTGGAAAACAGTTTTGTAGTTTCTTATAAAACAAAACTATACAAATGCCATACAACCCAGCAATAACACTGTTGAATATTTATCCTAGAATAATTAAAAACTACGTTTCCAGACAAACCTGTACATCATTGTTCGTAGCAGTTTGGGGCTCATACAAGTTCCACACTGGATACAACCCAAATGTTCCTTAATGGGTGAATGTACAAATTGTGGTAGACACATGCAATTGAATACTACTTGGCAATAAAAAGGAGGGAACTATTGACTTACACAACTTTGATGTATTTTAAAGTCATTAGATTGATTTTTAAAGGCCATCCCTAAAATTTACTTTATGATTTTATTTACATAACTTTCTTGAAGTTGCACAATCGTGTGAATAGAGAGATTAGTATTTTCATGGGTTAGGGTTTGGGGGCATTTTTAACACAAGGAAGTTTCTTTAAGATGATGGTACAGTTTTTGTTTTCTGCTGTGATGGTGCATACGTACATCTATATGTGTGATAAAATTACATAGAATTATATAATATAAATTTGCATGTAAAAACGGAAAGACTCTGAATAAGATCTGTACTCATGTTCATAGAATTGTACCAATGTCAATTTCCTGGCTTTGACAATGTACCATGGTTATGTAACATCTTGTAATTGAGGGAATTTGACAAAATATATTGATAACTCTGCATTGTTTACACAGTATTTTGTGTCATTTTCAATATAAAAAGGTATAAAAATGACTCACTCTAAAATCCAATTGAAGTGTTAAAATAATCATGATTGGGTATTTATGGTTGCATTGGTTCTATTGATTTTCACCTTTACATTTGTGAAAAGTTTGTGGTAACAAAGTGTAACCCTTCACTGTGTTTGCATCTCTCCCCCTCATGCCCTCCCTGCTCCAACAATAATGGAGGTTAGAAGGTACTTGTTTCTCCCTTCAATCCTAGAAAGTGGAGCTTTGCTGAGACCACATGGAACACTTGATATACTTTATTTGTGTTTTGAAGAACTCAGAAGACCTATGACTGACTCCCCCTTAAACATGGTTAATGAAAGAGAAGGTAGCTGAGTAGGTTCTCTCCTATGGGAGAAAGAAAACATGGACTGCGTTATGGCTGTCCTGTTTTCCCAACATGGATCCAGAGAGAGAGATTGTATGAGAGAAAAAGAGTGCAGAACTAGGATGGAGTCTGGTGGAAATAATTCATAGAATATCAAGTCTAAAGGTTTCCAAAGTTATTGCATCTTTCAAATTATGTTTGGCATATAAATCTAAAGCTGACTAACTTCATTTAAGAAGTAATGTCATTTTTATGTGGTTACAGAAATTCCAGGAATATATTATGTTTGAAATACATAATTTCCGTAAATTCCAGGAATATGTTATGTTTGAAATACACAAAGGATTACTGTGAGTCTTAAGAGTTTTTGTTTGTTGGTTGGTTGGTTGGTTGGTTTGTTTTCCAGCCAGGTGTGGTGGCTGACACCTGTAATTCTAGCACTATTGGGGGCCGAGGTGGGCGAATCACCTGAGGTCGGGAGTTCGAGACCAGCCTAGCCAATGTGGCAAAACCCCGTCTCTACTAAAAATACAAAAATTAGCAGGGCATGGTGGCACACACCTGTAATCCCAGCTACTCAGGAGTCTGAGGCAGGAGAATACCTTGAACCTGGGAGGTGGAGGCAGCAGTCAGTTCAGACTGCACCACTGCACTCCAGCCTGGGTGACAGAGGGAGACTCTGTCTCAAAAAGAAAAAAAAATTCTTTTTTTTTTTTTTCTCCTCTCTCTACTACTCTAAAACTCCTGGGACCTTTTACTGTCTTTCCTGTTCTCCTGACACTCCATCCCTGGAAAACTAAGGTTTCTTTTCTGACTGCTTCCTTTGGGTTCTACCCGATTTAATTGGTGCATTTATTTCTTTCCATTGAGAGAAGAGATTAAAACAGCTCAATTTTCATGTCCAAACACTCTTTTACAAGTGTAGAAAAAAGTTATGAACACTGACACACTGATATTTTTATTCTTCACATTTACCTGTTAATTGGTGAAATTCATATAATTTTTGAATTTACAATAATTGTATTTGGGAATTTTTGGCCTTCATACACATTACTTTTCTCATGCTACACATTATTCAACAGTAAATTTGCAAGAACCTGAGTAATTCCTGAAATTCTAAAATAAATGTTGATCAGTGTCTATTTCTAACATTTACTACTGAGACCTTTATTTAAATGAAACAACTTAAAGATTATGAGCCAATTTAAAGTAATTGAACAGTAATAAGGCCGTAACTTTAATGTGATCATATTAAAGGTAATAATTCATTTACAAGCTTGATTTGTATTATTGGTAGTATATTATTTCTAAATAAATTAACAGTAAATTTCCGAACTCATTTATTAGACACTTTAAAAAGCCTTGCTAATTCTACTATTTATCATTTAGATTTTGTCAGTATTAAAGTTTTATTTGTATCATCTTTTGAAAAAATATTTGTGGTATATGAGTATAATTAATATACTAATGGGAATAGTTAGTACCCCAATCAGTAATGTAAGGCACCAGCATAAAAATTAAGTGATTAAAAAAATCTACTTAAGAACAAATAAAAATAATATGTATTTTAGGGCTGATAAAATAAATTTCATATATTTTAAAAATGTTTATTTTTCTAATTATATAAACCACTACTAAATACATAATTAAGTGGCTAACACTTTCTCCTTCTGGTAACAGAACATGAATACCTTTTAATACTTCTTAATTACAGTATAATATTTTGTTCTTAAACTTAGGATTTGTTGTTTTCAAAGTAATGTTGAAAAATAACTGTATCTGTTATTAATTCTGAGCCATCTTACAAAATTGCAACATGCTAAAAAGCTTTATGTTTGAAGGCTGTAGTAGTGAACATTCTAAAGTTGACATAATACCTAGTGTTTATTCGCTCCTTAATAACGTTAAGTATTAATCAAAATTTCTGAACTTGCATATCAATTTTCCATGATAGCATTTAGCAAATTATTTTTGACTTGTTTTCCTCTACATTATTTTAAAATTTACATTCTATTTTAAAATAAATAAGGTGAGAAGGCTTGATTTAAGAGAATATAGAAAGTGTGGATGGTATTCTTGACCAAAAGAACGTCATGAATGAGATGGGCTGTTCTAGACTGCATGGGACCCTACCAGTGATGAAGATAGGACTATAGGCTGTCATGTGGTTGTTTGTTCCATGCCAAGCAGCTTTGCTTTGATCTCTATCATATATTGGCTGCTGCACGCAATTCCACTTGGGGAAAACAAAAAACACCACTGAATTCTCCCATTGGCTTAGGAGTTAATCTGCATTCCATGAAGGACTCCTAGACTTCATGCAGAATTTGGAAGGGTCAAATTTTTTATTCTGTTGACCTAATGCTTCGTATTTTTGAAAATCTTATTCTTTGGCTCTTTACTTCCTGTGGTTTTGATTACTTTCATGTTTAGTAAATATGACTTTTTTTTTCTTCTAATGATAAATTCTTTTCTTTAAATAGAAAAAAATTATAATACTAACAAGCAAGGTATTGTAGCAGTTAAAAGACAAAAACTTTCAGGAGCATTTTTGTTTCACTTTGTTTTCCTTTGTTTTTTAATTGTTGGCTATACTTACAAAGAATTAGAAAAACAAGATTAGGAATGTAAGTAATTTAGGAGAAAATAGTCTCTCAGAAACACATGCAGATTTAGACACAAAAACTCAGAAGATAGCATAGTGTTTAGTCTATAATTGGTATTCTTTAAATTTCTTATTTTATCGTTTTTGTTTGTTTAGTTGTTTATACTTTAGCAGTTTTCTTCTGACAGTACTTTTTGTTTGTTTTTTTGGTATAGAGAGCACATATATATATTGTCCAGGTTTTACTGGTCCCAATTTGGGAATGTAGCTTGTTTTTCACAGAGGAGAATCAGTAAGTTTTCCTTATATTTCTGTCTAACCAATCCATCATAAACATCAATATGTCACAATATTTTGGGGTACAATTTACTACTAGGATCTGTGGGTAGAGCAAACTAAAAAGATGAAATATTTTCCTTGGTGCAGCATAACCAGAAATCTGTGATTTATTTAGATTCATTTTATTATGAAAACAAGAAAAGTCAAGAATTGGATATTGTCTAGTCTGTTCTCACCTTACAGAGTGATGACATCATACACAAGAGAGGGTGCACAAAGACCAGAAAGCCTTCTCCTTACACTTGAGGCAGTGTTAGGAGATAGCCCGTTATATGTTGAAGGTCAGAAATATCTCAATTGTCATTATTATTTAAGATATTAAAATTAACTGTTTTGGGGACATGCTTACAATACTAAAATACTCTAAAAATGTCCACAACCAGAAGACATAGCTGATTAAAAATAGAAAGGTATATAATTAGTGAAAGATAAGATACTCTAGGTGACATTAAAATTATATTAATATGAAAACAGTGTGCTCAGTTACGTACATACCTTGAGAATTTAGAAGCCAGATATTACAACCCTAAATTCCAGTTTTAGGTTCATCCACTTTCATTATTATAGCCAATAGTTAAATTTTCCTATAAATACATTTAAAAGTGATTTTTTTAAATATCAGGATTCAATAATTTTTTATCTGACATTTGCAGCATACATTTCCCAAAATTATTTTATTTGTAATACCTTTCTAATATACTAATTTATTTTGCTTCCTGTTCAATCTTGCTCCAGCAAATTTTGTATCATTTCATTTCTCCCAATGCCATCAAAAGAGTGTGAAGCAATAAGATACGATGCAAAGTATATTTCTAAGGGATGATTTCTTATCTCCCCAGTATTGTAACTAGAAGGCTAAAAGCTTTTTCTTCCTACTTTTAAAAACAAGACTGCTGGAGTCAGATAACTTTCCATAGAGTCTACTAGTAGCAGACTCTTACTAGTAAGCTCCATGTCTGCCGTTGATCGCCTTACCCTCAGTGCTTTCTCTCAGGTAGTAGTTTATGTATTGCCCTGTTTTACCTACATGACATTGACAAAATGAATTTGTGATTATCAAATAAAATTCTTTACTCTTATTTGCACACTACTTATCATTTTATTTTTAAGAATTAATGTCTGTAATATAAAGATACTGAATGTCACAGGGCAAGTTTCTGATCTCCTTGGTGCTTAGAATTCTTAACTGTGTGACTTGCACTTGTACCCAGTAACACTTAAGGATACTTATGCTGAAGACCACGAAAGCTGGCAAGTTAAATGTATTATCTGACTGCAAAGGGTAATTTGAATCTAATAGGTTGGATTCTGTCTTGCATATATATAATTCGCAAGAAGCAAATCTTGTTACTGGTTTTAAGAAAATTCTAACTTTTTTAAACTAGAGAAACCAGAGAACTCCAAAGTTTAATAGTAACTTGAGTAGATTAGAAAATAATTTAAAACTTCAGCAAAATGATAGACATTGCAGATCAATAGCCCTTTTTATTAATGTAAATGGCACATTATTTTTGCCTAGAAAGCATTTTTACAAATATTTTGAAATTTCACATCATTTTACTTTTATTTAAGAAAAAGTTCCTGTATTACCCAATATTCTGAAAAAAACAAACACTCACACACACACACACACAGGAGATAGGTAGATAGATATATAGATAAGGAGGAAATTTATTAGTGGAATTGGCTTGTGTGATTACGGAGGGTGAGAACTCCCATGATATGCCATCTGTCTCAAGCTGAAGAACCTGGAAACCTGGGGTTTAGCACCTAATCCCGGAGTCCAAAGGCCTGAGAAGCAGGAGCTCTAATGTCTGAGATCACTAACAGGAGAAAAAGGTGGAGGTTCCAGCCCGAGAGACAGAGAAAGAATTTGCACCTCCTCTCCCTTTTTTCAGAAGGGCCCTCAAAGATTGGATGGTACCAGTCTACGTTGGTGAGGGGGAATCTTCTTTACTCAGTCTACTGGTTCAAATGCCAATCTCTTCTGGAAAACGCTACATAATGTTTTACCACCTATGTAGGTAACACTTAACTCAGACAAGTTGACACATAAAATTAACTAATGTATTTCCTAAAATTTCATTTACCTAAACTTTGATGACTTAAGAGTATTAAAATTAAAATATCCAGAGACTTACTCCTCAAACATATAACTATTTACACTTGCATTAAAATTTCAGGAGTTGATTTATGTGGTCTACCTAACAGGATAAATTAATAATGATGCCAACAGTTTTTATGTATTTTGGCTTTTCTATGTGCTATGTTATTTATACACAATGAATCTGATCTGTATTTCAACAAAGCTGTCTAAATTCAAAGTGTATGTACTTTTGCTGCTATACATTCCCATATCATGATGTTTTCTATTTAAAAAATAACAAAACTATGAACTTGGTAGGAAAGTTTTGGTAAAATTTGTCAAGTACTTAGTTTCCAATGTTGTCTAACACAAATTCTAAAAAATCACTTAGGCCATTATGAAGAAAATTTTAATTTAAAGGTAATTAAATATAAAAGATAGCTTGAAATTGTAATCATGTTTAAAACATTTAATTGGTTACAATATATTTTTGAAAGTGCTTAATTTTGAAGAATATGAAGTGTACATTTTACTTTTTATTTTCATTTTTTATAGCACACTGAAAAGAAAATTTTACATACATTCTAGTGTACACATTTTCTTTCAGATTTGATAGCTTTTGATCATTGTAATACGGACATTTCTGATAATTTGTAATATGGACAACCGAACCAGGAAATCCGGTGTTTTACAAGTTGAGAAAGTAGAAGCCACCTACCTATTACATTTTCCCTTCTTTTCATTTTGTAGTAAAATAAAATTTTACTCTGCTATTTGTTTTGGGGATAATGTGCCAAATGGCACCACATGCATAAGAAGTCAATGAAATAAAAATATACTTAGAAGCATGCCTATGTAAAAGCTATGTATCTATGGCAACTAGCCTTATGAAATGTCTCAAGTAGTAAGACTTAAATGTCAAAATAACTTCTTATCCAGGCGTGGTGGCTCACGCCTGTAATTCCAGCACTTTGGGAGGCTGAGGCAGGTGGATCATTTGAGGTCAGGGAGTTCAAGACAAGCCTGGCCAACATGGTGAAACGCTGTCTCTAATAAAAATACAAAAATTAGCTGGGTAGCAGTGTCGTGCACCTGTAATCCCAGCTACTCAGGAGGCTGAGGCAGGACAATCACATGAGGCTGGGAGTTGGAGGTTGTGGTGAGCCGAGATTGCACCACTGCACACCAGTCTGGGCAACAGAGTGAGAACCTGTCTCAAAAAACAAAAGAAAAAACAAAAAACTACTTCTTGATCCATGGGCTGCAGAATAGATGTGAGAGCAGGCATGAAAACAATATGAATCTCCTTGTATATCTCTGTCAGAGCTCTTGGGGACTAGGTGTATTGTCAATCAGCAGCAATATTTTGAAAATAATCTTTTTTTCTGAGCAGTAGTTCTCAACAGTGGTCTTAAACTATTCGGTCAACCATGCACTAAACAGATGTGCTGTTATCCAGGCTTTGTTTCATTTACAAAGCACAGGCAGCGCAGATTTAGCATCAATCTTCAGAGCACCAGAATTTTTGAAATGGTAAATGAGCGTTGACTTAGTTTTCAGCTAAATTAGTCCCTTCCAAGAAAGTAAACTCATCATTTGAAGCTTTGAAGCCAGGCATGGACTTCTCTCCTCTTGCTATGAAAGTCCAAAATGACATCTTCCAATAGAAGGCTGTTTTGTTTACAGTAAAAGCCTGTTATTTAGTGTAGCCACCTTCATAATTATTTCCTTTAGATCTTCTGGATAACTTACTGCAGCTTGTCTATCAGCACTTACTGCTTTACCTTTCACTTTTATGTTTTAGAGACAGCTTCTTTCCTTAAACTTCATGAATAAACCTCTGCTAGCTTCAAACTCTTCTGCAGCTTCTTCATCTCACCTAGGCTTTTAGAATTAAAGAGTGTTAGGGCCTTGCTCTGGATTAGGCTTTGGCTTAAGTAAGTGTTGTGGTTGGTTTGATTTATCCAGATACCAAAGCAGGCTGTGTGCTTTCTTATCATTCATGTGTTCACTGAAGTAGCAATTTTAATTTATTTCAATAACTTTTCCCTTGCATTCACAACTCAGCTAATTGTTTGGCACAAGAGGCCTCACTTTCAGCCTATCTTGGTGTTCAACATGACTTCCTCAGTAAGCTTGTTCATTTCTAGCTTTTGATTTAAAGTGAGAGATGTGTGACTCTTTCTTTCACTTAAACACTTAGACATCATTGCAGGGTTACTAATTGGCCTAATTTCAATATTGTGTTTCAAGGAATAGGGAAGCCTGAGGGCTAGGAGAAAGAAAGGGGGAATGGTTATTCAGTGGAGCAGTCAGCATATATACATTTATCAATTAAGTTCACTGGCTTATATGGGCATGGTTTGTGGTGCCCTAAAAAGGTTACATAAAATCAATGATCACAGATTACAGATCGCCATAACATATAGTAATAATAATAATAATAATAATACAAGTTTGAAATACTGCGAGTTTTTCCACCATGTAACACAGAGTCATGAAGTTAGTACATGCAGTTGGCATGATGGCATCCATAGACTTCCTTGACAGGATTCCTGCAAACTTTCAATTAGTAAAAACTGCAATATCTGTAAAGCGAAATTGCCTGTATTAAAGAAACTGCCTTCATCAGAACTTAGAAAAATGAAATATAGACCTACACCTTGTTTTACTTATTTCTGTTTAATATTTAATTCCAATACTGTAACCATAAAGCAATATTATTGCTAACGTGCTTCTAACTGTAATTGCATTTTAGTGAAAGATGAATGTTTTTGTGGTTGTTTTTGTAATTACTATCATTCTTTGGTAGTTTCTATTTGTTTTTGCTCTTTAGTTACATTTTCAAGTTTTTTTAATTTTTTTTTTTAATTAGTGAGGTAAGCTTAGTACAATTTAAACCTCTCATACAGACTTTAATAATTAAAAAAAACAAAATTATGACCAAGCACGGTGGCTCATTCCTGTAATCCCAGCAATTTGAGAGGCCAGTGTGGGAAGATTGCTTGAGTCCATGCATTTGAGACCAGCCTGGTCACTACAGTGCAACCCTGTCTCTATAAAAAATTAAAATATTAGGCGGGCATGGTGGTGCATGGCTGTAGTCCCAGCTATAGTCCCAGCTATTCAGGAGGCTGAGGCAGGATGATTGCTTAAGCCAAGGACTTCAAGGGTGTAGTAATCTATCATCACACCACTGCACTCCAGGCTGGCAAGAGAGCAGGACTCTGTCTTGGAAAACAAAAACAAAACACCAAAATCATCTTTCTATTTACATAGAAATGCCCTTCATAATTTATTGTCTTTTATCATTTGCCAAGGAATAGGGTCATAAGGAGGTCCTACTGTTTCTAAAAAGCCTACTTTGTTATTTAGAGACCTTTAACTCCTAGGAAGTTGTTTTATGGTATAATAACATTGCTTCCTCACATTCACAGAAACCTCTGCTTCTATTATATTCCCAGAAGAAAGTTCTGCCAAATGAAATTTCCTCACGTGAGTACGTGTTTCCTACGAAGTTTCACCCACTAACAGAATAAATGCTTTTCCATTTTATAATATCTACGTTCCATCCATGACTTCATTTCATCATGAATAATTATTTTGTTTCAGATATTGCCTTTGTTTCAACTGGCTTGAAACCTTGACATTATGCTGACTTATGATTCACTATCAATTTAATTCCTCCAGGATCCCAATCAGTGGTCTTGTCAGCCTAGATTCTTTCTTGTTTCTAGTCTTCTGGTAATCTACATACACCACAAACTACCTTATATATATAAAGTATATATTTGATTCAAAGTCTGAAACTATACAGGAAGCAGAATATCTAATGCAAATTAAAATATTGCAAAGCATAGAAAAGAATGAATACTTAACTGATTATGTTATAAATCATGTATGACTTATTTCCCAAAATTACTTTGGAGCACAAAAACTTTGCAAACCAATCATTAATAAATATTAACACATAATTTTAAATATATTACAAACCTGAAGCTAGCAGAGTTTTACAGTATTTTCTATGACATATTATTAATTATAATTGGAATACATGAATTTATAAAAAGTAACCTACTAATACAGTCACCCAGAATAATAAGCTAAATGAAGATCATATTGTGAATATCTTAAATTTATAAAATGTAACTAAATATGTTTATGATAGAAAAATTTTATATAAAATTACAAACACATTCTGTAAAATATCTATTTTATATAATACTAAGATAGTTCACAATGAAATGTCAAGATAAAAGTCAATCCATAAGCAAGTCTCCTATCACTGAATAGTATTCTTGAAATTTAAGCCAGTGGAAATAGACAAGCAATTACACATATTTGAATGAACATTTCAAGATTCTGTTTGTGTAAATCCTAACTACTTACAAAATACAAAGGATGCAAATGTAAGCAATTAATTCTAGAAACTGTGTTCAGTGAGGTTATCAGACCTAAGTTACACACATAGTATGTTTTAGACATTTACAGAAAAGCCTGTCCTGTAATTACTTACTGTAAAATATGTAGTAGCCATTTGAAGAATACAACAAAAATAGAAAAAATAGGAAGATATAATATTACTAAGTGCATGATATTTCCCAAACCTATCTACATAATTTAGAAAATTTCAACCAAAATATAGACATGATTTGATTTGTAGTAACCTAATAGAATTATCAGAATTAACAATAATCTGAAATAGCACCAATAGCTAAAAACAATTCAAAAATAAAAACATTGAGAGAGATCAAGCGTGATCAAACATAAAATGCACTATAAATCTATAAAAAATTTACATAGTGCGGTTTAGAAATATGTAGTCAATGAAAGTATCAAAATCGAGTTCAGAATTACAACTATGCCTGCCACAATAAATAATTGGCAGTCATTTTGTTACTCAATTCATTGCTAACAACTATAAATCCACAAATATTTCCAGGTGATATCTAGATGACCACTGAAATGTCCACTGACCCTCGGGGGTGTCCAATACCAATAATTATTTATACAAGAAATTTCCTTTAAAAAATGATTCAAGCCAAGTTACACATATCATTTTGGAAGCAACAGATAAAAGTAGAATCTCATCAGAAAAGTGTTTACTAGTCAGACAGAACAAAAAGTTTTCATCAACACCAGTCTATGCCAGTCAGTTATTTTCACCAAGTTGTATTAACAGGAAAAGGAATGATCAGAAAACTTGCAAAAGTTACAGAGGATTTTAGGACCTCTCATTAGACTGTAAAGTATAATTTTCATTTTTCAATATTATATAGTGATTTGTATTCTGACAATTTATAGTTGCTGTAACAGAAATTACTCTACTTCACAGGGAGAAGCATACAAAAATGAATGGCTGTGCTGCCAGGGGAGTGGTATTTGGAAGATAAGATAGGCATTAACTAGACACTAATACCACTAATTAAAGCAAGAGCTGGAATGTGCTGGTGCTGCTGCTTATGAAAAATAACCCTGCACCTGTGTCAGACACTGTTGGGCTGAATACTGTTATTTTACCATAGCTCCTCTTCCACTTGCCTTTGTGTTAATTTTAATAATCATAGATTTTTAAGTTCATAAAAGGAATGATGTTTATTGTTTGTTTTTCTCAGATACAAATTCCACTCAGTGGTGTCTTCACACTTAGATCTGCATTCCCTGTTTAAAGTTAAAATTGAGAGTACTTTCTTTGTGGAGAATTCTCATATGTAAAATTAGAATATAAAATTAGTAGTGGTAAGATGAAGGAAATAGTAGCGGTAAGATGAAGGAAATAGCGGTAAGATGAAGGAAATTATTAAGTGAAAAGTTGAGAATGTTTTGGTGCAATAAGCCGAAAATAGTCAACAAGAACAATATTTCAAATTTATAAAGAGAGAAAAAGCATGTCATGACCATGTTTGCTGTTATAAAATTGCATTGACATGTTTGCAAATATTTGCAAAAATATCCTAAAATAAAGAATAATTAAAATCATCCTTTAGTTGATTGTTCTCATTTTTGTTGTCTGCATTCTACTGTCTTGCCAAAACAACAGTTTTAAGTCAAAATATTTTATTGCTTAAGATATTCTCCTAAAAAATCAGTTTATTTTGTTTGTATAGATCAGCAATTTTTTGCATTTCTATTATTTAAAGTAAGGTTTTCTAATTATTAGATTTCTTTTTTTTCTTTTAGAATATAAGCTATTTTGTTTCAGGTGTTTAAGAAAATTAGAAATACATTTTATATAGAATTTTTCTGTATGGAATATTACTCTCCAGAAAGTAAAAATCTTATGTAGTGATCTAGTTTGTCCTCACCCAAATCTTAAAAAAAATTAGATGACCTGTTTTATATTCTCACCGTATTCTCTCTCCAGTCCTCTCTTATTCTTATGGTATTAATATTCCAGGTATACCTCTCTATTTTGTTCTGTGAATGTTGGTCTTCATCTTGGATTTTTTGTATGATGATGATATTAGTTCTCTTATGTTTCTGCTGCTTTTTTTTTCCTTTTCAGTGTCATAGCTGTTTGCTTTAACACTTTTGAGTGTGTTAATATGGTTCCTTAACTACTATATAGTTCTTTGTCTCTAAATTTGTTGTAAATCTGAAGTCAATCCATTACACTGTATGCAGTAATTGTGTAAATATTATTCATTGTAGGATCAGATTATTGACCTTTTTGTTAAATAGCATGAATACTGGGACTCTGGGAGAATGTTCACAACCTAAATGTTGTCTTGAACTTTTATTTCTTTTTTTAGCATGTTATTTACTGAAAAACATACCCCATTTGGTATTTCATTACAAGTTATATGTATCATTTGGATTTTCTTTGTGTTTATCATTTGAGACTCCAGAATCATGTAATTAGTGGGAGTCAAATTATTTGATATAATACTCACTGGACCCTTTCCTTGTAAAGTTATTTGTAAAATATGTTTGGAAATTTTATTTGGTTGATGGTCTCTGTTCATTTTATTTATTTATTTTGAGACAGAGTTGTGCTCTGTCACCCAGGCTGGAGTGCAGTGGTGTGATCACCACTCACTGCAGCCTCGTTCCCTGGGCTCAAGCGATCCTTCCGCCTCACCCTCCTGAGTATCTGTGACTACATGCATGCATCACCAAACCCAGATATATTTTTGATTTTTTGTAGCAACAAGGTCTCACTCTGTTGCCCAGGCTGGTCTCAAACTTCTGAGCTCAAGCAATCCTCCTGACTCTGCCTCCCAAAATTCTGCCATTACAGGAATGAACCACTGTGCTCAGCCTCTTCTAATTTTAGAAAAAACGTCATTTAACATAGTTTTGAATCCTTTTGAATCTTTGGTTTTCTTTTCAGTGATAATTTTTGTTTCCATTAACTTGTTACCATTGTCTATTTTTCTGAAGTATCCTGTTTATAACCATCTTTGTCTATATTACTCTATTTCTTATATTACTGTATTTCTATAAAGAGATTATTTTAAAGTGTTTCCATCTATTATTTAAAATATATTTATCCCGAGGCTGTAATAAAGTTTCTTTCTTTCTTTTCTCTCTTCTCTTTCTTTTTTTTTAATGGCTGCTTATCTGGCTAGCTACCTTCACTTTGTATGTTGCTGGTTGTCTGCCTGATTATCCATTCCAATTTAAAAGTAGAACACTGGACTGTTTATTTTAAATCATTGAGATATGTTTATCCTCCATTAGCCCATGTATGTCTGTTTCCTTATGGATCTTTTTAAAACAACAACAACCAACTAAATGGGCCATTTCCTCAAATGGTGCTGCAATTTAACTGGAGAGCTTCGTCTTAAGAGTGGTCACTAGAGAACTGATGTCACCTACCCACGTCCATACACATGGTATTTCACGGATGAAAGTTTTCCCTGGATGACCGGCAGGCACTGTAAAAATGTTTGCTGTCCCCTGAACTTCGTACAATTTCTTTAGAGAATGATCGTATTTTTAAAAATTTCCCTGGAGTTAAATTCCTCCCTTGGTGTTACATCTTTACATTTAAATCCTGTACAACTACCCTATCTGCCAAATCTCTGCACGATATCTCTCTGGCATTTCACTGGGAAACTAACATCATATTATCTTTTAGTGTTATCTAATCTGCAGCTGAAACTATATTGCTTATATTTAAATAATATTTATCAATAATCCATATTCCTGAACACTGTTAAACTCATTTATTCAATGTTGAAGATTATTCTCTCCCCCACTGTTAGAAGTTTTGCTCTCACGTAATTTTTGCTTTAATAGTTCTGCGTTGTCATTTCAGTAGTTGGGGTAAATGGACATTCATTTGATTTTTTTTTTTTTTTTTTTTTTTTGACACGCAGTCTTGCTCCGTGGCCCAGGTTAGAGTAGAGTACAGCGGCACGATCTCGGCTTACTGCAACCTCCGCCTCCCGGGTTCAAGTGATTCTCCTGCCTCAGCCTCCTGAGTAGCTGGGATTAAAACCGCCCACCACTGAGCCTGGCTGATTTGTCTATTTTTAGTGGAGACGGGGTTTCATCATCTTGGCCAGGCTGGTCTCGATTGATCTTTTTATTTAATATTTGAGTTGTCTTACATGTCACTGTGTCAAATATATGTTAATTTTCCTGTAAACAGTATGATCTATTTCTATAACTGTGGAAGTCAAACTCTATTAATATATCAATATTCTACTAAACAATGTGTGCTTGTTAGGAAACTGTAATATATGGCACTATGTTGGTTTTTTGTGAAGATTAAATAAGTTAATGTTTTCTCAATAAACATTAGTTCTAAACATTAGTAACTAATGCTGTTTTATTAATATTTGATCAGAATTCAATACCCGATTATATCTAATTATCTTTGTATTCTGACTTTTTGGGGTTAAAGAATATTCACATTTCTGGAAATCTAATCCAAGAACATATACTCAAGTCTTTGATAATACATGGTGATATCTCTTATATAAATGAAGACATGTCCTCCTAAAACAATCTATTTAAGCTAGTGTTTGTGTATGTTATGACCTAAAAGTGCAGTCTTTCTGCAAAGTCACTGACAGTTTATGTGTAATAACTTACACACTATACCTACTTATACTTAGCCTAATAAATGTTTTTATTATTCTTTGTTTTTATAATACATTTATTTAATATTTAAAATGGTTGTTTTCACTGTTAAATACATATTTATATGTATTTTTGTTCTTTTCTTTTGATCCAATTTGTCGATTTATTGTGACTTCTGGTTAAGTGATTCCTAGGTTTTATTTGTAATGTATGATCACACTTTTGAAATATAGCATAGTAAAACTTTTAACTTTTAATACTTTTTTCAGACTTTTATATTTTTCTATCTTATGCCAATATTATCACTGAAAAAGAGCTACTTTCCTCACTATTTACCATTGCAAAGGATGATGACTATGTTTGAATTGAATCCAGTAATTCTAATATATACTAAACACATAGAAAAGTAATTTTATTTTGAGCATTTTTAAAAACACAATTCACTTTTACTTATTTCTCTTTCTCATTCAGTAATTGATTTATTATATAATTTTTGGAAATATGTTAGTTCTTTTAAAATATAATTTATCACCAACTTCATATGTTGGACCAAAGTGCGTATAAAGTCAATAGCTAGTTATGTAAATGAAACCTTCCAATGAATTAAATAAACAATATTCTACATCTTATATATTCTTAAGCTTATTGTTACATTTATATTCAGTGTAATTTCAGAGTGATGTATAGGGAAATCAGAAGGTCAGTATTTTTCTTTATAAAACACGGTGCCAGGAATTTTTATTTTTCTAGGTTAGGTAACCTTGGATACAACATATTATTATCTTTCAGCAAGACATGCACATTTTCACAGTGCAAAGTTCTATTTTTAAAAGTGTACGTATTTCGTTGCAAACATTTCATTACAATTTACTTTTTATAACAACAATGTCAACTTTGACACTTTTGAAATAACTATCTTAAATACAGATCTGAACTTTTACTTCAGTCAATGCTATAGTTATCACCAGATTTCATATAGTAAACAGTAACTGAAGCCTGGTGCTATTCAAATTTCTCCTTAAATTAAAAAATACCAAAAACCTTTTTCTTTGTCAGTCAATTTTTTTCAGCTTTCTTGGCTTCTTTATCTGTTGTATCAAGTTGCAGAATATATAGTTTATGAAGGAAATGAAAAAAATCAACTATTTCTGCTGATGTTATCACTCACACACTTGAACTGACATATACTGAAAGAATGACAAGCTGAAGAATATAATCAGTGTGGCAACATCACTTTTATTGGCTCATAACATCTATCTTCAAACTGTAACAAACAGTTTGGTTACCCAGCTTTCTAGTTGGCACCTCTGAAAGGTCATAAGGACATGTTTACCTAGTGTTACAAAAACACATTTCACACCCCTGGTATCGTTCTGCTGGTAAAAAGAATTTGACATTTGTATTTCCTGTTACTTAAGGGCTTCAACATTTTCTACGATATGAAATCTTGGAGGCATCTTAGAGGATACCTAAATAATGTACAATATTTACACATTTATTTTTACTTCATCCTTGGCATTTTAGAATCAAAATAGTTGTGCAAGGTTATCTCTTCTCTCTCTCTCCCTTTCTTTTTTTTTCCTATGAAACGGAGTCTTGCTATGTCACCCAGGCTGGAGTGCAGTGGTGCAATCTTGGCTCACTGCCACCTCTAACTCCCCAGTACAAGTGATTCTCCTGCCTCAGCCTCCCGAGTAGCTGGGATTACAGGCACGCACCACCATGGCTGGCTAATTTTTGTATTTTTAGTAGAGACGGGGTTTCGCCATGTTGGCCAGGCTGGTCTCGAACTCCTGACCTCAAGTGATCTACCCACCTCTGCCTCCCAAAGTTCTGGGATTACAGGCGTGAGCCACCATGCCCGGCCTTCTTTTTTCTTTCTTTTTAAAACTATGCTAGCCACTTAATGATCACTCTGTGTCTGAAGATTCAGAATACATCTCAGCTCTTAGAATGTCGGTATAGTATATATATATATGTGTATATGTCTATATATATATATATATATAATGCATATATATCTATTATAACCCCTCCTCTCTAAATTTTTTCTCTCTTTGGGAATTCTATTTATATATCTTATCCTTTGGAGTGCTTTCCTATGTTTCTTTTCCATCATATTGTCTGTTGTTTTTGTCCCCCTTCTGCATCCAGAAACATTTCAGGATTTTTATATACTGATTGCTCTAAAGAATTTCTATTTTTATCAGTCATCTATCTAAGAGTCTTTTTTTTTTAAATTTAATTCCTTGGAATGTCATCTTTTTTATTTGAAAGTAACTTCTCCATATTCTTTAATAATCTTTTTTTCCTTGACAATGTTTATTATTTTTTGTTTGTTTTCTTTATATATATATACATATATATATTTTTTTATTGTACTTTAAGTTCTAGGGTACATGTTCACAATATGCAGGTTTGTTACATATGTATACATGTGCCATGTTGGTGTGCTGCACCCATTAACTCGTCATTTACATTAGGTATATCTCTTAACGCTGTCCCTCCCCCTACCCCACAACAGGCCCCGGTGTGTGATGTTCCCCTTCCTGTGTCCATGTGTTCTCATTGTTCAATTCCCACCTATGAGTGAGAACACGTGGTGTTTGGTTTTTTGTCCTTGTGATAGTTTGCTGAGAATGATGGTTTCCAGCTTCATCCATGTCCCTACAAAGGACATGAACTCATCATTTTTTATGGCTGCATAGGATTCCATGGTGTATACGTGCCACATTTTCTTAATCCAGTCTATTATTGATGGACATTTGGGTTGGTTCCAAGTCTTTGCTATTGTGAGTAGTGCCACAATAAACATATGTGTGCATGTGTCTTTATAGCAGCATGATTTATATTCCTTTGGGTATATACCCAGTAATGGGATGCCTGGGTCAAATGGTGTTTCTAGTTCTAGATCCCTGAGGAATCACCACACTGTCTTCCACAATGGTTGAACTAGTTTACAGTCCCACCAACAGTGTAAAAGTGTTCCTATTTCTCCACATCCTCTCTGGCACCTGTTGTTTCCTGACTTTTTAATGATCGCCGTTCTAACTGGTGTGAGATGGTATCTCATTGTGGTTTTGATTTGCATTTCTCTGATGGCCAGTGATGATGAGCATTTTTTCATGTGTCCTTTGGCTGCATAAATGTCTCTTTTCAGAAGTGTCTGTTCATATCGTTTGCCCACTTTTTGATGGGGTTGTTTTTTTCTTGTAAATTTGTTTGAGTTCTTTGTAGATTCTGATATTAGCCCTTTGTCAGATGAGTAGATTGCAAAAATTTTCTCCCATTCTGTAGGTTGCCTGTTCACTCTGATGGTAGTTTCTTTTGCTGTGCAGAAGCTCTTTAGTTTAATTAGATCCCACTTGTCAATTTTGGCTTTTGTTGCCATTGCTTTTGGTGTTTTAGACATGAAGCCCTTACTCACGCCTATGCCCTGAATGGTATTGCCTAGGATTTCTTCTAGGGTTTTTATGGTTTTAGGCCTAACATTTAAGTTTTTAATCCATCTTGAAATAATTTTTGTATAAGGTGTAAGGAAGGGATCCAGTTTCAGCTTTCTACATATAGCTAGCCAGTTTTCCCAGCAACATTTGTTAAATAGGGAATCCTTTCCCCATTGCTTGTTTTTGTCAGGTTTGTAAAAGATCAGATATTTGCAGATGCATGGTATTATTTCTGAGGGCTCTGTTCTGTTCCATTGGTCTATATCTCTGTTTTGGTACCAGTACCATGCTGTCTTGGTTACTGTAGCCTTGTAGTATAGTTGGAAGTCAGGTAGCGTGATGCCTCCAGCTTTGTTCTTTTGGCTTAGGATTGACTTGGTGATGCGGGCTCTTTTTTGGTTCCATATGAACTTTAAAGTAGTTTTTTCCAATTCTGTGAAGAAAGTCATTGGTAGCTTGATGGGGATGGCATTGAATCTATAAATTACCTTGGGCAGTATGGCCATTTTCACGATACTGATTCTTCCTATCCATGAGCATGGAATGTTCTTCCATTTGTTTGTATCCTCTTTTATTTCACTGAGCAGTGGTTTGTAGTCCTCCTTGAAGGTCTTTCACATCCCTTGTAAGTTGGATTCCTAGGTATTTTATTCTCTTTGAAGCAGTTGTGAAGGGGAGTTCACTCATGATTTGGTTCTCTGTCTGTTATTGGTGTATAAGAATGCTTGTGATTTTTGTACATTGATTTTGTATCCTGAGACTTTGCTGAAGTTGCTTATCAGCTTAACGAGATTTTGGGCTGAGACAATGGGGTTTTCTAGATATACAATCATGTCATCTGTAAACAGGGACAATTTGACTTCCTCTTTTCCTAATTGAATACCCTTTATTTCCTTCTCCTGCCTGATTGACCTGGCCAGAACTTCCAACACTATGTTGAATAGGAGTGGTGAGAGAGGGCATCCCTGTCTTGTGCCAGTTTTCAAAGGGAATGCTTCCAGTTTTTGCCCATTCAGTATGATATTGACTATGGGTTTGTCATAAATAGCTCTTATTATTTTTAGATACGTCCCATCAATACCAAATTTATTGAGAGTTTTTAGCACGAAGGGCCATTGGATTTTGTCAAAGGCCTTTTCTGCATCTATTGAGATAATCATGTGGTTTTTGTCTTTGGTTCTGTTTATACACTGGATTACATTTAGTGATTTGCATATGTTGAACTAGCCTTGCATCCCAGGGATGAAGCGCACTTGATCATGGTGGATAAGCTTTTTGATGTGCTGCTGGATTCAGTTTGCCAGTATTTTATTGAGGATTTTTTCATCGATATTCAGGGATATTGGTCTAAAATTCTCTTTTATTGTTGTGTTTCTGCCAGGCTTTGGTATCAGGATGATGCTGGCCTCATAAAATAAGTTGTGATGTTGATTTATTTTTGCTGTCCTGGATTGTGTCCATATGTCCTCTTTGCTGATGTATTTATTAAACCAGATGTATGAAGGCTCCCCCTTGTTGCTGTCATAAGTTTCTGCTTCCATTTTCATTTGTGTCCTCTCACTCCTCTTCTTCACCTCCTTTCCAGAATTTTACGTCACCTCTTTTTTTTTGTCTCACCCTCTCCTGAATTCTGTATTTTATTTTTCTTTGATCTATTTTTTTTCACTTCTACACAGTGTTAGTTTCTCAACAAGGATAAGTGAATCACATGTGAGTCTAGAATGCCATCTTAATCTAAATGCCTACTTTTTACATAGAAAACACATACAGGTAATACAATCTTCATCTAGCTGTTCAATTGAAGGTAACCTAACTTATGAGAAATGAATATTCAATTACATTAATATTAATTTTGTATGGTTTATATCAGCATATCTGTATGGTTATTTCATTTATACAGTAAAAAAAATTACATCTGTTAAAGGATCATAAGGATGGTAGACTATAAGCTTGTGAACCCTGGAAGTTTGAGACAGGTCTCAGTTCATTTGGAAAGTTTATTTTGCCAACTTTGAGGACACACCCATGACACAGACTCAGGAAGTCTTGACAACATGTGCCCAAGGTGGTCAGGGCACAGCTTGCTTTTATACATTTAGGGAGACATGAGACATCAATCAAAATATGCAAGATGTATACTAGTTCGGTCTGGAAAGGCGCGACAACTTGAAGTAAAGCCAGGAGGACTAGAAGCAGGGATGGAGCTTCCAGGCAACAGATAGATGATACGCAAAAGGTTACATTCTTTTGGGTTTCTGATTAGCCTTTCTAAGGGAGGCAAATCAGATACGCATCTATCTCAGTGAGCAGAGGAGTGACTTTGAATAGAATGGGAGGCAGGTTCACATGAAGCAGTTCCTGCCTTGAGTTTTCCTTAGTGATTTTGAGGGCCCAAGATATTTTCCTTTCACAAGCTGTAAATATAAGATCAAGTTTAAAAGTAATTAGTAAAATCATATAGATGATTAATAAATAATAAGTACATTTATTATTTAATATCAGGTATCAGTTATGCACCATTAAAGGGCGGTATAGCTCATGGGTAGAGCATGTGACTGCAGTTATGCACCATTAAACAATATGCCATCTGTTATTCATTGAATTATACCGCCTCCCACACCAATTAATACATTGAAGTCCTAACCCTCACTACCTCAAGTGTGGCTTTGTTTGGAAATACAGTCATGGCAGATATAATTAGTTAAGATGACGCCATTAGGGTGTGCCCTCCTTAGAATGTCAGCGGTCCTTATAAAAGGGGAAAAATGTGGCTACAGGCATACACACATGGAGTGAGAGCATCATATAAAGATAGGAGTTATGCCGTCACAAGTCAAGGAATTACCAGGAGCTATGAGGGAGTCTTGGAACAGGATGTTCAGAGGAAGCACAGACCTGGCAACATAATGATTTAAGACTTTCGACCTCCAGGAGTGTAAGAAAATAAACTCCCGATGCTCTCAGATACCCAGTTTGTGGCACCTTCTTACAGCAGACCAACACAATGATATACCTTCCTTGTCCCCACGAAATATTGTTTTTGTGTCTGAGATTTCTTATTTTCTTTTTTTCCCCAATTCTATTAAGATGAATATTTTTAAAAGATTACATAATGCAAAACTGTGCATGTTCTGACATCTGTCTTCCACTGCAGCTTTATCTCATAATCTTATGTGTCTACCTCCTTGCTTTCTTCTCCAGCCATAATCTCTTTCCTATCACCATCATCATTATAAGAGTTAAAGAAAGAAGAGAGAAACACGAAAAGTGACTCAACAGTCAAAAACAGGTTTACTTTGGAGAATAAACCTGAGAGGGGCTTCTGGCTGATTTTGGTCAGGAGTGCTGTGTCTTACAGACTAAGGGTATTTAAGGGTTTTAGGGCAAGAGAGCTTATCAAAGACTTGGAATGTTTCTGTGTGGAGAAAAGTTTATTGAGGAGTTGAAATGTTTCCGCTCAAAGGGAAGGTTATCTTGGGACTGACATCTCTCCTGCTGGAGGGGAGGTTATTTCAGGGCTGGCATGTCTCTGGTCAGGGAGGGGTTTATTTTAGGGTTGGAATGTTTCTGGTTGGAGTTGTCATTTGTGGTTTATGGTCATGCTGACCTTAGCTATTAAGCTGATGCCCTTTGGATTTAGGCGGTTGTTGATCAAGGGGAACTTTAAAAAGGCGGTGCTTGTCCAAGATGGCGATGCTCCTGCTCTGTCAATCATCATCATCATCACCATTTGTTCCTTGAATGAATAATTCTTTCTTATGTCATATTGCCTTTGCAATTTGTGTGTGTGTGTGTGTGTGTGTGTGTGTGTGTGTGTGTGTTTCTGCATAGAATATTCTTCTCCTTTTGCTCATTTTACATAGTTAACTGCTATTTATTTATTTTTTATCACCTTAATTCTTGGTCAACATCTATAAACTTTGTGAGAAAAGGGATTGGGTTTGTTTTCACTCATCATTGCATTCCCACTATCACATGAATTTTCTGGTACATAAATGAATCGAGCATAAATATTTCCAACATTAATGAATGAAGCTGAGATTGTAAGAGTAGATCCAATAAAATTACATCATTTCGGCTACTTGGGCTTTGAATTCTCTGTTTATATGTGAAAACAAATATGCTCTAGCTACAAAGAAATAACATTTGGCAAACTCCTACTATACATTTCATGCCCTCTTACTATTTCAATAATGCTCTCTTTAAATCCTAAGAACAGGCTGGTGAGGTGTATGTAACATCTCCCCTTTTCCCCTAGTTATTTTCTGGTGAAGAAATTGAGCAACATTAAAGTTAATTAACTGCCATAATTGCACTGCTGGCTATTATATTTCAATAACTTGCCATGGGGTATGATTTAGGTAAATGTGAAAGGTATTATAGTCACGGTGGTCAGGAAAAAGTTTCAGAAATGTCAGTGTTTGAACAATGTTTGAGAAAAGGAATAATTTTTTCAGAAAGTAACTCAAGAGAGGAGAGAGACATTCCTGAAAGCACGTATAGAGTGACTATTCAAGCTTCACTCTTCCTTTTGAATCATTCACACCAGTGAGTTTCCAAGAGAATTTTTCTCCTTTCAGTGATTGTCAGACATGGATCCATTGTCAGACTTCATGTCCATTAAATCAACAAATGAGATGTACTTTAATCAATTGCCTACATCATTGAATTAAGCAGAGCATCTCCTGTGAGGACCTGCCAGCCTGTTAGATTCATCTCTAACTAAAATTTTACTTACTTTGTCCTGCTAAATCAATCACTCAGAAAATATATGTGCATTTTATTTTATGTTTCTTTTTCTTCTAGCCAATTTTCTGGATGGAGATTTCTGGTTTTTATGTTTTGCTGTAGTTTATGCTTTTTGGGGTCATAATAACACCAGTGGACATATGTCTGGGGTCATGTAACATCAAGACAGAATGAAAATGAAAAGCACTTTAGAGGAGATGGGTAGAAACTGTCAGAAACGTCTAACTTATTTGATTCCTCCAAATATTTATTCTTTGATATCCAGACTCCTCTTATTTGTAAACAGAGAAGCCGAAAGCAGTAGAAAATTCATAAAGTGCTGCCCTTAAGCAACATCTGGGAACACTATTTGGACTACATTTTCAGGAGTCTCAGAATTTTGGCTACACCAGGAAACATTTTCTATTGTAGTGGTGACATCATTATTAACAACAACAATGAGAGTTAACATTTATTGTGTGCATACTACATCTTAGGTCATGTTTTAAAAGTTTATATATATAAAAACTGTTTTAATTCAAATAGTATTTCCTAATCTATTATGGATAGAGCATACAGAATTGAACTGATCTGATTTCTGCTGTAAATTACTCAGTGATATTTAAAACTCTCATTCTTAATTTTCCCTCCATACAAATACTTTAGATCACCAGCAAAAATGCCCTCTATGTATTCACCTTCACCATCTAGATCCTAACTAGTTGCCAGCAAAAACTTTATTAAGTACATCAGCAACACAAACTGATTTGCTACTGGGCAATCTTAGAGTCTGCTGCTCACCTGCTATGTCTCAACCAGCTCATTAAGTCCTCTAATGTTTGTAGCCTTGATTCTGGATCTTCTTTCTTGATCTCCTTTTCTTCTGACTTCACAGAACAGAAAATGACTCAAATTACTGTATGGACAATAAATAATTATTTTTTAATATCAGTTTGGACAATAATTGAAATCAGAAACTAACAGGAATTAGGTTATTGAAACAGATTTGGTGTTCATTTTTATTCACTGGAAATCTGCTTCATTTTGCAGGTTTCCTCAGGTTGTACTTGTTAACCCATTTCATACTTTTTGCTAAATATCCCAGAGATGGTAAGTGCTTAGTCCTGAACCTTTTATAAGGTATTAGGATCTGGGCAATTTTCCTTAGAGAGACAGCTGAGAATAGTTACATACTGTGAAGTACACATTCATAAAATTAATAAGATTTGCATGATTTAATTACTGTAGTTGCTCTTTTATATAAAATAAAATTCAAGTTTATAATTTCATTTTCACACTGAAATTAACAATAATTATTCACTATTCCCCAGACTACATGCTAAAAGTAGAAAAATTGGTCCAGTGAGCCCTCTTACCACTGTCATGGCTGTCCCAGGTTGCAACAAAGACAGTGTCAGAAAAGACTGTAAAAAATGTGGCTACCCTTGTCACCTTACTTTTGAATGCCGCAATTTTCTCTGAGTAGACCCTAAAAGGGACATAGTTTTGGATGTCAGCAGTACAAGTAGTGAAGATAGAGATGAAGAGAATGAAGAACTGAATAAATTGCAGGCATTACAGGAAAAAAGAATAAATGAAGAAGAGGAAAAGAAAAAAGAAAAAATCAAATTGAAAAAAAAGAAAAAGGTCTTATCCAGTTCCACTGAAGAGGACACTTCAAAACAAAAGAAACGAAGATATCAGAAGAAAGAAAAGAAAAAAAGAGTAAATCAATAAAGGGAAACATCACAAAAAGGAAAGAACAAGGAGAGAAAAAAAAAAGCATTCTTCTACCCCTAAAAGTTCTGAATTCTCCAGAAAGTAACTGAGACTTTGGCTTAAGCCATTAAATTTAAAAATTTGTTTTTAAAACATGTTTGCCTTGCCTTGGAATTTGCTATATATTATGTTTTGCAATAAATCACAGCCTTTTCCATACAGACATTTTTTGTATGTGGGACCATTATCCCTCTGGTAATATATTTTTAATATGCTATGACTGTAAAGTATTAAATCAGTCTTGTTACTTGATAGTGATGCCCCAAGTATAGCTATTTGTATGTACTAAACACATCATTTTTGGTATATGTGTCTCTGTGTTTTTGGCTAGTGTTATTACTTCATAAGTTGATTGTAAAATGGCTTTACTATAGTTAACACGAGTCATCTACCTAGTAGTTAATGAGTATTGCTGAATCGGATGCCCACCTTGAAGTGATGAAGCTAGGTAAGGGTAATGTTTTGCTCTTGACACAGATATATAAATTTGACACAGATATATAAAAAGCTATAATATAAATTTAATAGCTTTATATACTTAAATATAATATCTTTTAAAGCTAGTAAAAAAATAGAAACATTGTTCAAATTTAAATGAATACTACACAGAGTACTATCAACTGAGAGTAGATATTGTACAAAGTCATACAATGATTAAAACATGGATATTATCTGCATAAAGATATTTGGAGCCTAGAGACATATACAATGCTATATGACATTATTATTAATTCATTATGGATCACTTTATGGCTGTTTCTTTCTTACTGCTGTGATCTATGAAAGAATAATGAAACAGAGCACCGGAGATTAAGTGATGGTAAAAGATATGTAAGTCACGCAGGTGGGTGGAAGAGAGAAAGAAAGAGAGAAGAAAAGAGAGACTTTTGTTTTTAATATTCACAAATCATTGGAGTTAGAAGTAAAGAAATAAAAACAAATTAAAGCTTAATATCACAGGATTAAAAATGCAACTCCCATTGACTAAAGAAGCAATATATGCAAAGATAAACGTAAATACACCTAATTTATTTTGGATTTCGGGAGACCAGCAGGCTGGTAAATATAATGGGAGACAAAGATTGTATACCCAGCCAAGTTATCTTTCTAGTAGCAAGATTATAGAAGCATGTAAAAGACCACAGACAACAACAACAAGAAGAAATTTTAAAATGCAGAACTCAGAGAATTCATTGATTTTCTGAGATTCCACAATTCTCTCTTGTGGACTCTATAACAAAGATGACCTTCATCTAAAGAAGATATAATTTCCCATTTTGTAGATTGCCTGTTCACTCTGATGGTAGTTTCTTTTGCTGTGCAGAAGCTTTAGTTTAATTAGATCCCATTTGTCAATTTTGGCTTTTGTTGCCATTGCTTTTGGTGTTTTAGACATGAAGTCCTTGCCGATGCCTATGTCCTGAATAGTAATGCCTAGGTTTTCTTCTAGGGTTTTTATGGTTTTAGGTCTAACGTTTAAGTCTTTAATCCATCTTGAATTAATTTTTGTATAAGGTGTAAGGAAGGGATCCAGTTTCAGCTTTCTACATATGGCTAGCCAGTTTTCCGAGCACCATTTATCAAACAGGGAATCCTTTCCCCATTGCTTGTTTTTCTCAGGTTTCTTAAAGATCAGGTAGTTGTAGATATGCGGCATTATTTCTGAGCGCTCTGTTCTGTTCCATTGATCTATATCTCTGTTTTGGTACCAGTACCATGCTATTTTGGTTACTGTAGCCTTGTAGTATAGTTTGAAGTCAGGTAGCGTGATGCCTCCAGCTTTGTTCTTTTGGCTTAGGATTGACTTGGCGATGCGGGCTCTTTTTTTGGTTCCATATGAACTTTAAAGTAGTTTTTTCCAATTCTGTGAAGAAAGTCATTGGTAGCTTGATGGGGATGGCATTGAATCTTTAAATTACCTTGGGCAGTATGGCCATTTTCACGATATTGATTCTTCCTACCCATGAGCATGGAATGTTCTTCCATTCGTTTGTATCCTCTTTTATTTCATTGAGCAGTGGATTGTAGTTCTCCTTGAAGAGGTCCTTCACATCCCTTGTAAGTTGGATTCCTAGGTATTTTATTCTCTTTGAAGCAATTGTGAATGGGAGTTCACTCATGATTTAGCTCTCTGTTTGTCTGTTATTGGTGTATAAGAATGCTTGTGATTTTTGTACATTGATTTTGGGCGAAGGACATGAACAGACACTTCTCAAAAGAAGACATTTATGCAGCCAAAAAACACATGAAATAATGCTCACTGTCACTGGCCATCAGAGAAATGCAAATCAAAACCACAATGAGATACCATCTTATATCAGTTAGAATGGCAATCATTAAAAAGTCAGGAAACAACAGGTGCTGGAGAGGATGTGGAGAAATAGGAACACTTTTACACTGTTGGTGGGACTGTAAACTAGTACAACCATTGTGGAAGTCAGTGTGGTGATTCCTCAGGGATCTAGAACTAGAAATACCATTTGACCCAGCCATCCCATTACTGGGTATATACCCAAAGGACTATAAATCATACTGCTATAAAGACACATGCACACGTATGTTTATTGTGGCACTATTCACAATAGCAAAGACTTGGAACCAACCCAAATGTCCAACAAGGATAGACTGGATTAAGAAAATGTGGCACATATACACCATGGAATCCTATGCAGCCATAAAAAATGATGAGTTCATGTCCCTTGTAGGGACATGGATGAAATTGGAAATCATCATTCTCAGTAAACTATTGCAAGAACAAAAAACCAAACACCGCATATTCTCACTCATAGGCAGGAATTGAACAATGAGAACACATGGACACAGGAAGGGGAACATCACACTCTGGGGACTGCTGTGGGGTGGGGGGAGGGGGAGGGATAGCTTTAGGAGATATACCTAATGCTAAATGACGAGTTAAAGAGTGCAGCACACCAGCATGGCACATGTATACATACGTAACTAACCTGCACATTGTGCACATGTACCCTAAAACTTAAAGTATAAGAATAATAAAATAAAAAATAAAAAAATAAGATATAATTTAAGAAACACTGGCAAAAGGATTAATAGTTGGCATTTAAAAAAATAGTCCCAAATTTTTTTAAAAAGTGGATACATGGATAGAAGAAAATATACAAATATTATGTTTTGACAAAGAAGAATCAATATAATAAAAAAGAAGATAAGAGAAACAAAAAAGCAGATTAATCTCATTTTCTGATATATAGAAAATAAATGGCAAATAGTGCAATTAAATATTGATAATCAGGTATTAAAAGACTAATTGAGAAAATAGGGACTTAAGGGCAATTTTAAAAGCCGTAAGAACAGAGGTTACAACTGGAATGAAAATAGAAACTTTCTTAAATGTTGATGTAACTTTAAAATTACAGAAGAAAGCACATGACATAGAGAAATAAAGATTAAATCATGTATAATAAGCATAGTAAGTATAATGTAAACTAATGTAAAATTTAAGACACAATATATCAGCTTATCTACATATGTTAATGAATCTAACTCATTTATTGAAAGAAAAAGAAATCTAATCATAAGATAGATCAATTGATCATTTAATAGATCAATTCAAAAGGAAATGAACTATTCAAATACTAGAAGAAAACAAAGGTAAATTCCTCTCTAACTTATGGTTTGGAAAATATTTTTACATATGACTCAAATTCTGCATTCAAGAAAATGTAGATATCTCTGACTTTAAAAGATTTTAAAAAACTTTGTTTTCCAAACTACCATAAAAAACCAACAAGTGACAAAAGCAAATAACAAAAACTTAGAAGAAACTTGTAATAACAGAGATAAAGGATTAATGTATATTTTAAGAATATGAAACACTCTTAAAATTGAAGGAATCAAGACCAAAACCATACAGGAAAATAAACAAAACATGAATAGGGATGTCCCAAAATTATATAATGACCTTTAAAACATGATATATTTACATTCACTTATAATAGATGCATGCATCTCAAAACCATGCTGAGTTACCACTTCTTGTCTGTCAGATTATCAAAAATTAAAATCTTGGTAACTTATTCCATTGGTGAGGCTATTACAAAACAGTCTCACAGATTCATACTTTATAAAAGAAAATTTGGCTATATTGAACAAACCTATATGTTTATACTGTTACTTAGAAATTTCACTGAATATAAGCTTCTGTAAATATAAAAATAGTTCTTATAGCACCAGGTATAATTACAGAATACTGAAAACAAATTAGTTGCCTGTATACAGGGCATTGCTTAAATACACTCTGATAAATACTCAGATGGCGGTAATAGCAGCTGCAAAAGAAATGTGGAAAATTTCTATTAACTGATATTGACTAACTTATAGGCTGTATTAATTACATTTAAAAAGAAGCCTTCAAAATATTGTATTTTTTTCTATAAGAAAAAGAGGATGATAATTAAGTATTCATGCATCTGCTTAGTTTTACAAAGATCAACCCAGTAGAGATAAGCTAGACAAAATTCTAATTGATTATTTACAAGCGTGAGTAGGAACAGATTGGAAATGTTGGTGGTGATGGTTTGAGACTTCTCTATGTCTACCTTTTTTGTAGCTTTTACTTTTTGAAACCACATTGCAAAATAAAACCAATGAGCTAGAAAAAAAATTAGAAATACAAACAGCAACTAAGGAAACTCTGTATTTCAAATGACTAATATGACCAAGGTAAAAAAACAGGAAATAACTAACCAATGCAACTTAAAAACGGAGTATTGTATTGATACATCATCAGTTTACAAAGAAAAATAACCCTAGACAAATACTGTACTATAGTTACTAGGTTTGGGTTTTTTTGGCTATGATATTGCTAGAAATTCTAAAACTACCCTAATTTTAGCTTTAAGCAAACAAATTATTATACTGAGGATAAATGGAGCCAGATTTCTCACTGATGAAGAAATGAATTACGAATACGTAAATGGAAGGAGAGTAGACCCTGTGGTGTTTAACCAGGCATGTAGGTATCATTGTGAACACATGGTCAAAGTCTTTGTGGAGAGGTAGCTGATTTTAGGACTGGGCAAGTAAAGTACAAGATGAAATTAGAACATCTTCTTTTAGAAAGCAAGTTGCATTAAAAATAAATAGGGCATTAAAAAATACACACTGAATTCAGTTTGAAGGGGTTTTTATTGGATAAATCTGGGGCAATTTGACAATCAAAATTAATAATAATAAAGTATCAACAAATTAAAAACCAATAAATCAAATGAGAAATCATGTATTTATACATATGTAAATAAATACACAATTGTATAAAGAGGGTAAAAGGAAAAATATTCATTTAGGGTGGAATTATACCTAATAAATGTACAGGAATGATAGAATTATGGAGATTTTTCAAACTGTCATTTAGCAGTCATCATATTAATAATTATTTCAAGTAAGATTCAGCAACTGATGCCAAAATAGATGGTAAAAGTTTGCTGAGAAGTAGGGCGTGAAAATTTTATATATATGTAAAAACATATATATCAGACTACCTATGCATACATAAACATAAACACACACATTTATATGAGAGAGAGAACAAATATAATAATATTTAAAATAGAGAAATATGGTTGGAGGGTATATGGAAATTCTTAACACTATTCTTGCAAATTTGCTATAAGCTTTAAAGTATGTGGAAATAAAAAATTATAAAAATGAGAAATTGCTTTACCCACGTGACCCCAATTTTAGTTGCTACAAAATGGGATATAAAGTATAATTTCAATTATAAAAATGACGTATGTAAAAACCATAGTATAGTTACAGACCACTATAGATTCTAGACAAATAACAGTTTTATCTTCTTTTTCAAAAGTGGCAAAATTGTTACATTTTAATTTTGCCAACTCATAAACAATATCTGAACATTTTGTTTCTGCATTGCATATTATTACAACACTAACTCACAAACTTCTAACATAATAATTATTTTCTTCTTAAAAGTAGGGAATCTCTGCTTTAAAATATCTGAAACACTTTTCTAAGATGATAGAAGTTGTGTAGTTTAAAAATAAGACCTTGATTTTGGAAGCAGACATAGGTTCCGATTCGAGCTCATACGTTTTCAACTGCTTGCTTTGACATAGTTACTTAGGCTCTCCACAGTTCAGTTTCATTGCCAGTATCATAAGAATAACTTAATTCTTATTTAATGGGTTTCTTGAAGCCCAAAGGAGAAATTCAAGAAAATACCTAGCACAATGCCTGTGCCATAAATAAATGTTAATACATATTAGCTATCACAATGGATAAGGGTTACACATAATTAATTGAGATTTTTAGGTATTGTTTCTTCTTAAACCACTACCTGTGGAACCCTTCCATAGATATAAAATCTTAACCAATTCATGATCTAAAATTAAGTTGATGATTTGTGCTACTCGCACATTGAATAGAATGAGCATAGATTTTTTTCAATATCTTTCTTTTACAAGCAAAAGAAAAATAAAAGCAAAACTCTAAAGTGAGTTCCTCAAAGTGACACTTCAAATGATTTTCTTTGTTCTCAGTTTCTACTCTCATTAGAAATGTTCTGAAAATATTTCACTCTCTCATCAACTACCTGAGGGTTTTATAAGAACGTTTTTTAAATATTATTTGCAGGACAGAGATATACTGTTCAATTGAGAATGAAAAATGTCTCATACATTTATTTAACTTGCCAATCTGTAATTTACTCACTGTCCATTTAAAAACATTTTTATTGTTATTTATTAAGCCTTACTCTGGAAGCCCAAATCCTTTATTTCATTATTGCAATAATAAAGCCAGCAATGCAAGAAGAGCGGAGAAAATTGGTTTTCCTATCGGTGTTTGAGGTCTACATGATTAGACTGCTTCTCTGTCTGCGGATACTCTGCACACTTTGAATACTGACTTCAAGGGTTTTAGAACATCGATGGGCTTTTAGTCAAAAAAAAAGTCTAAAATACAAATATTATTTTTAAAATTTAGCTGATTATCTTAAGCAAAAATTAAGTTTTTTTCTTTTTTTAAATTTTTTGTCTGATATTTTGAACCCATAAAGAAATTAAAATTACATAGAATGTTTTTATGTCCTAAAACAAGGAGATAATAGCCATAGAGGTTTTATTAGGCAATTAGTAGCTATAAAACTGAAGGAATGGTAGGATGATTAATTTTTTTGATTTACTTATTTAAAATCCAACCATAGGAAGAAGAAAATGATACTTCAAATGCTTTAAAAAATGAAGGTATCGTTTAACATATTAACATTATTTTAATAATAATATATTTACATTATAATTATTTCTTAACACTGAAATATATGAAAATCTCTAAATCCTTTATCTGGAGTTTAAAAAGTTAAAATCTAAGCTAATTAAAAAATGAAATGCATATGTCTTTGAAAGACAAAAGCAATAATCTAATAGACTCCCATTTTCAAAGGAACAATAATTTTCTCTTAGGTATACCTCTGATCATAGATTTAGCAATATCAAGGTAATTTGTAGCACAAAATAATACACCACTGGATGTTAAAGACTTAGATCAACAAAATTCACTAATCATCGTTCCAATTCTTTAATTTTATAGCTCCTAATTGCATAATAAAATCTCCATGACTATTATCTCTTCCTTTTATGACATATATACATTTTGTGTAATTTTAATTTAAGAATTCAAAATATCAGACAAGAAATTCAGTATATAGCCTACAAAATACTGTAGTATAAAATAGGGCAAAGTACCACCGGGCCATTTAAGAAACCGTCTGATTTGTGTGACTTAGTACTTCTTTGCCTATGAAGCATAGTCTGAGTCTGAACAACTGGTGACAGTTAAAAGTCTGCAGCGTTCCACTTTTTTGATTTTTATGGATCTGTACAGTGGTCCTTATCCTAGAAAATTAGCCATTGAATTCATTTGGGGCATCATGTGCCCTGAGCAATGTATTTTCAGGCCTGTGCATATCAATAATTTAAAGTAAAAGGGTGAAGCGCGATCAACAGTTAAGCTCTTAAAACGTGCCTTTTAATTAGAAAAGGGTGTTAAAATAAGGCAACACTTTAAAGTAAAATGATACCCATTTGTAACATATTGGCAATTAAACTCACTTCTTTTTCATTATTCCTTAGACACCCCGTGCTGTACTTACAAGGCAATTCTAACTCTTTAAAGCTAGTTTTGAATCACAAGCTTAAGCTGACAGTTACCAGGTTCCGTTTCTCATTCTTGGTCTTTAAGTTCCTACATGCTGCTTTTGAAAACTGAACAGACATTTCCTTCTTTAGATATTATGTTTCTTCAAAACATCATATTTATTTACAACAATTTATTGTCTATATTGTGCCAGCGAAAATACAATAAGATGTTAAGTAAACTTTATATTCAGTAGCCCGATGCTGTTGATAAGGTCTGAGGAATTTTAATTTTTAAATCTTACATGCAGTACACTTAAATGAATAATACCTTCTTCTTGATGCAGACTATGTAACCTAAACATTCTTGACAAAGTGATGAGTTTGACCATTCCCTTGAGGTACATTTGCATCTATTTAAGTACAATTTAATAAGTGCCTACTCTTTGGCAGGCATTGTGAACGGAGAAATGGCCTAATCAGATGCCACCTAGGGATGTTTCGGTCAATGGTGGACTGTGTGCATGACGGTGGTCCCACAAGTTTATAATACCATGTTTATACTGTGTTTTTCCTATGTTTAACCATCTTTAGATATACAAAATTGGCATTGATAAAATACCGTTAACTACAACACAAATCTTGTGCTCAGTTTTGCAAGTTTTAGATAACTTATTTAACTTATTTTTCACAAACATGCATAGGCAATACAGTGAAAAAAAATGTAGTGTTTTTAATAAATCTTTCAAGAACACTTGGACATCTATATGCCAAAAACATAAAAATGGATTTACACTATATACAGTCATGTGCTTCCTAAGGACATTTTGGTCAACAATGGACCACCTATAGGGTGGTGGTCTCATAAGATTGAAAAGGAGCAAAAACATTTCTATGGCTTAATGACTTTGTAGCGATTGTAACATCATAGCGCAATGCATTATTCAGGGGTCTGTGGTGATGCTGGTGTAAATTAACGTGCTGCACTACTAACTGTATAAGATACAATTATACACAGTACATAATACTGAATAATAAACTGTGTTACTGCTTTATGTGTTTACTATACTAGACATTGTATCTTTCTTTTAGAGTGTACTCTTCCTACTTATAAAAAAATTAACTGTAAAATAGCCTCAGGCAGGTTGTTTAGGTGGCATTTTAGAAGAACTCATTGTTACAGGAGATGATAGCAGCATGCCTATTATTACCCCTGCAGACTTCTAGTGGGACAAGATTTGGAGATGGAAGGCAGTGATATTGATGAGCCTTACCTTGGGTAGGCCTAAGCTAATGTGTGTGTGTGTCGTAATTTTTAACAAAATAGCTTTAAAAAGTAAAAATTAAACATAGCAAAAAGCTTATAGAGTAAGGATATGAAGAAAGAAAATATTTTTGCACCGTTGTACAATGCATTTGTGTTGTAAGCTAAAGGTTATTATGAATTAAAAGCTTAAAAAATGAAATGTACATAAAGTAAAAAAAGTTACAGTAAATTAACATTAATTTATTATTGAAGAAAGAAATTTTATAAAATAATTTCAGTGTAGCCCAAGTGTGCAATGTTTATAAAGTCTACTGTAGTGTACACTAATGTTCTAGGCCTTTATCTTCACTCAGACTCACTCATTGACTCACGCAGAACAAGCCCTCCAAGCTCCAGTCTTGCAAGCTTTATTCATGGTAAGTGTCCTAAACAGATATATTATTATTTCTATTATTTTTTTACCATTTACACTACATTTTTACTGTATCATTTTTATGTTTAGATTTTTTTTTAGGGGGGAGGGTGGAGTTTCGCTCTTGTTGCCCAAGCTGGAGTGCAATGGCATGATCTTAGCTCACTGCAACCTCCACCTCCCAGGTTCAAGAGATTCTCCGACCTCAGCCTCCTGGTCTTACAGGTGCACGCCACCATGCCCGACTAATTTTTTGTATTTTAGTAGAGACAGGGTTTCACCAGGTTGGCCAGGCTGGTCTCGAACTCCCGACCTCAGTTGATCCACCTGCCTCGGCCTCCCAAAATGGTGGGATTACAGGTGTGAGCCACCACGCCCATCCATTTTTAGATATTTTTAGATACACAAATAATGTGTTACAATAGCCTAAAGTTTTCAGTACAGTAACATGCTGTACAGGTTTGTAGTCTAGGAGCAATGGGCTATAGCCTATAGTCTAGGTGTGTTGTAGGCTGTACCATCTAGGTTTGTGAAAGTATACTGTATGATATTGCAAAGCTACAAAAGCATTTAATGATGCATTTCTCAGAATATATCCCCATTGTTAAGTGACACATGACTGTGTATTAATCTTAAGTGAAAAACATTCTCTGCAAGGAAAAACCTTTTTATCTGCATTGCATGTACAAAAAACACACAAATATTTCCATTTCAGAAAAGTAAATGAAATTTGTAATTAAAACCATTTTTATTACTAATAAATATAAACATCATACTGTACATACTCTCAAATAAATGTTAGACTTTTTAAAAAATGTCCACTTTATGTAAGAAAATACTTCATGTATTTAGCAGAAGAATGATTGATCTAATTGCAGTATACAGCTCCAAAGAGTAGGAGTAAATATTTTGAAGAAAGCATGATAGTCTTTCTCATTCTCATATTGTATTCCTCCATGACTCTTATCTTTCTCAATATCCTGGTAGCTTTCATAATTTATCAGAGCCATTTTTGAGGCTATTCATATGAAGGATTGATTACTGTGGAATTAATAAATGTCAAAGGTTTATACTTCTATCATTTCTTTATTTGACTAATATTTAATGGGCTCAATTATGCTCCAAGCATTTAGTTACCTTTGCATGCACTTTTGTCATGTGTTAGATTTACTTTCACACCTCTGGGCCTTCACACATGACATTCCTCTTGTCTGGAATGACCTTTTCCTTATTCTTTACTTGAATTTTTAATTTGCCTTTAGGTCTTAAGCAAGGTTTGACCTCAAGGAAGCTTTCTCAAACTCTCTGGTGCAGTGTGATTAAAAATGTTCCTCTTCAGGAGTCACAGAGGATTCTTTGCTATATCTGTAAGTGTACTTATTTCTACATATTATAATAATTAATTTTTTCTGCCCTATGATCAGATTCTCTATAACAGCCAAGAGTTAAGGGTTTCAAAATTATTTATTTAAATGAATTCACTATACACTTCAGATAGTTCTTAGAAATAATCATAAATTTAGAATTTTGCATGTTTGTCATTTACATGTAGTTTTGAAGGATCACAATTTTTAAAGTCGTTTCTACTATGTTTCATTAAACTACTATTTGTTGAAGAATTATATGTGCCACATAATGTGATAGAAACTGAAATTGGACCATATAAAATGACTATATAAATAGACTTTGACACACTTCTGGTTCTGAACGTGATGAGCAGGGAATATTACATTATTACACCAATCCTCTCACTGAGAAAAACAATGGCAATAACAATTAAATAATGCTTACAAGATATGCATTTTAACTATAAGCATACCCAGCATTCAAAGTATACTGATGATAAAAAGATTTACCATGTTAGCACAAACTAAAAGAATAACACAGCTAATGAATATAACATAAAATAAAATACTGGAAAAGACTTATTACTAGACATAAGAATAATATTTTATAATGATAAGTGCTAACATTCAAGAAGAAAAAATATTACATTTTTATATACTCTATACACAAAAAATGATGACTATAATGGAAGTGACAAATCCATAATTATATTGCAGATTTTAAAAACCCCTCTCTTAGTAAATGACAGAAAAATTAAACTATAAAATCAGTAGGGAAATAAGAGAGTTGAAAATACATTTGAAAAACCGAATCGTATTTTCATATATAAAACATAAGAGCAACAGTAGAATATTTTATTTTTAATTTCACGTGAAACATTCAACAAAATAGAAAATATCTGACCAAAATTTAAAACCAATACCCACAAGTCAAATCTTAACAAAATTTTAAATAATGACATTATTGAGTGTGTGTTTTCTCTGCACAGTAGAATTAAACTAGAAATAATAAATAATAATAAAACTAAAACCACATGCCTTTAGACATTTAGGAATACACTTATATATGAATATTATAACCTATGATTTAAAGAAGAAATCTAAATCTAAATTTGAATTTATTTTGGTCATGAGTTATAATGAATATATGATAGAAACTTGTAGATGCAAAACAGCAATTCTTATGGAAAAGTTTCTAACAAAAATGCACTTATTAGAAATAGAGACTGACAATCAATACCTTAAGGAGTAATACACCCCTCACACCTACACACACAAAACTAGCAAAAAAGGAAATAATAAAGGTATGAGCAAAAAAACCAATGATTTAGCAATAAATCATATAAAAGAGAAACCAAACAAGGCTAAAAGTTGTTTTTTAAAAGATAAATAAAATGCTCATATCTCTAGGAATGTTGTTATACTTAAAAAATAAAAGCTATGAGTTATACTTAGTAAAAATGAAGAAAAGAAATTCTTTTATCAGTTAGAACATGAAACGGTTATCAGAGGAAAACAATTTTATGTCAATAACTTTTAAGTTATATGAAATAGATCAACTTTTTGAAAAACAGGATTTTCCAAATGAATTCAGGAAGATATAGAAACATAAATAGTCCTATATTCAGAAAATTTACTGATTCAATAATTTATACTATTGTCTTAAAAAGTTAATTGTCAGTTGCTATAATACCTTAAGGAAGAACTAATGTCAATTTTATAGAAACTGTTTTAGAGAATAGAGAAAAGGGAACATTTTCAAGAAATTGTATGCGGCTAGCATATTACTAATACTAAAACCTTACAAAAACAGTAGAAAGTAAACTTATCTCTTTTATGAATATTATCTTCATGAATATAAATGAATATGAATTCATTCTGTCATGAATATAAAATCAAATATTTTAAGCAAAATGAACAATTGGAAGTCAGTATATGTAAGAAGATAATATATAATGGAAAGGTTTACGTTATGGCTAGGTTGAATTTAGCAATTTTTAGCAGAACTACTATACATATTAGCAATATAGAACACAAAATCATCTAATGATTTTTATTAGGTGTGAAATAATGTAAAAAATTTGATAAAATTCAACATCTGTGTATGGAAATTCTCTTAGCACACTAAAATATCCTAATTCTTCAATTTGATGAAGAATTTCTACAAATAGCATATCAAAAACTTCATATTGGGCTGGGCATGGTGGCTTACGCCTGTAATCCCAGCACTTTGGAAGGCCGAGGCTGGTGGATCACCTGAGGTCGGGAGTTCAAGACCAACTGGACCAACATGAAGAAACCCCATCTCTAATAAAAATACAAAAAAAAAAATAGCCGGAAGTGGTGGTGCATGCCTGTAATCCCAGCTACACAGGAGGCTGAGGCAGGAGAATCACTTGAACCCAGGAGGTGGAGGTTACAGTGAGCCAAGATCGCGCCATTGCACTCCAGCCTGGGCAACAAGAGTGAAACTCAGTCTCGAAAAAACAAAAAACAAAAAAACTTTATATTGACTAGTACTATATTGAAAGCTTGTTTTCTGAGACTGAACATGATAAACATATACTGTATCACTGTTTCTATCTAACATAGTCCTGGTAGTTCTAAAAATCAGGCAGGAAAATGATTTTAAAAAACAAATGAAAAAATAAAACTTAGGCACAAGTGTCATCACTGTTGTCTTTATCCAGTCAGGCTGCTATAGCAAAATACATTAATACATTAGACTGGGTACTTTGTAAACAACAGAAATTTATTGCTTACAGTTCTGGAAACTGGGAAGTCCAAGATCAAAATGCCAGCCAATTTCCCTGGTGAGGACTTGCTCTGTGCTTCTTTAATGGCAACTTGTAGCTGTGTCCTCACATGACAGAATGATAATCAAGCTCCCTTGTGCTCTTTTATAAGGGCACTAATTTCATGCATGAGGGTGGAGCTTTCATGACCTGATTATCTCCCAAAAGCCTCACCTCTTAATACCATTGCATTGAGGATTAGATTTCAATGTATGAATTTGGGGGTGAGGGGTAGAAACATTCTGACTATGACAATTGTATATGAAGTTTAATTCGACAGGTAAATTAACAGAATTAAGCAGTGAATTTAGTAGGGTTGCTAGGCAAAAGGCCAAATACAAAAATCAAATGATTTTTATTACAGTAATAGCAACTACTAGAAAATGAAATTATGTATAATTTAAAATACCATCAAAAATATCTCACACCAAATCAAAAACATTGAGAACACCCAAAGCTGTTGAGGATGTGGATCAACAGGAAGACTCACTCATTGCTGCTGGGATTGAAAATGGTGCAGCTACTTTGGAAGACATGTTGGCAGTTTTCTACAAAATGAAATGCTCTTATGAAATGATCCAACATTTACACCCTTTAATAGCCACTCAAATGGGTTGAAAAGTTACACCCATACAAAAACTTTTGTCAGCGCACTCCTGAAAGCACTTTTTATCATGACATTAATCCATTTATGAGGGTGGATCTCTCATGGCCTAATCACCTCTTAAACATCCCACCTGCTAATATACTGTTACAATGGCAATTAAATGTGAACATGAGTTCTGGAGAAAACAAACATTCAAACTAGAGGAGTCACCATCTGCGAAAATTGATCCTGTGCTCATTTCATGACCTCAGCATTTCACTCATAGGTAAATTCTCAACAGAACTAAATAAATATCTAGAATATGTATTAGAATGTTCACATAAGCTTTATTCATAATGACATTAAAATATACTTCCACTTTACCCACTGAAAGCATTTATGTTTTCATAACATTATGCTACAGTAGTACTTAGTAATTTTGAAAATGTTTTGAAAAATTAGCAAGACTCCTTTCAGTCTAAATCAACTTCAGTCTTTATATTTAATTTACCAGGCATATTAAACAGTGAACACTTACATATAAATAACCCATGTCTTTCATGTGGTTTCCTTGGCATTATGTATAAATATTTGATATAACAATACAGAAAAAAATAGAAGTTAAACATGAATCTCTCTTAATTATTTGCAAAACATTTGATTAGACTTATGGTGATATGAACTGTTAAAAACATCCTTTCTTATGAATAGTCTTGAAGTATTTGAATAGGTCAAAGAGATAATTAATTAATAGGCAGAAGAAATATTTGTCTTGAATCTCTAAAACAACAACAACAAAAAATGTGCTTTCCTTTCTCTTTTAGAAATGTCAGAAATTCCCCTCCTAAAGCCGACTTTATAATTTAAAGTTTTAATTCACTCATGCCTGTAATCCTAGCACTTTGGGAGGCCAAGGCTGGCGAATCATGAGATCAAGAGATTGAGACCATCCTTGCCAACATGGTGAAACCTCATCTCTACCAAAAATACAAAAATTAGCTGGGCATGGTGGCATGGCGCCTGTAGTCCCAGCTACTCAGGAGCCTGAAGCAGGAGAATTGCTTGAACCTGGGAAGTAGAGGTTGCAGTGAGCCAAGATCGAGCCATTGAACTCCAGCCCAGGTGACACAGCGAGACTCCGTCTCAAAAACAAATAAATAAATAAATAAAATAAATAAAAATTTTTTAAAAAGTTTTAATTCACATTTAAAACCGTTTTCTAGAAAGTACAATACTTCCTATTAATCTCAGTCACTCTCTCTGTCTCTCTTCCTCTTACGCACAAAGTAAAAATAAAATGAGATTTTTCTAAGGTTAGATGGTGAGACCTCTTTCATGTGAAACCCTGATTTCATGATATGTCTTAAATAATGTGTGAGGCATATTTAATTAAGGGATGGGGGGGCAGCAAGAGATGATGGTGTTGTCTGTTCTTATTTACAGACTACTATGAAAAGTGGGACTATGTGTGGCAGATCCTTTAATTTTTCAGTGTCCCGTCTCTAGGCAAACCTGTTTTCAGCATAACAATTTGAGCGTGTGATATCCATTTTTCTGCTCTCTGCCACAGGTTCTTGTTTAAACAAAGGGAGAAGTGCAGTTAGGAGGTAGAACTGAGTTCATAGCTTACCTCCTTCCCCACAAGAACCAAATGAGAATGGGAGCCCAGAGACAAATGTCCCAGATTATCTCCTTTATGCAGACAATTCTGGGAGGCATATGATGCTCAGATTTCCTGGATGAATTGAGTCCTTAAAACCTGACTGAGAAAATTCAGTCTCACACCTCTTTTTCCACTCTCCTGTATCTGACATTTCTTTTCCACACTCTTATTTGCTGGAGTTCCAGTCTTTCCCCCTCACTCTACCACACATACTACCTGTACCCTAGTCTTGTTTCATAATGTGATTTTTGAGGTAACATAAAATTAAAAAGCTGCTTTGAAATAACGCAAAAAGAAGTGTCATTTGATTTAATGTGTAAAAAGCATAGGAAAGCTGAAAGTTACTGAGAGGTTTATATTTTAGGATAGCATAGAAATAATCATAGCGTTATAGCTAGGAACAAAAGTGTATCTATCCTCTTTCCTTCAATACATTAGTGAAAATATAGGTTATATACCATTTGCAAATTGCAGATAGTCAAATGCAAAGCTGGAGAGTAAAATCTTCTTAGAGATGAAGTTAGAACTCAGAAATCTTTAAACTTGTCTAGTTAGAGAGAAATACTTATTTCCTGTAACTACTTTGTTTAAAGCTTTTATATATGATGTCATTTAGTTGGAGGACAAAACAATAGTGTTACAACAGAATTCTTAATGTTTTAGTGCCATTTACAATGAAATGTCACAATCTGAAACTTACTTTGATTTATAAGCAGTTCTCAAGCTTTATTTTTCAACAAGTTCCTTCCACTTATCTCTTGTGTTTCTCTGTAATGTTGATGTGCAATGTATGTGTATCAAGCAAAGAGTATAAAAATAAAATCTTTTGGGTAAAAATTTCTCACAATATACTTTCCAATATATTATGTTCACAAGTAGTTTGTTATAAGATTCTTTCTTTTTTTTCCTGTTGCATAAAGCAGAAAATATTGTATAAAAAGCAGTGAACTATCATTTACATTTTTCTCCAAATTACAATATTTAGAGAGCCTTAGGAACTTTAATGGTACTGCTTACCTGATGTGCTCATAGTAATCTGTTTATTATAGTGTTGCTTAAACTACTGCTGATTTACATGTTAACAGGCATATTATTTAATCAATGACATCAAACTCTGGTATTGAGAGTATAACTGTACTTCTTCATAAACTGGTGGATTGCAGAGCTGTGTTAAGTAAAACAAATAACAATTTATGTCTCTTGTTAGAACATATTCTGCTGCTTATTTTCTTTTAAAGTCTTTTATGTGGAATCAATGTCAGGAGAGCATTTTATACTAATTTTTGTTTTTACTCTTTAAAGTACGTTAATGGCATCTTCTGGTTTCCCTATTGAGTTTCCTAAAATGGAAATTTGACAGCTAAGTATAATATACAGTTCATTAAATTTGAAAATAAAGTGAATCTCTGCATATTTATAGTACAATAATGGATTCATTCTGATAATTGCTAAGGTGTTTTGAGCCAAAAGTATGTGAAATATTCAGAAAGTTTGGAAATATATGGCATAAATATTTGTTTTTGAGGATGTATAAATCCAAAACTAAGATGGATCTGGTGTATGAATGCATGTTGAATCTGTTGAGTAAAGGTTTTTGGAGATGAGCAATTTCCTTCTGCAAGGTAAATGCAAATTTTTCAAGAGAGCAGAGTGTTGTGTGCAAAGGCAGAAAAGATATTAACTAAATTACCTGCTGTCCTGGAGACATTAATTTGCTTCATCGAGAAAGGTATTCTCAGAGTATTTTACTGATTCAGATTCATGATGGGGTCGAATGCATATCTTCCTGCTTAACAGTCAACCCTACATTAAACTATTTATGAAGGATAAAAGTAAATTGATCATGTATTTCTCAAGTTCTTTTGAAGGTAGCAAATAGATTAAACAGGATGTGGAAGAGTTTAGACTTCAGATAATCCTGGCTTTCTGTTATATTAATTAATGTTACATGCTTGTTAGTATATAAGTCTCTAATTTCAGTCAAAATCTCTATTTAGCTTAATAACATTTCCAGTTCCTGGATATTTAATGGCTGACATTGAAAATAAGCATGTAATGCCTGTGTCTTCCTAACCATGTAGAATGAAGATTATAGTGGCTATTGTTATTTTTATTATTATTACATAGCATATTCAGTTGTGTGGTGTGACATCTATTAATTGAAAAAAAACACAAGTAAGGACATTGCAATAGTAAATATTAAGAAAGCTTAATTTCAACCAAAAACTTAGATGTTAATTCTGTGAGCATAATTTTTGGCAAAAAAAGAAGTAAGCAAGTTATATTTTTTTCTCTATTCTTTACCATTGATTATAGCAAAGTTTTATTAACTCACCACACAACAAATACAAAGGGAAAAGATAGAAGAGGAAAAAAAGGAATGCCTTCAACTACTCAGCGATTGAGTACATTATCAACCCTCTCACCTTGCTTGCTCTTATTAGAAAGAAAAGATACGTTAAGACTAGTTCAATTTTCTCTACAAATCAGATTCAGTTTACACACACACACACACACGCACACACACACAATACACACATATGTCCTAAATTTTCCAGGATTTTTTGCTACATTAAAGATTATAAGTATAATTATTTTATAGGCTTATTATATTATTATTACCTTATTTTTTCATTCGAATAATGATTTTAGAGCACATACACATATATAAATGTATACCTACTGACATAGTTCTACATGTGAATATATTGAAGATATACCTACCATGCTTAATAGAGAAAGCATTCGAGTTGGTGAGTTAATTATTTGTAATTTTGCCACAAAATTTCAGACATATTTATTTTTCTTTTTGTCTTTGAGGAGACAAACCCATTTTATTGTCTATCGTGTTATATAAAAATCTAGAAAGAATAGATTTGTACAGAAAAAACAAATGATAATAAATGGGAGCACAAAAGAAAGAATTTAAATTTGCTATTTTTCCCAGTGGTATTAAGATGACAATCATTTTAAAGCACATGTGTCTGGCTTCAGGGTAGGATTTGTTCATCGGCCAAAGCCTGCCATAAAACTATGGCTTTCAGTGTCTGTCCGTTCTACTGGCTCTTGACAGAACTTCTGAGGTCTTCAAGAAAAGTCATGTACTCCTGCTCCTCCAGGGCTGTGCTGAGCTCCATTAGCTTATGGGCAAAAGGGTTGGCCACCCCTCCATTCACAAGGAAATCCACTAGGTGGTCATATAAGGCCGAGTCCCGGAAATCTGTGTTGAGTATAAAATTAGTGTCCTTTCATTGAGACTCCCCATTGGACTGAAAGTTACTTCCCTGATAGAGAAAAGGTCACTCTCAACCTCCTCTTCTGGCCCACCCTCATCCTCTGGGTAGTGACAGTCCAGCACAAGGGCCTTCTTGCCACCACTCTTCAAAACTTGGACCACGAAATTGGGAGGTGATGTCAATTCAGGCTCCTGTTCTCCAACTTGCTGCCCTTTCGAGGGTTCCTCCTTGCCATCAAGTGTCGGTGGGATGCTGTTGTTAATGTTGAAAGTGACAGCGATCTTTCCCCGGCAGCTTTTCCCACTAATTTAGCTTCTGTCCCATTTAACTGCCGCTCCCATCCTCCAGACATCTTAGGGAGGGTTTTATGCTTCTGGATTTTCCTCTCCTCCTCAATTTCACCATTCAGGATATCAACAGTCTCCTTCGGTGTGCAGCGCGCCACAGCCACTGGGGCAGGACCTGCGAGGCCGCAGGAGGCCAAGCCATCTCTGGGACCCCGGGGACCCGGTGCGCACGCTGAGCAGCACCAAGGACGGGGCGCACGGCCGGGGCTACGGCTGCAGGAGCTGCCGGAAGGGCGCGGCAGGGGGTTATTTTTCTATTTCATTTTGATTATGACTATAAAATACAAAATCAATGCATTCTTAAAAAGTGCTATAATGTAAAAATTATAAATATACAAAACACGAAGAATCAGCATGTAGTTTGTATTTAGAATTATTATGCAGTTAATATTAGCAGTGTTAAACATGAATTTAATAGAAATGAGCATAATTCAGTTTATTGTGATATAATCTGTTTAGGTGAATCATAGTCTTCACATTTGTAGATTAGCTATTTTTGAAATGTATAAGATAGCACAAAGTATGTGATGGCATAAGAGTAGATGCATGTTGAATCTTCCATGCTCACCTTTGGTGTCAGGGAATTATTTATTCTACATTACATATGTATAAGTACCAGTTAATAAATTTAATCATGTTAATGTTGAACACAGAATTTTATGCAAGGAATGCCCTCCACCCATTAACTTCCTGAGTCCTAAACTGTTGAGTGTACAACCACTGTGAAAATAATATAATGATGAAGACCTGCTAAGTACATCTCTCTAGAGCAGCATTTTAAATATGGCACTGCTTGGTCAGCTCACTATAAAAAGAAGTATCAAGACTAGGTTTGAGAGTTAAGATCCCTTAGGGCCAGGCATCCATTCTATAAGACAGGCAGAGGTGCATTTCTTATCTCTTCAATGATAATAAAAGCTTTTTATGTACTAGTATCTATGGTTCCAGCATCACAACCACTCACTAAGAAATTCTCCAGTGGTTCTTACAGGATCCAAATCAATTAGTGTGGCAGTTTCTCCCTTCATGTTACCATTTGCACTAGTGTCGTTAAGGCCCCTACTCTTACAGGGTGGTTTACAAGAATCCAGATCTGTTAAATTGGCAAGTTGTGTAGAGAATAGGACTATGGGATAGATGGGGAATGTGATTCCAAATTCCATCTAGGTCTCCTGTAATGTGATTCTCCAGATTGGCCTTCTCTTCTCTTTATGCAATTGCTCCTCATTCCTCTTGCTTTTCTTCCCCATACCCAGTCCTCTCTATTTTTGTTATATTAGAAACAGGTTCTAAGCACAAACACTCTCCAGCAGTGATTCTTTTGATCTCTGTGTGTGTGTGTGTATACAAATTCTTAAGTTTATATATATACGTGTGTATATATATACCACATATATATAAGTATATGTGGTATATGTTTGTATTCTATCAGAAAGACTTCCACATATAAGGCGAAGGAAATAGAGAGCAACCAGACTAATACTCGAACGTGTGGCACACCCTAGAAATTACTAAATCAGTTATTAAAAATATAGTTAACTTCATTTTCAGCTACATAATAAGGAGCAATAAAGTGCAAAATGACAGTACAGTTTCATAGTGCTTCATTAGTGATCATCTCAGTCCCTATTTCTAACTAGATAATTTTTGTATGGAACTTTTACTCTGCATCATTATTTGATTTTGTCACTGTATTAGCCAGAGAACCACAGAACCAATGGATGTGTGTGTGTATGTGTGTGTGTGTATGTGTGTGTGTGTGTGTATGTGTGTGTGCGCGCGTGTGTGTAGATATATTGTCTTAAGCAGTTTGGGATAAAATGCCATATACTGGTTGGCTTATAAACAACAGAAATGTATTTCTTAAGAGTTCTGGAGGCTGGACGTCTGACATCAGGGTATCAGCACGCTCGAGTTCTGGTGAGAGCTCTCTTCCAAGTTGCAGACTGCTAACTTCTCATTATATCCTCACATAGTGGAAAAAAGCGCTCTGTGGTCTCTTTTATAAGGGCATTAAACCCATTCACAAGGGCTGTACCCTCATGACCTAATCATGTTACAAATGCCCCACCTCTAAATATCATCACGTTGGGGTCAGAATTTCAACATACACATTTTGAGTGAACACAAACATTCAGTTCATTGCATATAGATATGAAATTTTTCTTCATTACATGTGTATGTGCATGTATGTATAGACACACACACGCATGCCCACATGCACACACATGTACACCCATATATGTGTGAGGAAGGAAGAGAGAGAAGCAGGAAGATTTTTGTTAATGTTTTGTTAACATTTATTTTAAGTTCAGGGGTACATGTGCAGTTTGTTATGTAGATAAATCCATGTCTTGGGGGTTTGCTGGACAGATTATTTTGGCAGCCAGGTATTATGCTTAGTACCCATTAGTTATTTTTCCTGTTCCTCTCTTTCCTCCCACTCTCCACCTCCGGTAGGTCCCAGTGTGTGTTGCTGCCCTCTATGTATCCATGTGTTCTCATTATTTAGCTCCCACTTACAAATGAGCACATGGAAATTCTACCAGATGCACATCCAAATTCTACAAGATATTTCTTTTAAGAAAGTGGCTCACAGAACTGGGGAGACCGGTAAAGTCCAAAATTGGCAGGGCAGGCCAGTAGGCTGGAGATGCCAGGAGGAGTTACTGTTGCAGCTCATGTAGGAAGACAATCTGGAGACAAAGTTTCCTCTTTCTCTGGGGCTCTCAATCTGTTTTCTCTCGAGGTCTTCAACTGAACGGTTGATGCCCACTCACATTATGGAAGGCAGCTTGCTTTATTAGAAGTCTACTGATTTAAATGTTGGCCTTATCTAAAAACTGCCTTTACAGAAGTATTCACATTGTTGGACCAAAGATTTGGGTACTGTGACCTAGTCAAGTTGTCACCTAAAATGAACCATCATGTCACCTGCAATCTCATTTAAAATGCATGTCTATATATCACGATTTTTCATTTTGCTGTTTACATTCCCTCACTATCAACTTAATATTTCTACCTCTAGCCATGTCTGTTTCTATTTTCACAGAATTTAAGATTTTCTTATCAAATGCAATCTTGGTATATTTCTGTTGTCTCTGCTGATTTTCATCAAAATTGGATTTCTTTATTGTTACTTCTTTTTGACATTCTGAACGTTGCCTTTCTCTTCTGTATATTTTTTACTCACTTGTTGTGAGTCTGCAAGGTTATTTTATAGTTCACCTGGCTTTTGAATGAGGAAAGTCTGCCAATTGAGTGCTACTCAAGAAAAGTTTCCATCATTTCTTTTTTTTTTTTTCTTTTGAGACGGAGTCTTGCTCTGTCGCCCAGGCTGGAGTGCAGTGGCACGATCTCGGCTCACTGCAAGCTCTGCTTCCCGGGTTCACGCCATTCTCCTGCCTCAGCCTCCCGAGTAGCTGGGACTACAGGCGCCCACCATCACACCTGGCTAATTTTTTGTATTTTTAGTAGAGGCGGGGTTTCACCGTATTGGCCAGGATGGTCTCGATCTCGTGAATTCGTGATCTGCCTGCCTCGGCCTCCCAAAGTGCTGGGATTGCAGGCATGAGCCACCGTGTCCGGCAAAAGTTTCCATCATTTCACAGATTAAATTGTATGTGTGTGTGTTAATTATTATATATTCCCGCAACTCAACATTTCTGACTAGTTTTTAATAATCCTGTTTATAATTTTATATACATTAACAGCATCAATTTTAATTGATGACTGTTATAGACAAAATGTTTATGTCCAACCCCCAAATTCATGTGCTGAAATCCTAACCCTAAGGAGATGGGCCTTAGGGCCTTCGTCAGGTGATTAGGTCATGAGGGTGAAACCCTCCTGAATGGGATTAGTAACCTTATAAAAACAGTCCAGGAGACCTTGGACTTGCCCCTTGCCCCTTCCACCATGTGGGGACATTGAGGAGATAGCCATCTGTGAACCAGGGAGGGGACCCTAACCAGAAACTAAATTTGCCAGTCCCATGGTCTTGAACTTCCCAGCCTCCAAAACTGTGAGAAATAAATTTCTGCTGTTTATAATCTTTTTTATAGCTTATAGCTGCCTGAACAGACTAGGATAACAAACACAATAGAAATAAAAAATTAAAAATGCCATCCACATAGCAGTCATTTTTTGTTAAGCATAGACTTTATGTTATATTTATATTATATTATAATTTTATATTATAAAATTTTAAATATGCTTTTTCATATGCCACCACAGTAATCAATTGCTTACTTGCTGCTAAGAGCCTTAGTAGAACTTCATGACATTAGAGACAAACATACCTATCCCACAAATGCAGTGTCTGACACAAAATAGGTAGACAATCATTAATGGTTAAATAAATATCAATTGAATGGGATTGCTAGATTGACTTGACAAAATCATTAGCTTTATGTGAGGTACCTACCATGTGGTTCAAATGAAATATAAAATTTGGTTCATGCCCACAAGCAATTTTAAATTGGTTTGGAGATTTCTATTTTAAATACATAAAACTCTAATAAGTGTCACGAATAACATACTTAAGAGACAAAGCCCATACATGCATTACACTAACCAAAATCAGATGATACGAGGCAGTGTGGTTTTTGCATTTTTAAAAGGCATACAGCGTAGTTGATCAGAATTTCTTAAGGCCATGTGTAGAGTTCTCTAAGTATTGAAATCTGGCACGTCACTTTGGGCCAGTCTCAGAGAAAATGTAAAGATAATCAGTTTGGAACTGATATAAGAGTGGTTACTAGGGGAAATAAAGATAGAACAAAGGGAAATTGTGAAAAAGTCACTATAATTGCTTTATAAATTGATCAGGTATTACAGAAAACTCTACAAAGCATTTGATTACAGCAATATATTTATAACTGATATTAAACTGCAAAACAAAACAAAGTAAACTTAATGAGAGAGAGGAAGAAAAAGAGGGAGAGACATGGAGAGAAGGCTTGAACATATCTTTGAGTAATGCACAAATCTGATTGCACTAAGATGAACAAGACACCTGACACAAATTATCTTCTAAAATAATACACCCAAATAATCTACATATAAAGTTAATATTAAATGCTTATTCTTGGTGTTACAGAAATTTGCTGCCTTTGCACAGTACATTATTTAAGCTAATTTGCTTCTCTGACTAATATTCATAACAGAATCTCACTGGTATAGTCATCAGTGACTTACTGGCAATATAAAATAATTGAAATTATCAACAGAAGAAATTAAAGGATGAAGGTTTAAATGATAGAACTATAATACATGCCAGCAATTTCTCAAAGTGAATTACCCAAATATAATTGCATATCTCTGTTGTGTTCTAAAGTTCAGCAGCCTGGAATGTTATTTAATTATGCATGCATTAATAAGAAACTGCATCCCAAAAAGGGGAAAATAATGGAAAAACTGTTTAAAACTTATATGGACTACAAATCTAGTAATAATATTTAGGTATTATATGCTCTATTTTCTATTATATTCCTTCTAGATACATCAACCAAATAGCTTGAGACTAATATAAATTATCTCTTATATAATCATATTAATCGATCTCATCGCCAAAATGTAAGGATCAAAATCATACTTTGTACATTATTTTGTTTTGAAAATACTGACTTTATGCATCTACCTTCAACCAGGTTTTGAATTTGACACACATAAATTTGAATTTGTTAAGCTTGTCTTTAATGTAGTCATGCAGATGGATGGCATGGTTTAAATAAACTTTCCTAACCTATTACCTCTTTAAAGGATTTTGTTTCTATAAAAAAGAACATAGATGTTGTTAATGATGTTTATTGTCTCTCTTTTTGCAATGATAATGAAACCAGTATTGCTTAATTATGAGTCATTTCCATATTACTAGAAAGGTATAGTGATTTGTCTTAAGTAATACTAATTAGGACATTTACTAGCTGAGATTAAAATAGATTATAACTATCTATATTTTAAAGAAAATTTTATCTTCAATGCATTCATAGGATTTGGGTACACCAAAAGAGAAACTCTAAAATTCAAAGAAGCAAGTGAAGAAAATGTTAACTATAATTCAAAAGTAGTATATTCTGAGAGTAGAAATATCCGATTTTCTGATGAGTGCAAATTTTTCTCTCAGATTCTTAGATGTGAGATTGTAGTTCCAAACTACAGTCTGAAAATACACAGGTGCACTTTGAACTGTCTGAAAATTGAATAAATAGTTGATATATATACATTCATACAAGCATGTTTGTGTTTAAATATTTTTAAATCTTTATGAAATAAAATGTAAATCTGAGCACTCTTTTGCTAGACATATGATGTTATTTCAATCAATGTATACAATAACTATAACTGCTAATGAAGAAAATATCTGCAAAACAAATAGAAAATATTATTTTGAAGCAGGATACCTGAACAAAACTTTTTTGCATGTGTTGGATAGGAAACACATTACATAATGCAACTCTGATTTGGAACATAATGGTGTATGTTCAGAAAGAAAATTGCTTGCTTAAAACGTATCTTTTTTGTTACTTTAAAATTTTTTGATTGACAAATATAAATTGAATATATTTATCATGTACAACATGTTTGGAAATATGCATACATTGTGGAATGGCTAAATTGAGCTGATTAACATATGCATAATTGTAATTTTTGTAGTGAGAACATTTAAAATCTTCCCTCTTAGCAATTTTCCGGAGTATGTACAATACATTAACTACAGTCACCATGTTGCATAATATGTCTCTTTAACTTATTTCTCTTATCTAACTGAAATTTTGTCTTAAAAATATCTTTTTATATTTTAAATTTTACTTATTTTATAAATAAAATTTTAGTTTTTAATTCAACTCTTATTTTAAATACAGGGATACATGTGCAGGCTTGTTACATGAGCATATTAAACCCAGGTTGTGAGCATAGTATTCAATAGGTAATTTTTCAATCCACACCCCTCTCCTTCACTTCCTCCTCTAGTAGCCACAGTATCTTTTGTTCCCATGTTTAAGTCCATGTGTGCTCTATGTTTAGCTCCCACTTATAAGTGAGAATGTGTGGTATTTGGTTTTCTGTCCCCTCATTAATTCACTTAGGATTATGGGCTCCAGTTCAGTCCATGTTGCTGTGAAGGACACAATTTATTCTTTTTTTGGCTTTATAGTATTCCATGTCATAGACGTACCACATTTTCTTCACTCAATCCACCACTGATGGGCACCTAGGCTGATTTCATGCCTTTGCTGTTGTAAATAGCATGGCGATGAACATGCAAACGCATGTGTCTTTTGGGTATAATTATCTATTTTCCTTTCTTTATATACTCAGTAATGAGATTGCTGTGTCAAATGGCAGCTCCCTTTTAAGTTCTTTGAGAAATCTCCAAGCTGCTTTCCATAGTGGTTGAACTAACTTACATTCCTACCAATAGTATACAAGCATTCCCTTTTTTTAGCACTCTCACTAGTGTCTGTTGATTTTTGACTTTATAATAATAGCCATTCTGACTGGTGTGAGATAACTCATTGTGGTTTTAACCTGAATTACTCTAATGAATAGTGATGAGCATTTTTTCATGATTTTTGGCCACTTGTGTGCTTTTTTTTTTTTTGAGAAGTGGCTGTTCATGTCCTTTGTCCATTTTTTATTTTATTTTATTTTATGTTTTGCTTGTTGATTTGTTTGAGTTCCCTACTGATTCTGGATATTAAACCTTTGTGAGATGCATGGTTTGTGAATATTATCTCCCATTCTGTGAGTTGTCTGTTTAATCTATTGATAGTTTCTTTTGCTGTGCACAAACTCTTCAGTTTAACCAAGTCTCACTTGTCAATGTTTGTTTTTGTTGCAATACTTTTGGGAACTTAGCCAAAAATTCTTTGCCAAGGTCAATGTCAAGAAGGATATTTTCCGAGTTTTTTTCTAAGATTCTTGTATTTTGATATCTTACATTTAAATCTTTAATCCATCTTGAGTTTTTATTATTTTGTACATGGTGAAATGTAGGGGTCTAGTTTCAATCATCTGCAAATGGTTAGGCAGTTATCCCAGCACCATTTATTGAATAAAGAGTTCTTTCCCTGTTGCTTTAAAATGTATGTCTTTTATTCTTGCTACTTGCAGACTTTAGCTTTTTTAAAAAAAACTTACATCTTTTAATTTATCATGAAAATTACTCACCCAAGTACAAATTTTAAACATTTAATACTTTTTATCAGTGTGATATATCCTCATTTTTTTAAAAACGTATGTCTTTAAATCTGATAGTGAAAAACTTTCCTCATCTGCCTTATCTCTTCTCCTTCTTCACTTTCAAAGTAATCATCCTTAACTTGTATAGTTATTTTTCTAAGACCTTGTCTCTGTATTTCTGGATTACCTGACTGAAAGGCTATTTTTGATTAATGTATTTTATACATAATGTCATGACTGCTACAAGGCAGAGAAAATCTTCCCATCAACATTTTTATTCTCACCACCTCTCACAGTACATGACAATATTTGTTTAAATAACAGATAACCTTTATACTATGTTCTTACAATACTAATCAATACAAGTCCAACAACACAATTACTCTTTTGATTTGTAGCTCTTTATTTTTTATTGCACTAATTTTTTTCTTTATTTATTCTTACCCGATTTTCTATGTAGTAATCACTAATTTTATAAAAGTAAATAACAATTCTACTACTTGCCTTAAAACGTGTTTAAATGTTCAAAAACACCAGTTCTATTCTCTCCTCCACCCCACCCCAAAGTCCTCCGCCTAGAATCTACCGGCATCTAACTTCTAATTGGATTGTTTGCTCATTGGATCTGTAACACGAAAATCCAAATGTGGTTTCTTTATACAATCATTTCGGGATCCCCAATTACACATATTCTGCATAGATCCACTTTCACATGCATCCCTTTTTTTAATCTCATTTGAATTACATTCTTCTTTGCTGGAGCACATCTTTCATTATGCTTGTAAAAAGGGCCAGGGATTTATAAACTACCAATTAAAAATACAAACATACATATAAGAGCACATATAAAATGGAATCATAAAACATAAAGATGGGGAAAAAATGTACACAATATGTTAATCACCCTCACTGTGAAATTCAACAAAAATGCTGCATATATACTATTTTAAAATTTTAGAGGAAACAAGTCCAGTTTTTAAAGGTATAATATATTTAATATTATTTAGGTATAATCTAATGATTATCACTTTAAAAATAACTTAAAATATCTTACTAACAAAATAGTCAAACTTTGTTAGGTTATCTATAATAATAGTTTTATATATTATTTATTTTATATAATTAGCTTTATTTTATTTTATGTCATCAAAATTCAATTGATAATATTTTTCTTTACTCTTTGCTCAGGAAGGGATAAATGTTTTATTAAAGGATTCTTTGAGGCTTGTATTCTTCATCTCTAAATTAATGAAAAGAAGGAAAAGTTTTTAGAATTCTATATTTTTAAAGTAAATGTACAGATATAAATGACTAGAATTTATTTAGTGCACCCAAGACTCAAGCATGTTACTATAACGTTGTCCTGTATTAAATAATGCAATCCGGCCGGGCGCAGTGGCTCATGCCTGTAATCCCAGCACTTTGGGAGGCCGAGGCTGGTGGAACACCTGAGGTCGGGAGTTCCAGACCAGCTTAGCCAACATGATGAAACCCCGTCTCTACTAAAAATATAAAAAAATTAGCCAGGCGTTGGGGCAGGCTCCTGAAATCCCAGCTACCCGGGAGGCAGAGGCAGGAGAATCGCCTGAATCCGGGAATGGTAAGATCGCAGTGAGCCGAGATCGTGCCATCGCACTCCAGCCTAGGCAGCAAGAACGAAACTCCGTCTCAAATAAATAAATGAATAAATAAATAAATAAAGCAGTCCTCTCAATAACTCTTTTACATTGGTACTAAAAATATTCACATTTATAGATGAGGAACTGGCTTAGGCATACAGAAATTCAGTATTTTATTTAAGATCACATACATTGTGTTTAGAAGTTACTAGTTAAATGATAATTTATTAATATTGGTACCAAAACAATTACTTAGTTTTAACATATAAATTTGGTAACAGTCTCATAATTTCTTATTGCAATCATATTTATTAAAATGTGTCTTACATTCAAAAGATAAAGTCAACATTATTCTTACCTGAATGTTACATGTTTTCTAGAGTGGTACAAAGATAATAATAAGACATTTTACTTTAATTTTCCTTATGTCAGTGCAAGTATAAATTGTTAAAAGAATAATTCTTTCAGCCAAATATTGTAACTGAACACTTATGTTAATAACTTGAACTAGGATGTAGTCTTCATCATAATATGCTATTAAGTTTACACTAAATTTAATCTAATTTGTAACTTAACTCTAGTTATTCTGTTTTATGTTTAAAGTTGCCATCGTTTCTCATGGTGATTTTTATTTCCTTATTAATAGTAAGAAAGAGACGTGATGTAATGTACTATTTCTCATGTAGAGAACTTTTAAGGAAGATAGAAATAAAATTTACATCCTGCTATTTGTATAAAGTTATGAGATACATGATAATTGCATTGTTACAAGCAAGTGCATACTTGGGGAAATAAATACATCACAAAGGTGAATGAAATAGAATTTTACTTTTTGGCGTGATACATTGTGTGTCAAGGTCATAATGAGATATAGAGCCACAAGATGCAAGGAATCTTGGTCTCCAAGTAGATTTTGTAGGAATAAGAAATAGTCAAACATCTGTACCGTTTAGTCAAGGAGATTTTCTCATTGTTTGAAAACACATATTGTGTAATCTGACTAAATCATGTTCAACAAATTAAGCCTTCTCCACCAAAATAAATATTCTTAAGACATGTAAAAGATTTTCAGTATACCCAAAAAACTTTCAGACTCTAACAAAGACAACTTTGAAGTAAGTTTTGCTATTTTTGTTCCAATTTGAGAGATCGATTTCATCACATAAACACATATCATATATTTAATTATTTTACATTAAGTTGAAATCACTGAAATCAAGTTAGATCATCCTGTAAACAAAATATATAATCAATTACTAAAGTCTGAAACGTAGGTTGTAGAAAGACAGTTTTTTTTAGAAAACAAATAATGAAATCTACATTTGAGATTTCTATTCCCTAACTAAAAGAACTAGTCTCAAGATATTTACAATCTTCAACTGTCTTCTGTTTGCCTTATTTCTCTCTCTCCAACCAGATCTCTTTTGTTTAATCGGATATAGAATTTCATTGAATTCACAAAACTGTAGTTAGAAAACACGGGACCTTTACGAGTTGTCTGGCATTGTGATGCAGAGTGAGATGATTTTTTAAATATAATTCTATCATATGTTCATTCTTTAATTTCATTTTCTTCCCTTCATAAGATAAAATTTAAATGATGCAAAATGGTCAGTTTTAAAATGTCTTTTTCCTTCCCTCAGTTTGAATTCCAAGATAGCTCTGTTTCAGCAAAAATAACTCTTAACATTTTTAACTATCCCTTTTACTCGTTTGGCTTGATAATTTTCAAGCTAGATAAGAAAATCAAATTTGTTTTATTTGAATAGCAAAATAATATTTACAAAAATATAATTTGTCATATGCGTCATCATGAATGTGTACAGGTTATGTACAGTTTTATATGTTTCTTCATCCAATGGTCAGAAAATTATGAAAGTCATCTTGGGTTTTGTTCAGCCATCTTGAATTTTGTATGCTTTCTCTTTTATAACTGCACACCTGGCTTTCTTACGATTAATTTTGGAAGCAGGAACAGACCCAGAAAGCAGAAAAATAGGCTTTGAGAGCCTCGGTGTACTTTCTTGGTTGAACTGACAGTAAAATTCAAAAGGAATTTTCTAATGAATCCTAGGAAGCATTTACATAGATAAAAATAAATTAGCAAATGGCATTAGGTTCTGCTGTGCTTTTACTGATAGACAAGAGATATATTTTAAAGCAACAGTAACAATTTTGTATAATGCATTATTTCTAATTAAAAACAAAAAAGTGCATATATATATAGGAGCCTAATGATTAAACTTCAATTCAACGAACAGGTCAAAGTAATGTAAAATAATGAAAAGAAGAAATAAATCAGATGGGCCAAAGAATATACAAAGAAACACATTAATAGAAACAGACAATGTAAGTGACATTTGAAAGATCAGAAAACCAGAAAGCAAAGTCAGCAAAATAAGGACCGAGGATCAAAAGGAACAAATAAAGTTGAAAGATGTACTGTCTCTACCTCCAACACCACTCTCTCCAGAGAACCACCTCTACACTTACCTCCAATACATCCACCACCATCATCAAAAATAACTAACAGTATGAAAACTAGTACCACCACCTCCAACACAACCATCAACACTACCAACACTAAAAATGCCACCATAATGACAATTTCATAAAAACATATTCCAAATTATACTTCCCTTGCCTCTGTAATGTGGCCCTGAATTTCTTCATTTTTATCACTAACATTTAAAGAGCTTGCGTTAAGTGTGAGGGATTGTAGTAAATGCTGATGGCACTTAATCTGAACTCTTAGGTTTACCATCTAGTGATAAAACAAACAAACAAACAAACAAACAAAAAACACTAAAGGCAACACTAAAGGCAAACAAATAACCCATCTAACAAATCTTAGATGGAATAGAAATTCAACAGCTTCAATTGAGATAGGAAGTCTTTGTGCACATGCGTGTGTATGTGTGTCTGTGTGTGTTTGTGTGTGTGTATGTTTTAAAAGTCACAGAGATAAAAGATAAGCTTTTAATTTCTACAATGTATCAGCAATGTGGAGGGAAATGGGCATATAGCATGGGACAAAACAGAGAATCCCTTTCGGAAAAGGAAGAGATCAAATACTTCAATACTTTTCTATTAATTTAAGAAATGTAACTATATAGAAATGCTTACAAATCAAAAGGCTCAAACTAGACATGTGAGTCTCCATAAGAAAATATCCCAGCCAGGCATGGTGGCTCATACCTGTAATCCCAGCACTTTGGGAGGCTGAGATGGGCGGATCACCCGAGGTCAAGAGTTCGAGACCACCCTGGCCAATATGGCGAAACCCTGTCTCTAATAAAAATACAAAAATTAGCTGGGCATGCTGGCAGACACCTGTAATTCCAGCTACTCGGGAGTCTGTGGCAGGAGAATCGCTTGAACCCAGGAGGCAGAGGTTTCGGTGAGCTGAGATCCCACTGCTGTACTCCAGCCTGGGCGACAGACAGAGACTTCATCTCAAAAAAATATATATATATATATGTGTATATATACACACATATATATGTGTGTGTATATATACACATATATATATGTGTGTATATACACACATATATATACACATATATATACACATATGTGTGTGTGTGTGTGTATATATATATATATATATACACACATATATATACACATATATATACACATATGTGTGTGTGTGTGTGTGTATATATATATATATATATATATATATATATATATATATATATATTCCAGTGTAATAAAGCATAACTAAGGTTCAAAAGTACCAAAGGAGATCATGGAATCAAAAGTTAAGAAAAGTCTGTGAGCGTCTACAGAACAATAAACTCAGCCTCCAGGGTCAGGAGATGTGGCTAGAGAGAAAAGTAGAAGGCAGGTTATACTAACCTTGATGTATATTTGAAGCATGTTGATTTTGTTTTAAGAGGAATAAAATGCATTATTTTGAGTAAAAATGTTTGTTAGATATGCAGTGTTAACTTTTTTCCATCATATTTCTATTTTATTTCAGTAATATCTTTGATAATTTTCCTATATTTTCTTATCTTTGTGGAAGGTCTGTTGTTTCCTATTTTGAATGTTTTAGCAAAAAATGAAATCTCATTAGTGAGCTGATAGGATAAGATTATAAAGCTAAAATTTTTCTCTGTCAGCTTATGCTACTACAGCCACATATTCACTGGAATATGGATTTAGTTGTAAATTAGAATTAAAAGCAAGTATGTAAACCTCTTAACATAGTGAGTGGTACCTATCACAAGTTTGGAATTCCAAAGTAAAATGACTTTCCATCTAAAACTTTATAATCTAACAGTAATCAGTTAACCATTATAATGAATGAAGGCATTGTTATACATTCAAGGGCCCAGCAATTTTAGTTCCTGAGAACCATTTTTGAAAAGCTGTAACAAAATAGTGTTTGACAAAAAAAAGTTAAAAAAAAAAAAAACAAAGAAAGCAATTTGTGAGATCTGTGGGCAGAAAATTTAACCAGCTCAAAGAGATACAGGAGAGTAGTCATTAAGAAGAAACATGGAATTGGTGAATTATTTAATGTGTTTTATTTTCTCTTTTCTCTTAGGAGAGGTGTTCTAATTTTCTAACTCAACAGAAATTTTCAAATTAATCAGTGTCATATAAAAGGAAAAAAGTTTTAAAGAACAAGTAAATTATTAATTGAGTAAAAGAGAACGTTATGTAAGTCAGGAAAGGTAGTCATAAGTGATTTTATTATTTACAATATTTGTACAATAATAATAAAAATACTGAATGTTGTTTCACACAAAGTTTCTAGTGTAAAGGTATTTGAAAAATAGAAGAGATCGTATTTGCAGTGGTATTGTGAGGTGATATCATAGGATACCTAAATTTTCTTTTCCTATAAATTCTGTCACTAGATAGGATTAAACAGTTTAGAATAAGGAGAAGATAATATTTTGGGTACATTAAATAGATAAAAATAAATAACATAAGAAAAATTTAAGAGTTAAAATTTGTTTAGTCTGACAAATCAAGGATAACTATGTATGTCAAGGAAACTATTTTTGTAATAAGTCCTATAGTATTATTTGGCTATTTAAGCAACATTTATGTAAGCATTTTACTTTTAATTTAAAATCTATAGGAACATATTTAATATGTATTAATTATTTATTTAGAAGTTGAAGAAAAGTATTATCTCTATTTACAAAATAAAAAGTAGAGAAAACATACATGACTACTACCCAGGTTGTATTAATCTTTGCTGATAAGACAAACAAATGAGAAACAAAAAAAGAAAGTTTGCCCAACTTGAGTATCTAATTTCATTGACTATGTGGTTTTTTTAAAATTATAACTGGAAAAAGTTGAATTAAAATAAGGAGTCCTGGGTTTTTTTTTCCTTAAGGTACCATAGAAGTATTGATGGTTAATGTAAATATAGTTAAGCGCACACACACACACACACACACACACACACACACACACATACATATACGCACATTATACTTCCATTGATTTCAAGTATATAGTTAGAGAAATTAGCTGCATGGCTTATTGAAATTTGTTTTTTATTGCTTTGCATCAATTATCTTCATAACATTAGATGTGAATTAGTTTGATTAGTTTGATGAAATGTTCAGATTGAGACACCTCAGGCATAAATCAAAATGGATTTAATTTAATTTCCATTTGTGATTTGATTAGAATCATATTGCAGCTAAACTTATGCAGATGGGCTAGAATTTACACTGTTTTTATTATTACTTGAATAGCATTTTTAGAAAACCTAATCACTAAAAAAAAATTAAGTGACATTTAAAGAGCAAAATTTCCATATACCTACTGATGGAACTCCTTGATTTTTCTGAAGAATATGTTTTATGCTTCATTTTTAAAATTTGATGTTTTCAGCATTGTTTCTGTATACCTGGAGTTCTATGACAGTGTGTATATATCCTATGATGATACATATTACAAAGTTGCAAGTGAAAATAATTCCAAGTACAAGAAAATAGATCAGATTTCAGGTATTATCAGTGTTTGACCATGGTAATGTTTAAAATGCTCATTTATTTCATTTTTATTCTTAAAAGTCGAAATAATATATTATATTCTAAACAAACCTATGATTTAAATTTGCATTAGCTAAGCGATGGAAGTAATCTTGGGAAACATTCTTTACCCTAAAGAAAATCATTATAGTGAAGATTTTCAGGATAATTTGAAGTTCCCAGAAGGTGATAAAGGTATACTTTTTTCCTAACTTTTAACTCTCTTCCTAGACCACAGGGCAGAAAATAAACATCCATGAATACAATTATAAGGTCTATCAAGAGAATAAATAATATATTTGCAATAAGTTTAAATATTCTAAACCGTGAGGAAAAAGTTTAAATATTTTACTTTTAAAAATAGTATTTCTGAGGGAGGTTGTTATGTATCTGTTTAATTCTAACAGTTATTATAGGTAATTATTTTTTAACAAAGATCTATTTCGAAGAATAAAGACATGTTCTTCCTGAGTGCAAATATGGCACAAGTTCAGTTTCTATCCACATAATGCTCCCAGTCATATCTCTCAAGGGATTTTCATCTTAATGATAAAATGCTAATTTATAATATGAATTCTTTCTTTATGAAGCAGCTCTATGACCTACTCCCTAAGAATTTTAATTAGAACAAGGCAACTTGTATGTTTCAAAAAGAGGAAAATTGTATATTCAGTGGCAACATAACTAATGCTATTGTTGTTCCTATTTGCTCTGTGTGTGTGTATGTGTGTGTGTGTGTATGTGTTTTGGTTGTTTATTTCAATGCTATTGGAATTCAATTTTTAAGTTCAGGTAAGTATTAATTCAACAACAAATCATTGAATATGATAGACAGTAGTCTCATATAATTTTATCCAACATATTCACTTGCTTATGAGTAGAATTATTATTATGTAGTAGACAAATCTATACACGAGAAACACTTCCCTAAAAACCTATAAAATATCTTAATAGCAATTTTAATTTCGTGAATATTTTTACATATAATTTAGTTAATCTAGCAATTAAAATCAATTTCTTTTTTAGTTTAGATCAACCGTTGATAATTTTCAAATCTTTTTCATAGGTCAATATTTAGAAAAATAAAAGAGTTGGTTTAATTCCCTTATATGTATTTACACATTCCCTTTTACTTACTAGTGGCAAAATATAAGCAGAATCATTATATCTGAGAACTGCTGAAAAGTTAGCCCCACTCTAACGTATTAAGTCTCCGCCGAGACTTAAATTTTTCCCTACTAGTCAGTACAGAAATTTAATTTTAACTCAAATATTTGTAAGTAATTTGGTTTTGATGTATCAAAGTGAATATTTGGGTAAGATAGTCTAGTTCTTCAGAATCAAGTTTCTAATGAAAATACACAGATAATAAAAATTAGCAATGGTTTCAAATGTAAAAGGTAAGAATGCCTGACTCTAAACTGATGTAGCTAGTTTTTGTTTTTGTTTTTGTTTTTTAACAACATCAGCGATGAAAACAACAGGAGCATCAAATAAGACTGGTATGATTTTCATTCCCAACTTTATATTTAGGACAGTAAAATGTCACTCACTTGAGTGAGAGATGATCGGCAAGGATAACAAATCTATTAGAAAGTCCCATTAGAGTTCTACAACCGGCAACAGTCAGACTTCATTTAACTTCGACGTATTAGCCACATTAAATTCTCATAGTCTTATGAACTTAATAGTTCATTAATCTGTTGAGCGCAGTTCTATTTCAATGTGAAGTATGGGAATCCAAACATGAAACAGGCACCGACTCTGTCCTCGAGGATCTCAGAGGTTAATAGAGGAGACAGACACCTCTTTAACTGGATTTTAGTATTATGTGATGAATGAAATAATAGGAACATGTATAAAATACAGCAGAGAAGGACAAAAGGGATATTTAGAGACTTAGATAAATGTGTTTGCCTTTTACCATGGCAATAACAATTATAGCTATAAATACATAAGTAATCATAATACATTGGATACTTAAAATATTTTGTTATACCCAAAAGATAGAGGTACTTAAAAACATGCTTTACCATTATAGATAGTACAGAGAAAATGAACACTTAAGCTTTTGCTAAACACTTAACATTCAATGAGGAACACAAAATGATCTAAATCAAAGATATTTATTTTTCATATTATTGGCATATTAAGATTACAGAATGACATTAGTAATTCAATGGATATTTTTAATGGATTTCATATGTTAATAGTGTGAAAACTTGACTTACATAGGAATTATGATAGAAATAGAAAGTATTTCAGCTGTAAATGAGGTAAGTGCCTGAAAACCTTGGTGGTAGGTACTTGTAGAATGATGGTGTCACATTTCCAGTTGTCATGTCAGAGATCTTAGATTGGATGTGTAGCGCTGTCATATGACTGATATGTAGTCTTTACAATGTCAATTATTCATTCTCTGGGTCTCTCTACCTATGTTTGAAGTCATATATTTCTCCATATAATTGTGAGAAATAAAGATCAATGTTTGTTGAAAGCATTTAGCTAGATTCTGGTACACAACTGGTTCTTAATAAGTTTACATTGACTTGAATTATGATAAAACTCTACTAGGTCTATATGTTTGGATTTGCAATTATGTGGAAAGACATATATATTTTAAATTTTAACACACATTTCAAATAACATTTATTAATTTTTGTGTTATGCATATTCACATGTCAAAAACAAGTGAAAAATACTTTGTCATTGTATTTATTTTAGTGTGCTGAAAGTAGAATTAACCAAATTTTATGATGCAAAGTTCTCCGTTATTAATAGGCTATGATTAGTGCATATGATGTAAAATCTTATTGTATCACGTATTCCTTTTATTATACGATTATTGACTCATTGAAATTAGATGAAAGGGAATATTATATTTGCTTTCTGCTGTGGTTTGAAGCCTCATCCAAAACTCATATTGAATTTTAATTGATATTGTGGTAGAATTAAAACACAGAGCCATTAAGGAGTGATTAGGCTTTAAATGTTCCACCCTTACAAGTATACTAAAGTTGTTATTTTAAGAATGTGTTGTCATAAAAGTGAGTTTGACATTCTTTCTCCACTTCTCTCTCATGCTTTCCTTCCCTTCTGCCTTCCAACATGGGATGACAAAGCACAATGGGCCTTAATAGGCAGTGCCATGCTCTTGGACTTCTCAGCCTCTAGAACCGTGAGCCAAATACATTTTTAATGTTTATAAATTACCCACTCTGTGATAGTCTGTTACAGCAGCAGAAAATGGACTAAGACACTGGTCTTCCTAGGTTTTTTGTTTTCCTTGCAATTTACTAAAAGTTAACAGAAATGATCAGATTCGGGAAAAATAGAACACAACTAATTTGTATTCAGACATGTTCTTCTGTTTCTGCTTTCATTGCAGAAAGTTTAACAGAGTTTTGACAGATACAGTTATATGCCTGTGGTTGAAGTCACAGTAGCTCTGTCTGCTAAGCAAATTTATGTATGTCAAATGTCTTATCCTGCCCAGCTCAATACATGCAATAACATCCTGAAATGAATTTAGTCATTTCATTTCAAATGAGAATTTCTGAATCATATCTATTCTCCTGAGGTTGTTTCAGAATCTTCCTCTTATTTGAAATTACTTTTTTATTATACTTTAAGTTCTGGGGTACATGTGCAGAATGTACAGGTTTGTTACCTAGGTATACACATGCCACAGTGGTTTGCTGCACCTATCAACCTGTCACTACATTAGGTATTTCTCCTAATGCTATCCCTCCCCTAGCCCCCCCACCCCCAATTAGGCCCCGGGGTGTGATGTCCCCTTTCCTGTGTCCATGTGTTCTCATTGTTCAACTCCCACTTATGAGTGAGAACACGCAGTGTTTGGTTTTCTGTTCTTGTGTTAGTTTGCTGAGAATGATGGTTTCCAGTGTCATCCATGTCCATACGAAGGATATAAACCCATCCTTTTTAGGGCTGCATAGTATTCCATGGTGTATATGTGCCACATTTTCTTTATTCAGTCTATCATTGATGGTCATTTGGGTTGGTCCCAAGTCTTAAGTGTTCTTATTTCTCCACATCCTATCCAGTATCTGTTGTTTCCTGACTTTTTTTTTTTCTTTTTGAGATGGAGTCTCGCTCTGTTGCCCAGGCTTGAGTGCAGTGATGCAATCTCCGTTCACTGCAAGCTCTGCTGCCCAGGTTCACACCATTCTCCTGCCTCAGTCTCCCTAGTAGCTGGGACTACAGGTGCCCGCCACCACACCTGGCTAAGTTTTTGTATTTTTAATAGAGACGGAGTTTCACTGTGTTAGCCAGGATGGTCTTGATCTCCTGATCTTGTGATCCACCAGCCTCAGCCTTAATAATGGCCATTCTAACTGGCGTGAGATGGTATCTCATTGTGATTTTGATTTGCATTTCTCTAATGACCAGTGATGATGAGCTTTTTTTTCCATAGGTTTGTTGGCTGCATAAATGTCTTCTTTTGAAAAGTGTCATATCCTTTTGAACTTTTGAGAAGTTCATATCCTTCACCCACTTTTTGATGGAGTAGTTTGTTTTTTTCTTGTAAATTTGTTAAGTTCTTTGTAGATTCTGGATATTAGCCCTTTGTCAGATGGATAGATTGCAAAATTTTTCTCCCATTCTGTAGGTTGCCTGTTCACTATGATGATAGTTTATTTGCTGTGCAGAAACTCTTTAGTTTGATTAGATCCCCTTTGTCTATTTTGGCTTTTGTTGCCATTGCTTTCGGTGTTTTAGTCATGAAGTCTTTGCCCATGCCTATGTCCTGAATGGTATTGCCTCGGTTTTCTTCTAGGGTTTTTATGGTTTTAGGTCTTACATTTAAATCTTTAGTCCATTTTGAGTTAATTTCTGTATAAGGTGTAAGGAAGGGATCTAGTTTTAGCTTTCTGCATATGGCTAGCCAATTTTCCCAACATCATTTATTAAATAGGGAATCCTTTTTTTCTTTAACATCTTGAATTTTTATTTGAGTTAACATAGTATTTCATGCTATTTCATTATTCTAAGGTAAATCAAGCATATTAGAATTTATGTGACTACCTTCTCTCAAATCAAGATAGGTGAAAAATATACTGCAGTAAAGCATAGTTAGGTTTTGAATTCATTTTTTAATCAATTTGCGAAGTTGAACAACTGTTCTTTACAACATTAAGAAACTTATTCTAAATTTTTCATTTGATGTCACAGGCGGGTCCCATAATTTATCAATTTATATTTTTCTTAAAGTGTGCATGGATTGCATCAGAGAGATTTCCAGCATATAATCAATTTCCTAGGAATCAACTTCTCTATTTTTCCATGAAGTAAAGACTTCTGTTTTACCAAAAATATCCGTAAAATAATAAAATAAAAAGATTAAGCAATTCTTAGTCCAAATGGAAAATATTAACACAACATTTTGAGAATTTGGTACGTATTAGAATCCATCCACATATATCTAGAATGTTCTCTTTACACTACCCTAATCTTCAAGAGAAGTTTAGGCATTCTTTTTAAGTCTTTTCAGTTTTAATTGTTCTTAACTACCACATTCTTTTTCTATATATTTTCACTGCTAAAATAAATGTTAACTATTTATACTCAACTGCATATCAACAACTTAATTTGTTTAATTCATTTATTTTAATAACTTTTACCTCTTTTTAAGAGTGGATGTTGGTTTTAAACAATAAGTCCTGGTAATACTTTTCTTCACACATGATGTCTGTATAGCACTATTAATAACTTGAGATAATAACTAAGTTGCTCTATTATCATCATTATTCCTACTCCCCTATGGAGCTATTAAAAATTTTTGAAAAGATAAAAAATGTATTTGGTGAGGTCGAGTAAAACATAATAGACTTTTTTAGTGAAGAGATGCATCCAAGTTTGACTATGTGGCTATCAACTTTTCCAGCATTTCTAATCTACCAAAAAGAAGACACGGTGTGTTTACATTTTATTGAATGGGAGATGTAATTATACAACTGCTGTTACCTGTTAAACTACTCTTCACTTGTGAAAAGGCAAATGCTAGTGATAGAGAAAGGGGGCAGGGAAGTGCTGGGAGGAGAAGGGTGGGTCCCTGGTGAGGGCTCCACTCTCAAGCCTATGCCCACAGACCTAGGTGACTACAGGCACTCTTGTCTTTGGGCCCAAATATTGCATTTCCCAAGACCACCCTGGTCCACCACACCCCTATCCTGTGCCTTAAAAACCTCAAGACCCTAGAGGGCACACACACAGTGGCTGGACATTGAGAGGAACACACTAGTTGAAGAAGGCACAAGAAGCTGGACATCAAGAGGAATGCATCAGCGTTAAGAGCACACTGACAGATGCTGGCAGGCCAGCAGGCCATTGACCACAGGAATGACAAAATGTTTGGCCTGGGCAGTCAGAGGAGAGTCTGGCTGCTAAGTGGCCTGATCCCAGGGGAATACCATGTTCCCACTCCATCTCCCTTCTGGCTCCCCCATCTGCTGAGAGCTACTTCCACTTAATAAAACCTTGCACTCATTCTGCAAGGCCACGTGTGATCCTATTCTTTTAGTAGTACACCAAGGCAAGAAACCCTGGGATACAGAAAGTCCTCTGTCCTTGCAATAAGGCAGGGCATCTAATTGAGCTGATTAACACAAGCCACCTACGGATGGCAAAATTAAAAGTGCACCCTGTAACACACGCCCACTGGGGCTTCAGGAGCTATAACCATTCACCCTTAGACGCTGCCACAGGGTCAGAGCCCCAGAGCCTGCCAGTTTGTATGCTCCCCCTAGAGGTTTGAGCAGTGGGGCACTGAAAAAACAAGCCACACCCCGATTGCATGCCTTGCGAGGGGGACAAGGGAACTTTTATCATTTCACTAATAGTTGTAGAATACAACAGTAATGTTAATAGATTCAAAACTGTGTATTTTTTTAGGAGTTGAAGAGAGCAAAAGGCTAAAAATGCAAAGAGCAACATTCTTCTCATTATAGCTTTGAGTGTTGCAGGAGAGTTGTTGACATTCCTTGAACAGATTAAAGATCTGTATTAAATATTAGTCATAGAGGTGTATTAGAGTCATATTTTATTTCTGACACAGAATGCACCAATAAACCAGGAACACAGTATGCACAAGGGGGTGGTAAGTGCTCTCGGATGTCAAAGGGGTACTGTATTAGTCCCTTTTCATGCTCCTGATAAAGACATACCTGAGACTGGGCCAATTTACAAAAGAAAGAGCTTTAATTGGAGTTAGAGTTCCACGTGACTAGGAAAGTCTCTCAATCATGGTAGAAGGCAAGGAGGAGCAAGTCACGTCCTACATAGATGGTAGCAAGCAAAGAGAGCTTGCTCAGGAAAACTCCCCTGTATAATAACCATCAGATCTCAAGAGACTTACTGTCAGGAGAACAGCATGGGAAAGACCTGCCCCCATGATTCAATTACCTCCCACCGGGTGCCTCCCACAACATGTTTAAAGATGAGATTTGGATGGGGACACAGCCAAACCATATCACTCCACCCCTGGTCCCTTCCAAACCTCATTTCCTCACATTTCAAACCCCATCATGCCTTCCCAACAATCACCCAGAGTTTCAACTCATTTCAGCATTAACTCAAAAGTCCACATAGTCCAAAGTCCCATCTGAGACAAGGCAAGCCTCTTCTGCCTATGAGCCTATAAAATCAAAAGCAAGTTAGTTACTTCCTAGAGACAATGGAGGTACAGGCATTGGATAAACACAGCCATTCCAAATGGGAGACATTGGCCAAAACAAAGGGGTTACAGGCCCCATGCAAGTCCAAAATCCAGGAGGGCAGTCAAATCTTAAAGCTCCAAAATGATCTCCTTTGACTCCATGTCTCACATCCAGGTCACGCTGATGCAAGAGGAGGGTACCCATGGTTTTAGGCAGCTCCACCATTGTGGTTCTGCAGGATAGAGCCTCCCTCCCAGCTGCTTTCATGGGTTGGTGTTGAGTGTCTATGGCTTCTCCAGGCACACGGTGCAAGCTGTAGGTGCAAGCTGTAGGTGGATCTACCATTCTGGGATCTGGAGGACAGTGGCCCACTTCTCACAGCTCCACTAGGCAGTGCCCCAGTAGGGACTCCGTGTGGGGGTTCCAACCCCACATTTCCCTTCCACACTGCCCTGTCAGAGGTTCTCCATGAGAACTCTGTCCCTGCAGCAAACTTTTGCCTGGACATCCAGGCGTTTCCACACGTCCTCTGAAATCTAGGTTCCCAAACCTCAATTCTTGACTATTGTGTACCCACAGGCTCAACACCATGTGGAAGCTGCCAAGGCTTGGGGTTTGCACCCTCTGAAGCCATGGCCCGAGCTGTACCTTGGCCCCTTTTAGTCATGGCTGGAGTGGCTGGGATGCAGGGCACCAAGACCCTAGGTTGTGCACAGCATGGGGACCCTGACTCTGGCACACAGAATCATTTTTTTCTCCTAGGTTTCAGGGCCTGTGATGAGAGGAGCTGCCATGAAGACCTCTGACATGCTCTGGAGAGATTTTCCCCATGTCTTGAGGATTATCACTGGGCTCCTAGTTACCTATGCAAATTTCTGAAGCTGGCTTGAATTTCACCTCAGAAAATGGGATTTTCTTTTCTATCACATTGTCAGGCTGCAAATTTTCCAAACTTTTATGCTGTATTTCCCTTTTAAAACTGAATGCCTTTAACAGCACCCAAGTCACCTCTTGAATGCTTTGCTGCTTAGAAATTTCTTCTGCCAGATACCCTAAATCATCTCTCTCAATTTCAAAGTTCCACAGATCTCTAGGGCAGGGGAAGAAATGCTTCCAGTCTCTTTGCTAAAACATAACAAGAGTCACCTCTGCTCTAGTTCCCATTAAGTTCCTATTCTCCATCTGAGGCCACCTCAGCCTGGACCTTATTGTCCATATCACTATCAGCATTTTTGTCAAAGTCATTCAACAAGTCTCTAGGACATTCCAAACTGTCCTACATTTTCCTGTCTTCTTCTGAATCCTCCAAACTGTTCCACCCTCTGCCTGTTACCCAATTCCAAAGTCACTTCCACATTTTTGGGTATCTTTTCAGCAACGCCCCTCTCTACTGGTACCAATTTACTGTATTAGTCCATTTTCACATTGCTGATAGAGACATACCTGCGACTGGGCAACTGTACAAAAAAAAGAGGTTTAATTGGACTTACAGTTCCACATGGCTGGGGAAACCTCATAATCACGGTGAAAGGCAAGGAGGAGCAAGTCACGTCTTACATGGATGGCAGCAAGCAAAAAGAGCTTGTGCAGGAAAACTTCCCGTTATAATAACCATCAGATCTCATGAGTCTTACTCACTATCATGAGAAAAGCACAGGAAAGACCTGCCCCAATGATTCAATTACCTCCCACCAAGTCACTTCCACATCATGTAGGAATTAAAGATGAGATTTGAGTGGGGACACAGCCAAACTATATCAGGTACATTTCTCAAGGAAGGGCATGGCTGACAACTAGAGGTTATTTACTGAGAACTCCTTTGGAAGAAAGGATTTAGTAAACATCTCCACTTGGATATGGAAAATTACCTCAGACCTCACAAAAAACCATCAGAAAAAAAGTGTATTGCTTCAGAGATTCATGCAAAGAAATATGTGGTCCTTCCAGTGAAAAGAAATTAGTTTCCCCATAGACCTTACAGCTTTATCTGAACATAGTTTTGTCTGGATACAAGTGAGAGTTCATTAATGGAGGGGTCTTGTACAGATAACTGTAGCACGATTCTCTTCTCCAGAGAATTGTAGCCACATAATTGTGCCATGGAAGCAGTTGGTCATGCTTATGGTGATGTGTGAAACTTGGGACATTTGAGAGAGTGAATAAATCCTAGAGCAATTTAGTGATCAGGTAATCTAGCACTCAAACTATACTCTAGGGAGTAAAAGAGGGACCATTACAATTAATGATTATGCTGGAACAATTTCTAAAAAAAAAAAAAAAATCCCAGAAGTATCCTGGGAAAGCTGTAATCTATATGAACTCTAAATTTGAAACATGGTTTATTCAATGCAAGATGGCATGTAATGTTTAAACCAGAATAATCTTTATGAATTCAGTAAAATATATGTGTAGCAAACCAGCCCAGGAAACTTCTAAACATAGCACACACTTAACTTCTGTCTTTATAATTATATAGCCTCAAACCAGGTGCTATAGTCCAGATGTTTGTCCCATTGAAATGTTATGTTGAATTTTGTCCCCAGTGTTGGAGGCAGAGCCTAATGGTAGGTGTTTGGATCATGGAGTTGGATGCCTCATGAATAGAATAATGTTCTCCATGAGGGGGTGGTGAGTGAATTCTCATTCTATTTGTTCATGTGAGAGGTGGTTGTTAAAAAGATCCTGGAACTTCTCTCCCCTCTCTCTTTTGTTTTTTTCTTTCCGCATGTGATCTCTGTACTTTGGCTCCCTTTCACCTTCTGCCATGAGAAGAAGCAGCTGGAGGCCCCCACCAGAAGCCCAGCGGATGTCAGTGTCATACTTCTTGTACAGCTTGCCAAACCATGAGCCTAATAAAACTCACAGAAAATGTCCTCCTGGAATATTGCTTAGCTGCTGTTGTGGCTCACATGTATGGAAAAACAAACACTCTGATACTCAAAATAGCGGATGGAAATTAGCTTGGTATTCAAGTCTTGATATGGAACTGGGAGAAATTATACTAGAGGTCAATGGGAAAAGACTCAAACATTACATAATGGATCTATTAGAATAGCTTTCAATTTAAAAATTGCTATAGAAAGGTAATGGAGTGACAGGGTAGTACATCAAGCCAACATTTTAAAATACTAGAGAACTAGAATGAAACATATTACCTCAAACCAGAATACTGAGTGTTACAACAAAATAAAAGAAGTGACCAGTTCACTTTGTCAGTGGGGAACTACTGGGAGAAGAATCACGAGCAAAAGGAAGGTGAGACACAAGCTATTTCTTCAAAGAGATTATGTAATTTCCAAATCTCAGAGTTGGGTTTGGCATGTAACATTTCACCAGAGAAGCACGTGAGTGTTTTTCTCAAAGCATTAGTTTTTAGTCTACATCATTCAACCTTGATGACTCAAGTATCAAAATATATCGTCAAAAGAATGACTTCATATATGGGAGATGGATAACTGAGGGTACAGGGAGCTCTTAGCTTTCTAATTCAGGTAACTAATTGTAGGTACTGAGAAATATAACTGATAGTTGTATTGACTTAATATAAACTACACATGGTTTGGGAGAAAATTTGCATTATGGTTTTATGCTCCTTGTTGAGTGAACACTGTAGTATAAACTCTAAAGCTACTCTTTTTGCAGGAGTGCAGTTAGTTTTGAGTGACCATTTTTTCAAAGACCTAAAATTTCAATAAGGAAATTATTTGACAATAATTTATCTACTACATCCCCTACCACCACTCTTGGCTATAACTTGCAGCAATCAGCTTGGTACTTTTCTGGAAAGCACTGAAAATAATATATATATATAATATTTATATATTATATATATTTTAAAATATTATATATATTTTAAAGTGTGTATCTGTGTTTGTGGGAGGGGTTGTCTTTGTACTTTTGGGCTGCTATAGCAAACATAGGATAAACTGGGTGGCTTATCAATGAGATAAATGTATTTTTCATAGACCTGGAGGCTAGAAAATCCAAAAATAAGGCACTGTCAGATTCAGCATCTAGTCAGAGCACCCTTTCTGTTTCATAGACGGCCATGTTTTCACTGTGTCCTCACATGGCAAGGGCGTGAAAGATTGCTCTTTGACCACTTTCAAAAAGAGCACTAATCCAGTTCGTGAGGAATCCACCTTTATGAATTAATCAGTTCCCATAAGTTTCATTTCCAAATATCATCACATTGAGGGTTAGGTTTTGACATACACATTTTAGGGGAATACATACATTCAGTCTATAATAGGAATATTAATAAAGTCAAGGAAAGAAATTGACTTTTGTTTGTTTTTAATGTAATAAAGCACAAAGTTGTTCCAAAAGGCTTTTCATCTTGATTTTGCAAAACTTTATTTCCTAGCTGTTGTATAGAAGACTGACCAAGAAGGGCTATTTTCCTTCACCCGTTACTCCCATGGGCAGTGCCTGAAAAGTAATAATCTGCATGAGAACCAGTGAAAAAGGAGTACTTTCTGAAGATAAGGCAGTGGAGATTTAAAGTAAGGAATTAATGACAGTGAAAAAGAGAGAGAAAATGTTATTATTTTGTTTTTCTAAGGAGAAAATTATATAAACTGAACAGATAAAATTGGATACAGAAATGGAGAAATGTCAGTATCTCTCTTGCACCATCTGCTGTGAGGCACATGTGCTCTATTAAAAAGTTCTAGGATTTCTTAGTAATAAAGTATATCTTCTCACCCTTTCATATGCGAAGGTCTTATATAGTAAAAATGTGACACATAGGTATCTGGACATAAAATTTCATTTTCAATTTATTTGAACTCTAGTATTGGTAAGTATAAAGGACATTAAAATGGAGGGTATCACATTACAAACATGGTTTGAGTGCTTGCCTGCTAAATGCAGTGGGCATGCTGGCTCAGTTGTTAAGTATTTAAATATATCTAAAATACACCATCTATTTAAAGTCTGGTGTTCACTTTTCAACCTCGGCAAATATTTGCTCTATTGAATTGTAATACTTTTATGTTTCCCTACTTCTTTAATTCAGTTATCTAGGGAGGTCATAAGCTGTTTATAAATATGAAGTCTTTTGTGAATATCCAGAATCACCAAAGCATGAGCAAAATCAAAAATGAAAACACAATTTAATTTGTCAAGCATGCTTTTCTAACAATCCATGAATATTGCAGGAAAAATTTAATCTTACTCTTAAAGTAAATGAATAGCTACAATTAATTTTCCAGTTGTTTAAGTAGTCTTAGGCAGTTAGATATTTTCTGTGAAATTACATTTCAAATTTAACTTTGAAAAAGTATTTTCAAATATAACTCATGTATTATAATAAATTGAGAACTCATGCCATTTTGGAAAACTGTGGATAAATGATACCAATTTTAATTTATTCTTCTTATAGAAAGACCTAGCTCATATTACATTTTGTGTTTTTTGTTATACTTTGAAGTTTAATTTATTCCTTATATTTTAGATAAAAAGCTTTTGGTTGTAGATAAAATAGATTCTTAAGAAATAGATTCTGTCTGATTCCAAAAGCTTTTATTTATGGTAAATCTTTTTTTTTATTATTATTATACTTTAAGTTCTGGGGTACCTATGCACAAGGTACAGGTTTGTTACATAGGTACACATGTGCCATGTTGGTTTGCTGCACCCATCAGCTCATCATTTACATTAGGTATTTCTCCTAATGCTATCCCTTCCCCAGACCCCCACCCCCCAACAGGCCCCAGTGTGTGATGTTCTCCTCCCTGCGTCCATGTGTTCTGGTTATTCAACTCCTACCTATGAGTGAGAACATGAGGTGTGTTTGGTTTTCTATCCTTGTGATAATTTTCTTAGAATGATGGTTTCCAAGCTTCATCCATGTCCCTGGTCATCAGAGAGATGTAAATCAAAACCACAATGAGATACCATCTCATACCAGTTAGAATGGCGATCATTAAAAAGTCAGGAAACAATAGATGCTGGAGAGGATGTGGAGAAATAGGAACGCTTTTACACTGTTGGTGGGAGTGTGAATTAATTCTACCATTGTGGAAGATAGTGTGGTGATTCCTCAAGGATCTAGAACTAGAAATACCATTTGACCCAGCGATCCCATTACTGGGTATAAACCCAAAGGATTATTTATGGTAATTCTTAATTTGTTATTTTATTATTAAGAAGTGGCTGCTTTAATACAAAAACACATGTCATTTTTAGTGTGCTAAGAAATATACCACAATGTCTTAAGTATTGAATTATAATAAATATGATTTTAATTTTAAAATGTCATGTTTGAAGCTTACTGTGTGTAATTTAAACGTATGTATTTATTATATATATTAACTTATCTTTTATCATATTTGAGGGTTTTTTAAATTGGAAGTTTATTTTTATGAAGACTGTCAATATTTGTTTTTATATTGTAGACACTGAAATACATACAAATAGACACCATTCACCACTAAAGTTTTAAAAATATACTTCTTTGGGTCATAAACATCTCAACCTGATGGCCATTACATTTGATACCTGTAATATATTTCTAGAATTGCTGGAAGCCACTTCTCATTTGAAGGATTCGCTTTCTTGGAGTTTTTTCTTTTCTGAGCCTGTCTACCATATAATTTCAACTTGAACTTTTATTAATATACCTTACCTTGTTTCCTTAGATGGATAGCATAGGTTTGAACATTTCCTGTTGTTGGAATTTCTTGTTTGATTTGGTATGTGACTTTCTGTTTTTATTTCTAAAGCGCCCCTATGTTTAATTTTTAGAAACCTACTCTCGTCTCTTTTTTGAAAAGATGGTTATTTGTTTCACTCTTCTCTCTCACATGCATCTGATAGGGATGGGCCACTTACAGGTATTCATGTATAAAAAGAAGATATTACTCATTTATGGCATACAAAAAATCCTCTTGCTGATTAGGATGTATAGTTCAATCAGGTTAGTCTTAGTTCACAAGCTAGAAATTACACTTGGAATACCTTGTTGAGTAAATATGTATCTTGTTGAGTAAATATGGCTATTAGGAATTAGACCTGAGGTCTAGAAAACAAAATTATTTTACTCCTTATTTAATCTACTTTTCACTAGATTGTGCTGCTATTCCAAAGGCATTTTTTATTATTTTTAATAAAAGCCATGGTATTAACATGTTTGAAATACAAGATGAGAAATATTCAAAGTGTAATCAAGCAGTAAAAAATTTTACACTGCTTTCTCTGTGAAATAACCAGAGTTTGAGGTTTCTTTCTAAATCACTTTTTAATAAAAAAGCTGTGTTTTATAAAATTTATTTTTTCCTTCCATTCTCTAGTGTGACAATTTTGGTGTAACATTTCCAAGTTTTGAAAACACGAGTCTTAAATGTGTTCTTTGTGAATTCATTTGACTGTGTGACCTAGAAATCCAGTTTTTCAATACGTCTTTAACAAAATCAATAAATGTATAGCTACCTAGAGAATAATTTATCGAGGCTTTTTTTTTTTTTTTTTTTTTTTTTTTTTTTTTAGACAGAGTCTTGCTCTGTTGCCCAGGCTGGAGTGCAGTGGCGTGATCTCGGCTCACCGCAAGCTGCGCCTCCTGGGTTCAGGCCATTCTCCTGGCTCAGCCTTCAGAGTAGCTTGGACTACAGGTGCCCGCCACCATGCCTGGCTAATTTTTTTGTATTTTTAGTAGAGACGGGGTTTCACCGTGTTAGCCAGGATGGTCTCCATCTCCTGACCTGGTGATCCGCCTGCCTTGGCCTCTCAAAGTACTGGGATTACTATCATGAGCCACCGCGCCGGGCCAAGGCTACTGTATTTTTAACTGTACATGAAAAATTTTATAGAAGTTGGATTCATTACATTATGATAGAATACTCCATAAATGCATGGTATATTAGATATTTCTGTTTTATTTTAGTTATGACATTAATGCTTGACCTTACTAATATAGGCAGTAAGAATATTTTTTAAGGTTTAGAATACTGCTTTTAAGATAATAAACTATATATTTTGTATTTTAATTTGTAAGTTATATTTCTACTCCCAATAAATATAGTTTATATTTTCAAAAGATAATGAGATTTTAAATACATTAATACTAATTTTATCAGCTGAAATTTAACCCAGCTTAATGCTAAAATGTAAAACTGAATTGATTTTGGCAGATGGCAATGTTTGGTAGACTAAAAATTCTCAAGTATTCAATGATAAATAATTTCTCCTTCCAAGTAAAACTGAAAGATTATATAGTTGTATTTTTATGCAAAACTAGTTTGGCAATGAGAAATTAATTTTTCACAAAATCAGGTATTATAATAATATTTTAAGTATATGTAGATAAATACATATATTTGAAGTTTCTGTTATTAATCTAAATAATTTTATTCTTATAATGATTTCATATGTTAAATAAACTTTGCCATTTTTCTTTTGTTTTAAGAATTTCTTCTTGGAACCACCAGTTGAATATAAGAAGTTCAATAAAAAGCAGATTAAAATCCCTCTCACAAAGATATCTATTCTTAAACCAAACTCAAGATCCCCAAAACAACCTTCTACTAGGTGACATACAGGTGGTGAATGAAGATGACTACTTATTTCTAAAACAGCAGACCAACATTAAGTTGTCTAGGGCCTTTGATACCCAAATTTTCTCCCATCCCACGTATAAGATGACTGCCCAACTATCAGCCAACTGGCAATGAAACCTCAGCAAAACCATAAGTCTCTTCAGATTTTCCTCCGATCATTGCTATTGTCAAAGACACAGCCACATAACTTCTGCCTGAAAAGTACAATCTTTTAGCACTCCTCAGCATTTGAAGGCAAAGCAAATAAACCCTCAGAGGCTTTCTAATTTTAGCAACTCTTGTGTACTCTACTCCAGTATTATCGTATTGGGGAAGTAGACGGACTAAGGTTCTATCAAACCTCAAAACTCTACATTTGGATATTTTTGTAAACATATTTCTTGAGACTATGGAACTTAGTTTCTTATCAATCTGGACAGTTATTCTTGAATTTGGTCCAACAACCAAATAAATGAATCCTTATTTTATTGCCTTTCTAATTATCAAAGCAAATTTTAAATAGTTATCATAAAATGCTATATCCCTTTCCTAAAACATATCAGTAAAAATATATTGGAAAGAGTTTGGGATGAGATACAAATCAGCTTTTAGTATAGCTGCAAGATGATGGTCCCGGGTGAAAACTCACTGACCCAGCATAGTGACCACATCAACTCAGGCTAATATTAGACTTCAAACTCAGATGAGTCTGGCTGAACTAGTTTACTGCATATTTTAACCTTTTCTTTGTATATGAATTAGAATATTTGAAAAGGCTTTAATGTTAAAAGCAAAGAGCTCTATGTTTTAAGGAAAAAGTGATTTGGCAAATAGTTTAAATAAAAGATAAAGTTAATATTTTGGTTGATGCCAATATATGCTCATATAACCATGACCAATGTTGCATCATAGAAATGAAGATTTTTTTATCATGTAAGAAAAAAAGTGTGCAGGGAATGTGTCACAGACAAACTTAAAAAGCATTTTGTTTATTTATATAACTGTATATTAAAAGCTTAAGCTCTAACTCACGTGTTTTCAATGTGAGCTGATTTCCATGTTATGTTAATAGGTCCTAATATTTTATTTGCAGCTTATTATAAAAGTTGTGTGTTCAGTTAAAAGAAAAGTGCTATTTTTAGATCAGAGAGAGACACATGTTATATGCACCTGAGTATCCACTTGTCCTCTCAAAGAATCCATAATAGCCTACTAAGATGATATTCTTATGTCATATTTTAACTTCAAGAATATGATTTCATCAAATCATTTTAAGTAGTTTCAAACTCAAATACAGTATGACATGTTTTCAGTTGAGGTATTATGAAAATAAATATATCGAATTTTAACACTACATATTTTGTTTTAAGAGCCTGTACCATTGTTTCAAAACTAACTTATTTATATTAGTATTCCAAAGACTGAATAAGCTAAGAATGGATTACTGCTGCTGAAGTTTTAGGATTTGTTTACTAGTGACATTCTTACCTCTAACTTTAATTCCAATATATTTATCATTATTTTGGTGGTGAGAAGCAACAACTATTTCTTACTTTACCATGTGTTTATTGTCGATTCCTTTTACTATTTTTGTTTGAATTTGTCATAAAGCTATTAAAGATGGAATTTTAAATAATTTTTATCCTCAATAACAAAATAAACAGCATCGTATATTGTGCTATGGTGAGTTACAAGCGTTAAAGTATTCATTATTCAGAAAGACTCTGTACACCACATACAGTTTGATGTAATCTGCAGTTATGTAAGAGTTGACATGGCAAGAATGTAGCTCAGAGAGCTGACTTACTTGTCTGATCAAGCTCCTAGTAAGTAACGAAGTAGTTATCCATACTCATATCCATTTTACTTCTGGGTTTTCCTAAACAAATGGTACTGTGTCCTTTAATTATTTCCTGGAATTATACAGTTTGATTCAGACCTTGGATAAATCTGAGCTACCAATATTGCTTTTGTTATATAACTGTCTGTATTATAAAGGTTTATATCCACCTCTGTTCCAACACTTTAGCTTGTACAAATGAGAGCATTTCATTGAAACTACTGGTGGGAACTAAATGAAAATCTTAAAAGCTATGTTACCAACACCTTTCTCTCTCTTAATTTTAAATCTGAAATTCCCAATTACTTTATAATTCTAAAATATTTGCTTTTATAATTCTATAATATCTCTTATTTAATGAATGACATTATAAAATTTAATTTAATATAAACAAGTGAATGATTTAGTTTCTTAGAATTAGAAAAAAATTTGGAGTAATACGAACAAGTGTGTGACAGAAATTTTACTTCTGTGATATTTCCTTATGCTCTCTTCCCTCCCTCCATTTTCCATGCCCCTTAGATTTAGAGACATGAAATCAGTTCTGGCCAGTGGACACTAAGAATAAATGTGTCACTTCCAGACAACGGCATTTAATACCTAGTATGTGATCTTTCTTTTCCCCAGCTTTGAAGAATCCTGTGACTATATATTAAGAAAATAGAGACTCATGGATATACCCTGATGATTAGCAAGAAATAGAACTTAATAGGGTTAAGCCACGGAGATTCCAAGGTTTATATTTTACTGCTGTATAACCTAGTCACTAATATAGAAACAGTTATTTTTGTTTAGGTTTTGTTTTTATAGACTATATTATTGCATTTCTTTTAATTATATCTTATTTTAAATTAGAAATAACTTGATATTATATTGCTTTCAATTTTCACATCCTATACCGTAATTTTGTTTTTCTTTGCTTGAATCACATAGAAATATTTTTGAGCAACTACAGTAAGACACTCTATAAGTTTTGAAGCATTATGATAAGGCATTTAGGGAAAACAGAGAGTGAGCTACTTAACTTTTTTTTAGTAAGGTCAGGAATTGCTCCCTAGAGTAGATGACACTGAGGCCTGGGCTTAGAGATGGATGGACGTTTTCCAGTGATACAACATGGCTTAGTTCATGTCACGCAAGAAACGAGAAATAAGAGAAGTTGTAAGTATAAAGAACTAAGAAAATATAAAGGGGCTCTAAACATGTTTTATTATTGAAACGAAGGGAACAAAACAGATAATTCGGTTGCTGATGGGGATGTACCATTAATTTACTTTGTCTTAAAATGACCATCTTTTTGATATTGAGGAATCTGGCTCCTGGTTTAAAACTTACAGGTGATTATTCAGGCCTGGCTACAGACCTACAAAAGTCTACAGTATACTATTAATGCTGTACCTATTTTTTGAAAGCAACTTGCTTTCCAATTTGGAAGGGATCTCCTAACAGTCTGCAAAGGTATTTCCTGGCAGGCCTCACAGGAAAGGCGGTGCACCGTGCACACTACGTGCTCCGTGCACAGCCAATACGCTGCTGTCTCTGAAAGGAGATGCAGTCAAGGACTCAGGATTCCCTGGCCAGCCATGCTCTTACATGACCCTCTTCCTCCCTATCTGAGGCCTTGGGCTGAGGTCCTTTTCCGGTGCCTCTGCTGAGGCCTTTGTAAGGGGAAAGGAAAGAACTTTTTGTTTGTTTATTTTTGTTTTAGACGGAGTCTCGCACTGTCGCCTGGGCAGTGGTGCGATCTCGGCTCACTGCAACCTTCGCCTCCCGGGCTCAAGCGATTCTCGTGCCTCGCCCTCCGGAGTAGCTGGGACTGCAGATGCGCACCACCACGCCCAGCAGATTTTTTTTTGCATTTTAGTAGAGATGGGGTTTCACCACGTTGCCCAGGGTGGTCTCAAACCGCTGAGCTCAGGCGATCCGCCGACCTTGGCCTCCCAAAGTGCTGGGATTACAGGCGTGAGCCACCACGCCTGGCCAGGAAAGAAAAATCTTAAAGACACTTTTCCCCATTCTGACTTAATATCCAGTATTTTTCCACGTTAAGCCTTTCCCTCTCATCCTTTCTCCTTCTTTCCACTTCAGGGTCCATAAAACTACCAGAGACTTTTGTTCTGGGCTCCCTCAACAATGAGACAGCCCACCTGTCTGCACTCATTCTTTGCTCTCCACTGCAGCACTGTTCCAAGGGGAAGAGGCACGTTCTCTCGATTTAGACTCTTGCCAAACCATCGCAGTCACTGATTTAAATCTTAAGTCTTTCATTTTTGTCTTGCATTAATCAGTTGCTCCAACACCTGACAACTTATTTCTTTCTCTCTCCCTTCTCAACTGAGCTCCTGACAGACATCTTTTATGCTACAGATTAAATTATAAACCCAGGTAGTGGACGACATAGTAGGTGTGGTGTAGTTTGCATTCAAAAACCTACAGTTACTATCAGTGTTGAACCTATTTTTTAAAAGCAGCTTGCTTTTCAATTTGGAAGGTGTCTCTTGACAGTCTGCAAATAGTGCAGCCTAAGGAACATCATTATGTAGTAGCATGAGGACAGTTTTACAAATTTATCTTTGATTTTCTTGTAAGCATATGTCTTTCCTGGAAATCTAGGGTGTATCTACTTTTTGCCAACCCTTTGTTATTAGAATTGCATCATCAATATAGTGGACAAAGGTGTTGTCCTTTGGGACATTGAGATTATCTTGTTATTTGATAGTAAAATTATAACATAGAGTAGAGAGGTTATATAACAATGAAGTAAAACATAAAAGGATATTGTTATATTTGCCAGCTGAAAACATGTTGCTTTCTGTGTTCACAACCTGTTGGTACAGACCAAAGAAAAGTTTCCAAACTGTCAGTTTCATGTCTATTGACAAATCTATGTTGATTTTCTTCAGTAAGTAAACTACACTGTAGGAACAACTATAATTGAGTTCATCATGTGGTTAAGTTTATGACGATCCACTGGTGTTCTCCAGGATCCCTACCTATTCTGCAGAGGCTAAACAGGCAAAACGAAAGAGGTTAAGTTAGCTATCCCAAATCTTGCTTATCCCAGGAATTGTTATTGTCATGGATTTATTTCTTGTTTAAGGAAATACACTTCCAGGAGTTTCTTCAGTGCCATTTAAGTCGCTACAGTTCTCATTATAGGGAGCAATGTAGGAATTGAAAGCACACGCCAACTGGTAAATAACCACAGGATGTATTAACACAGGATGGGTTCAAGTATCCACCAGGAACCCTCTAAGATGGTCTTCTGTCAATACTCTTTTTTCCACCAACTTTAAAGTTTCACTATAGTGGATTAGACTTTCATTTTCTGACCAAGGTATGTCACTAGCTAATAACAATATCATAAATCCTTTAATCTGTTAGAGACCTAAGCAGTGCTGGTCAGTTTCAAAATCTCTTTACTCACTTTAAACTTTCAGGTTGAAAGACCTCATTTTCAAACAGAGAGAAAATACATTGCCACAAAGAGAAAGAATAAATCCCCCCAGCTCCCCTTAAGCAATAATATTTTTTAAAAAAACTCTAATAACTGCATTCAGTTAAATTGGTCAGAAGGTTTCAAGGCAAGAGAGAACTGGGATAAGCATCCTAAGAGTAAAGGATTTTTTAAGTTGCCTATTTTTAGTCCAACTGATTGCTTCATCCAGGTGATAGATTTTCTTTTTACTATTGATTTTAGGCATATTTAACTGCATTATATATAATATATTCAGGTAAAATTTAACTTAGCTCTTTGGATATGAACAGAAAGCCTTGTTTATTTGAGAATCTTGGGGAAGTTTACAAACTACTCAGTTACTTGTAAGCCATAAAGATTTCTTATGAAGATAAATGAAAACATTACATATCAATTAACAAATTCCTTTGTAAAGCCCATGTCCTGGTCTGGCACAAAAACTACTGGAAGAAAAAGGATATGCCTGTGTGAAGAAATATCACGATACCAAAGTCCAGATAAGACCAATTTACCTGTGCTTATATAGCTTTGTAAAGTCTAAAATCCAGGCTGAAACTCTCACACAGCTCCACCTAGAAAAAAATTAAGGGATTCATTTGTACAATGATCTTATCCAAGATTGGTTTCTAATTTTTACGGCATCAAATACTCCCTTTTCCTGAGAATGAGTTAGCAGAGATGTCACATTCTTTCACAGAAAAGCAGTCACAGCCCCAGGAAAATTGAAAGTGTACTACTCAGGAAAAGATGTGAATCTATTTTTAGCTTACTCTATTTTGTTATATTTTACTGTATCAAAGTAAATTACTAGTGATGCTCATATTCTAGCTTATATTAAACTTAACTGTTATTCCTAAATTGCTTGCTATATTTTATAAGATATTAATAAACATATACATCTTAAATATTATGCTATTATTTTATGCTATGTAATTTTGTAAGATTTGTATAGTCACCCTTTGAACACAAGAAAAAAGTACTTCCTTTTAATGCACTTTACCATTGTTTTACTATTTTATTATTTGAGCTTCCCATCAACTGATTCTCTGCATATTACTGCAATCTTTCTTTGGATAATAGTTTTATCCAGTATATATTGGTATTAAGATGAGCCCTTCACTCTCATCTTAAATAGTATTACTGGTTTTTTTAAATGATCAATTTTAGACTAGGCTGCTCTCCAAAACCATCATGACTTGGCCCCATAATTCTTTTGAGTAATCAGAATCTTCCAGGAATGAACTCCCTGAGTAAAAGTTCAGTGCACCTTTGATGACATGCACTTATTCTTTTGGAAAAGGTATTAATACTTTCAAGTCACTTCAGCACCATTTGCTCTATATAGCCACATGGTGGTTTCAAATCTTAATGCTGAAATTGTCATGTAATATTTGGGTGGAATAGGATCATAAATAAGTAAAGGGTGAGTCTTTTATAAGCTTATGAGTCTCTTACATAAGCATCTTCCCCTGTTTCTGCCCTCTCAGGTCTCAGATTATTATTTGTGATTAAATATCACCTCTTTACTGGCCTTATTCCTTGAAATTTAGACCTTCTTAATTTCTCTAGACCAACAGCAAATGCTGCATACTTGAATCCTCAATTAATTTGTCTGAGAGTAACTTCCACACTTTCGACAGCATTCTATTGCTTAGTATGCTTTTAGGGTAGATTTCTGCTCGTATTTTGAATATTACAAGAATCGGTGAAATCTCAAACAGAAATGGAATTAGCTGAAGCTGTGAGAAGTTTCAGAAGACTTTGTACTCAAATGTAATTTTGAAACATTGAGAAGCACTTGCAAATTTTGTTCATTGACTTGTTTACATGGAGAGATGAATTCTCCAAACTGAGCAAAATATGGAATGGGTTAATAAAAATAAAAACTAGAACACAAAATCTTTGAAATGCAAATAAAATGTGGTCTATTTTAGGCCTTTCTAACCTATCTAGCCTATGTTGAAGCAAATTCCTAATAAGAAAAATCAAGAATTATTTAACCATTCTAGCCTATGTAGAAGCAAATTTCTAATGATAATAAATTGGGTTTAGAATTGAAGCAGTATTTAACAATCACAACATTTTATTTATTTGTTTACTATTTTTTATTTTTTAATTGAAACAGAGTCTTGCTCTGTCACCTAGGCTGGAGTGCAGTGACGCAATCTCGGCTCACTGCCAACCTTCACCCCCCAGGTTCAAGCAATTCTCCTGTCTCAGCCTCCAGAGTAGCTGGGACTGCAGGTGCCCACCACCATGCCCGGCTATCTTTTTTGTATTTTTCATAGAGATGGGGTTTCACCATGTCGACCAGGCTGTTCTCAAACTGCCGACTTTAGGTGATCCACCTGCCTCCGCCTCCCAAAGTGCTGGGATTACCAGCATGAGCCACTGATTCTACCTGATAAGATTTTTATGGATATCTAACTTTCATAACAGTTTGAAAACAAATCATCATGTGTCTTGCAATAGAAGTGTAGAGTGAAGATTTCCTTTTGTGTCATTTGTTTGTTTTGCTCCATATGACTATTATGGAATACACTCAGAAAATAAATATATATCTATATTTTCTAAATCATCAAATGTTGCATTCAGTAATATGCTGGTAAATGCTTTATCATTTGCATTATAATGTAGAATTTCTTGAATTTTGCCACGTTCCATTTTATATGATGTAAATACTTCTCCAAGACCAAATTTATGCTACCCAACTGAAGTCTCTGGAGTCATTCCAAAATGTGAAGAAATACCCTAAATTGGCTCTCATAAGATGAGAAAAGTCAGTTTCTACCCAACAATTGTGTCACTCATGGTGCATGGTGCAGATACATTAGAATGCTATTATTATGCGGCTAACATGATAGCACAAGGATTTGCCTTTCTTTTTTTCCCCCCAGTTGTTTACATTTTTAATCTCTCCATGTGAACTTTTAGAATCATCTCTGTACATATGTTCATTTCCTCTAACATATCTTTATTGTATTTATACATCACAATCTGTCTTATTGGGAAATGATGCTATCGTGCAACTGGCAAAAGTGCATGTAATAAGAAGTGGCTTCCCAGTAACATGAACAAACTTAAATCTATCGGTCCACAATACTGAACCTATTCACTCTTCTTACTAGTGCATTTATCTTTCCAAACAATAACAGACTCTTCTTTTATGATCATTCAGAGGCACATTAACTAGGAAAGAAAAGACTAATTCCATTACATTCATTTTTAAAATTTTATTTTACTATAAGCTCTGGGATACTTGTGCAGAACATGTAGATTTGTTACATAGGCATACATGTGCCATGGTGGTTTGCTGCACCCATCAACCCGTCGTTTAGGTTTTAAGCCCCGGCTACATTAGGTATTTGTCCTAATGCTCTCCCTCTCCTTGCTCCCCATCCCCCGACAGGCCCTGGTATATGTTCCCCTCCCTGTGTCCATGTGTTCTCACTGTTCAACTCCCACATAAACACAATGAGCACTATTTCTGACCATTCTCTATTCTTATGTTTTCCATTATTTTCATTGCCATGGGCTATGGAAAGGAACACTTGTGTTATTCACTTTGCAGAGTGGTTGTGAGACAGAAATGTGTTAATATAGCAAAGAGTTAGAAAAATGCCTCAATGTAATAAGTGCTGTATATGTCTTTACATTACTAAAATATTTAGATTCCGCATATTGTGCTTAGGAATGTAGATTAAGAGATAATAAAAGTAACACGGAAGTATGCAGAACTTCGAATGTGTGAGTAATTTTTCTTATCACTCTGCAGGTATTAACTTATTTTGCCCTTCCCAAACTGCTATCATGTGGGTTATATTATTTTATCTTTTATACAGGTGAGAAAACTGCATTTCACTGAGGTTATTAAATAAGTTTCCTGAGTTTAGGAAAGTGGTAAGTGTCCCATAAGAATTTGAAAACAGTAAGTCTGGCTGGTAAAATCTTTCCATACAATTTATCTAACCATTCTACTGCGTGTCTTCACAGAATACTGAATGAGAAGTAAAAAGATTCAGAGAACTAGGGATGCTAGAACGGGGATTCATCACATCAGCTCAATGGCTGACCGGGATCCATTAAGAGGGGCTAACACACATTTACTTCATGAAATAATTTTAAAATTCTTTGGAAGGATGGTCCAACATCACTGAGAGTCTTAACTGGAGTAGCTCCAAATAAAGTTTTATTTTACTGCGGGTTGCTGAGTAGCCCAGTGGAATCATGTTCTGTTTGCCAAGGCTGGTAACTTGATTTTATGCTTTTTTCCGTATTTTCATCCTTTTTTCTTTTTGTACTTCTCTCTGGTTATTTTCTGTTGATGTAACTTTCAGTATAATGAAATTATCATCTGAGATGATCATGTACTTTTTAGATCTATTTTAATTTTTTTAGCTCTAGAATTTCCATTTGATTTTTTTCTATTTCTGTTCTATGGTAATAATCTCCATTTTATCACTATTTTGAATGACGTAACCACTATTAGTGTTAACTCTGCTTTTTATAACTCCAATATCTTGGACATATTTTGGTTTGGCTTTATTTTCCGTTTTTTTTGTTTGCTTGTTTGTTTGTTTGTTTTTTGACACAGTCTTACTCTGTCGCCCAAGGCACTGGCTAGATCTCAACTCACTGCAACCTCTGCCTCTTGGGTTCAAGCAATTCTCATGCCTCAGCCTCCTGAGTAGCTGGGACTACAGGCGCTTTCCACCACACCCGGATAATTTTTTTGTATATATAGACGAGGTTTCATGTTGCCCAGACTGGTCTGGAAGTGCTGAGCTCAGGCAATCTACCCGCCTTGGCCTCCCAAAGTGCTAGGATTACAGGCGTGAGCCAGCGCACCTAGCCATTTTCTGTTTTACACCTTGATCTTTTGTTTGGCATTACTCATTAATCTTGAAATGTTTTAATGAATGCAAGATATTGTGCATGAGGAAAATTCAAATGTAAACATTCTCTCAATTCTATCTTCTCCCTAGGAGCAAAGGGGCAGATCATCACATTCCAGTGACTCCTTTCTGAATTGCAATCTTACAACGTTTGGGCTATCTCCAGTTTATTTTGCACTCCTTAAATATTTCCTTATGGGATCCATACTCAATTTGGTATTTCAATTTTAAGTTTTATTTATTTATTTGTTCATTTATTTATTTATTTATATTAAAAACCACCCTCTTTTCAGAGTTCTGAACTCCAATATTAGTCCCCTTAACAACATATATCTCCTAAAAATTCCTCTTTATTTTTTTTCTTTTACTTTCCCTTTGGCTTCTTTACCTCACATCCTGTGAAGCTTAACAAACAGCAGATGTCTCCATAGAAAAGCAAAGTACCAGGTCCTCACCTCTGCTTCTTCCTTTTTTCTTTTATTCAAGCTCTTGGATCTTTACGTCCTATCTTCCTAGAGAGTCTGGAGTGCCGCTTTCTATTTCCATGTGACTCTGGTTACTTCTATGAAATACTCTGCATATTAGTAGCTGTCTCCTCTATGGCTTTATAAGATATGAGTTGGCAAATTCTCCAAGAGGAAAAGCAGCAAGCAGAATACAGGGCTCAGCTTAGTAGGTGTTTCTTCTCTGTTGGATATTATTTAAAGATAGCATGTGAACACATTTCTAAGCTCCATCTAGTTCCCTGAAAGATTTCACTGTAAAGAAGCAGCCATGAAACTTTAGACTTATTAGCTTGTCAATAAATACAGAGGAGATTAAAATCAAGATTTAATGAATTCCAGCGCTCTCTAAATATTAGCAGATTCCATAATGTGTTATGGGGAAAACAGTAGTGATCCAAATTTAGAATTTGCTATGAGAGTTGAATGCAGATTTTCTATTAGATGTCATTATTAATTTAGATATTAAAAATGACTAACACATACAGTTTAAAAAGTTTGGAACAAGGGTTGATTCTGAGGGAGGTAGCAGCCAGTAAAAGCCTGAAAAGATATGAAATTTTATTATCAGTCACTGAATACAGCTGGAGAACAGAGTATTACTGTGAAATAGGTAGGAATAATAAAAATCAGAAAGCAGATTATAAAGAGCATTTTACATCATGATGAAAGCAGCCTATTAGATGTTGTTCTTGTTACAATAACAATAAAAATTATTATTATTACTCTAAAGACAATCAAAAGTTTCAAGCACAGGTAAAACAAGTAGATTCATTGTTTAAAAGAAAAGTGATATTAAGTGTCAGAGCACAGAGGTATCACTGTTGATGCTTGTTTTTAGCTGTTTGAAATGAGGCTAGTTGCCTAATATTGTTGAGATTTTGTACCTCATTAATAAAAGTGTTATTTTTACCTTCCCTATAAGTCTCACTCATGTATTAAACATGATATATTATAGAATAAAATAAATTAAAATATTTATAAATAACTGCATAAATGCAAGACACCAGATATTATGATACACTGACACAATCAAATATTTGATTTTTTTATTAGATACCACACTGTCATTAAAATACATTGAGTTTATGGTCAATGTTAGTACATTAGATAAACTGCAGAGAAAGTCCATTCAAAATCACATATACTTGAGAAAATGCATGTACAGCAGCCAGAAATCACAGGATACTTACGTATTTAGCAAAGCCAAGATCCAAATTTACTTAAAATGCCCTCCCAGTGCTCAGATGCAATAATCTCTCATGCACATTGTAGAGAAGGTCATTGAAAAAAGTAGCTTCAGTTGTCTTATTAAAATGGCAATGAAACTAGTCAATATTACCAGACAAATGAGAAGGTGAAGACGTGTTTATATCTTCTCTAGGGCATGTCCAAATGTTATGGGACTACATTAAATAACGTGTGTTCTGATTTCATTTTATTGACCCTGGGGAATATTTTCAATTCACCACCACTCTTACATCAATTCAAAATGCTCAATGTTAATTCGAACTTGACTCCAGTTACTCTGGTGTTCATATTCTCTCTCTCTTTCTGTGTGTGTGTGTGTGTGAGAGAGAGAGAGAGAGAGAGAGAGACATACACAGAGAGAAAGACAGAGAGATCTATCACCTGCTCATATCAATAGAAAACATTATTTCATCCTTATGGTTTTTGAATGAGTCAATTAATTTTTGTCAAATATGCACAATAACCCTTTTCAGAAAAGACATTTATATTACCTTGCAGAGTCATTTGCATGTAGCTACTGGAATTTCAGATTTGCATAATCTATCTAGAATATTTGGTAAAGTTTATTTTTCACCTCAAAGCTATGAAATAATTTATGACATATCTATTGGCTGCAATATAATTTACCCATAAATATTTTCTTCTGAATACACTTGATTGACATGGATAAATTGGCATCACATAAAATTTATTAAAGTAGAAGATACGCCATTTTAGGGATAACATGATACAAAATCCATAATAAACCTGCCTTTATCTCTGTTATGCATTTATTCATTCATTAACCTGTTCATCTGTCATCCAAAATAAAAAAATTAATGCCAGGCACAGTTTCATTTCCAAATGGTTCTGTTGCCTTCCTTTACTTGCATTTGATTTTTCTAGAAGTGATATGACCACCCCCGGCTAATTTTTTGTATTTTTAGTAGAGACAGGGTTTCACTGTTTTAGCCAGGATGGTCTTGATCTCCTGACCTCATGATCCACCCGCCTCGGCCTCCCAAAGTGCTTTGATGACAGGCGTGAGCCATTGCACCCAGCCGCATTTTTTAAAGCTGTTTTTTTTGTTGTTTGTTTTTTTGTTTTTTTTTTGTTTTGTTTTGTTTTGCATTTAATTCACCAAAGAGATTCCTGTGTATCCTAAAGATTTCAAAAAGGTTAAATGTAAATTAAACGTAAGAATCTTCCTCCAAATCTAAAATTTCTAAAAGAGAAAATTCTGACAAAAGAGGTATGGCAGTTTTAATTTAGAAAGATATTGGTGATTTGCCATCTGATAAAGCTGCACTAATGTAAACTAATTTAAACTTTTGCCAACTAATTTAAGCATGTGAGCCTGTACCTACCTCCTCTCAACTGTGCTAACATTCTTATTAAACTTTTGAACTTTTCTATTGTAATAGTTAAAACAAAATTTTAAAAAAAGTCATGTCTTTATGTATGAGTGTTTTTTTGTCTGCTTGTTTGTGTTTTTGAGACGGAGTCTCTCTCTGTAGCCCAGGCTGGAGTGCAGTGGTGCAATCTCGGCTCACTGCAAACTTCACCTCCCGGGTTCAAGCGATTCTCCTGCCTCAGCCTCCTGAGTAGCTGGGACCCAGACATGCCCCAGTCCTCTCCTGATTTCACAGAAATATCACATAGTTACTTACTCAAGCCTGAAACATAGGAGATAGTCTTGAGAAGTCTATGCCTCTTATAAGGCAAACCTCTTACAACAGCCTAGCATTTCTAGCAATACTTTTTCCTCAATACCTGACTTCAGGTCAAGCAACGACTATCCCAGATGAGCATCCTTGCCTCTACTCCTACACCCCTATAATAAACTCTTTTCCATAAAGCCTTTATATGATCTGTAAAATTCAAAAGTCCACATAGCCCAGTGGGTATGCAAGATTTGGACTCAGATTGTGTGAGTTCATATTCTGGCTCTGTCATTTATTAGAGATGCAAGTTTTGGAGACAAATTCTTAATTTTTCAAAACCTTCATTTTCTCACCAGGAAATAATAATGTCTCAATAGATATATTACTCTGGGAAATACTCTGATATGAGTCAAGCACCTGGGCCAATGTTTGGTAAATGATACTTTAATAAAAGTTAATTAGGGGGTAAATTCAAAATGTTTCTTTCTGTACCTTAAATCCCTCCAAACTGCTTACCAAGAGTTTCTTCCATTGATCACATTACCAACCTTAGTCACATATGTTTTCTTTTGTTCCACAAATATTCAAGGGCTCTTCCTGCCTGAGAACTTTGCTCTTGTAGTCCCCTCTGCCTGGAGCATTCTTCTACCAGATCTTTTCATGGCTTACTCTTTTCTTCAGGCCTTACTTCAAATGCTATTTTTTCAAGTGTCTCAGTCTTGATCTCCTTGTCTATTAGTCATATTCCATGAGACATTATTATTTTTTCCTGTTTCAGTTTTAGAATAAATCGTATCACCATCTACAGTTGTCAGGCATATCAATTTGGGGCTTGTTTTCTGTCTACATTCTCCAAGAATCTAAACTCCAAGGGAGCAGAACTTTGTCCATCTTCCTCCATCATTCCCTAGACTATGGAATTGCATGTCACATGGCAGAGGCTCCATAAATATTTGTTGAAAGAATCCATATACGAAGGAAGAGCTCAGTAAAAAAAAAAAAATGAATGAATGAATGAATTTCATCCACAAGGACCTTGAAATTAATTAGTAATGCCTTTGTGATTACCATCGGCAGTGCTCTGAGATGACAGTCTGGACATTGCTCCACTCAGAAATTCTGCTACACCCCAGCAGATTGCCTTTCTCAACTCTTTAAGAGCATGACCATGTTTATATATGATGTGCTGGGTATAATGAGAAATTTTACCACTTTGGGAAAATTTTGTGATAGCAACATTTCTATAAAACTAGAATATCTAAACTTTGTAAAAGTAATATTGAAAAAATAGTTCATTTCCCAGTATGTATCCTCTATTGTCTTGATTAACAGGGTTTCAACTAGTGGAAATAATTTTTAGATGTATTCTGTCTTCAATTTCTGTCTTTCAATTTCTGCTGTTTGCAGAAAAAAAGGCATCTAGTTACTAAGAGGAGAAAATAAAAATTCCAAGGCAAGTGCATTATGTTGTTGCAAATATTTGTTCTGGTTTATTAGTACAGAAGTCAAATTTCTTGATAAGACCATATACTTTTGTATAGAAAACACTTAAATCATTCACTTTGGAAAATGTATACAAATATCAGCTTTTCATTTTACGTGTATATAATGTAAATTTTTCTTCTGCTTATAGTATTTATTTAACTGATAGACTATTAAGCTATATGTGTTATGTATACACAATATACAATACTTAATGGCCAATTTTAGGTTTGCTTTTTTTTTTTTTTTTTGGTCTTCTGTGAGTTACAGAGAATATTTTCAGCATACTTAGGAGTTTCCAAAAATGTAAACAAAGAAGAAGATGAATTTTGTTTAAGAAAATTCAAATACCTATTGAATGACTAATCAATTAGCTTTAGAGAAGGATATGAAACATGTGTCCCTTATGATAAGATTGCTTTGCCAGGCTTCTAAAGAACAAGTATTATTCTTCATAATAACTTAAGTACAGAAGTGCCAGAGAACAGTTCGTACACTAGCAAACTTCCATGTTTACCTTAGTATAATGGCTCTCTATTTTTAAAAGTATTTTATACTGGGCCCCTGTCAGGCACTTAAGCTTTCAATAGAAATAATTCTCTTCAAAGATATCTTTTTCTGTTGTTTTGTTCTTCGTGCAGTACAATTGACTTGCTTTATTGAGACAAATATGATTTTAATTGTTTTTGTTACAAAAAATAACAGATTTCTTAGTATTTGGGTGTATAAATTAAAATATGGTCAGATGATCTGATGATATTTTTGAGATATATTTATTTACTACATTTCCAGTCTATAAGAACATAAAAGAATTACTGGCTTGCAAGAATAATATTTTGAAGGTATTTTTAGAATTTTAAATTGTTAGAATAATGTGATGATTCAAAAAAAGGCACTCTATGTTCTCATATAGCAGATATCTCATTAAATAGTTTTATTTGTTGCTTCAAGAATTTTAAATCATAGTTACATTGAAGTTCTTGATGAAGATAATATGTTTTAAGGCCATATATTACTATATAAAGTAATAAAGTTTATTACTTAAAGTTCTATACTTTTTTATATAGTATTATAATAGTATTATATAGTAATATATGGTATATAAATAAATAAGTATAGAGCTTATAGAACAAAGTAATTCTTATGCTATATGTTTATATTTTGAATGCTTGATTCAGAACTTGACCCATACTTTGAAAAATTAAGAAATATATTTTTAAGAAATATGATTATCTTAAATTCACATTTCTGTATTGTGACTATTTTTTAAAATAACGAACTCGATAGATCCTGCTGTGTAGCTAAAGTGCTGGGTTGGAAAGGATGTCTCATCTTTTTACTTACAAATGTCAGAATTAGTGTGGGTGATTGTAGTAATCATTGAAAATCTTATGTAAAAGAAGCCATCATTTTCTATTGAAATAAATAAGTAACATGGGTATCATTTTGGTATGTTTTTTCAGCCATGACTAATCATAGCTAATTTATAAATTTATATCATTTTAATCATTTCAGTACTAGAGTGAAGAATATGTTTTGTAAAGGTTAAACATAAGAAAATTAGTAAAGTTGATAAGTGTATTTATCTAAATGTATTACTTTTAATTGTAGTATATTAGTAATTTTAGTAATTATAGTATATTAATGGACTTATTTAATTACTTATTACCCCTAACAGAGTAATTATAGTAAGTATAACAGAAAAAATTGAAAGTAATGACCAGCAACACTAGTTGCTCTGTAAAAAATTGCCTATATTAAGCATTTTAATTCTCACAAAAATCTTGTGAGATAAGTTCATTATTGTACCACGTATACATGAGGACAGTATTAATAAGTAACTTATCAAAGATGATATTGCTTACATTTTAATATAATTGGGATGTGATCACAGCCCTCAATATATATCAGATATAAGTATATAATATGTGATATACCTGCATGTTTTAAAATCCGACATATGTTTGTATTTATTTTATACATACATGCTCTTCTAATATTTTCTATATGTACATACATTTTTGGCAAATATAAACATACACATATACACTTAAAAACAAAGAGAAGATAATTTTTATATTTTACATATTTTACAAAAATATATTTGTCACTCTATGATTGAAGGTAGAATGCAACAGATACAAGCTTTAAGTTAAATTGCAAATAAACCACAACTTATTGTTATTCACCAATCTAACAATTAGCTTGTTGAATAATTTAAAATTATAGTTGGCCATAACAATGCTAGCTAGTCTTAAATAAATGGCTTGAAAACATACATGGTTCCAGATATTACAATAGGAAATCTGGTGCTACATTTCATAGATCATCCAGTAGAGGATTCAAACTGCTGTCTTTTTCGTTGTTGTTCTCTAAGAAGACTGGCAAACGAACTGCATATCAGGGCCTAAAACTGAAATTTCTTGTTCATATTTCAATTCCTTGTATTAAATTACATAATAAGGATAATTGTTAGTGATAGCTAGGAGAATGCAACAGATATTTCTTGTTCTTTAAATACTTCATAAACACACATGTTTCTATTACTTTTTTTCTATTTTGGAGTTTACATTTGCTATTAATGCTTTACTTTCTGTTGAGATCTCTTAAAAAGTAAATTCAATGGAACAATTTCTGGGACATACATATGCTACTAAAGTTCACTGAATATCTGAATCTACTAATAACTAGGGATAAAACTGAAAACATGTTATCAGAGAATAAATGTGAAAATGCAAGCCCTACATTTTAATACTTCATTCTTTCCAACTTTCAAGTCATGGCTAAATCTTATTTAATATAAATTGATACAGAGCAAAGAAAATCAATTAAGTGTTACATTTTACTTTATGAAAAGACAAAACTTTGATATCAAATATTATCATTTACCATAAAATTAAATATAGACTACTTAACCAAATATTAAAAAACAAAGAATATCACACACAATAGAGTTTATGATAGTAATATAAATATGATGGGGTTATTAATATATTAATATGTTATAATATGAGTGAATTTGATGATATATTTATATATTGCCCACATTCTTAGAAAATTAGGACGAAAATAAATTCTTCAAAGGTAAAATGTAATTATATAAAGCAAGCAGCTTACATCACATTTAATATAAAAATGATAGAATGGCCTCTCCCAATAAGTTTTTGTGGAATGCAATTTGTCCAAAAAATTAATAAATTATCACAAATAAATTATCAATTACATACTAATACTGATTTTATTTTATTTTCCTTTTTTCAAAATAAACGATAAACTTTTTTGATAAACTTCTCCATGATAAATATGCAGGGCCTAAAACTAAAATTACTTCTTTATCTCTATTCTGTTTCTAATTTCTGTTTTTAACTACATAATTTATCGAAGTTTGTTAGAGAAATTCCAAATGAATAGAGCAACAGTGGAAATTGCATGGGTGAAGTGAGACAGACATCCCCCATGTATTACTCCAAAACAGTAAATATCCCTGACTGTGCCCCCAAAATAAAGGAACTTCATAACCCTAGACTCCCAACAAACTTGTGTGTTTTAACTTAGAGTTTTCACAAAAAGTAATTAATTATAAGGAAATAATTCATAGGCTTCTATCTGAACTTCAAAAATAATAATTTAACATAAACATAATATTTTAAAATATATATCTCATGATTATATAATAACATATTCTTCCATTAACACCCTCCTTTAGAGTTGTTATGAGCTTGTTTGTTTCCTCTGTAACAAAAGTTCCATCCCTGCTCCTGGGATAACCAGAGAAACACATGTTTTGGAGAACCAAAGCTACCTATTTGAAAGACAAATGCATAGCACAACACCAGGCGAGGACACAGGCTGCATTGCAGGTTCTAACAGCTCACCCCACCAAGCTCGGTGGGGCAGTTCACAAGCCGCCATGGCACTGCTGGTGCCTTGCATTGGCATACATTTGCCTCTCTCCCGTGGCTTATGTTCACATCCTGCTCCTTAACTGTGCTCATGATGGATATTGCTCAATACTTCCGGGACTGAGTGTACTCCTGATTTTAGTACTTTTTGAAATAATTCACTTAGTGTCAATAAAATATAACTTTACTTTGTAATATTTATATTATAGAAAAAAGTACAGGTGAAACTACATGATTTAGTGAAAATGATATAACTTAGAAGCAATTGAAAAACTTTATTATTCTAGCAATATAAATTTTTTAAAAAGCTCCCTGTTTTATATTCTAGAAAATGCAGTTTCCTAGAGTGTTTTTAATCTGGATTTTGAAGGGCATTGGTGACAATGAATGCCTATATCTATTAGGATTCAAACTATTATTTGTTCTAATTAACCTGAGGTTTCCTGTCATATGGTGTGCTTTCTCAGAGGAAAAAAATTTGTACATTGTCTTCTGGAAGAGAAATGTGCTCAAAAGTATCGTATTTTCCCAAGCAAACATTAAGAAAAGTCTTAACAATAATTACAGGGAATGGTAAACACAACTACATGGATAGTGCTGTCAAAGTCACAAATTCATTCATTAATAAGTACTCTGGAAGTTACATTGCTCCTGTAAGAAAGCAAAACAAGATTTTATTAAAAATTAGAAAACTTTGGTTAAAGAAAAGAGAAGCATCATTTTTTTCTCATCAAAATATAACTAAATTCTTTGAGTTTGACAATTGTAAAGTATTCTGTAAAGTTTTGTAGGTTTTATGTTATTTAGATATAATATCTGAATATAATTTTAATTGTTTATACATTATTTAAACCTTAAAAACAATGTCAATGTAAACATTATTCATGGATCACAGAACTAAAAGAGCTCAATCTTGTTGGAAAACTCACTTATTTTCAGTTGTTGGCTTATCTTTATATCACTTTTTACAAATAAATAAGTTTTAGTATGATCCATTATTAATTTTTTCAAGATCTTTTCTTAATTGTCTGACTGATTTGAAAAGAAGATACCCATAAATTAGCATTGCCTGCTTGATGAAACATAAGAGTGATCTTAAATGTTGCTTAAGGTACTGATGTAATTTCCAGACTTTTTCAAGATAACCAGATGTATTTGTACAAAAGGATAATAAATCTCTCCACTTTCATTACTGAGAAAGAGATTGCTGAAGCTGGTCTAGTATGTTAGCTGATTTCGCATAGTTAAATGGTGGAATAATTTTATTACTATGTCACCTTTTCCTAGAAAGGTGTATCATTGTATTTTAAAGCTCAAGTAACATTCAGATTGTAAAAAGGGTTACTTGTCTTCCAAAATAATGAAAGCGTAAATTCTGTTTTTCAGCATGGAAAAAAGTTTAATATTAGGCAGCAGGCATCTGTTAAACAAAATGTACTTTTATGCAATTTTACAAATGTGCTAGGCAGGACAAAAATAAAATTAGTATGTCAGAACTGTTCATGTTACCTTTCTGCCACTAACATAGGCAGAATACCTACGAAGGTATATTTAATGTTGAACCAACAATTACTCTCTTGACTTTCTTATGCAATTCCCACTTCTATGGAAAAACCTTTCCTCCTTCATATTGACTTTTGATTTTCTCCTTTTATCGCCTGCTACTCTTTAAAAATGCTAGCCACTGCAAAAACATGCCAAATTGTAAAGACCATCGATGCTAGGAAGAAACTGCATCAACTAACGAGCAAAATAACCAGCTAACATCATAATGAAAGGATCAAATTCACACATAACATTATTAACCTTAAATGTAAATGGGCTAAATGCTCCAATTAAAAGACACAGACTGACAAATTGGATAGTCAAGACACATCAGTGTGCTGTATTCAGGAGACCCATCTCACGTGCAGAGACACACATAGGCTCAAAATAAAGGGATGGAGGAAGATCTACCAAGCAAATGGAAAACAAACAAACAAAAAAAGCAGGGATTGCAATCCTAGTCTCTGATAAAACAGACTTTAAACCAACAAAGATCAGAAGAGACAAAGAAGGCCATTACACAATGGTAAAGAGATCAATTCAAAAAGAAGAGCTAACTATCCTAAATATATATGCACCCAATACAGGAGCACCCAGATTCATAAAGCAAGTCCTTAGAGACCTACAAAGACACTTAAACTCCCACACAATAATAATGAGAGGCTTTAACACCCCACTGTCAAAGACAGATCAACAAGACAGAAAGTTAACAAGGATATCCAGGAATTGAACTCAGCTCTGTACCAAGCGGACCTAATAGGCATCTACAGAACTCTCCACCCCAAATCAACAGAATATACATTCCTCTCAGCACGACACCGCACTTATTCCAAAATCGACCACATAGTTGGAAGTAAAGCACTCCTCAGCAAATGTAAAAGAACAGAAATTATAACAAACTGTCTCTCAGAGCAGAGTGCAATCAAACTGGAACTCAGGATTAAGAAACTCACTCAAAACCGCTCAACTACATGGAAACTGAACAACCTGCTCCTGAATGACTACTGGGTACATAATGAAATGAAGGCAGAAATAAAGATGTTCTTTGAAACCAATGAGAACAAAGACACAACATACCAGAATCTCTGGGACACATTTAAAGCAGTGTGTAGAGGGAAATTTATAGCACTAAATGCCCATAAGAAAAAGCAGGAAAGATCTAAAATTGACACCCTAACATCACAATTAAAAGAACTAGAGAAGCAAGAGCGAACATATTCAAAAGCTTAGCAGAAGGCAAGAAATAACTAAGATCAGAGCAGAACTGAAGGAGATAGAGACACAAAAAACCCTTCAAAAAATCAATGAATCCAGGACTGGTTTTTTGAAAAGATCAACAAAATTGATAGACCACTAGCAAGACTAATAAAGAAGAAGATAGAAGAATCAAATAGACACAATAAAAAATGATAAAGGGGATACCACCACCGATCCCACAGAAATACAAACTACCATCAGAGAATACTATAAACACCTCTATGCAAATAAACTAGAAAATCTAGAAGAAATGGATAAGTTCCTGGACACATACACCCTCCCAAGACTAAACCAGGAAAACATTGAATCCCTGAATAGACCAACAACAGGTTCTGAAATTGAGGCAATAATTAATAGCCTACCAATCAAAAAAGTCCAGGACCAGACGGATTCACAGCCGAATTCTACCAGAGGTACAAAGAGGAGGTGGTACCATTCCTTCTGAAACTATTCCAATCAATAGAAAAAGAGGGAATCTTCCCTAATTCATTTTATGAGGCCAATATCATCCTGATACCAGAGCCTGGCAGAGACACAACTAAAAAGAGAATTTTAGACCAATATCCCTGATGAACATCGATGCAAAAACCCTCAATAAAATACTGGCAAACTGAATCCAGCAGCACATCAAAAAGCTTATCCACCACGATCAAGTTGGCTTCATCCCTGGGATGCAAGGCTGGTTCAACATATGCAAACATAATCCATCATATAAACAGAACCAAAGACAAAAACCACATGATTATCTCAATAGATGCAGAAAAGGCCTTCGACAAAATTCAACAACCCTTCATGCTAAAAACTCCCAATAAACTAGGTATTGATGGGATGTATTTCAAAATAATAACAGCTATTTATGACAAACCCACAGCCAATATCATACTGAATGGGCAACAACAGGAAGCATTCCCTTTGAAAACTGGCACAAGACAGAGATGCCCTCTCTCACCACTCCTATTCAACGTAGTGTTGGAAGTGCTGGCCAGGGCAATCAGGCAAGAGAAAGAAATAAAGTGTATTCAGTTAGGAAAAGAGGAAGTCAAATTGTCCCTATTTGCAGATGACATGATCGTGTATTTAGAAAACCCCATCATCTCACCCAAAATCTCCTTAAGCTGATAAGCAACTTCAGCAAAGTCTCAGGATACAAAATCAATGTGCAAAAATCACAAGCATTCCTATACACCAATAACAGACAGAGAGCCAAATCATGAATGAACTCCCATTCACAATTGTTTCGAAGAGATTAAAATACCTAGCAATCCAACTTACAAGGGATGTGAAGGACCTCTTCAAGGAGAACTACATACCACTGCTCAATGAAAAAAAAGAGGACACAAACAAATGGAAGAACATTCCATGCTCATGGATAGGAAGAATCAGTATCGTGAAAATGGCCATACTGCCCAAGGTAATTTACAGATTCAATGCCATCCCCATCAAGCTACCAATGACTTTCTTCACAGAATTGGAAAAAACTACTTTAAAGTTCATATGGAACCAAAAAAGAGCCCTCATTGCCAAGACAATCTTAAACTAAAAGAACAAAGCTGGAGGCATCACGCTACCTGACTTCCAGCTATACTACAAGGCTACAGTAACCAAAACAGCATAGTACTGTTACCAAAACAGAGATATAGACCAATGGAACAGAATAGAGCCCTCAGAAATAACACCACACATTTACAACCATCTGATCTTTGACAAACCTGACAAAAACAAGCAATGGGGAAAGGATTCCCTATTTAACAAATGGTGCTGGGAAAACTGGCTAGCCATATGTAGAAAGCTGAAACTGGAACCCTTCCTTACACCTTATACAAAAATTAATTCAAGATGGATTAAAGACTTAAATGTTGGACCTAAAACCATAAAAACCCTAGAAGAAAACCTAGGCAATACCATTCAGGACATAGGCATGGGCAAGGACTTCTTGACCAAAACACTGAAAGCAATGGCAACAAAAGCCTAAATTGACAAATGGGATCTTATTAAACTAAAGAGCTTCTGCACGGCAAAAGAAACTACCATCGGAGTGAACAGGCAACCTACAGAATGGGAGAAAATTTTTACAATCTACCCATCTGACAAAGGGCTAATATCCAGAATCTACAAAGATCTTAAACAAATGTATGAGAAAAAATCAAACAACCCCATCAAAAAGTGGGCAAAGGATACGAACAGACACTTCTCAAAAGAAGACATTTATGCAGCCAACAGACACATGAAAAAGTGCTCATCATCACTGGTCATCAGAGAAATGCAAATCAAAACCACAATGAGATACCATCTCACACTGGTTAGAATGGTGATCATTAAAAAGTCAGGAAACAATAGGTGCTGGAGTGGATGTGGAGAAATAGGAATGCTTTTACACTGTTAGTGTGACTGTAAACTAGTTCAACCATTGTGGAAGACAGTGTGGCAATTCCTTAAGGATCTAGAACTAGAAGTACCATTTGACCCAGCCACCCCATTACTGGGTATATACCCAAAAGATTATAAATCATGCTGCTATAAAGACACATGTACACATATGTTTATTGCAGCACTATTCCCAATAGCAAAGACTTGGAACCAACCCAAATGTCCATCAATGATAGACTGGATTAAGAAAATGTGGCACATATACACCATGGAATACTATGCAGCCATAAAAAAGGATGAGTTCATGTCCTCTGTAAGGACATGAATGAAGCTAGAAACCATAATTCTGAGAAAACTATCACAAGGACAGAAAACCAAACACCACATGTTCTCACTCATAGGTGGGAAATGAACAATGAGAACACTTAGACACAGGGTGGGGAACATCACACACCGGGGCCTCTTCATGGGGTGGGGAGAGGGGGAGGGATAGCATTAGGAGATATACCAAATGTATACGACGAGTTAACAGGTGCAGCACACCAACACGGCACAAGTATACATATGTAACAAACCTGCACGTTGTGCACATGTACCCTAGAATTTATAGTATAATATTTAAAAAAAAGAATTGTTTTAAAAGAGTAAAAAAAAAAAATGCTTGTGAAAAGTGTGCCAGCCTATTATCTAAGCAGGCAGGTAGCACTAATTCTCTGGGAAGGAGGTAGTTGAGTGAAAAGATGTAGGTTTCTGCTTCTTTGATGTATAGTTAGCTGATGTTCAACCAAGGGTTTTTGTGGGTGTGTGTTTCATTTTGAACTAAAAATCATCATTTTACAAGTATATCCAATTTCCCTTGATATTGAAAAGTGAGATGAGAAAATGGATCAAAATGAAATAATAAACAAAATCACAAATGGGAAATGAAAATTTAAACGTGAAGTATTTCATCTTTTAATTCCTTGGCTATGTGGCTAACGGGGACTTTGTGTTCCCCGCAGTCTCAAAGATTGTACACGTCTTTGATATTATGCTAAATAAATATCCCCAGGTAATCAGCATATGAAATACTATTTCTGTTAGATTATAAATTTTAGCACTTTTATATAAGAGGTACTTGATATTTTAGTCAATGGCCAGCTCACTGAGCAATATTCCTTTCACTCTCTCATCATGTTTTAAGCTGTTATTGTCTAGCTTAGGCAATCAATAATTGATCTCAATAATTCGGCTATCTACTTAGTCATAGAGCAGCAATCTGAAGTGAGGATATATTTCTACTGAAACTCTTGACTATGGCCCATGGGGCAGTGATTTTAATGTCAGTTCCATGCTTGATGAAACAAGTGCTCTTTGGTGAGCTGAACTCTTTTAATGAGATTATTTGTAAGTATAATGGGGAGTGTGGAAACGTGCCAATTGAGGAGTCAATGGAAGAGGAATAATAAGAATAATGAGAGAGAAACAGGTAAAGCCAAGGAAACTGGGCATATTGAGAACTCTGCAAAATCAAGTGAGTGAATTATGGCTGTGAGAGGACGTCTAATGGTAATTATTGATGTGTTTTATACCCCAGAGTGTGAAAGTCACTTTATGCATTCTCTTTTTGATAATTAAGAGTAATTTATAGGCTTTCCACCTTTCCTGTTTCCAGTGGCAAGCCTCCAGATGCCTTCTGGACTAGCACACTGCAGTGTGAAGTGGCAACGAAACAAGCCCTCAATAAGAGTGCTCAAATTCCTAAGTTATTTCTATCAAATACATGTGTTGTTAAGTAATTGTTATATTTTGGTTTTATTTAGCATATTCTTTTTAGTAGGGATATTAAACTGTATTTGATGATAGTTTGTGTTTATGCATTTTCTTCATGGGAACATAAAGAATCTAACTTTGACAGAACTGGAGAATAAATATCTGTAATAATAATTTAATGATATCTGCACTTGTATTTCTATTTCCTGAGGGTTTAGGCAGATAGATCTTTGAGAAACATATAGTGCAGATCTTTTCAGCATTTGTATCTCTTATAGATGATCGTTTTATTATTGCTGTGGTTGTCAAACTAATTATTTTCCCACATCCACAACTCAAAATATGGCATGTTTTAAGATGATGATAATTAGTATAGTTTTACATTTTTACAGTGGACAAAGGAGGAAATTGAATGAAGGAGGAAATTAGAGTGACGTAACAAATAAGACTAAAACCTGTTGTTTACTGCTATTAAAAACATGGAAAATGTATCTAGAGTAGGAAAGCAATGCCAATATAAAGGTAGGTTCTGTTGCTGTTTGCTTATTTTTAAATTTCTCTGCATAGTTGATTAGTGTCAATGGGGTCAAATATGAAGTTAAATACTATTTCTAATGTTACATTTGAATATTAGATGAATGGGTTAATCTTCATGAACTTTAGTTACCATTTCTTTGAAGTGAAGATTCTTACCTATTTCATAGATTTTTCACATGCACGTAATATGAGATGCTCACTATTTGATTTCCATCCCTCTCCATACACTTGTTTCTCCGTTTCTCTGCCTCTTCTCTGACCCATCACATTCCCTATAATAACAACTTGACAAATGTCATCAGTCTTACCTATGCCCCATGTTTTCATTGATCTCGATGCTCAATTTTACCCACATATCACTGTCAACATTTAAAACAGCACATCGTAAAGGCAGAAGCCAACACACACATGTACATTTTCCCACGTCTTTAATAGGTAAAATGTGTGATATAGTTTGTATGTGTGTCCCTGCCCCAATTTCATATTGAAATATAATCCCCAACGTTGGTGGGAGGTGATTGGATTATGGGGGCAGATTGCTCATGAATGTGTTAGCACCATCTCATGTAGTACTGCTCTGGCAATAGTGAGTGAGTTGTCCTGAAATCTGAATGATCTCCTCCCTTGCTCTTCCATGCTCCTGCTTTTGCCATATGATATGCAAGCTCACACTTTGCTTTCCACCGTGACTGGAAGCCTCCTGAGGCCTCCCCAAAAGCCAAACAGATGTTGCAATGCTTCCTGTACAGCCTGCAGAACTGTGATCCAATTAAACCTATTTTCATTATGAATTTCCAAGTCCCAGGTATTTTTTATAGCCAATGTGAAAACAGACTAATAAAACATGTTTAACTTATGGTGAATAAAGAACACCTAATATCTTGTTACAAGGCAGGAAGGAGAATGTAGAATCTGTGGGGTCTATCTCACTCTAGAATTCACAAGAATAATCTTGGTGTCAGATGAGTCCCCATTTCTAAATGACTCTGGTATTTTACTTCCTAGAGCACTGTACTTACACTTTTGTTGTCATTTGATCAATATAAAGGCAAAACTTCACATTTTTAGCTATAGTTTTCATTTGCAAGAATATTACATAAAATCAGACTTTAGTCTCTTCAGTCAGTAAATACAAATTGAAATCTATGGACACCTGGGAAAACTACAGATATATTTAAGGAATTTAAAGAAATGTTTCCCTTCAAAGTGTCTCTGTGTTACTCATATTTAAGATACACTTCTCTAATTTGTTGCTTTGGAAAAATCCCATTAAATACACACTAAAGTTTTATAATAAGATTTGATAATTTATATATATATATATATAGCACCTTAATAAAGTTGGTTCATCCTGTTTATTGAGATCAAAGTCATATGCAATTTATTCCCTCATTTCTGTCTTCCAGTAGTCCACCCTGTAAAAGAATGTGTATACATATCTGTTTATTTTTAAAATGGCACCAACAGAGAATCATTTTCTTTCAAGATAATGGTCAAATAGCACATTGGTGTTTTAGCACTACAATCTAAGTGGTTTTTTAATAAATAAAATTAATTACATGGGTGCTACACATGACATTCCTATACACAGGTTTTCCATATTTAACAATCAATTTAACATGTTTTTACTATATATTAAATATGTTAAGCCCTATACAATGACTTATATTATAAATTAAAACATTGAGTTTAACTGAGCTTTTGAAATCATACGAAATACTCTTGAGAATGCTGATTATAACTTTCTAATTTATCCACAATACATTTAATTTTTGTAAGTACTGGAAATCTGCATATAATAACTGTAAGTCAAAGGAATATAGCATATTATGAAGTCTGGCTAATTTATCATAGGCAGTTATATCAAGAACATCAGATCATTTCATTCTTACCAATACAGAATGAACATTTTTTGTAAATGCATTATGCTTTCTTCCACATTATTTTTCGGAAGAGCCACAGTGAGCTTAAATCTTTAAAAAAAATGCCATGTCGCAAAAGGAAGAGGAAGATTTGAACTGTGTCAGCTATACTATAAAAACCCTTTTGATCAGATAGTCTCTCAATTTTTGTAAATTCAACATTCTGAGCTTTAATTAACAGAAAATATGACATCCTAATACTGAAAACGTTTTATCATGTTGAAAATGCCCTTGAAGACTTAAAAAAATGACTTTGGAATTCTTACATATTTTCAGAGAAATAAAGCTGTTAAAGCAACTATATCTGGTTATTTGGCATGTTGTCTCAAATTGGAAACAACTTTCCAATTTAATAAATCATTTTTCAAAATTCCACATAAAATCTATTATCTGAATTGCAGGAGAAAATAAAAATGTATTTAAAAATAAGAGTAGGCACCATAGCAATGACTGGATATGATAATGAGACCATGAGAATAATTTGTCGTGAAGTGTCACCAACCACCTTCAGGTTCCTATTGATTCCTTTTTACCATTGACTCTAGGTAAACGTGGGAGGACAGTCTCTACACATGGAAAATGCCAGTGTGGGTGGATAACTGCTTTACGATTGTGCAGATCATTGAAATCTAACATCAAAACTGTTTCTGTTTTTGTTCTTTTCCTTCATTTATTCAGATAATTCAATGTATTCAAAAATAATATTTTCCTGAGCACCAAGATAGATGTTTATCATATGATCAAGAAAATAAGGCAGAATTCCTATATGTGTGTGTGTATATATATATATATATATATATATATATATAGCATCTTGTTGCCTATAGTCCATAGAGTAAAATAAATAATTTTTTGAGTTTGTTATAATAGTAATAATAATATAATTTTGTATGAGAATTCGAGAATTTTACAAACAGAGAAAATTTAATTTCTTACTTTGGTACACATTCAATGTTAAAAATAAGTGTTTAATATCAGTATGATTAACTTCAAACTTTTGTTGATGAAGATAATTTAATGATTTACAAATTTATTTTTGATAGTCTGTGAACTTATTTCTATTATATTTCTGCTTTTGATTTTCACAGACAAGTTGGTTACTTAGCTTTAGGCTAACATTTAACCTAAACATTATTATTATGGATGGTCTAGAAAGACTTTTTTCATTACAAAGAAAAGAAATGAGAAATTTAGATTATCTTCAAGTACCCTTGATAATAAAAAATTATATTTGCTCCAATTTTTTAATTTTGAAGCACTTATTATTTGAAACTTCAGCAAAGTTCAGAGCAGATTGTGACAAAAGTCTATTTTCATAAAAACTTGCTATTTGCTTTTTTGATGGTGTTTTCCAACTATTAAAAACTGTACAAATAAATAATTATTATTTAAAAAGAAATTTAACCTCCACATCCACATCTTCATACACACACACATACACACACACATATATAATACTTATATACACATACATACATGCACATGAATTCAAAACACAGACTTTTAATATGATTGAATAATTTTATAGACATACAGTATCAACACTAACCAATAATAAAGCCTGTTTTTTATTCCTTATACAGTATGTATCTAAAAACTAGAATGAAAACTGCGTATTTAGTGAAGTAATTCTATCATTAGCCATAGCCCACGTGGATGACTCAGTGCGGTAAAGATCAATAACAGATGGCCAATTATAGCCCAAGCAAAACAGTTAAACTCTCCCAGCAGAGCTTTTGGCTTAGCCAATGTATAAACTGTCTTAGTTTCTTTGGAATAAAAATTTACTCAATACAATTTTACAGGTGTGTAGAAAGTGGATTTCCCAAGAGTACTATATTTGCCTGGTCAAATTCAGAGCAAAGAAAAATGGTATAGATTTAGGAATTCTGCATATGTTGTTCTAATCACCTTTATTTCAATTATAAACCCAGGGTTTGGTAAATTTATTCATTTGGTGAATCATCAGTAAAAACAAAAAATCAAACAAAAATTCCTGGTCAAATTTTGCAGCTCTGTGAGAACTTCTCTCTGAGGTTCTATATGAAAGCAAGAGAAGGAAATTATTGAGATCAATTTTATGAAGTTGTGTTTTTTTCCTAAGCAATATTATTTAAATGTAAGAACATTGCTCCCTAGAGCATTCTAGGAGCCAGTCATAAGTATTAGAGAGCAGAGTCATGGGCTAATCATAAGTATAGTGGGGTTCAAATAAGAATCAAGAATAAATATATAAGCGAAGTTATTAAGGTAAGGGAGATTATTTGGGTCATAAAGAAAATCCAACAATTAAATTATGAAACGTTTAAAATTTAAGAATAACTGATACAATATTCAGTAGTCTTCTCTCTGAAAGTATAACATTTAATGTAGATATAATTCATGATAGATATAATTCATGTAGACGTAATTCATGATAAATGTAGATTTAATTCATTATATCATGTAGATATAATTCATGATAAATGTTGGCACCCAATATTTAATTTATATTTTATTATATTTAATTTATATTTTTACTGTTACTTTTTTGTCTTAAGATTTATATTGACAGCTAGAAAGTATAATGGTATACTCATCTCATTTTATATAACAGTTTCAGAAACAGATGAAAAAGTTCAGATAAGCTGATTTATATAAACATCTAGGAGATGTACATGGATTTTAATTTTTTATATGTTAGCAAAACAATCAATATTTTTATTTAGTTTCTATTCTAATAAAATACCATAGACAAATATGTAGGTTTCTATTAGTTTTTATGTTGGGAAGAGAATTAGAGCCACCATCAAGAGAGATTTTCCTGCTTAATTTTCCTGAATGGATATGCGTAAAAACACTGATTGACACGAGTCTATTCAAATCACAAATGGAATTTTAAGATCTCACTCACAGACACATTTCTGGCCCCAACATGACTGCTGTTCTTCAGTAGCCATTCAGAGTTTATCAAACCATACATATAGATCAAGGAGAGAAGGACCCTTTGCTCAGGAGAAATTCCAATGTATCTTGTCTTCTGTGATACTTCACTTTATCTCATTATATTAAAAAATATGGTTCATGGGGAACATGTGTAGATTTCTGATGATCTCACTACAGAATCTGTGGTGCTATAGTTTACAGTCTTCCCTATATATTTACTGGGAAGGCAGTCACCTTCTGTTTGAGTTAGTACCTCAACACTAAGCAGATGCAAATATGTGGATTATTTAAAGATTTAATATCAATCAATAATAATTAATACATAGTTTACAAAGAATAACTTAATAATATGTCAATAATAAATAACATAATGTAAACACATACACATACATGTGGCACACACACATTCTCCATTCTACAGTCCATATCTGGATTCTAGATTCTGAAGAAAAGAAATCCATTTGTGTGAAGCAGGGTAACTGTGCAGTACAGTCATTACTACTGCAACTCACTGCTTCTGAGGCTGCAGTTTTACTACTTGCCTGAATCCAGTGAGACAGAACACTTAAACGCACTACGATTTACATGATGTGGGTTCTTTACTTACAGAGAGACAGCAAGGAGCAACAGAAGCCTAGGATTCATCAGGAGCCAGTCCCACAGGATCAGGAAAGCTTCTGGGGCAGGTGGAGTCTCATGTGCATGTGCTCCACTTGCACCAAAGCTGAAGGACCCTGGAAAGTATCCCGTGGTAGGTTTTTTTTTTTTAGACAGAGTCTCACTCTGTCGCCCAGGCTGGAGTGTAGTGGTGCAATCTCGGCTCACTGCAACGTCCGCCTCCCAGGTTCAAGCGAGGATTGAACCTGCCTCAGCCTCCCGAGTAGCTGGGATTACAGATGCCCGCCACCACGCCCAGCTAAATTTTGTATTTTCTTTTTTTAGTAGAGACACTATGTTGGCTAGGCTGGTCTTGAACTCCTGACCTCAAGTGATCCACCTGCCTCAGCCTCCCAAAGTGCTGGGATTACAGGCCCAGCCCCATGCTGGGTTTTACAACCTGGGGTTGTATGATGAATCGAATTAAAGCAATGAAGGACATTCTTTCTAGGAGGGACTGGAACAGAGCCTGAGGCTATTCCAGTCACTTCCTCCTTATTTCAGTATGTTGTACTCTAGCATATTTTACAGTCATTCTTGAAAACTACAAGCAAGAAAGTGGGAAGAACTAGGTTGGTCCAAGGCCACCCAGTGAACTGATCTGCAATTTGATATTTAGACTACATATGGTATATGGTATACTCATTATGTCTGTGTTTGAATAGATATTCTTAGTTGTCAGCATGACCTTTGCAATAACCTGAACTTTCCAGTGATCTTGGTAATATTTTCACACTGTGTTTGGAAAGAATTCAAGAGACTTGGGATCGACTCCTGGTTTAGGCATTTTCTGTACGGAAATAGACAAATCACCTGTTTTCTTTGGGTATCAGGTGTTTTTATTTTCATTATTAGACAAAACAGAAAAAAATGATATGAAATAAAAGAGCTCAGACAAAAACTAATGGCAGAATTAGTGTGCCTATGCTTACACATAATGGTGTCTGAAAGTACTCGTGGATAAAACAAGCAAACTGGTAGTGACAGAGGGTAGTGAGTTCTATTATGAAACTTAATTAACCAATTAAATTCTTATATTCCTTAATAATTCCTACAAAGTTACCTATAGTGAAGGTCAAAAATATTCCTACATAGTTTTAAGATATACATACATATATATGTATAAATACATATGTACACACTTATACATATATCTTATAACAAAGCATAATGAATATATATGCATGCATACCTATTTCAGTCCAAATTATTTGGCTATAAGAAAAGTAGGCAGAAGCAGTTACTAAGAAACATGAGCCATTTGAAGGGGTCTTGAGGAGTGTATCAGACACATCCTATGAAGTTCTTAATTCTCTTAGATTCAGAGAACCTAAGATCAAAGAACCTTTGGTCACTGGTTCCAACTCCAGTCAACACTGTATAGCAAACAGTTTTACGTGGACTCTGTCCAACTTTCTGCAGGTCTAGATTGACAGCAGACTTTTTCTCATACTCATACTGCACATTCTTTGCCTTATTTTTGGGATCTCCCTGTCAAGGCTGAGATGTTAAACATGGGGACCACTGAGCACCATGCATTCACAACCCAGCAGTGCAGAGGAATTAATGTACCGTGAGGCAAACCTTTGTATAAACAGAAAAAAGACTCAGGAAAGAAACCTCTCTATCCCCTTTGGGTTGATTGTCTCAGGCAACAGTTATATAGCAGCTTACAAGACAGCTCTGAAAGCAGTCAGAGTGATTTCATATCATGCAATGGCTGATTAAAAACATAGTACCGGCTGGGCATGGTGGCTCACACCTGTAATCCCAGCACTTTAGGAGGCCGAGGCGGGCAGATCACGAGGTCAGGAGATCGAGATCATCCTGGCTAACATGGTGAAACCCAATCTCCACTAAAAAATACAAAAAATTATCCGGGCATGGTGGCAGGCACCTGTAGTCCCAGCTATTCGGGAGGCTGAGGCAGGAGAATGCCGTCTCAAAAAACAACAACAACAACAAAAAACTTAGTACCAATATGTTGACTGTTTTTCTTTCCTTCCCTGTCTCCCCTTTCCCCTCACTCAGGCCAGGATTGCATTCCCTTATACAGTGCTAGTACATATACCTTTCCTCAGGCTCTCCTCTCTGGGGAAATCAAGCTAAGACAACTGATGTTAGACATGACCCTAGAAAGCAGAACTCAGGATAACAGTACGGGTCTGAATTACTCATAGTTCTGACAGCAGTCAAGGACTCCATTACTGATGGTAGATATGGTGGGTATAATCACTGGAAAGGAATAGAACCAAAACTGTTAATAGTAATTTGGCTGACATACAGGATGGAATCTAAATCCATTAAGGCATTCTCAACAGCCACTACCTCCAATATCTGGGTATCAAATGCCATTTCATGGTATATTATGAGTAGCTTCCATTCAATTTTTTAGACACTGCAATATCAGGACAGAATCAAATTATAATACTGTAAGACTGTATGATATGATTAAGTGTGCAATTTCAAAAACTCACATTTGTCAGTGTGAGTTTTTAGAAGAGTAGAGACCTAAAATCTGTGATGGGGAATATGATTGGATAAATCTGAAAAATTTGAATTCTCAATTTCACTAAATGTATTGTTTCAGCAGAAGCTGCCCCTTATTCCTTTGTTAGAGAAAATAAGCCTCTTCTTGAATGGTGACCTTGAAATGACCTCACTTGAATCAGACATTTAATAAGATGGAGCTTATTTTCATAAAAGAACTTTTCCTGCCTTTCCTCATTGCTTCTAGGATAATTGTATTAGGCGGGGTTCTTTAGAGGGACAGGACTAATAGGAGTATAAATGAAAGGGAGTTTATTAAGGAGTATTGACTCACATATCAGAACGTGAAGTCCCACAGTAGGCCATCTGCAAACTGAGGAGCAAGGAAGTCAGTCTGAGTTCCAAAACCTCAAAAGTAGGAAAACCCACAGTGCAGGCTTCAGTCTGTGGCTGAAAGCCTGAGCGCCCCGGGCGAACCACTGGTGTAGATCCAAGAGTCCAAAAGCTGAAGAACTTGGAGTCCAGTGTTTGAGGGCAGGAAGCATCCAGCACGGGAGAAAGATGGAGGTCAGAAGACTCAGCCAGTCTGCTCTTTCCATTCCTGCTTTTATGCTGGCAGCTGATTAGATGGTGCCCACCCAGATTGAAGGTGGGGCTGCCTCTCCGAGTCCACACACTCAAATGTCAATCTCCTTTGGCGACAACCTCACAGACACACCCAGGAATAATACTTTGCATCCACCAATCCAATCAACACTCAATATTAACCATCGCAGTGTGTAAGGACAGAATTAAGCACAAACCAAAAAGGGAAGTACAATCCCTCTTCTAGAAGGATATAGATTGCGCATTACAGGAACTACAGAAACTAGCTAATTTTTACTGGTAGAAGCTATTGGACAATATGTAAGCATTGATATTGAGTATATTCATCAAAAGGGTATAAAATAAGGCTAACAGTAGATAATCTCATGATTTTGGAGTGAGGCATAACCATGATAAGATTCCTAGGATATCCTAACAACCTATTAGGATGGCTAGTAGAATCTTGCTCTCATTTATAGCAAATTAAGAATAAAGGTGCTTATTTCATTGACACAGCAATGAGAATGAAATCAGAAGGCTCTCAGAATATAGAATAAAAAAATAGAATTAATCCTTAAGAGCTAAGAACCCACCATGAGTCTTCTTCCTCAGAATAGCCTAAATAATTTTCTGTTTAATATAAAGCAGTAAGGAATGCATTGATAGGGGGTGCTATGATCCTAATGAGGACTATGTTTCCTGCCAGGAAAAACCAAATGGCTGCATGACTGGGATTGTCCGTTTTTTAGGTCTGTTTTATTATGTTTATTTTGGCATAATAGAATGGATGGATCTATTGTGAAATTTGCATGACACAGTAGAAAGATTTCTTTCAAGAATATCAGACAACATGCTTAAGCTGCATGAACAAGTGACCCTGATGTCTATGTCCCCTATCTCTTAGTACAAATGACCTATCTTCATCTCATGGTTATGGTTTCATGGGGTTCCCAACTGACGGAGTAGGATAAACCTCAGCCTGACTCACAGATGGATTATTGCAATATGTTTGTGACAGGTGAAAGAGGATTGCTGCCTCATTGCAACTCCAGAAATGAGTGGTATTAAAGTACAGTTATAAGGGGCATCATTCCAATGGGCAAAGCTGTGTGCAGTTACTTAGCTGTCACTTCCTATGAGAGAGAAGTAGACATAGATATATGGGTATACCTGGACTCTACGGCAGAAGTAAAGTGTTTGGTCCGTTAGTCTGGACCTGGAAAGACAAGAGAAGAAAATTGAAAAGTAACAATTCATAGCTCAAAGGAAAGACCCGTGGGAGTGGGCACAAAGCATGTCAATATGTGGATCTTTATTTTTCATGTCAATGCCTGCAACAATGACAAATACTGTAACTTTCAGTGAGCCTTTCTTCTTAGCCCACCCATGTTTGGGCAATAGCCCAGGGACAGTAAGATCATTGTGAAAGATGGAGTCAATGCATAATATATGTATTAGCACCTGTGAGCTGATCTAGCTAACTGCTACAGCTGAATGGACATGCTGCCTTTGGCAGAGACCAATGGTGTGCCTCAGTATGGCATCATTTCTCAGAAAGCTTGGTCATAAGCTTAGCTTTACATCGCTTGTTTCAAACACTTTCCCCTGATAAGAAAGAGGCAGTAATTCATACTCACTAAAACCTTTACTTACTCTGGATATGAGCTTACCTTACCATCTCACAGTCCCTCTGTCAACACCACTCCAAAATGCTTGATAATTAAACTGTCTTCTTATTAGTTCTCCCTCCTTCCCTTCTACCTTGCTCTCTGCTTTCAGCTCAGGTGTTTAGGATTGCACTCTCTAATGAAATGGCAACACAAAAACTTTTAACCTCAGGCTCTGTGTGCTGGGGGACTTGGATTAAAACAGAAAGTATTTGACAACTTTAATCATTCTTAGCAATCATATAAAAATTCTTTATTTTAGGTCACCATCTTCTCTTTCAAATTATGGTGGCAATCCTCTGTAGTCTTTACTTTGCATTCAAATTCACCTTCCTATAACTGAAATGTGATAGTTATCTTACATACAAATTTAAAATGATTATTTTAAGTAATAACGATCTTACTGTTCATTATTGCAGGATAAAATCCCAGCTTCATAGCACAGCATACATGGCCTTCCGTCCTTCAGAAAAAGTTCAGATTAACCTCATAGGCTGTTTATCCCCCATCAGTGACTCTGACGCTTACTTGCCGGTTTAGAATTTTTCAGATATTCTACTTTCTTTGCCTAAACAAAGCCCTTTATACTCATGATTTCTGGGTACCTACCTCATGACACTCATAACTTATCCTAGATAGAATATCCTAAAATTTTTGAGAATGATCAGGGCCAAGTTACATGTACCTCATCTGTTCTTCCATCACACATGGACATTTCCTAATCACAAGATTTAGCACACGTAATTTTATTGAGTTTTTTTGCCTATTATGAAAAAGGTGGAGAGAAACCATAAGAATGCATTATTTTTGTTGCATGATTTTATTTTTGTCTTTTTTTTTTTTGCTTAATTTGATAAATCTTGTCGTTGAGGGAAGAAAATATCTTTTAAGGGTGGGGACTTAATATTTTTTCTGAAGAGCTTATATATTTTAAAGTACCACATTTCTGACATGTAAACATCAGAGCTGCATAGAACTTATTTTCTCACATTTGAAAAGGGATAGCCCTCTTAAGAGGTACCATATTAATTTGTATTGATTATTCACTTTTTTCATAAATTAGTTTACAGAATTTTTCTAAGCATAATTGGAGTATACATGGAACAGAAGAGAAGAGCATGACGTGCTGGAAAAACTTAGTAACAGGAGATGACAAGGAGAGATTATAAATTAGAGAAAACACAGGAGATTGAGGAGACAAACACTATCTCACAGATACATCAAGACAGACCCTAGAATTAGAGTAAATGTCAAGATGTTTGTTAAATTAGTTTACAAAATGAAACTCAATGATATTATGTTAACTACTTACTGGTTTTGGAAAAACAATTCATATGTATACACAGAGAGAGAAAGAAATGAGGTGTGGGGGTGTGTATGCGTAATAGACACGGAAGGATTTGCAAAGAGAAACTGTAAAAAGAGCGTGCATTGCCTCTCCTGACGGCTAGACCTGAAGACCAAATTCTCTTTCCATTCCATTTTATGTCACAGATTTGTTTATGGCAGGAAAACAAGTTTCTTTTTTTGAAGTATTTTCTGAAACATACTAGCAAAGACTCACAGATCATATGGACCAATCAGAGGTCACTATCAAGGAGAAGAAAATTAACAAGGAACATTGCTAGAAACATTTACACTGTAGCCTGTAAAACAACAATAACAATAAAACAAAAGGAAAAGAAACAAACACAAATGCAAAACCAAAGGAAAAGCAAACCAAGAAGTCAGTTTGAGCAATCCCATTCCTTCCCTCAGAAAATAAAATAATGACATCAACATCTCAACAAAAACAACAATAGTAGTGGTAGTTGTAGTAACAGCAGTAGAACGACTAATAGTTTCATAATATTCATAATAACAGAATGTAATAGTAACAGTAAATAACTTATATGTGCAGAATTTAACAATATTTTTATATATTTAAGCATATTAGTTATCTGTGGAAGAGAATCTTACCTCAAGTTATATGTCAAATACTGCCAAAATGTAAGGGCTCAGATATGTGCATAAAACTGATAACAGACCCACGAGGGTTTATGCCAAGTCATAAGTAAAGAGTTAAGAGAAGTTGAAGGTCTCTCTTCAGACTGTGGATAACATTTCTTTCTGATCTACAGCAGCCACTCATTTGGTTACTGAGTGAAAAAAAAAATGCAATGATTATTTCTGCTGAAGACATGTATTATGGAAATTAAGTATCACAAATTATTTTACATTATATATTAGTGGATAAGCCCAAGAAATAAAAAGTCTTACAAATTATCAAGTCAGATGCTTTGAGAATCATTTATATCCATACAATGAGTAGCTAGTGCTACAAGTTTTTTTTAAAACGAACAAATAATAGGGTTAAGTGGAGCATTTGGCTCTCTATTAAGAAGAGTCTGCATCATATTAGATATCTTAATCTGTCATAAATTGCTTCCTGTACCAAAGTTTCCAGAAATTTTAAACATTGGTCAGTCAAAAAATTACAAATAAAAGTAACTAGCAAATGTATTCAGCAGCTTCTTCCACATGATTTTAAAGTTAAATACATAAACCAAGAAAAAGCACACCGAGATTTTCACTTTATCACTAAATTAGAAGAAATTTTGCTAACTTCCTTATTCTCCTTCTTATGACTTAAAATTTTTTTCATGAAAAATATTGATAACACAGAACATCTAGACCTCTGTGGGGCTTGATGATTGTCAGAAATAACTTTACTCTTTGTGTCACAATTATAAACTATATGCAGACATTTCATTCCATGAGAATTTTAATCTTTTTAATTTATAAAAATATTAATAATCACTACTTTTTTGTCTTTTTTTATTTGTATAAAGTTAGGGGGTACAAATGAAGTTCTGGCACATGGATACATTATGCAGTCTTGTAGTCTGGGTCTTTTGACTAAACTATTAATAACTAATGGTGAATATTACAAATATTAGATACTGTTATACAATTGAAACTGCATCACCGTAGATATAGCAAAACAGAAAAGGATTGGAATAAACACAAAATAATACAATGCTCTAAAAGATGAGATCATTGACCCCTATTCATTTAAATTTATGTGCACAAATATTACTGTTTTGATATAAAATAATTTTCAAAAGCAATAACTAATTCACTGAACAAATAAGGATGGAAACTTGCTAGTTTCTGCATGTGCTTACCTTCCAGATGTGCTTGCTCTTCATGTTATGTTTGTTATCAGTATATGTTTATTAAATTGAGCTATAATATGCCTTAGATATAATTATATTTTAGTAGCATGAGTCATTAGCAAAACTTACATTATCATAATTTTGAATATATATATATTTCTAGACTATTATAGTAAATATATGTTTCAATGTATATATATATATACACATTTAGTCAAATATATGGATAGACACATAAAAATGCATACATTCTTACTGAAACAAAAAATCACACATACATTGTTATACTTAATCAAGAACAAGAAATTTGCTTTTTAATTTCATGTTACAAATTTTATGACTTTATAATTGACAGAGATGATCAAAAGCTGTCATCTATCCAAACAATATTTGTGATCTGAAATTAAAAAAAAAAAATCTGTAGGAATTATTCCTTCTGGAAAAGAAATATCACTTATAGTCTCAGAAGTCATTAAAAAGTTCTTGGCAATGAAGTTTAATATAAGAGTACCTTGAATAAGGACTTAATTTTAAGTAGAAAAGCTCACAAATATATTAAAAGATTATGAGGTTCTCACTGGAGCAAAATAATATGAGAATAGAAAATTTTGTTCCTCTTTATTAATAAGCTTTTTTGTAACCACCTGGCATTTGGCAGTCAGTTCTTGAAACAAATCAGTATCACTTACAGAAAACATAAACAATGGAATTTAATCAAGATTAATTGTGAGTTTGTGTTTCACTCCAGAAATACTATAATAGTCAAAAGTACGAATAAAGCTATTCCTCTCTTTTTATGGCAGTAAAATAGAAAGAGATGAATGCTTTAAGTGTAATTCTGCCTGTGGTTTCAGTAGTTTTGGACAGGAAATCAGTCGTCAATCTAGTTTAGAAACTTTTGTGCATATATATATATGTGGACAGATGATAGATAGATGCCTTTATATACATTTAAATATGTAAATGTGTTACGTAATACTTAATCTAGAATAAGAAATTTGCTAATGTTGAATAGTTTCTTCAGTTTAAAATAAAACTGACTTTTATATATGAGAACAATTAAATCATATTGAAAAATGGTGTTTGGGATTACAGATAATTTTGGAACTCAGTATATAATAGAAATTAGCTTTGTCATGAGTAAGAATATTAATAAATGTTCAAATATCTCTAAGTATCAAATTAGTTCAAGTGATTAAGATTGACGAAACTACATGCTAACCTCCAGCAGTAGGGCTGCGCTTCTGATTTGAATAACAGAATAAATGACAGTATTAGTTTCATATTACTTTGCAACAAATTACCACAAACTAGTGAATTAAAATGATAGTTATCTATTATCTTGCAGTTTCTGTAGGTCATAGAACCCATATGGTTGAGTTCTCTATTCAGAACCTCACTGTCCTGAAGTCAACATGTTGGCCAGGTCTGTGGTCTCATGTGAGCATTAGGTTCTTCTTTCATGCCCACTCAATTTGTTGGCAGAGTTGAGTTTCTTGTGGTTGTAGCAAGGAAGTACATATTTTCTTGCTGGCTGTAAGCCTAGGGTTGGTCTCAGCTACTAAAAGCCACTTTTGGGGTCTCCCTTTTCACAAGCTGTTCATAACTTAATTGTTGACATTCTTTCTGGGCAGTAGAGAGCATCTGCTGCTGCTTCCTCTTTCTTTAAAAAGTGCACGTGATCAGGTCAAGCCCACCCCAAACAATTTCCCTTTTAGTTAACTCAAGTAAATTGATTACAGACCTTAACTACTATGTAAAATGTATTTTGCCATTGTATCAGTTTGCTTGGGATGCTGTAAGAGAATCCCATAGACAGGGTAACTTAAAAAACAAATATTTATTTTTACAGTTCAAAAGGTAGAGGAGTCCAAGATTAATGGGCCAGCAAATTAGGAACTTGGTGAAGGCTATTTTTCCGGCTTCTTGCTGTAGTCTGACGTGGCAGAGAGTGAGAGAGCTCTAGCCTCCCCCTCTTCTTATAAGAACATTATTCGCACATTGGGGGCCCTGTACTCATGACCTCATCTAAACTTAATCATCCCCCAAAGCTCCACTTCCAAATATCATCACATTGGGGGTTACAGCTTCAAAATATGAATGTTGGAAGGGACACAAATATTTAGTCCATAACATCCATGCAGCAGATTATAATTATGAGAGTGATATCTCATTATATTCACAGGCACTCTCTGCATTCAAAGGAAAGGGGTATTACACTGCATATGTACATCTGGGGACAGAAATTCTGGAGGTAATTGTGGAATTAGGCATAAGAAATTAGCTTTTTACTTTGTCAATTACCAGTTAAGTCAACATCAAAGCTGAGTCAATCAAGGGATCCAAGCCAAAAATTCAAAAAGCAGAAAACAAGTAGATAAATGGAATATAGAGATAGAGAAGGGAGAAAAGAGTGAGAGAAAAAAGAGAAATAAGAAGTGGAAAGAAAGAGAAATAAATATAAAAGTGAAACAAAAAATATAATTATGATTGAGGTAATAACCAGGATAAAGGCACTGGACAGAATACTCTAGTGTGACCATCTATGTTGTAATTTTATACTTATCAACATGATTCAAAATATTTAATAGTCTGAACAAAAAGACCTATACTATTTTCTTGTTTGTTGTAATTATTGAAAAGTTTATAATCAGATATTTCCTTATTTTACTAAAAAATAACACACTGGCTCACTGTTGTTGTCAGTAATAACATCACCACCACCACAATCTTTTCCCTCTACACCTTTTTATCTTCTACCTCCTTCTCCTCCTCACCTCATTCCTCTTTTCTTTATATTCTTTCTCCTCCTCCTTATCCTCCCTCCTCTTCTTCCCTTTTCCACTTCTCCTTCCTTTCCTCTTTTTTCCTCCTTCTTTGTCCTTTTTCTTCTTGTCTGTCATTATCATCAGCAGTATATCATAATCACTCCAGATAACCTGAGAGCCATGCTTGACCCTTCTCATTCAACACCATGTTCAACTGATCAATAAGCTCTGTCAACTCTGATTGCTAAATATCGTGGATGTAAAATACTGACTTCTCATAAATACTTCTAGTTTCTTAACTAATGCTTACATTGTTTGCATTATATTTTCCATGTCTGGTCTTATACTACTAAAATCTATTCTCTAAGGCAATAAATCCACCATTTTATTTCTCCCCACTTAGAATAATATAGTTTCCCCATAGTGGAAACATCATTTAACCTTTTTTTATAACTTGGTTTTTTGTTTACCTCCTAAGTTTTGAATCTGTTTTAAACCCTGTGCTTCATATTGTTCCTGTATAGATCCTGAGTGTCACACTATTTATAATCTACTTTTATTTGTACATCCTGCTCTCCTTTCTCTTGAGTGCTTTTTGTATGGTATAGAGGGTTGAATTGTGTCCTGCAAAATGATACATTCAAGTCCTGACCCTTGCAACCTAAGAATAAACATTATTTGGAAATAAATTACTTGAAGATATAATCAAGTTAAAATGAGATTATGCTGGATTAGAACTGTTCTTAAATCCAATGACTGGTATCCCAATAGAAGAGAAGAGTAAACACACCGGGAAAAAGGCCATCTGACGATGCAGGAAGAGACTGGTGTAAAGCAGCTACAAGTTAAGGTACACCAAGGATTTTTGAGAGCCATCAGAAACTACAAAGTCGGAAGAAAGGGATATTTGCAAGAGCCCTCAGGGGCTCTTGATCCTGTTGCCACCTTGAGGACTTTGAGAGAATAAATTTCTATTGTTTTAAGTCACCAAGTTTCTGGTAATTTATTACAAAAATCCTAAGAAACTAATATATATGGATAACTTCTTTTGGTTTTCAAAACTTAATTCAGTTGTTACCTATACTGGGAAATTATCACGACTTCCTCACTCTGAATTAAATCTCTTTCTATATGCATAACCCATTCATACACTATCATATAGTATAGGAGGAGTATTTCTTTGTTTGCTTGTTTACCTACACAGGTTGCTTCATGAGCTCTTTCAGCAGGATCCTGTTTTCAACACAGTGACTGGGACTCAATAAACACGAAATAAGATGAGTTTGAGTAAATAACTAAATCCATTAAATGCCTCATACAATGCGCTTGGCACTAAGATACAGAAATACGTAGGGTAATCTCAGTAAACATCCTCCAACACCCTCTACTCTCTTCCCCAACTCAAGCAGTGACCAGATCTCATTTATTAAAAACTAAATTCTTCTTTTTCAGCTCAGAGTAATGTTTCTATATAGTCATTTTGAACTTTCAAGATTATTTTTAACTCCATTCATGGTATCTTAAAGAAACAAAATTCCTAGTTTTGTTTCTTTAGTTAACTATTTAACCGTAACATTTGCCTTGAAATGGTTCCATCACTTCCACCATTCAGGCTATGACATGAAACTGTTCTCTAGAGCAGCTGCATCATGGAGTAATGCCTAAGCCATTTGAAATTTTGAGTAATTCAAGGGAACCCTGTTGGTCTGGCCTGGTGCAAGTTTATTGACTCTTAATTGCGTTGGGTGAGGGGAGAGGGAAGAAGAGAAGTGAGACTCAAGAGGCAATTCTCGGGTTCTCTCAGGAACTGCAATATAGATTCCATTTATTCATTTTGGCAGTTATAAACATAAGTATCTAAAAGGATTTGGGGAAGAAAGAGTTATTTGTTGCCTAATTCCAAAGCACTAGAGAAAGCATGTTTTACTTTCACTTTGTCAAAGTACTTATAAAAGTTACATTAAAAAATAACTTTGAGTAGCCCACATATCCTCACATAAAGCCTGACTGTGTAAGTGAGCCATAGTATGGGATTAATGCCTGAAAACTATTTTTTTTTTTTTGAGACGGACTCTTGCTCTGTTGCCCAGGCTGGAGTGCAGTGGCACGATCTCGGCACACTGCAACCTCCACCTCCCAGGTTCCAGCAATTCTCCTGCCTCAGCCTCCAGAGTAGTTGGCATTACAGGCAGCTTTTGAACTTCTGACCTCATGATCTAACTGCCTCTGCCTCCCAAGGTGCTGGGATTACAGGTGTGAGCCACTGCGCCAGGCCAGATGACTGAAAACTCTTAAAGAGCCCTCAAGATGATTCAAGTCCTTTATCTAGAAGTATTTACAAAAAAAAGATGAAGTTTATTTGCAGTAACTTTAGGTGGCAATATAATACTTAGGGGCATTTTGGGGTTTGGGGAAGCTATCAGAGAGGCCAATTATTAGAAACAAAAGAGATGACAGTGAGTAGGTAAGTGGAATCTAAGACCAAGATTCTCTCATTTTAGAGATAAGACCAAGACCACCATCACACGCATAAGAGGTCATATGTGAAATGGTTTTTGATACCCTTACTCTATGTTAATACTTGTTACCAAAATAAAACCATAGCAATAATAAGACTCAGAGAAACATATTTTATCTTTTTGAAACTATGAATCAACTTCATCTAACTAATGGTCACTTTTGTGCGTGTGTGAACTATTTTTTGGCTAGATGTAACATACTCAGTTTAATTTAGCATTTGTACAGATTTCTCATCTTCACTGACACTGTAAAGTGAGCATGGGGTGGGGAAACCTAATGATACTCATTTGAAAAAGAGATGGGGATGAATTCTCTTTCAACTAAGATGTAAGATTCAGGTTTTCTCCAAGATTGTGTAAGATGGTAGATCAAAGAAGTGATTTAGTAAATATTGCTGTAATATTTCATAGTGGTCTAAAACTTTGAATTTGAAATAGAAATCAAGTTCATTACATCCTTTTATAGTAATAATGTATCATTTTAATAGTAAAGTTCCTAGACACCTGTCAGACCAAACAACGGTAATTTCAGTGCTTCATGCCAATTGTATTAATCGATATAATTATACTTTTCTGACTATTCTTGAGTATAAATGCAAAAAGAATGAGGAAAGAATTGTCGTAATAGTGATGGGGAAATATTTATGTCACCTCCAATATGTAATAAGTACATGAGTACCTGTTTATTTATAATATACATTTTGCATTAATATGGTACAAGGAAGCACCACTAATATAAGAAAGACCTACTGAAATATCTTTAAAAAAAAACAGAAATACTAACCAAATGCATTTTCATATATTAAAAGTGCATGTCTGAGAGAAGATTCTGGAAAGATGGAGTAGAAAGAAACAGGAGTCTGTCTGCCTATCTAGACAACAATTGAACTGGCAGATTCAATTGATACGATATATGGCTATTGATATATGACTATTCTGGAACTTTGGAATCTATTGAAAAATTGTAACTTCTGGAGGAACCTTGGATGGTAAATTAAGTTAATTTTGGTCAGTTTCAACCCCTGGCATAGTAGCAGCTACCCATTCTCCACCCAAGCCCTGTGGCAGGTAGTTGTACACAGGTTCCTGAAACAGCTTGCATGTAGTTTGCAGGGTCAGGGTGGCAAAAAATGATGCTATTCTCCAAAGATTGGGTATTTGTCTCTGTTCACTGATTGTTGCTTCGGATCACTGAAGTTCACACAAAGAGGCAGATGATCATTATTTTTACACTTCCTCCTCTGGCTGAAGTGAGTTCCAAGGGATTTAAGGGTTTGACACTCTTTTTCTCCCTTAATCTTTCTCTTTTTTCAATTTTGGGAGCCAGACATTAAAGACTAGGACATTCAAAAGTGACTGCATATGAAGAAAAAATAGGAAGTTAATAAAAATGCCCAAAGAAAGGCATAGGATCAGAGACAACCTGAGAAGACCTTAAATACACACTTTAGGCTGATTCCTGGGACAAAGGCAGCCTACAAGCAATCAAAACAAAAGGCAATTAAAAACAAATAGCAACCAAGCAAAAACAATAAATGCAGGAAAGTGGGGGCAGAATCTGATTTCTAGAGTTGCCACATTGTTAGATTTAAATGTCCACTTTTTGATCATAAATCACAGTGCACACAAAGACACAGGAAAGTATGTCTCATTAAAATAAATAAATATACATAAATAAACAGGAACTGTTCCTGAAAAAGATCCGATGGCAGATCTACTAGACAAAGGTTTTAAAACAATTATCTTAATGAGTAATGATGCTCAAATATCTAAAGAAAAATATGGATAAAGTCAAGAAAATGATGTATAAACAAAATAAAGATATCAACAAAGAGAGAGAATCTAAAAAGAAACTGAAAACAAATTCTGAATCTGAAAAGTACAATATCTGAAATGAAATATTTACTAGCTAGATCAAAGTGTACATTTGAACAAATACAGAATTGGTAAACTAGGATATGGGAGAATGATAATTACTGAGTCTGAAGAATGGAAAGAAAAAAGATTGAAGAAAAGTGAGCAGAGCCTCAGAGACCTGTAAGACACCATCAAGCAGATCAACATACACACTGTGTGAATTCCAAAAGGAAAAGAGAGAGAAAAAAGGGTGGGAGAGTATATGAAAAAATAATGTTTGAAAATTTCCCAAATTTGACAAAAGACATCAAACATCCAAAAAGCTCAATGAACTCCAGGAAAAATGAACTCCACACCAAGACATTGTAATCAAATATTTGAAAGCCAAAGACCAAAAAAGAGTATTGAAAGTAGAAAAAAATAAAAAAGCAACTGATCACGTACAAGGCAGTCTTAGTAAGATCATTATCAGATTTCTCATCAGAAACTTCAGAGGCCAGAAGATAGCAGGCTAATAAATTTAAACTGCTGAAAGAGAAAAATAAAACCTGTTAAGTTAGAATTCTATATCTGTCCTTCAAAAGTAAGGGAGAAATTAAGGCATTTCCAGATAAACAAAATCAGAGGGAGTTCATTACCTGTAAACCTGCCGGGAATACATTCAGGATGAAATGAAAAGACACTAGGTTGTACCTTGAAAAAAAAAAAAAAAAAAGATTTCAGTAAAGGTAAATACATGAGTGATTATAAAAGCTAGTATTATTGTAATAATAATTTGTAACTCTACTTTTTTCTTTCTACATGATTTAAGAGACTAATAGATTAAAAATTATTTGTCTAAAAGCTATTAAAATTTAACTTTGATTTTTAACTCCACATTTGGTTTTCTACAAAATTTAAGAAACAAAAGTATATAAAAGAGTTATTAATTTATGCTTTCATACACACAATGTGTGAATATATAACCTTATGACATCAACAACAGAAGGGTGGTAATGAGGCTGTAAAGGGGCAGAGTATTCATATGCTACTGATGTTAAGTTGGTATAAATTCAGATTAGAGTGTTATAATATTAGGATGCTAAATGTAACCCTCATGGCTACCACAAAGAAATTTACTATATGATATACACAAGAGAAGATAAAAAGAAATTTAAACATTTCACTACAAAAAAATTCAACAAAACACAAAGATAGTAACGCAAGAAATGAAAAACAAAAAAGCCATAAGATATACAAAAAATAGCAAAATGACAGAGGTAAGTCTCTCATTATCAATAATTATTTTAACTGTAAATTGATTAACCTCTTCCTTTGAAATACAGAGATTGGCAGAATCGGTAAAAACACATAATCCAACTATATTCTGTCTATAGGAGACTTATTTTAGATATACATGCAATGGAATATTATTCAGTCTTACAAAGAAAAGAAATTCCGATGTATGCTACAATGTGGATAAACTTTGAGGAAAATATGCTCTGTGAAATAAGTTAGTCACAACACACACAAATACTGCATGATTACACTATGTGCAGGACTTAGAATAGCAAAATCACAAACACAGAGATTTGAAGGATGGCAACCAGGGGCTGAAAGGAGGGGAATTAGGGAAGTTTATCTTTAAAGATGAAGTTTTAGAAGATGAAAAGAGTTATGGAGATGGATGGTGGTGATGGTTACACATTATAAATATACACTTAAAAATAATTAACATGTATAGTATATGATACACACACTTGATGACAATGCTTTTTTTTGGAAAAAAAATTCATGTCCAAACATCTTCACATCTCTCACACGCCTTCCCTAGCATTGATATATTCAAAGTAGTTTCTAAATTGGTTATTTTCAGAATTAATGCAGAATGAAATTTTAATAATAAACTTACAATATATACCTGATATTTATCTTCTTAATTTGCATCATGTGTTATTTGTGGAATGAGAGACAGGACAGTCTTGGATTTATTCTGCCTGATGCAGAGACCATGCTCATCAAGTCACTGTATCAAATGCTGTACTAAAATTTCTTGTCATGTTGTTAGTTACTGTAGTTTGCTGCTATTCTATTTTGTCATGCCTGGTTTCTGAAGCATTTGGTGATTCACCCAAATATTTTATTTAGTCACAATTGCCTACATCCTTGACACTTGACAGATCTCTGATAGCCCCATTTTTACCACGAAATGTCATTTATCTTGCATATCAATAGCTCCATTGACTCCTCTATATTACTGTGGCAGATATGGGGTAGACATTGCCCAGGTTCCTTTGTCCATTACACACAAAGTCAACATGTTAATCGTACTACTTATCTAATGGAATGCAAAAATAATTTAATATCTATTGAATCAGAATAAATAAAAATAAACTTTTTTCAAGAACAGTAAAAATATATTTTTCTGTTACAAAAGTTAAAATTAACAAACATCTTTTGACAGAAAAGCAGCTGATAGGTTGGAAATAGACTGGAAAATAAGAATGGCTGTTTTAACATCCTGGATGAGAGATTAGATTAAAAAGTAAAAACCAACTGACTATCTTTGTTTATAGGGACCTGCAGATGAATGAATGAGAACACTGAAAAGAAAGAATAGAGGAAATAATGTGTGTTTTCTAAAGAGAAACACAACGGTGCTGTGAAAGACAATGAACAAAATAAGAAATGTATACAATGTATAATTATGGACACTGTATAATTAGGAGGCTTCAAAATTACTTTCAATGAATATCTGCCAATTAAACGTCTGTAAGGCATGAGTTCCTTTATATTGAGGTATGTATGTGAAATGACTTGTGTTACCTTTTGCAACAATTTTGTCAATAGTGAAATACTGTCATCACCTACTTTCCAAATTATTATTTTAAGCACTTATATCTTGACATATTTTAATTAAAATAAAGTATTTCTTTAAAACTCCTTCATCAAAATTAATTCCTTGACATTATTTTAGCTATATCTAAAGAGTATCAAAGACTACTTCAAAAATATTTGAGTTTTATATTTTTTTATAAAAATAAATTTTATAGAAGACAAATTTAAGAGTCTTTTAAATACTTTATTATATTTACATACATCCACAAAAAATGAGGAGTCTATTAATGTATTTGTACTATATCTTAAAATTTGAATGTCTAAAGTATGTACACTTTTGGCTTTCTTCATTCAGTTACTTGAAATAAATGTTCATAAGCAAATATTCATATTTACAAATGCATTCTCTAAATAATAACATTATAACTATATGAAATTGTCTCAGTTAAATAAAGGTTTTGTTTTCTTTAAGGGAACAAATTTGTACTCCTTATTTTTAAAAACTGAAGATTACTTTCAATCTTAAAATTATCACTTTTTTCATCATTATACAATTTATTTGAATTTAATTTCAATGAATATTTTAGGGTGTCTTTTGGTTATAGCTTCATTATGTATACATGTATATTAATCAGAAAAACAGGATCACTAACAAGTGATCTGTGAATGGGATTATGGGATTTAATTTAGGAGACAGGGTAGCAGGGTGGAAAGACCTGTTAGAGTGTCCATGAAGAAATCATTTTCTTCCAAAGTAAAAATATAATATTTGAATCTAGAACATGCCCGACTATTTCAAAAACATCTTAGCAAGTTGTTACTACTTCCCTCATCCTGAAAGGCAGTACTATGTTTATTGGTTAAGAATTTAGACTGCAAGTCAGCCTGCCAGGCTTGAAATCAAGCTCCACCATTTACTAGGTGGGTACATTAGAGCAAATTACTTAACAAGCCATATCTAATTTTTCCTAAGCGTACAAGGAGGACATTAACAGTGCCTACTTTATGAGGCTGCAATACTAAGTAAATTACTTCATCATACAACATTTAGAACAGCACACTATCTAAAACAATAAATGCTAAAAAGTAACCCATTAACGATTAGATTATTAATTCTGCTAGGTCTAACCTTGATGTACTTTACCTGGCTTCAACTTCTAAGCAATTTATAATTTAAATTGCAGTTTACTTTGCCCCTCATTTCATAACTTCCTTCTTAAAACAGAAAAAAAAAAAAGTGCCCTTTTCAACATAGGAAGTGCACCGAAAGAGAACCTGTAAAGCACATACCCACACGTGTTTTCTTTTAGGTACCAATTTATCTCCAGTTTTACATTTTCCTACTACAGTTTAAACTAATCTTAGCCTAGAAAATCACTTTCTCACTCATTTCAAATTGCAGAAACAGGTAGAAAGATCTTCTTATCAAACTAATCTGCTTTAAATAGGGTACCTTAAGTCTAACATGATGTGTTTCGTAGAAGTTATTCGACCTGAAAGAGAAAAGCATTGTATCTCAAAATCCTGTTCAGTTTCTCACAAGTATCTTAATATTCCAAGTACATTGTATTATTGTGCAGGCATTCACTCATTCGCTCCCTGTCCAACCACTCACTGCCAAGTGGTTTGTGCTTTCAGTAAATTAATTTCTCTTCCCTATCCTACTGAAAATGTCTGGCCAGGCGCAGTGGTTCACGCCTGTAATCCCAGCACTTTGGGAGGCCGAGGCGGGCGGATCACGAGGTCAGGAGATGGAGACCATGCTGGCTAACATGGTGAAATCCCGTCTCTACTAAAAATACAAAAAACTAGCTGGGCGTGGTGGCGGGCGCCTGTAGTCCCAGCTACTCGGGAGGCTGAGGCGGGAGAATGGCGTGAACCCGGGAGGCGGAGCTTGCAGTGAGCCGAGATTGCACCACTGCACTCCAGCCTGGGTAACAGAGCGAGACTCTGACTCCGGGGGAAAAAAAAAGAAAAGGAAAGATAGAGAAAGAAAGAAAGACAGAAAGAGAGAAAGAGAGAAAGAGAGAGAGGGAGGGAGGGAGAGAGAGAGAGAAAGAAAGAAGGAAGGAAAGGAAGAGAAAGAAAATGTCTCAGCCTTATGACTTGCTTTAACCAATGAAATTTGAGCCATTATGTTATATGCCATAGTTGTGTTATATGTAACATCAGAGTAGAATGTGTAAGTGGAATTGCATGATTCAACTCACCCTCTTTTCCTTTTCCCCTTTGCCACATAAAGAACATATTTCTCTTAGGGATTTAGCCTCCAGGTAAAGAAATTAGCTGGAGATATATAAAGGATTGGCAGATAGAAACAATCTGAAACAATTTCGCTTAAACTGAGACATAGCTCTTCTTTGGTCATCCATCTGCATGTAAGATAAAAATATTATTGTAAGCCACTTAAATTTTGGAGTTATTTACTATGTAGCAAAGATAAGACTTAAATGATGTAACTTCTAGGTATAAGACAGAGCAATTATGTAGTTATTTTGCTATTGGGCTTCCAATAACTCAGTCCTATATAGAGAGGCCCCTACTGTTATTCACCCTGCCTTTACTCAGCTTAATTTAAATTATAAAGATGGTGATTTTTATTAGTACTGGTTTTTTTTAGTCGCAAGTGACAGAAAATCTAAGCCAAAAGTGCTTTGAAAAAGAGTGGGTGAAATTTAATGGTACACATAACTCAAAAGAAATAAAATTTGAGATTCAAGTAATTTCCCCGTGACAAATCCTTCTCCAACTCTACTCTGCTCTGGATTCATTGTCAAGGTCTGTGTGGTGTCATGGTAGCTGCCAACTACTCTTGGCATACATCCTCAGAGGCACAATTACATTGATAATAATTAACCTTTGAGTGCTTACAATGTGCCAGACACTCTTCTAAGGCATTTGCATGAATTAGCTCATTTCATCCTCAAAATGAATATATCAAATAGAAACTAATATTATCCTAATTTTATAGTTAAAAAAACAGATGGACAAAAAAATAAGATGCCTCATAATAACATATATATCTATAGATCCATGTGTATATATGTATATATGTGTGTATATACATACACGACTTGTGTATGTGTGTGTGTATATATATCTAACACACACTCGACTTCTTATGGAATCTAACAGAAACAGTGATAGCAAGAATATTGCAAATAACCGTATTTGCAATAATCTAACAGAAACAGTAATAGCAAGAATATTGCAAATAACTCTATTAATCATAGTCTACTAGAAAATATATTGTTGCAAAAGTGTTCAAACAAAATATACTTTCCAGCCACAAAATATTTGTTATGGTTTTAAAATCATAACAACAAATTAAAGAACAAATAAAACCATACTGAGATGGCCTGCATGAAAAAAAATAATGTTTTATTACATAGGCAAAAATATCTAGGACACAGACCTTGGATACACTGCATATACCTTCTAGTACGATGATACAGGCTATGCAGTTGAGGGTAAGTACTTAAAATTGCTACAAATTATTCCTTTAGAATGTTAGGTGTAGGATAAAAACTAAAATTTTTCTATAAATTCTATCTGTAGCAACATGAGTTTTCTATAACATATTAAAGGAACACAGAATAAATCAAAAGTTGAAGAAACATAAATTATTTTTTACTTTAGCCAACTTATATACTTTTATTGCATAACTTGTAATTTTTGTTTATGTAAAGAAGAGCATTGGCCCTATGATTTTTTAAGCTTTGTATAAGAACTTGATGGTAACATTAAAAAGTAGCAAATCAAATATAATATAAAAGCAGACCTACTCAGTAACTTTCAGCTTATTGGGCTTTTGTACTAATATATTTGTTAATATTTAATAAATATAAGATGTTTTTGTACCTGTGGAAACCCCTTAGCTGCTCTTTGCTAAATACACAGGTGCCTTGGTGTTTCTCAAAGCACACATTGCTTCAGGACTTTTGAATTCCTTTCCACCTGCCAGCAGCATTCTTCTAAAATATTCCTCCATAATTCAAGTTTATGCTCAAATTTTACTTTAGAGAAAATGGGCTATATGGGTTTTTATAAAAACCCATGTAAAAAACATTGCTTTTCACACTAGTTATTCTTCTATGTCCCGTATTTATTTTTCTTCATAGCATTTATTACACACAACATGGTACCTCTTTGAAGTAGAAGCTCATGAGGGCAGGAATGTTACTTTGTCTATTTCTACATCCACTGTGTCTAGAACAGGGTCTAGTACATGGTAGGCATTTCACATATTTCTGTAATGAATGGTAATATAAGTAGAAATCATGATACTATTTAGTAAACCTCATGTACCAAGTGTTACTCAACACGAATAAACTCTAGGCAAAAGATGTTATTTTGGATTATATTAATAATTTCAGGACATACTTCTTACATATTGGTAAGTATTGTACCTTTGTGTGTCAGGGGGATGTTGAAGTTCAAATTTTACTTTTAAGATCTGGGAGAATGTTTAGTAAATTAATTGCTGATGATTTTAATGTACATAATATTAAAATAATCATGTTTATAATAGTTCAACAATAATTTCATAACAATTCACCTATTTTGTGAATGTTTAAGATAAGACTAGCTAACAATTATTAATACAAGTATGTACACACTTAAAATTTACACTTTACAACAATTCTATCAGTTAATAGCATTATTCTCATTTTTCCCCTTTGGAACACTGAGGCACAGAGAAGATTTTCAAATGCCCAAGACATGAGAGTACAGGTTTGAAATTTGGAAATGGAATCCATCCACACTAACAATAGTATTACTTTTCTTTTCTTTTTTTTTTTTCCTTTTTTGAGACGGAGTCTCGCTCTGTCTCCCAGGCTGGAGTGCAGTGGCGCGATCTCGGCTCACTGCAAGCTCCGCCTCCCGGGTTCACGCCATTCTCCTGCCTCAGCCTCCTGAGTAGCTGGGACTACAGGCGCCCGCCGCCACGCCCGGCTAATTTTTTTTTTTTTTTTTGTATTTTTAGTAGAGACGGGGTTTCACCGTGTTAGCCAGGATGGTCTCGATCTCCTGACCTCGTGATCCACCAGCCTCAGCCTCCCAAAGTGCTGGGATTACAGGCGTGAACCACCACGCCCGGCAATTAGGTGAAATTAAAGAAGATGAGGCAGTGAAATTGAGCACTTGTATTTCAAAAGTGTAGACCGCTTATTAAATTATATTGAATCATTATTCTATAATGTTTGGGAACTTATTGTTTATTTCCAGAGTAGAATTCAATTACTTTAACAGTAGATCATAGTGGGCTCTAGAGAATTAACAGTCTAATTAGTTATTTAAAAGGTTAGAATTAAACTTTCTTAAGTTCTTTAAGCATTTTATAATCATTAACATTTTCATAGTACTCCCATAATCATAGCACATGTAACTGGGTCTCATTTCAAAGTGACCAATTAAAAGAATTGGAAAAACAACTAACCCTGGTTTCCATGTTAATAATTGAATGTAGGGTGGATATGGGTATATGTGTCTATTATGCCTTTGTGGTATGATTATTTGTTAATATTGTCTGTAAGTAGGCTTCAGAAGTGTCCTGACATTGTAACTACAAGACAAATCATCCATAAATATAGGAAAGCATATCTTTAATAGAAGTCTGTAATTTTATCAGACTTTCTTTTTGAAATATATGTCACAAGAAGCACTGAGAATCACTGCTTTAAAAAAGCCACTGCTTGTGGCTTAAAATTTTGTGTATTTCTCATTACTCATATGACAGTTTGCATTACCAAGTATTAGTAATTCAGTTGTTTAGTTGGTTGGATATACAACAAATCATTTCTATCATCTGAATAATTTTGTTGAAAACTAGGCATCGTAGTAATTTTCTGTTTTCTGTTAGACTAATAGCGGGGCTTCCAGAACTGAGAAAACAATTTTCAGGAGGGACATGAAAAATCCATTCAGTCATAAAAAAAAGTAACAACTATATATTTACAATTTATTCTATGATAAAGGCATATATTTGCACATTTATACCTGTATCGTGCTTATGAGAATCTGAACCTCTCAGAAATAAGGCAGTTTCCAAAGCCTGATAGTCCAGTGGCATCAGAGAGTTAATATAATGTATCCTTTACTCCACATTCATAGATTAGAGAGTCAAAGATAATAGCTACGGTGCAAATCTTATAAATTGAGAATATACATTTTGTTTTTCTTTGTAATAGTTTGTTACTATTAAAAGATAAGCTTGAAACTCAATGTGAGTTTTCTTTATTCTTCCAGTACCACTCTTTTTCATGTTTCTTCTTAAGATAATTGATAGTCTCTAGAGAATTATCTATCCAGTGATCCAGGTCACTTTCTTAGAAACATTCTAGAAAAAAAAAAAAAAAGAAAGAAATTCTCTTTAAAGGTGGGAAACATATTTATTTCTCATTGGAAATGCCAAGCTCCTTTTATCTTATTAGATAAGGAACAGTTCATTGCTATTTTTAAGAAAATGCTTCATGCAGTTTCAAACCCAGTATTTATGCTGGGTCTGGATTTGAGACAACTTTCTTTAGACTCTCAGATTCTTCCCTCAGACTTTAGCAGGCACTGCCTACCTCTGCCACAAAGAAGTCTCAGGGTTCCTGCCACACTCCCATCATTCTTCTAAACAATTGGTAGGGACCAGAGAAAAGATTTAGCAAGAGGTGCACACAGTCATTAATTATGTAATTTCCAGAGATTTAAAAACTGTTATGTTGATCCATCCTTGGCTGATTAGAGTTCATTAAAATTTCAGCCAAAAAATAAAGGAAATACAGAAATACACAGAATCTTCCCAACGTGAGTTGTGAACTCAGAATAAAATAGAATAGAGTTAACATATGATTTGCCTTAAATGACTAAGCTTTTCTATATGTCTTCGTGATACTGTGGTGCAAACTTGTTATTTTTACTGTGAAAATTTATTTGTGATCATATGCTTTAAGGCAAAACATGATTTTGAAATTTATCAGCCTTGAAGAAACAAAACACAATTTAGCAGTTTTGTAGATAACAGAAGCTTTGTTTATTTTATATATTACTGTTTATATTGTACTGTTAATTAAATCTGTTCTCAAGCAAATTTCATAATTTCTGAGTTGTATCTCAAGAGAAATAATTTATTATATTTTGCCAATGTTTATAAACATTGTTAAAGTTGCTGTCCTCTCTTCGTTATATAGATTAGAGATGCACTGTCAAACTATTGTATAATACGATAGTCATCATTACTATCAATTCTTCTTTCTGAATTTTAACTCATTTAGTGATTAAAACATAGGTATATTAAAACACTGAAACTATCAGACAGTAAACAATATTTCAAAAGTAGCAAGATCCATCATCTATCATCTATCTACCTATCATCTATCATCTATATATATATATCTCTCCATATATATATATATCCATATATATATGGATATATAAACACGTGGCACTTTCATCAGGTTATCAAAACTAACAATGGAAGATTATGAATAGACCACTATTCATCTAAAACTAATAGTTTCAGTATGTAAAAGAGTGTTGTATCTTTGTAAGTAATTATATTTATTCAAAAAAGCTTTTGCACATACCTTGCTATCTATACCCAACCCCCTCAAATTGCCTAAATGTTTGCAGAGACTCAGCTATTGTCTGTTCTACTTTGGAAGCTTTACCTTATGAATAAATAATAATTATAGATCATCAATATTTTCTTTAGTTGAATTTGAAAGGCACTGCCAAGTAATTCAAGTTTTTAACATTATATATTTTTTAAAGTTAGTATTTATTAAATGTAGAACACTCTCCAAAATTACCTTTGGCATATTTTAAAATGCTTAGTATTATCTATTCTTAATGTTGCTAATAAATTTTGGAATACGTAAAAAATATTTAGTACAAATACCAGGCTTTAGAAGATTTCTACCAGCTTGATAAAAGCTTTGAGAATCTACCTATCTTGTCATTTGTAATGCAAATATACCCCTCTTTCCCCCTCAGCATACTGTGGATTATTAATGGTTAACTGTGAGTATTTGATGCTATTAGTAATATATTATTCATGTCCATACACCAATATTATTTTCTTAAATTGTCATACTATTAATATCAGCTTACAGAGGCAAGAGTGGAATCTCAATTACTGCAGAATTTTGTCTGAATATTGGTAGTAACGTATAACATAGTTTAAATAGGTTGCTATTCTGCAATGTGTTTACAACCTGAGCTAATAAATAAATAAAAATTTAAATGAAATTCAGGTCACTTTCATGAGGATTCCTCTGAAGTCAGCATTAATAAAAAGTTATATGAATGTCAAAAGATAATATTAATTATGATATTTCATTATTATTTGCAGCATATTAAAGTTGAAAAGTTCTACTATATTTATGATACTATTACATTTTGGATTAAAAGATCTGTTGAGTAAGAATCATAATATTGATAGTAAATAGTTCTACTTTTGTCCATAATTGGAATTGACATTGCCTTGACATCTCCTTGAAATTACTAGACCAGAAAGTAAAACCAGAGCACACAAAGAAAGAACAGGATCAGAGCCAGGAGACCAATTACCTCTAATCTTTACCACATCAGTTTTAAAAAGTCTTGTGGTCATTTCCCCTCATATGGGGTGACTGGTTTGGTCTTTACAGGTGGATTACTATGATAACTTAGACTTTCTCTATCCAGGATGGAACACACTTGAGAGCCTTGTCAGTGGCATAACTGGACATTTTTGATAATTGAGTGCCCTTCGACATATGTCCAAAGAAGCTGGTTTGAATTCCTGAATCACAAAATACACTTTGTGCATGATAATTTCTGGTGATGCATTTTTATCAAGTACACAAGAACATTATTATGAACGTGTAGGTCTAATACTGGACTGCCTGGATTAAGCCCTGCTGTGCAGAGAACTGAGAGTATGCTGTGGCTGGGTCAAAGTAATAACTGGATATGAATAAGATGACAAGGGATGTGTGACTGTTATTTGACTTCTTTAAGGACAGGAGAACACCTTTTACATCTGTTCTTAGAGTTGTAAGAGTGATGCTAAAAACCAAATTTGAGGAGGGCATTGAAATCTCAAAAAGTCAATGTAGACCCCTCTTGGGTCAGAGAGTTCTATAGAACAAGATCCTATCAAATGGCTGAATCCTTTATTCAATTACCCATTCACGAGTAAATAGAGCTTGTTGTAGAAGAAACATTGGGATGTGACACAGAGAAAACTACACAGTAATTGCCCATTACAACTACTAGAGGACAGAATAAATCTCAAAGTAGGAAATGGCTAGAGAGTTATTTAACAGGTTAAAAAAATTAAACAGATAAAATATCTACAGAATTTAAGAGATTCTTTTTTTTTTGAATATAGGAATTTGGCCTGGTTAAAAGGATGACTACTTTGAAAAGAAATGATTTGTCCATTTTATACTTTATGAAATTTATTATGAAGAAATATTACAGTCATTACTTTTAACATTATAGTTCAGTAGCAACATAATATATGTGGAAAAGTATATACAGTAAGAAAGACAAATATTACAAAATTACTTATTTTATAATAAGACAGACTCTATAGAAAAAAATATGTAAAACAGAACATTTTGAAAATAAAGTATTGATAAAAGTTAGAATGGGAGGGTAGTGGATCTATGATACAGAAGGAAGAAAAGGCACAGAGAAATAATAAATTTTTGAGGTAATGAGTATCCCCAATTACCCTGATTTGATCATTACACATTGTATGCATGTATCAAAATATCACATGTACCCCATAAATATGTACAAGTATTATGTGTCAATTTGAAAAGTTAATACATTCAAAAGAAATAGAACAGGCAGGTTTTGATGAGAAAGAACTAGAATTCGACTTTAAAATGAAAAGCTAGAGAAAAAAATTAATAGGAAACAAGCCTACTCTTAGAGTCCTTTTTACTTTTTAAAATATCCCAAGAGTAAATAAAGTCATCATCACAGGATGAAACTGACCAAGTGGGGTTAAATTATCTAACAAAATTACACCACACCTCATGATGATGGCATTTTAATGGGAAATACTGCGGGCAACTGGTGTGACCACCATCACAGGAAGAGTCATATGTGATCAATGTAGTCCCACCTTGAAGGAAAATCTGAGAAACTGTGGCAGCACATCATGAGTCAGAATAAGATATGAGAAAATAAGAGAAAAATAATGAGAGCTAGATATAAAACAGTGACCTTGCCCAGACTATTGCATGGTTTTGTATGACTGTACATATGTGATTTCTTATGGGGACACTTTTTACATCAACTATTTTTGGTGCACAACACCCTTAGCATTTCATTATTTTTTTCACGTTTCTCTTAGACAAAAAGAAAAATATAACTGAAACATATTAGGTCTAAACAATTTAATCATCGTCATATGCACAGTTTCTGGCAAATGTTGCAGTAATTCTCTCAAAAATGTTAAATACCATAGGGCACCCTTGTGAATTTTCCATGATGCCCCAGGATGCTTTGGCACATAGTTTGAGAACCATGTGTAGTTATTTGGTCGAGTAATCACATATTCATGTTGGCCTCCTTGTTTTACTCATTGGCACTGCTGGCGCAAACAAACCATTGATTGTAGGCCTCCGTAAGTTGACCAAGGTTTGGAATCATTCAGTAGCTTACCTCTCTGAACTCTTACACTTTCATCTCTCCAGAAGTTCAAACTTACACAGAATTAGATCCAAGGCCAAGCCAACTAGATCATCTAGAGTTGATGTGAAGGTACTCACTAGGAAATAAAATATCATAAAAAGTGTTTTTGTTTCTACATATATGTCTCTGTTTTCATAAGATATGTGTTTAGTTTTATGGCATTGCATGGAAATAACACTCTGAACCTCCATGGTGATAAACTTTGTATGATTTTTTATTTAATTATTCAATTATATATGATAGTTGATATCATTATTTCAATATTTTAGATGAGGAAGCTGTGACTTAGTAGGTCTATGAAAAATTTCCAAATTTGAAAATGACAGGGACAGATAATATGCACTTCACACCAAAGTTTTCTGACTCTAAATTTTATAGATTTTCTTTTAAATTTTATACAGTCTATATGTGTGTGTTAGAGTTATAAATAAGATTTAAGATGGTTACTCAAATAACAAAATCACTGAAGAAATTTCAGAAAGTATAGAGAAGTTTATAAAAGAAAATAAGTATATAATTATAAATTTGTAGATGGAGACATAGAGACAGATTGATGATAGCTGATAGATGATAGGTTTGTTGATAGATCAATTGATTGATTGATGGAGAGTGATATCTTATTGTTACTAGGTAGGGTCCTCTTGTCACAGGATCCTTAGAATGTGCCTTTGCTAGCCGAAAACCTCTGTGGTCAGTGGCGCCTTTGCCCGAGTTTTGCTCAGGCCCACTGGGCTCATTCAGCCCACTCAGCCTGGCAGGCTGCATTCGGCTTTCACTCTTGGCCCAGATCCCATGCCTGCCAAGGGCAAGCCAGGCGTGGAGCAGCAAGTGGTGTGTGAGTGAGTGTGCGCAGGGACCAGCCACTGTGCACAGCCAGGCACGCCAGCTATGGCGGGGCAGGCAACTCCAGGTGCTGGCATCGGTGCTGGCTCCTTGCTGCGGCTGGACCAGACATACCACAAGCACCTTGCACTGCAGGCATTGGGCAACACTGTTGGACCCTGAAGCTTGGATATATCAGGAACTGCAGAACCCCAAAGAGGGTGTCACAGCCCTGGCTTCGGGAGCTCCTAAGTCTGGCTCCCCGAAGGAATGCAGCTCTTCTCACCTTCTCTCTTCTGATCGCCTGCAACATGGCAAGAGGTGGGGAGAGGGACGTGTTTCAGCCCTCTGTGTTACAACTCTTCCTGTCTCACCATTTGGGGGGTCTCGCCTTCTTGTTCTGCGTCCAAGAATGAGGTACACGGACAACTAGAGAGTGAGGAAGGAAAAGAGGTGCTTTACTGAGTGACAATATAGCTCTCAGGGGACCCGAAGTGGGTAGCTCCTTTCCCCAGGCAGCTCGTCCCGACAGTGTCCAGCCTTTAGTGGAGGGGAGACTCACAGTGAGTAGCAGGCAGGTTGTCCTGTAGTTCACGGGCAGCTATTGGTGGGCCGGAAAATCCATCATAAGTTCTCACTCCGGTCTGCAGAACTGACAGCCCAGTCCCCAGGCTTCAGACTGGCCCAGCCTTGAAGGTGGGGCTTCACTGGGGACCCGCCCCTTTCTGCCCAGGAGCTGTCTCCTGCTGCCATCAACCTACTGCTACGTTGCCTACAGTGCCCAGGCTGTTCATGCCAAGCGCCAACTGCAGGCCCATGCCAAGCTGCCCTTATCCCCACCTCGGCCTCCCTCCCATGCTCCTTGGTGCCCAAAGTCCAAAAGGGGCAGAGGTAGCAGGGAGCTGGTGTGTCAGTGCTGTCCTGAGTGCAAGCACACCTAGAGGGGTTGCGACAGAGCCTGGGCTTGACTTTAACTTTGCTCTGAAATCAGAGAGGACCCCGGGAGTGGGGAGAGGCCAGGCAGTGGGAGCAGGTACTTCCAAGCCTGCAGGGTCAGAGGAGCTTCCCAGGCCCTTGAGTTGATAGGAATGCCTGGGTCCGCAGCCAAGCTTGGATGGCTGCAGCTGCGTCCTGGAGGGCGGGGCTCTCGCCCCTTTAACTCAGAAGCGGGTGTGGCTCCCACTTGTTACCCGCTCCCCCTGGCTCCCTGGAGTGCAGAGCCCCGGCCACGCCTTCCCTGCTGAAGTCAGCGTCTTTGAAGCAGATGGGCTGCTGCTGCCATAAATTCCTCTTCTGAAACGGTACATCCAACTGCCATTAGGGATGAAGATGATGATCGCTCTTAACTGCTGACAGGGGGCATTATTTTGGAGAAAACAGCAGTTAGATCTTTCTCAGAGGCCTATCTAAGGGTCCTCAGTAAAAAGGGAGCCAAGGCTCAAGTTGTGTGACTCCTTGAAGTTTGATGGTCTCTAGATGAGAAGAAACAAAATTTACCAGGAGGTTAAGCATGTGAAGGAAAAAAAATCTAGTGTCAACAATAACAGAAATAAGAAGTAAAACAGACTAATTCTTAAAACAATGTTGTGGCTAGAGCTGTCTCATCCTGGTGAAAGAAACTGAATCTTGTATGAGGGCCGGTAAACTTTAAAAGAGAAATAACTTTTAGGGGAGTAGGTAATCCTCTGGGAGTTCAGAATAGAGGAGTCCTTGACAAAGACGCCTTATGGTGAGGAACAGAACAAAGGTAAGGATGGTAAGCTAGAGGTCTCCCCAACTATAACTAAGGGGTTGGGGAAAATATTGGATTAAACTTTTTCTTGAGATGCCCTCCATGGTCCTACTAAGAGAGGAGTGGAGGGGTCAGATTAGAGAGGAAAACTGAAAGTCTGCTATGGTGTCCAGGAGGAGGTCCACCTTCCTCCCTTGAAATCTGAACCATCAGAGGTGGGAGAGGAGCCCTGGGACCCATCAGGTCTCCTGGACCCAGTGACCTGTGTCTCTGGAGACAGTCTGCCTTCTAATGGTCCTGTGATGGTTAATAGTAAGTGTGAACTTGATTGGATTGGAGGTTGCAAAGTATTGTTTCTGGGTGCATCTGTGAGGGAGTAGTCAAAGGAGATTGTATTAGTCCATTTTCATGCTGCTAACAAAGATATAGCCAAGACTGGGTAATTTATAAAGGGAAGAGATTTAATGGACTCACAGTTCCACATGGCTGGAGAGGCCTCAAAATCATAGCAGAAGATAAAGGAAGAGCAAAGGGGCATCTTACATAGTGGCTTCAGGCTGTCCCCGGCTTAAAGGTGAGGCTTCACAGTGGACCTACCCCTTTCTGCCCAGGAGCCTATCTGCCTCCTGCTGCCATCAACCTGCCATCCATGGCACTCACGGTGTCCAGACTGTTTGTGCCTAGGGGCACCTGCAGGCCCACGCTCAGCTGCCCTCAGTCATCCCTTTGCCTCCCTCCCTTGCTCATTGGTGCCCAAAGTCTGGAAGGGGCTGAGGCAGCAGGGGACTGGCATGTCATTGCTGTCCCAAGCACATGCAAACCCAGCCAGGTCACAACAGTGCCTGGGCTCAGCCTCAACTTTGCACCAAAATTGGAGCATGCATTGGGAGCATGAGCTGCATCCAGGATGGAGGGACCCCCCACTCCTTTAACTCAGAAGTGGTCATTGCTCCCATGTATTCCTAGCTTCCATTGAGTCTTGTGGAATGTGCAGTCCTGGCCATGCCTCCCCCACTGCAGCCAGCATCTTTGCAGCAGCCACTCCAGATGGTCTCCTATTATTATGAGATTAACACAGTTTAGTGTGTATTTGTATTTTAGTTTGATACTGTGGTTCTAAGTTTTATTATAGAAAGAGCAATAAGAAGGTTTATATTATGGTTTGAATGTTTGTGTGTCTTCCAAAATTCATGTTGACATTTAATTCCTGATGCAAAGGTATTAAGAGGTGGGGCATTTAGGAGGTGATTATGTCATGAGGACTCCATCCTCATAAATGGATTAACGCCTTATATGAAGTCTCAAAGGGATGTAGTTGCCACTTCTTTTCTTTCTACCATGTGAGGACATACTGCCAGTCCCCTTTGGAGGATGCAATGTTAAAGGTGCCATCCTGGAAACAGAGAAAGCAGCCTTCACCAGACACTGAACCTGCTGGTGACTTGACTTTGGACTTCCCAGTCTCCACAACTTTGAAAAACAAGTTCCTGTTGTTTATAAATTACTTAGTCTCAGATATTTTATTATTGCAGCACAATGAATTAAGATAGTTTACAATAACTTTATGAGTCCTGGGACAATAGGAAGAATGTAATGGCAATAAAAAATAACTCTGAAAGCAATAAGGCTTTAATTGTTTACTGCAATGGTATGAGAATGAATCTAAACCAGAAAAAGCAACAACTCCCCCTGTTACATTTCCCTCCATAGAGACTCAGAGTCACTTTAATCAGCATGGATGGGGGCGGGAGGATTATTTCACTATAGAGGGAATTCAGAACAAATGCTGTGGCAGTTTTATGATGCTATGCTTGGGGGAAATGATGGGAAAGGGTTAGGATTAGAAAAGCACTGAGTACTGAGTCAGTAAAGAAATGTGTGCTCAGCTAGGCATGGTGGCTCACTCCTGTAATCCCAGCACTTTGAGAGGCCGAGGCAGGTGGATCACCTGAGGCCAGGAGTTCGAGACGAGCCTGATCAACATGGTGAAACCCCGTCTCTACTAAAAATACAAAAATTAGCTAGGTGAGATGGTGCACACCTGTTATCCCAGCTACTGGGGAGGCTAAGGCAGGAGAATTGCTTGAACCCTGGAGGCAGAGGTTGCAGTGAGTTGAGATTGTGCCACTGCACTCCAGCCTGGGTGACAGTGCGAGACTCCACCTCAAAAAAAAAAAAAAAAAGGAAATGGGCATTCACGGTTTTCCCTCATCTTCTCTGTCCCCACTTCACCCTCCATAAGGAGGTCTTAGCAGAAGCACCTGAAGAGGGCCATACAGATGGCCTCATATGAAGATACCTAGAAATAGAGACACCTAGGCTAGGAATGTCGATGCTTACAAGGGCATGGCTTACCAGCGGGCCTGAGATTTTTATTGTCACACTCTCTGGAGACTGCAATGTAGTGGCTGTGCACTAGCTAGTTTGGAGAGGTAGTTTTTCTCCTGAGGCTTGTCAGGTAAGGCCTTTGTGATTGCTTATGGTTAGGCCTGGAAAAATCACACAGCTTCTTAACTGGGAGCCAGGACTCTTCAAGAGTAGACATGACTAAAAGAGCAGCAAATACATGTCCTTGGTTCAAGAAGCTATTAGGTAAAAAAAAAAAAAAAAAAAAAAAAACCAGAAATTATAACACCTCTAAACAGTATTTTGCATGGCACCCATCTGGATGAGAGAGAATTAAGATACATCAGTCACCTTATAAATCTTCTCTCATTTAAATCTTACAGTAATCAGTGAGATTGATGTCATTAGACACACTTTATAGAGAAATAGTGTTCTGAGAAATTTTTAAAAATTCATGAATTTCACAGTGCTTTTACTGGACAAAGAAAAAGTAGATTTATTCTATGTGATTGTTACTAAATATTCAAAAGACTCAGTGTGTTACCTGACTTCCATTTCCCTTAATTTGTTTTTAATACATGTAAATCATTTTTATAAAACTAATTTTGAAAACTGGATTGAGTTTCAAATTTTCATGTGATCACATTTATCACTTTTTGTGCAAATGTTTTTTTTTGTGAATTGTCTAAGACATTATTTCCGACTACAAACAGATAAATTAGTTGTATTATTTTTTACTATTCCTTTATATTTTAAATAATCTTAAAGATTTGTTTTCAAAAATATGATTATAATAAAGTTTAAATTAATAAATGTTATATGGTAGTTATCTACTAACCACCAACAATACTATTATCCAAATATGATTTAATGTACAGTTCATTTCTTACTTTATGCTGGCTGTAAGATTATTTCAGCCTACTAAAATCTATTTTGTAATATCTACTGTATCATATGTTATGTTTCTACTTGTGCATGGATCTATTTCTAATCATTTTATAATTAAATGTAAAGATAAGGAATGAATACCTGTATGCAAATTCAGTGATTCAAATCGTTTCCGCGTTTTCAAAAAAGAATGTAATAGCTTGAAAAATTTAAGTAAAATGGGTATGTTTTATATGCAAAGATTGCTTTGCTAATATTTGAGAGAAAATATAGAAAATTTATGAGTAGATACAGAATGGTGGTTTCACAGTTATTTGAAACATTATTTTCCAGACTTTTCTGGTTTTTTTTCAATATAAAGGACTTTTCAATAAAATCTTAGTATTCACTTTCCCTTAATGTCATAATGGAAAATTATTTGGCTATTTACTAATAAAGAGGTTTTAGACAAAAATAATTGCATTGCTGGACTGAACTGAAGAGTGATTTGTATTAAATACATCCCTAGAAGTGTCTTTCAAATGCCTGCAACTGCTTCTGTTAACTTATGTTCCCAGCTTCATTTTATTATTGGGAATGACCTTAATAAGTAGGCAGGACACAGAAACCATCTATAAGGTACTATTTTATGGGCACCAGGAAGGCCAACTACCCAAAATTTATACCCTGCAACCTGTTATGGTCTCTGAACTCAATTATTAAAGATTTATTTCTTTGTTGCTCAGACCCTTTTCAGTCTTCTGAAACACTGTCAGAATGCAAATAGTCCTCAGATTGTGCGGTCTGAAACCATAGCATTTACTAAAAAACAAAGGCGAATATAAAAACACAAGTGGATTTAATCCACATCCACACCACTTATTTGAATTATAAGAACTGAATGTAAATAATATAACCAATTTGTGATCAAGTCTGAAATCAAACCCAGGACTCATGACTGTCAGTCTAAAGCTCTTGTTTTATAATGAATCTATTTCTACTAGATAAATATAAAATAAAGACCAATTTGTTTTAAATGCATTTTGCCTTCTGCCATATGCTCTTGTAATAGGAAGGAAAAAGGCTGTCTCAAACTTCAATTTGACTTCTCCATTATCTTCTCTTTACTCATAAAATACACACATGTGCACACACACACACGCAACAGCAAAAAATAACCCTGTATCTATATTAATTAAAAGATTAAATTAAACCAATGGAGCAATTATTTGCTATATGTTATTTATCATTCACTTACTAAGTGACAGCAAATACATTTAATCTTAACATTTGGTTCATATTTCAGTTCCTCCACTATTCGGTCCTAATTTTCTATATTTACATTTATTTAGTAATTTTATATAACAAAAATAAATTCTAGTTTATGTAACAAGAATTCTTATATATGCTTAGTTGCCTATAAGTAAACTTCAAAGTGAAATAAAATTCTTTCAATTTCCAGAGCCATTTCTCTTTTCTTACTTTAGGCTGGCTGTAAGATTATTTCAGCCTCTGAGTATGGCTGTCTACCATCATTCATGATGATATACCTCTCCCCACTCTCATTCAAAGAAGTCTGCCCTATGTCTATTGCTTACATGATATTAACCACTGGTATTTAATCTTTCTTCTATATTAATTATATAAATATTGTCAAATATATGCTATTAAATAAAAATACATATTTTAGAATCTGGTATTTAAGAATTTTTTACAGCTTTTTTTTTCCTACAACTAACTTAAATATCCTGTGTGATGGTTAACACAGTAAGCCTTTATTTATTATGGCAGATAGATGCCTTCAATTATATTCCTCATGCTACTCACTCTAAAGGTGACAAAGAGGTTGTATCTTTCAGGCCAAATTCATTTGAATAAAGATCTGGTTCAAGGACACGGGTTCTGAGGCAACAAGCTGGACACTAGAGAAATAAGTGATGGCACAAAGGTTGTGTTATTGCTGAAGCATATTTGAATCTTGCTCCATGCCTTCTTTTACTTGTTCCATCAGTTCTAGCTGCCGACTCAATTCTCTCCTCCATGATGTATTTTGTGTTTATCGCTAATTCAAAATGTATCACATTGTATCATAATTTATGGCTTATCTATTCTGTTAAAAACTTAATCCATTAAGTAAAGAGTTTTATTGACTCATCTATTTTCAGTGCCCAGGAAGATGCTTAGCATATAGCCCAATACATATACTGAACGAAATAATTTTAAAAATGAAATTACATTGTTAATTTTTGTATAATGAGAAATGATTAAATTGAATAAAAGACCAATGTGGAAAACACATCTAAGGATTAGCAAACGTGAGCATGTCAAATTATTCCTAAAACATGAAGGTATACGTGGAAATTGCCTAATTATCTAATAAAAATATAAGTCAAATAAAAATTAAAAAGCTCTTTCATTGCCTTTTTAAAAGTAGAAATGCTTAGGCGAAATTCTATGCCAAAAGTCAATAATAATAAAGGTAGATGGCCAAATTAACATATAAACATTTAACATTTGTATATGTGTACATATATATGTGTGTGTGTGTGTCAGCTGTATAAAGGAAAATAAGCTTTAGTAGATTACCCCAGGTTGCAGTTTTTAGTGACTTCTTCATGCTAAGTGAATGTAACAGTACATTTGAATGTGTCGTATTATTAACGGTCCTAGAAAAAAACATAATGACTTTAAAAAGTTAACAGTGTGAAGAAAGTAGTACCAATCACACACATAATATATCAGATAATCTGTTTTCTGAAAATGAGCTTTTTAAATTAAAGTCAAGAATATGAATTAAAAATATAAATAAATCCAAAATGGAATAAATAGGCCTTTCAAGGACATAATTCTATATGTTTAAATATGATATTAAAAATTTTTATTCATGTGCCGTTGCTTCATTTTTTTTTTTTGCTCACTCAGCTTTCTAGTTTGATTGCTGTTAATATTTTGATAAGAAACAGCGAACTGTGGATAATCTTTCTTAAAAGTAAATATGATTCTACTTCTGCTACAATAAGAATGCTCAAGTATGAATAAGCACATCTAAATCCTTTAGGGGAACTCATTCAATGTGAAATTGAATAGATGTTCTGATAACCAACGAAACATATCCTCTCAGAAACTAAATTCACTATATACAAATTTGAACCTCTTCTCCAAATCTTATCTCTGTCAATGGCAACAGCATTTATCTGATATCATATAGACACTATTCTGGAGAATTTTTTCTTCCTTCCTTTCTTCTTTGTACTCTTGCATATGTGAGCCTCAGTTTCCATATCTGAAAAAAATAAGATATTGGAAATAAGGCACCACACAAAACCAACTACCACACTGACGTGGTTGATGATAACAAAGGTTAGTCCTCAAAATCGATCATGTTCACTATCACCAACACCACGTCTATTTGCAACGTTATGTTCCACACATGTCTACTGCACAATCCCACATTTGCCAAGGTTATTTTAATTTCCTCTCTGGATTTTAGTAACTGTATTTTTAAAATAAACTTTTGTATCTGCCTTTTTCACTTTCATTTTATGTCAACTTTAAAAAATAATATGTTCCCTGAAAAATTTATATATGTCAGAAGCCTAGCTGGCAAAATCTAAATTTATGGTCTTGACATTAAAAACCTTACATTAATTCACTCTACCATATCTATGTTACTGAATCTTTCTTTATTCACCTTTATTCACAAATTTATTTATGCCTTTTTTTTTTTTTTTTTTTTGGAGACGGAGTCTCACTCTGTGACCAGGCTGGAGTGCAGTGGCGTGATCTTGGCTCACTGCAACCTCCGACTCCTGGGTTCAAGAGATTATCCTGCCTTGGCCTCCCAAGTAGCTGGGACTACAGATGGGCCACCATGCCCAGAAAATTTTTTCTGTGTTTTTAGTAGAGACGGGGTTTCGCCATGTTGGCCAGGATGGTCTCGATCTCTTGACCTCGTGATCCACCCACCTCGGCCTCCCAAAGTGCTGGGATTACAGGCATGAGCCACTGCACCCGGCCTATTTATGCCATATTTTAACTAGAATTTAAATTAGCCTGAGATTCTCAAAGCACAATATAATTTACATCGAAGGTATAAAAGTAAATATTACAACTACTTCAGAAAGAAATTTACCAATAATTAGTCAAATTGAAGATTTGAATAGCTACATTTTACCTAAAAAACTCCTAGGAGTACACTTACTGGAAATTTTGGCTTCTGTGTACAATGATCAGGGTACCTGGCTATTCATTGCAGCATTGTGTGTGATAGAGAAAACATTAAATGCATGTATACATACTATTACAGGTAGGAGTATGCATCACTGTTGTAATAAATATAATGTAATATTATTTTTGAGAAATGCTTTGGAGCTGTAAGGAAAAATGGTGTAGAAAGAATCATCCACTCTATGGGTCTAGATTTAGGGTTGTTGCAATGATCAGAAAAACTAACACAGTTTGACAGAATGGATAGGAGGAAGCAGAAACTCGATGGTCTTGATGGTAGTATGAAGGTTGAAGAGTCCATTACAGTGACCCATGAGTAAATTTTCTGAGCACTAAGGAAAGCACTAGTCATGCAGATGTACCAAGAGTAGTTAGGGTACCTTGTATTGCATAAAAAAAGTATAATAAATTGCCAATTTTTAGACACCCAAGGATTTTCTTTCCTAACCCTACAACCTGCCATGGCAATACTATTACTTCTACCCAATACCCCTGAATTTGAAGGGAGGGATTTCATTGCAAAAGAGTTCCACCTATCTGGCTTATGAAAATAAACCTGAGAATGCCTGATTTCTAATAGGCATCATGTCTAAAATATTTTCCATGATATTACCATGGAAAATATCTGTTGATCTATGGTGATATGTTATATGTAGTTAATATCATATGAATGACAACATAATATATGCTATGATGATATTTTATACAATGATAATCACCAAATTTACATATAGTAATAATATCACAAATTGTTAACATATATTAGGGGCTTATTTTGTGCCAAACGCTGTTCTGTTCTCATTTCTTATAATCAATACACTTAATTATCAAAACAACCATAACATAAGGGTATTCTGAAAATTACCATTTTACACATGAGGTAAGAGAGGTCAGAGAAGTTGAACAATTTTTCTAGGGTCATACAACAGGTAGGTGGTAGAGTTAACTAGTATTATCAAGTTTGTCAGTCTCTAGACCACAGATTTTAAATATAATTTAAATTAATTTCTATATAATTTTATTCTTAGAAATTATATCTCAGAAGCATATTTTTATGTAACGTGTTTTATGTCACTTAAGTTTAAAATAATGATATTGGAGTGTGTTTTGAAAACAGAGAATGAAGAGGCAGAGATTAGAAGGAACAGCAAATTAATGGAGAAGACAGGAAGGAATGTCATCAAAAGAGTTTAATCCCATCAAGATCCCCAAAGAAGAATTGGATGCCAGTACTCTTTTTGCTTCTAACTTTCTACTCACATCAAGTTTTTCCCCTGAGTTAATGAGATATACATTTGGCCCTTGAACAACATGAGTTTGAACTGTACAGATCCACTTATACATGGATTTTCTTATGCCTGTTGCTCCGCTAAGATAGCAAGACCTACCATTCTTCTTTCTACTCCTCCTCCTCAGCCTACTAAACATGAAGATGACAAAGATGAAAACTCTCATTATGATCCACTTTCACTTAATGAATAGTAAACATATTTCTTCATTCTTACGATTTTAATAACTTTTCTTTAGCTTACTTTCTTGTAAGGATACAGTATATAATACATATAATATGCAAAATAAATGTTAATCAATTGTGTATATTTATCAGTAAGGCTTTTCATCAATAGTAAGCTATTAGAAGTTAGGCTTTTGAGGAGTCAAAAGTTATACATGCATTTTCTATTGTGTTAAGGGGCTCCCTTAACTCTTGCAGTGTTCAAGGGTCAACTGTACTTCAATTTTACAGAATATTTGAGACAGAAGAGAAGACCAGTGTTTGATGTAGTTCTTGAATTTGAGATATTTGATTTTCCAAAGTCTTATATATAATTTAATTATTTTCAAAAGCCTTATGATATTGATCATTTATGTTTTTGTTTTACTGTTAGCTTAAATATGAATGAATTGTTCATTCTGCCTAGAAAAAGTATGCTTTCAAGCCTATTCTGTCGCTCCATGTATTAAACAAATAGCTTATATGTGGCTGTGGAAATGAGCATTTTTTATCTCATGTCAAAATCCTACCTATATATTGTTCCTAGGTAGTTCAGATGTACCAAAAAGCCTTAGCCAGTTCTCACCTTTCATTGGTAAATGTTTTCTTTGGTTTTGTTCTTGTTTATTTACTTCCTACTCTGAGCATATAAACCTAGCAATATAATCTATTTGCTTGTGTTTGTTCATCCCATTAAACTGCCTTTTAAGGGCAAGGAGCAAATAAAACCTGTAAATCTCAAACTACTTACTGCAATGTCAGGAACCTGGGAATGCATGGTAAATATGAGTGGATGACATATAGTGGTGTCCGGAGCCATGAATAAAGACAAGGAGAGTGGGAACCTAGTACCACACAACTCCCAGGCAACTTGCCTTACCCTGAAAGGCAAGTTAAGGCCAGGAAATCAAGTTTTGTGTTGATTTGCTCTATGGCATCGTCATTTGTACAATGTAGAGGGCATACTGCTTAGTATCGATTTTACTCTGATGATTGCTTAACAAGCATAGTTATGCCTAAATGACTGATGAGACAAGTGACCCACCAAGGTGGCAGTGAGACAAAGAAATGTATCTACTATAAAGATGAAATAATTAGAATGAAATATACTGCCCAGGCTTTGCCAGTATTGACTTGCTGAGTCAAACTTTAAATACGTCTTTTCTTAATAGAAGGAAAAAAATGAATTGCATAGGGATATCAACATACCTTTCCCAAATATCTAATTTGTTCTGGAATTTGGTTTCAAAATAATTCTGCTAATTATTCCTATAAGCTAAAATTGATATGGTTTGTCTTATATTGATTGCATGGCCATCACTGTATTATTGAAAGTTCTGCTTTATCTGAAAAATAAAAGTTTAGGGACAAAATAGTTTCTGCTATTAACAGCAGAATACTTATGCTTTTGTCCCAAAGTGATATTTGAGTCTTTAAGACTTTTTTATACCATACAAGTGTCACTCACTCTGGTGACAGCACAAGTGTTAGAGTTTCCAATCCCAATAACAAATAATTTTCAATCATCTAGGGGTCTGCATACCAATCTGTCCTTGATTACATCCCCATATAACTGGAAACACATGTAAAAGTTTTGTGAAATACCACATTCTTTTGACTGGCAATTTTAATTTGATCTTGTGCCATAATTAAACATTACTTCCTATATGGGCCCAACCTAAACTTGACAAAGAAAAAAGCCCAAATGCAGCATAATTGGTTGATTAAATACATTAAATGGAAAGAAAAAAATGATTAAAGAAATGAATGTCCCAAGAAATAGGTTATCAGTAATATTTAGCCCAAAATGGAAGTTTCATATTAGTAGTAGTCTCCACATTTTCTGAATTTCATTTTCAAACCCACTCAACATTCAAGTTGATATTGTTTATCATTTCACTCTATTATGCCTCTAGTCATTTATTAATTTTAACCTGAAGTCTTTTATTTAGCTTATGATACAACTACTGAAATGATTTCTAGGGAAGTTCAATGATTATTTTGAAAAGGGCATAAGACCAGTTCAAATAAGGTTAAGGTTGAAATTTTTACACATTTTTATTGTCCAGAGTTACAAACTTAATTGGATTTAACAAAGGCCCTTGACTTTGAAGAAAAGCTGAAGAATGGAGGCACTAATGTTTGCTAAATGTAGTGTCCATTGCTCAGAAAATCAGATGATGTGTCTTGCTAGAAAGTGCAACTAGCTACACACTAAAAAGAATATGAAAATCAGAAGGTATATTTCACAAATTATAATAATATACTGGATGTGAACAGGAGAGACAGTTACTGAACACAAACATAATAACGCGGATCCTGTAACGCATGGTGTGTGTCAAAAAAAAACCACTGTACAACGTATTTTAAAACTTATGTACACAAAACCAAAGATTTTCTTTTTTACCTAGCCCAAATGCCATCCCAGCCTTAGAGTCCTGCTCTTTATAAAAATAAAATAAAGAAAAAGAAAAAAATTATAATAATAATTGGTCTCTTTTCACTAGGTGTTCAAGGGAATGGGCAAACATGAGTGACCAATAATTCATTTGACAAATAATTATTTTTGATTATTGTGTACCTAGCAATATGCAGAAGACACGAAACAGAATCATGGTAAGGAGAAAGAAACAAGTAGGATAAAGTATACAAAGTGTGAGAAAAGCTAAATTTTACAGTAAATTTTAATTTTACTAAATCCATGCATGCTGGGCTATCTTTTGGAGTGAGTACTGATGTGTGTGCCTCTTTTTGTCAAGGAGGGAGTAATGATAAAAGAATAGAGATGTGTTCAGTCATATTAACAATTCTTGTTTTCTCAACTTATTAATTTACTTTCATTATTCCTGCTTATTATTTGGGAGTGGTTGGAAGACATTTTAATTTTCAGAATGAGATAGGATAAACATTAACATAAATCAATATGGTATAATTATTGTGTGTGTCAGGCAATCCAATATTTCTGAAATATGTTCAAACTCAGAGGGCAATGGGAAAATGCAACAGCAAGGAGAATAAGTCAAGAATATTGACTTGTGTCACCTCTCTTTATTGACAGCTCATTGATTTCCTATACATGTGTATGTGCGTGTGTGTGTGTGTGCGTGTGTGTGTGCATGTGTGTGTGTAACATATTAGGAAACCAGCTAGAAATATTAGTAAAAGCTATGGAAAAGTACAAACTTTTCACTTCTTTTCAAACAAAAACAATGACATATTTTGATTTTATCTCATTATAAGTATCCACTGATTTTAACCATAATATTATGGGACAGTTGTGGATCAGTAGAGAAGAAGAGAGGATCTATTGTTAACATGTTGGAAATGCTGAAAGCCCATCTCCTCTAATCAGGAGTCACTAATATGATGAAAACCAAATATAAAAGTGTGTCTCAAATAAGAACATTATCTATTGAGTATTTTTCAAAACATTTGAGGGTATGTATATAAGGGAAACAAATTTAGAAAGCCCTAGCCTATAGACACACACACACAAGGACACACACAAGCATGTGAGCCCATGCGCGCACACACACACACACACACAAACCTATAAAAATGTATGAAAATTTCACAACAAAATATTTTAAGTATGATAAAATTCTGTTTTGCATTTTTATCCTTGTAAAATAGATAGTATCGCCAGTTACTTGCTACTTTCCCACTGCTTGGAGGTTTTGAATTAGGACATTTAAGTATGTTTGGGATTTAGGAACACATATATATATATATTCACAGTCATGAAAGCATAATAAAATATAACCTTATAAGATAACATATGTGGGAAACTTAAGAAGCTGGTGATGTTTGAGTTATGTACATTTTATATTCCTACATAGTTTGATTCAGCTGGGTGTAGTTTTCTGTGTTCACCTAGTCTTTCTTGCAAATTAAATCATGCATAAGCAAGCAAATAACTCCCATTACATTCAGAGTTTTCTGTAATATAACAATCATGTAGGAACAAATTTGCAGTTTCAAAAAAAAGTATTTTAGCTGAACTGATTGTGTTTGTCTATCTTGACTCTTTCCATGTGGCCTCAAGGCTGTGCAGTTTCTAAAGTAATTCTCACAGTACATTTGTTGCTTGCTGTTGAAATTATCTTATTTATATCCCTTTTATGAGAGACACAGATTATTGGTAATAGACACAGAATGAGAGAGGGATATGGATTGGGAATAATTGCTACAAACATTTCATTTTTTGCTTATGGAGCACCTGTGCAAGCAGTGTTAAGTCTTCTCTACCACTTCAATACAATTTAGAACACTAGATTATAATAATAAATGGTATATGCATATTCCACTTTTTGGAAATATGCAATTAATCTGGAATTCAGATACACACAAAATTACTCTCTGTCTCTCTCTCTCTCTCTCTCTCACACACACACACACACACACACCATAAATCAATATCTTTCCTAAAAGTGATCTCTATCAGGTAAGTCCCTGGGTAGTCCAAAAAGTCTCCTTGGGCTTGACATCCACAGATGATGAATCTCCAGTTTCATGTCAGTTCTAGCAAGGTTCATGAAAAGGTTTAGGAAGTTTGCTGTCAGGCAGTGGGATCACTTCCAGCCTGTGCAAGACTTCAATGCTAAACCAAGTTAAAAACAAACAAAAAATAAATAGGTAAGAAAATAAGAATGAATAAAGTAAGAAAAAATAGCAAAGGTAGAATTTGTATTGCTGTAAGTCAGATATCTCAAAAAGTAGTCTAGGGACTTCTAGCATTCACCACTTTCAAAACTATTTGCATAATAATACTAAGCCATTATTTACTTTTGCATTCTCATTCTCTCAAAAGAGAAAAGTAGAATTTCTGAAGGCTACATGAATTTTGACATCACAAAATATTAAAATACAGTAGATTTGATAATCTAGTTGTTTTTTATTGTCAGACTTTTGAAAAAAGGAAAATGACTCTACACTTTTATTAATATTTATATTTAAATATACTTATTTTTATATATTTTATTTATATTAACATGTAATGGGTACATTATTGTTAAATTAACAGAAATATTTTACAAAATTATTTTAATTTTCAATATGGTAAATATTGATGCATATAGCCACTTAAAATGTATTTGGAGTCTCAATAATGTTGAATAATTTAAAGTTATCTTGACCAAGAAGTTTAAGAAGTGTCACAGTTAATTTAAAAAAATCTATTATAGCAAATAAAGTAGTTGAAAAAAACAACTGTGAAATTAAATGTCTAAAACTGATTTGCATTACATCTGTATTAATGTCATGAGATAGCAATAATCTGCAGAATACTGTAGCAATTTTAAAATTTTTCCCATTCATTTAGAGTCACACTTAAAATGCATGATAAGTGAATCCATAATAAATGATAAAATCAAGTAGAAATATTGCTGTTGGAAATATGTTAAGCTCAATTGTTTGTAAGTTCATAAACAATTTGAACTACCAAATTAAGAAACATCATCCATTTAAATGAACCTTCATGAAAGTAAGACATATATAAATCCAAAACTAATAATATGGAGAGAACCCATTCTGAAAAATAAAACACGTAAGTTAAGAAAATATTGGTTGTTTAATAACAAAAATGGCCTCTGCCTTGAAGTACAGACTAACAACCATCCATTTGATTATTCCCTTTGATGTTTACTTTGCAGTTTTAACTGGACTTGAGTAAAATTAAACTTTTTACCTTGGAACAAACCTATATGTCCTAAAGTTACACTGATTTAAATTTTATGGAGAGAAAAAATATAGAGACTGAGAAGACCTAGACATGGGAGTTACTAGACAAAGACTTTAAATTAGTTATTAAATATGTTCAAAGAGCTAAATGCTAAAAAACAGAAACATGAGAATAATCTCCCACCAAATAAAGAAGAGCAACAGAGAGAAATTATTTTACAAAAATAAATTTAAATACTGGGTTTTTAAAAAAAATAATTAAAATTTATAAAAACCATGCTAGAATTTCTTAATAACTAATTTGAGATGGCAAAAGTAAGATTCAGCAAACTTGAAGACAAATTAAAATCAGCCTTCTGGGGAGCAGAAATACATCTGAATGAAGAAAATTAAACACAGAAACAGTGACATGAGGAATATCACAAAGCATCAAGCACTTCATCAGGAAAGTCATGTAATAAAAGAGGGACAAAAATGTCATAAGATATATAGCAAAAGAGAAAAGTAGTATGCATAAATCCTATCTCATTAAAAATTGAATTAACTGTGAATGATTTTAAAATTTCAATTAAAAGTCACGGTTTGTAATATTGAGCTTTACAAAGTGATCCAATTATATGCTCTCTATAACAAATGCACTTTAGATTCAGGCATAAATAGGTTGAAAGTAAAAGTATGGAAAATATATACTATGAAAATCAAAACCAAAAGAGAATTGAGGTGGGTATAACAATATCAGACTAAATAGACTTTAGAAAAAAAAAGTTACTAGAGATAACATGTAGAGGAATATATTATAATAATAACATAAAGAGGAAATATATTATAATAACAAAAGTGTCAATCCCTCAGGAAGATATAAGAAAATTATACACATATAAGCATCTAAGAACAAAACCTCAAAATAAGTAAAACAGAAACTAATAAAATTGAGTGGAGAAATAGACAATTTAACAACAATAACTGGAAACTTTAATATCCCACTTTCAATAATGAATAGAACAAATAGCAGAATGTCAAGAAAGAGAGGACTTATAAGGACGTTATAAGCCTACTAGTCATTATACACATTTGTAGATGTGTATAAACAGCAGAATACACATTCATCTCTAATACACATCCCTCTCACTTTCAATAATGAATAGAACAAATAGCAGAATGTCAAGAAAGAGGGCTTAAACAACACCATAAGCCTACCAGTTATAATACACATCTGTAGCGACCTCCATCCAACAACAGGAGAATACGCATTCCTCTCTAATGCATATGGAATAAACAGGCAATAAAACATGACTCAGCAAATCTAAAAAGTAAATCATACAAAATATGTTGTCCAGCCAGAAAAGACTAAAATTAAATATCAATAACAGAGGAAACTTGGAAAAGTCATACATAGGTGAAAATTAAACAGGAAACTACTAAGTAACCAACTGATCAAAAATAAATTACAACAGCATTTAGAAAATATTTTGACATGAAGGAAAATGAAAACACAACATGCCAAACTCATAAGATGTATGGAAATTAGTGCTAAAAGGGAAATGTATAGCTATAAATGCACACATTAAAAAACAGGAATTATTTTAAATTAATAATGAGACCTCCAATTTAAAAAACTATTAAAAGAAGAACTGAATACAGAAGAAAGAAAAGGAGGTACATGTTAACAATTAGCTCTATTTTAGTCCATAAAATAGAGAATAGAAATACAATTTAAAAATGAATGAATAGCCAGGAGTGGTGGCACACACCTGTAATCCAAGCTACTCAGGAGGCTGAGGAAGAAGAATTGCTTGAACTCGGGAGGTGGAGGTTACAGTGAGCCGAGATTGCGCCACTGCACTCTACCCTGGGTGATGCAGTGAGACTCCACCTCAAAAAAATAAAATAAATTAAAATAAAATAAATCAATAAATACTTAAAAAATCAATGAAACAATATTTATTCTTCAGAAAGATTTTAAAAATTGACAATCTTTTAGAAAGATTTGAATACAAAAAAAAATAGGAGACTCAAATTACTGAAGTCAAGAAATAGAAAGGTGACGCTACTACTTACCTGAAAAAAAACAAAAAAGGATTGTAAGAGAATAGTATGAGCGCACCATTGCCAACAAATTAGATAACCTAGATGAAATAGGCAAACTCCTACAAAGGCACAAACTATCAGGACTGACTTAAGAAGAAATAGAAAAACCTAAATAAACCTATAACAAGTCTATATCCACAAATAAAAACTTAGCAATGCTGAATTCTATTAAATGTTTAAAGAATAATTATAATGGCCAGGCGCGGTGGCCCACGCCTGCAGTCGCAGCACTTTGGGAGGCCGAGGCGGGCAGATCACGAGGTCGGGAGATCGAGATCATCCCAGCTAACATGGTGAAACCCCGTCTCTACTAAAAATACAAAAAAATTAGTTGGGCGTGGTGGCAGGCGTCTGTAGTCCCATCTACTCGGGAGACTGAGGCAGGAAAATGGCATGAACCTGGGAGGCGGAACTGGCAGTGAGCCGAGACTGCCCCACTGCATTCCAGCCTGGGTGACAGAGCAAGACTCCGTCTCAAAAAAAAAAAAAGAAGAATATTTATAATAAATCCTTTACTAATTTTACCAAAAATGGAATAAGACAGAACATGTCCTAACTTTATCTATGAGGCTGGTGTTGCCCTAATACTGAAAATAGACAAAAGCATTACAAAAAAAGAACACCAGTATCCTTTATGACTAAACACACAAAGATTCTGAAAAAAATGCAGGGTAACTGAAACCAGCAGCACATAAAAAGTATCATACACCATAGTCAAGTGTGTTTTATCCTAAAAAACAAGATTGGTTCAACATACCAAAACAAAACAAAATAAAACAAAAATGAACAAAAAACAGTGTTGTAGGTTATATTACTAGAATAAAAAGAAAAAATACCCATAGCCATTTCAATGACCAAATCCAACAACCTTTTATAATTAAAAAAACAGTCAGAAGACTAGGACTAGAGAGGAACATCCTCATTCTAAAATTGGCATTTGTTAAAACCCCACAGCTATTATCATACTTTATAATAAAATATTAAAAATCTTCCACCACAGATCAGGAAATGGATAAGGATCTTCATTGTTGCCACTACTATTCAAATTTTACTGGAAGTTCCGGCGATTAGGCAATAAATAAATAAATAAATAAATAAATAAATAAATCTAGGTAAGAGAGGATGTAGCAAAATTATCTCCATTGAGGGAGACATGATATTCTCTGTAAACAAACATGAGGAACACAGAATAAAAATACTATAGAGCTGATAAGGAGTTCAGTAATGCTGCAGGATAAAAGATCAATATACAGAAATCAATTGTATTTTTATATGCTAGTAATTAACAATCCAAAAATGAACTTAAGAGAACAATATCATTTGTAACACTATCAAAACAATTAAAATATATAAGAATATTTAAATAGATAAGTGCAAGAATTGTACACTGAAAGTTACAAAGATGGTAGTATGTCCTCAATTGATATACAGATTAAACACTATCCCTATAGAAATCCAAGTGGCTTCTTTTCAAAACTTGAAAAGTTGATGCTAAAATTTATATGGAAATGCATAAGAGTAAGAATAGCAAACACGATTTTGACAAAGAAGAATATAATTAAAGAATCCATACTTTCTGATTTCACAACTTGTTACAAAAATACAATAAACAAAATTTTGTGATAGCAGCATAAAGATAGACAAATTGAGCAGTGTAACAGAACGGAAAATCAAGAAATAAACCTACTTTTTATGAGCAATTGTTTTTGACAAAGGTATAAAGAGATTACAGTGAGGAAAAACCTTTTTAACAGATGGTGCTGGGACAACTGTATATCCACATGTAAAGCAATGAAGTTGGACATCATACTCCACATTCTATGCAAAAAAGAATAACTCAAAATGTATCAAAGACCCAAATATAAGAGCTTAAACTATAAAACTCTTAGTAAGGCTGGGTGTGGTGGCTCAGACCTGTAATCCCAGCACTTTGGGAGGCTGAGATGGGCGAATCATGAGGTCAAGGGATCAAGACCATACTGGCCAACATGGTGAAACCCCATCGCTACTAAAAATACAAAAAATTAGCTGGACATGGTGGCACGCACCTGTCGTCCCAGCTACTTGGGATGCTGAGGCAGGAGAATCACTTGAACCTGGGAGGCGGAGGTTGCAGTGAGCCGAGATCATGCCACCGCACTCCAGCCTGGTGACAGAGCAAGACTCTATCTGAAAAAACAAACCAACAAACAGAACTCTTAGTAAATCATATGGACATAACTCTTTGTAATCTTGAATTATGCAGCAACTTCTTAGATATGACATGGAATGTGGAAGCAACAAAAGAGAAAATAGATAAAGTGGACTCCAACAAATTTTAAAACTTTGTACTCTAAGGAATCTATCAAGAAAATGCAAAAACAACCAACAACGTTGGAAAAAAATTGGTAAATAATATACAAGATAATGGTCTAATATTTTGAATATGCAAAGAACTCTTACAAGTCAATTAAAAGACAACCCAATAAAATTATGCAAAGGATTTGAATAGACGTTTGTTCAAAAAATATATACAAATGCTTAATAAGCAAGTGAAATGATGCTCAAAATTATTAGCCATTAAAGAAATACAAATCTCACTTCACCTCATTAGTGTGACTATTATTTTAAAAAAGGCAGATATATCAATTCCTGGCAAGGTTGTGGAGAATTTGGAACTATCCTACCTTGCTGGTGTGAAATGTAAAATAGTGTAGTCTCTTTGGAATATGTTTTCCCAATTCTGCACAATTACACATTATTACAGTATGATTCAGTCTTTCCAATTCTAAATATATAGCCAATTGAAAACATATATCCACACAAAAGTATTTGTATTAGTTTGTTCTCACACTGCTATAAAGAAATACCCAAGGCTGGGCAATTTATAAAGGAAAGAAACTTAATTGACTCACAGTTCTGCATGGCTGGGGAGGCCTCAGGAAACTTACAATCATGTGGAAGGCAGAGGAGAAGCAGCCATCTTCTTCACAGGGCCCCTTATAAAACCATCAGATCTCATGAGAACTCACTCACTACCAAGAGAACAGCATGAGGGAAACCGCCCCCATGATTCAATTATCTCCACCTGTTCCACAATCAACATGTGGGGATTATGGGGATTACAAGTCAAGATGAAATTTTGGTGGAGACACAGAGCCTAACTATATCAGTCTTATATTTGGATATTAATAGCGGCATAATTTATAATAGCTAAAATGTATAAACAAACAAATGTCCATCCACTAATAAATGAATGAACAAAACACAACATTTCCATACAATGGAATATTTTCATCTAGCAAACGTAATAAAGAATTGATTCATGCTAAAATATGGAGGCAAGTTGAAAACATTATACTGAGTAAAAGAGACCAGCACAAAAGGTTAAATATTGTGTGATTCTATTTATATGAAGGGATCAAAATAGTCAAATCCACCAATTCAGAAAATAGGTTGCCAGGTTTGTGGGTAACCAGGGAGTTACTGCTGATGGGTACACGTTGTCTCTTTGGGGTCATGGAAATATTCTGAAATAAAGTATTGCTGGTATTTGCACGATTTTATTAGTACATAAAAACCACTGAATTGCACACTTTAAAAGGATAAAATTTATGTCATGTGACATATCTCAATTAAAAGCATCATATGTGGAAAGCTGGATTTGGCCCAAAGGCAGAAGTTTGTTAACTCTTTCATCTCCTCATGTGAACCATAAAAAAGGATCTAAATTACTAACCTATTGTCACTAGGTAAATTCCACAAGAGCAATGACAAAGATACTAGAAATGTCCTCGTTTCCAAGGTCTTTATTTTGAATCATCACTTGTTTAGATAGAATCAATCAGTTCTTCCTTCTACTTGGTTTGAGTTGTCACATGTGGATTTGCTTTTTATTATATTAGAGTCACTCAAGGAAGCATTATTGCCAGGGTTCATTAAATTTTGAGAAAATTTTTCAAATTTTATTAATATATGAACTGTTAAGTCAAAAATGACTTGGCATCTTAAAAGCTTCACAATTAAGCTGATACTGAAGATATTTTACCACATCAGTTCTCTCAATGTTTCCAAATTTTGGGGTTAGACTTTTTATAAGCGAACTTGATTTTATCCATTGGCTCTTTGAAAAATCAAAAGCCTTGGTTTAGTTGATTGATAGATTTTTTTCCTCCAAAATTTTGTTTGGAAGATTTATTGCCAATACATGATTGCATTATCTTATTGCTACACCTGTGATCTGCCAGCCCCCCACACCCAAAATTGGAACAATTATTTCATTAGTGTTTCTAACTGGAAACTATTTGGCTCTTTAATGGTAGATGATCACAATTTGTCTCATCGTCTACTCTAATCTCCTTAGGAGTCCTAGATTTAGTCCTCTGATAAGATGCCATAAAATAAAATAAAGAAAACTCTAATCTACAGACCTTACTTTAGTCTGCTCTGATATTGAATGTTACTTTAGAGAAATCTGAAAGTAGCATTTTTTATTCATGAGAAATTTATTTCTTAATATTAGTGATTCACATCAATTTCCTTGAGAGCATATAGGAAATAGAAATGATCAGTAACATTTATTGAATGCACAAACTATTTTTTGAAACTAAGTAAAATATTTCAGTATTGTTAGACAATTTCTGGTTTCAAAAATATTAAAAAACATCTTGGATTTAATAAAAAGCAGTTTAATATACTAGCTATTATATGCAAGCTATTCATTATGCCACTCAATCAATAATACTACTCTGAAATAATGATCTCAGGTATACCGATAAGGAAACTGGAGATCGTATGGAGAAAGACAAATGATAAAAATTACAATAAAGATATGAAAGATGAGCTGCTAAAAGCCAAAACAAATGATGACAGACCTTCTTAGAGAGAGAGAAAGTAACTTTCTCTCTGCGGTGGTCTGCCTAAAAATGAATACAATCATGGACTAAAGGAAGTAAATGATTGATCATAGATGACACAAACAAATGGAAAAGTATTTCATATGCATGGATTAGAAGAGTCAATAATGTTAAAATGGCCATATTGCCCAAAGCAATTTACAGATTTAATACTATTCCTATCAAACTACCAATGACATTTTTTGCAAAGTTAGAAAAAAAAACTATTCTAAATTTCTTGTGGAGTCAAAAAATAGCCCTAATAGCCAAAGCAATCCTAAGCCAAAAGAACAAAGCCAGAGACATCACATTACCTGATTTGAAACTATACTATCAGGCTATAGTAACAAAAACAGTATGGTACTGGTACAAAAATAGACACATATACGAATGAAACAGAATAGAGAACTCAGAAATAAAGCTGCACACCTACAGCCATATGATCTTCAATAAACTTGATAAAAATAAGCAATGGGAAAAGGACACCCTATTCAATAAATGATGTTGGGATAACCAGCTAGTCATGTTTAGAAGAATGAAACTGGACACAAGATGGTTTAAAGATTTCAAAGTAAGACTTTAAATTAGAAGAAACCTAGAAGAAAACCTAGGAAACAGAATTCTGGACATCAGCCTTGAGAAAGAATGTATTACTAAGTACTCAAAAGCAATTGCAAGAAAAACAAAAATTGAAGAATGGGCCCTAATTAAACTAAAGAGCTTCTGCACAACAAAAGAAGTTATCAACAATGTAAACAGGCAACCTACAGAATGAGAGAAAATTTTTGCAAGCCATGCATGTGACAAAGGTCTAATATCCAGAATCTATAAGGAACTTAAATGAATCAACTAATAACCCTACTAAAAAATTGGCAAAAGGCATGAACACACACGTCTCAAAAGAAGACATACACATGGCTAACAAACATGAAAAAATGCTATCATCACTAATCAGAGAAATGCAAATCAAAACCACAATGAAATACTATCTCAGCCCAGTCAGAATGGCTGTTACTAAAAAGCCAAAAAGCAACAGATGCTGGTGAGGCTGAAGAGAAAAGGGAAGGCTCATACAATGTTCGTGGGAATGTAAATGAGTTCAGACACTTTGGAAAGAAGTTTGGACATTTCTCAAAGAACTGAAAACAGCTATCATCAAACCAGCAATCCCATTACTTGGTATATATCCAAAAGAAAACAAGTTATCCTATCAGAAAAAACACGTGCCGTTTTATGGTCATTGCAGCACTCTTCACAATAGCAAAGACATGGAAACAACCTACGTGCCCATCAATTGCGGATTGGATAAGGAAAATGTGGTACCTATACACCATGGAATACTATGCAGCCATAAAAAAAAGAACAAATTCATGTTTCTTGCAGCAACATGGATGCAGCTGCAGGACATATTCTAAGTGAATTAATGCAGGTACAGAAAACCATGTACCACATGTTCTCACTTATACGTGGGAGCTGAAGACTGGGTGCTCATGCACATAAAGATGGCAATAATAGACACTGGAGACTACTGGGAAGGAAAGAGGGAACGGAGCAAGGGTTGAAAAACTATTAGATATTATGCTCACTACCTGAATGCTAGGAACTGTGAAGACCAGAAGAAATATTGATAAGTTATCCTGGACCCTGATACCATCTCAGAAGAAAATATATTTCTGGATAATTGACAACCCTTGAGACTCAGGAAAGGAAAGCTTATGGATATATTTATGTAAAAGAAAAACTAAATTTAGGAAATTTTAGTGACGTAATTAGTCCTAGTATTAATGAGAGAGTAGTTTCCTGCAAATGAATTCACTTTCAATGATGTAATACGATTCGGAATTGTTCAGAGAATGAACAAAAGGTTCTAAATTCACTTTTAGATAAACATATTACCTCCAGCCAAAAGGACACTTACAGTTTTATTTCTTGTTATTTATGCAAAACTAGGTATGATATATGTGCTCTTTCAAACTGTATATCTTTGATCTGATATTATACCCTTTTGTCTTCCATGTGTCAGAGACAGATATACCACAAGGTTTGATTTGCTTTAAAAATGCTATTTGTTTTACTTAGTTTTACTTTACACCAATTTGGAGTATTAATAAGTTTGTTTTAGTTCAAATGATCCTGCATTAAGTGTTGATAAGGCAAAGGAAAACATTGATCTATCAACAGGACCAGTAAAATCTGAAAGAAAGTCTAGCTTCGCAAATATAAAAACATATATAGAAAGAAATAAATGTAAGGAGATTGTTGAATTAGTGCATCCAGCATAATCAGTTTTAACTATTCTGTGAAGTACTCAAAATCGAAGTGACAAGGAATAAAATTATGGCCTTTGTTATCATTAGGCCATTTAAAGTCTCAGGAAATTACAAGGTGACAGTTTAGCAGAAAGTGACAGAGCATGGACTTTGAAAGCAAGTAAGACCAGATATGGACATTGCAATTCATGTCTGGAAATACCTTTGATAAGTAGCTTGGCTTTTATAATCATCAATTTAATTTATTTAACCTCTATAGCAAAGGCGATAATATTATACATCATTTAAAGATTTTTGTAAAAATTAAATGAAACAACAATGTAAAGTGTGTAGGCTGTCACACAGCTTTTAGTATATATTAGCTATTCTATTATTTGCACAGGTTTCTATTATTTGTATTTTAATTTTGTATGACAGGTCATACTACCAACATCAAAAAGATGTTAAGGTTTTCCTTTTCTTTTCAGTCAAGGGCAAGTTATTTTTATTTTTATTTATTCATTTATTTATTTTTTTGAGACTGAGTCTTGCTCTGTTACCCAGGCTGTAGTGCAGTGGCGCGATCCAGGCTCACTGCCAGCTCCGCCTCCCGGGTTCACGCCATTCTCCTACCTCAGCCTCCTGAGTAGCTGGGACTACAGGCGCCCGCCACCACGCCCAGCTAATGTTTTTGTATTTTTAGTAGAGACGGGGTTTCACCGTGTTAGCCAGGATCGTCTTGATCTCCTGACCTCGTCATCCGCCCGCCTCGGCCTCCCAAAGTGCTGGGATTACAAGCGTGAGCCATCGCGCCCAGCCAGTCAAGGGCAAGTTCTATAACAAAATAAAGAACAATCATTGCATTATTTTTTTAAAAACAATTTGAGTTCTGAAATTTTTAATGCCAGTTTTAGGATATCTCTTTACTGCAATAGCATCATCCAGTTCTCTGTACTGCAGAGAGTATGTATTGCAACTTTCTATGCAAATTGCATTCACATTTACATGTTGAATGCACAGATTTGATCATGCAACTTCACTCCTCAAAAAAGGAAAAAAGGAACCCTAGTTTCTTAATGTATAAAACTTGAAGTTTAATACCTTTAGAATCAAATTTAATTATCTTCCCAACTTGGCCCCAATCTAACTTGCCTTCGATTTTCTTATGTCACTCCCGCCCCCATTCCTGTAACATATGGATAGTCAAATTTTAGTGGGACGATTTGGAAAGATTTAATTGCTTTAATATAAAGATTTCAGGCAAAATACTCAAAAGTACAGCCCAACAATACATATCTCTGTAATATGTGTATCATATTTTGAAAGCTACAGAAATAGCAATTTAATGTTACAAAAAGATGTTTTTATCCTTTTACTTCATAGCTGTTATCTTTTAAAATTGTAAAAAATCAATACCCTAAGTCATAATGACATGGTTCTTACTACAACTTGTGATTCTTTTAAATTTATAAATTAAGACTAAATTGTGACTTAAACATAATGGATTTAATGTTTGTAAAATAAACAAATTTTTTAAAATATACATTAATATTTAAATCTATTAAAGTTAATACTAAACATTAACTTTATTATCTAAAATAAAATCAATTCTATTATATTTATCTTTTAAAGTGGTTAATTCGTGAATTTTGTTCACTAAAGAGAACAAATTAATGGCATCCTCTACTTTAAAATGGCAATCTTAGTTTGATATTTATGTAACAACCTCTCACTGCAGTAGCTCCGATAAATTATTAAAATCACTAGTGACTTGAATACTATCTATCTATTTAAGTTATTAGAGGCCTGGACACAATGCACACTCCTGAAATTCTGAAAAATATTAACATATGTGACACAATTATATTTATTCATATAAAAGCTCCTATAAGTAAGACAGCATTATAAAAAGAAATATCCAAATTTTGGTTAAATTAATGTTAAAATAAAACAAAAACAATGAAAATTAACTTGCTGGAAAAAAAAGAAAACTAAAATTAAATATCAGAATTTAAATAAAACTCCAGCTTTTATGCAGAAATAGGCTGAAATGAGCAATGTGTAAAAGAGCAAGCGATGGGAGCAAATAGGGATTTGGTGGTAACCTCCAGGATTTGCATGAACAGATGGGTTTCATACTATGGGAACATGTTGTGGACCCTTCAGGGCACCCCTAGAGTAGACTGTGTGCTGAACAGAATGGGAGTACTCTAGAGAAGGTTCCTAGAGATGACAATTATGCAAGGTAGAGATAAGAACCTCTTCTTGTGAATAATTTTTGCTAGCACAATACGTTAGGAAGGAAACTTGTGAGTGCAGAAGTGAGATATATCACAGCTATGCCTTTGAGATTTATAAATATTAATTATGTACATATGTATACTTCTACTAAGTCTATAGAATAATGCCTATGTCAAGTAATTTTAACATAATATATTTACTTTAATAATAAATGCACATCCTTTGCATTGATTAAAGATCTCTAACTCATCTGTATCAAAAGTAAGATTCTAATATTTAAATTAGGCCTCATTCTAATAACTTAAAATTTCATTTGCATATGCATATATACAAGTATATAAATATATTCCTAAGTGCATACTAAATATCTAATTGTTTCAATCACACATAGCTTTTCTCTTTTTCCAATATCAAAATGTTGATATGTGTTTGCTTTGTAAAAGAAAATACCCAGAGGTATATAGTATTGTAAAAATCAGTGAAAAAATATTTAGAGATAAGCTTTATGAATAATCTATTTTATAGAAGTTATTTCTTCCAGAAGTAAGATATTTTTAATCACAGAAAACCTCCGAGTTAAGTATGTAAGCACTAGAATGAGTTATGAATAAATAAAGCGGCACTATCTATAAACATATTTCATTCTTAAGGAGGAAATTTCTGAAATATCAAAAACACATTGTTTGTATCCTTATGAAATAGGCTTAGAAGTAAAAGATAGCCTAACAATAATTTTTAAATTATTTTTAAAGCTATGAATGCATTTTTCTTCCTTACATTGTATTTTCATAGTTTAGTATTTGCCTGAAGTACTTCAACAAAGATTGAGATTGGCAGGGTAAAGGAAAAGAGTGCTCCCTATGATATCCCATCAAAGGTAGAAGAAAGAGAGTGGTTAGGTTAAAAAAAATTTTTTTTCATGGTAGATACCAACACAATCATCCTGTTATTATTATCTGTTGAATTGATGACAATTTTCAAGTGGCACTTAACACAGACACAAAAGTCATCTATAGCCTTCTCTGGTGTTTACAGGTACTATGCAGTCACCAGGGACTTCATAACTGTGCTTGAGGCTATTATTCCTTTCATTAGGCTTTCCTTTTTTTTATTATGTTTGGGCTTTGAGTTTTCACCGAAGGTCAAAGTATAACTTTCATGCCTGAAAGCCTGTTTTTTTGAGTACAAAGAAAGTGTCAGCTAAAATAAAACATCTTCCACTAACAAACCCATTTCTACCTTCAAGTTTAGCAGGACTTTTACAATGAAACTAGAGATAGATAAATTCCCTAGCTGGGAGAAGAAATATGCAGGACTGAGTTAGTTGTTACTCTATTTACAATAATATAATAATAGAATAATTGGTGAAAATATTTTAAGCACACTGTCATTCATATAAGTCCCAATGTGAAGAATTTTTCACTCTGTTCTCACCATAATTTTGGTTATTTCCCTTTTAAAAATAGTAAATTTTATTGCAACATACTGTTCATTCCCCAATTGGGTCAAGCCTGGCAATTTCCAAGCAGGGCTGGTGCAGTTTAGTCAATGTAGCAAGAGCACCATCTTTACTCTTCAAATTGAGGAAACAGTACAAAACTAAGTCCACAAGAAGCAAAGGAGAGAAAAAAGTTAAAATGACCAACACAATTCCTGTGAATTTCCATATGTCCTTAACTTTTAAACTTCCCACAGTCCTGACAGGTGGGTGGTTTCCCCTACTCTTTCTCTTTTATGTTATGCTGCCTCCAAATTTAAATATGCTTTCAGCTAGGACCAAGATGGGCCTTGACACATGGAGTGTAAAAAAAACCTCAATGTCCATACTTCCAAGGGTGTTAGGTCCTAGTTCTAAATGAGACTGGTCATTAAAGTTGTTTGTAAATGAGAAAATGTGGAAACAAAGTATAGCCTCATAAAATGGGCCAGAAACACTTTTAAATTGAGTCAGATCACCAAAGCTCACCAAAGCTAAGGTTTAGGGATAGGTTGCTATCCTCGTGGAGAATTACCATGTGAAATTCTCATGGTGAAATTACCTTGTGAAATAGGAAGGACTAGGGCAGAGACGCCATTGAGCCAAGTGAAGACCATCAGTTTGAGTTAGATAGAAAAGTTCAACCCTGATCATCACAGAAACTTCTCAGGTGGCTAAATGTCTCTCAAAGACATATGGGCAATAGTGTGGGGGATGGTAACAACAACAAAAACAACTGCAACAACAGTAGGAACAACCATAAACAGTTCACATTACTCAAACTTCTGGAGATACAGAGAAAACACAAAATTGAAATAAAAAAGACCTAAACTGAAGTCTTGCTCCATCTATTACTAGCAAGGCAGTATGGATCAAAAGTTTCTAAGTTATAATAATTACACATTATTGTGGCCCATGAGCTAAAATGTGCTGACCTGTGTTCTATTAATTTATAGTAAACAAATGAAAAACTCTTATTAGGAGAAGTTGTAAAGGCAAAATGGAATCTTTCTCAAATAGTTCCAATGCCCCTGTATCTTACTGCCTTCTTCACATTTCTATTTGTATATACAATAGACATATCAATCATAATATTCCCAAATTAGAGCTCCAGAGCTCCCCACCTTCCAACCCACTTCTTTGATAGTCTTTGTCAACTCAATTTCTGGTAACTCCACATTTCTAGTTACTTAGGCAAGAATTGAGAAGTCTACTATGCCTTCAAAAAGTATGTCTTTAAAATTATTTAAGGTAATGGCACATAGCTTTCACTTGAAAATGAAAAATTGCAAGGCGTCCTAAGAACTAGGATAAGAATTGGCTGTCAGATCTGCCTCATTTTAATGGCCCAAGCAAATCACAAGCTGCACACTAAGAAATGATGAAGAGAAAATATACCTTCCTCTTTTCATAGGAGGGTCTACATAGTCTCATGACAAAAGGAGTGGATACAGGAAAAGTTGAATAGGTAAGGATGAAAATGAAATATACCAAAGGATAATTTAACCTCCCCCTCATGCTTATATTTATTCATGAAACAAAAAATACTGTCTACTCTGTGCTAGATTTGTGTATAGGTAGTGGCAAAATATTTTTTGTTCCTTTTTAATGATATTTTTAAGTGGAAGAGTTAAATAATTGAACAATTTAAAAATCATGTAAGAAATATATAGTTTGTGATAAGTACTATGAGTAGATAAGCAGCATGCTCTGATTTTTTTTAGAAAATTTTATTTTGCTTAGCCAGGTAGGTGATTAAGTTGAGATATGAAAGATGAAGGGAGAATACATAAGAAAAACTCAAGCAAAAGTCATTTAAAGAAGATCAGTGCAAGTAGGGGTGTGTGTGTGTGTGTGTCTGTGTGTCTGTGTCTGTGTGTCTTGTGTATGTGTGAGATGGGAAAAACATGAACCGTGGCACCAGAAGTACTAAATTTAAATCCTGCTCTTTGTTTAAGTTCCTGGTGCTGCAATTACAAGTACTTCATACAATTACAACAAAAGCAAACACTGACAAACGGGAGCTAATCAAACTAAAGAGCTTCTGCATAGCAAAACAAACTATCAACAGACTAAACAGGCAAGCTACAGAATGTGAGGAAATTTTTGCAAACTATGCATCTGACAAATGTCTAATATCCAGCATCTGTAAGGAACTTAAACAAATTTACAAGAAAAAAAAACCCCATAAAAAAGTGGGCAAAGGACGTGAACAAACACTTTTCAAAAGAACATACATGTGGCCAAAAAACATGAAAAATAACTCAAAATCACTGTCATCAAAAAAATGCAAATCAAAGCCACAATAAGTTAGCATTTCATGCCACTCAGAATTATTATTATTACTATTATTTTGAGATGGAGTCTCGCTCTGTCACCCAGGCTGGAGTACAGTGGCCCAATCTCAGCTCACTGCAAGCTCTGCCTCCCGGAATCACACCGTTTTCCTACCTCAGCCTCCTGAGTAGCTGGGACTACAGGCGTTCGCCACCACACCCAGCTAATTTTTTGTATTTTTAGTAGACATGAGGTTTCACCGTGTTAGCCAGGATGGTCTCGATCTCCTGACCTCATGATTGCCCACCTCAGCCTCCCAAAGTGCTGGGATTACAGGCATGAGCCACTGCGCACAGCCCGGAATGGTTATTATAAAAAAAAAAAATAAAAGGATGCTGGTGAGGTTGCAGAGAAAAAGGAACACTTACACACTATTGCTGGAAGTGTAAATTCACTCAACCATTGTGGAAGACAGTGTGATGATTCCTCAAAGACCTAAAGACAGAAATACCATTAGACCCAGCAATCCCATTACTGAGTATATACCCAAAGGAATATGAACCCTTCTATTATAAAGACACATGGACACATATGTTTATTGTAGCACTATTCACAATAACAAAGATATGGAATAAATTTAAATGATAGACTGGATAAAGAAAATGTGGTACATATACAACATGGAATACTATGCAGCTATGAAAAAGAATGATATAATGTCTGTGCAGGAACATGGATGGAGCTGGAGGCTATTATCCTTAGCAAACTAATGCAGGAACAGGAAACCAAATACTGCATCCTCTCACTTATAAGAAGGAGCTAAATGATGAGGATACACGGACACATAGAGAGGAACAACAGATGCTGGGGCCTACTGAAGGTTGGAGGGTGGAATGAGGGAGAGAATCAGGAAAAATAAATAATGGGTACTAGGCATAATACCTAGGTGATGAAATAATCTGTACAACAAAACTTCATGACACGAGTTTACCTGTATAACACACCTGCACATGTACCCCTGAACCTAAAATAAAAGTTTTTAAAAAGGAATATAATAATACTGAGTGTGGAATCCTACTTGGATATTGAAGGACAATACTGAAGGATCACTTTTGAATGATCATAGACATAAACATTCAGAATACTACTCTATACATTATAAAAATTATTTAGGTCAACTGCTTGAGATCAATGTGATCATCATCTCTGTTTTATAATTCAGAAAATAAAGATTTGTAAAAGCTAACCATTTGACTACAAAAACAAGACTAAGACAGCTGAAACTGGAATTTGTTCCTGGGCTGTATGCTTAGCTACTGTAGTCTGTATCATTGTATATTACTTTAGAACATTTAAAAACCAGTTTGTATTTGCGTTATATCACGCAAATAAAAGACAAATTTAAAAAGAGACACATTATTTTTCTACCTTTTTTTCCCTCACATTTGAAATATCTTCCGTGGACAACCTCCACTTTCATATCTCTAGTCAGAGAACTATGTGGTGCTATGAAATTTACATAGCAGTTCAGGGTACCACACCCTTTTATTTTACTCTAAATTTAATCTAAAAAAGTTTCTCCAAGAATTCCACCCTCAGTTTTTTTTTTTTGCTCTAATTGTTTTTCCCTAGCAATTCCATCTATTCTAACAATTAAATTAATTAAAGGCTATTCTGATCCCTTCTACAACTGTACTTCTAGTATCAGTTTATTCACTGCGTTGAGAAGAAATGCATAATTCTAACAACCTGCCAGATAGTTCCGTCTTGAAGGTCTAAAGTCATTTCAACAAGACCAACAGAGTGATAATTACTCTTTTCGCTACCAAAACTTGTTCTTAATTCCCAACTTTGTATCCAGTTAAAAATATTAGTGCTGATCTGGCCGGGCGTAGTGGCTCATGCGTGTAATTCCAGCACTTTGGGAGGCTGAGGCCGGTGGATCATGAGGTCAGGAGTTCAAGACCAGCCTGGCCAAGATGATGAAACCCCGTCTGTACTAAAAACTACAAAAAAATTAGCCAGATGCGGTGGCAGGAGCCTGTAATCCCAGCTACTCGGGAGGCTGAGGCAGGAGAATCACTTGAACCCGGGTGGCAAAGGTTGCAGTGAGCCAAGATGGTGCCACTGCACCACTCCAGCCTGGGTGACGGAGTGAGAATCTGTCTCAGAAAAAAAAAAAAAAAAAAAAAAGTTAGTGCTGATCGAATCCAATTTCAGAGTTATCATCAACTTACAATTTTTCTTTCAATATATATTGCCATTTTTGGACTAATAATTTCTTATTGATGCCAACAGAAATATTGATTTCGTATTTATTGTATTGAAAATTTATTAAAATTGCCATATTTATAAGGCTTTTCTTTATTTTTCCCCCTCTCCCATTTTTTCCACCAATGGCCCCTCACCACCTGAAACACAGATGTGGTTTTATTTCTATGTTTAATGATTGTGTTAGACTAAATAAGTCCCTACAAAATTCAAATGTTGAAATGCGAACCCTCAATGTGATGGTCTTAGGAGAAGGGGTCTTTAGGAGATGATTAGATAATGAAGATGGAGACTTCATGAACACCATTATTGCCCATAAAAAGGGACCCCAGAGTTCTCTAGACCTCTTTCTTCTATGTGAGGATACAACAATTATATAGCTACATATGAACCAAAAAGTGAGCCCTCACCAGAATCAAGCCATGCTGACATCTAAAATATCCAGCTTTCAGAACTGTGAAAAATAAATTTATGTTATTTGTAAGCCACCCCATCTATGGTATTTTGTTATAGCGATAGGACTAATATGATGTTTTTCAATGATATCTACTTTTTAATGTTCACTGATTAACAAACAAATAGGAAAAGAAAACAAGCTTAACATATGATATATGATTCTCTACATTTTGCTCCCAAACTTTTCTGAAGTTTCACACAATGTTTCTTCTAGTATGGTAAGATTAAAACCATTTGCTATTAATGGTTCCAGTGAATTTCCTTAGACTCATCAAATTCCTTTAAAGTAATCACTTATACATCATGATGTTATAAAATCAACTTTTCAAACAGTGAGTATTTGTATACTTAATTTTATTTACTGGCCATCACAATTCTTATATTTATAATATATCTTTTATAAATATTTTTTCCTAATAATCATGTTTAAATCCTTCAGTACAGTCCACAAAACACCTACCTGTTTACATTTCAAGGCATGTTTTGTTATTTGTTTGTTTTTGATTTGTATGAATATTTTCTCAATTTTAAATTTATTTAAATTTAGTGTTATGGCACTAACTAAATAATATTTTATTGAAACTCTGAATGGATATAGTAATATTGACACATGTAGAATGATATACTTTAGTTATCACTGTGCAGATATAAATATTCCTGTGTGTGTGTATTAGTCTGTCAGAGTGAACCACTTTGTTTTATGTACAAGACAGTAGTCTAATGGCAAATGTTTATTCTGGTACAAGTCCTTTGCTGGACAATTTTACTTCAGCTTTAATATATCAGTATGACTATTCATAATATGTAGTAATTTTACAAATGTGCTTGAGTAGGCAGCAATAATTGCTGCAATATGTTGAGAATTAAATTAACTGAAGATAACAAAAGTAGCAGGAAGTAATTAAAAAACTGGAACAAGAATGAATGGAGATGTTTTCAAAGTACCTTATGAAATGTTTAGTAGCCAGTTCATTTCTGAGAGAAACACATATTATAATTAAGAAATTATTCTGTTCCAGATGTATTGAAAATTTTTGCCTTTACTAATTATTTTGGTGTTAACAAACATATAAAAATAATTAGTTGGAACAAATATATCTCTGGTATGCCTGCGAAATTCGGGTTCTAGGGAGGAATAATTAATAATTAACAAATTCAATAAATATTTTTATTTTGTATCTACTACATGTAAATAAATAGACTAAATTATTTGAGGAATTAAAGACTGGCAATACTTGGCCTAAGGAATAATGCTATTTACTAGGGAAGATAAAAGGCACTTAAGCTTGATGAAAATGACAAAGTAGGATGTTGAATGATACCAAGATATCAAGAGAAGATTAAAGAAGGGTATTTCACGGAAAGAATATAGGAACATGGCATTGTGATTTAAAAAAAAAAGCAATGTGTTCACAGATACCACATTCTTTTTCTTCCTTGGTACCCAACACAAGTAAAGTATACTCCAGCCTCGTGGCAGTTGGATATGTCCATATTACCGAGTTTTAGCCTGGGGACATTTCCAGCCCCTTGCATAAAACTTCCCTTCTACTCCTCTCCATGGCCTTTCTGGAATCGAAAGACTCTGAAGCCACAGAAAATAGTGGAACTCCATTATGGAAGGATCTTGATTGCATGACGCCTCTGTTTAGTAAACATGGTGTGATAAATACCCAGTATAGTTATATGAGTCAGAAATAAACTGTGTTAAAACACTAATATTGGAAAGGTAATTTGTTACAATATCAGCTGATTTCTAACAAAGGAAATGTATTCAATTTCACACAAATTCATACAGATCATCGGTAAGATGAAGGAGTATAGTGAGAAGTAAAAATGGAAAAATGGGAAAGCAGACTGAAAGCTGATATAAAGAGAACCATATTCAGGAAAAAAGAATTTTAAAATTTATTTTCCAGACAATAAGATAATGTCAGACAAGTTACGATGAAATAGGATGAATAGAACTTGTGTAACCAAGAATACTCTGGCAGCAAAATAAAGGATGGAGGATAAAGAGAAGATAACAGGAACAAGAAATCAGCAAGTAGTCCATGTTTAGAAGAACTAAATTACTTTAATTCCACAAAATAGAAGTGTAGGTTTAAAATAGGGTTAGGGATAAAGTTAACAGGCTTTTTAAAAGGTATTTGATAAGTCAGGCAAAGCATGAGCACCCAAGAGTTGGTCAATGATTCCAGGAGGAGCTTAGAAAAAGACAATGAGAAAGCTTAACAGAATAAACCCCCAGCAGGGTTGAAACTGGTTTTGCTCAGGGATGGCCTGACAAAGATATTGACCTTTGATTCTCCCAGGCTCACAGTAAATTTTCAGTACTGTGTCAGGATTATGTTATTTATGCCAGTTACTTATGTGTGATGAGTAGGTAACATGGCCAGAATCTCAAGTGTGCAGTGACTGACAGACTGGCCAAAGTGAGATCATCATGCATGGTGCAAGCCTCATAGTAAAAAATTGCATTTTCTTGTGGGAGACTGGAATCTGGATAGTTCCAAGAAATTGAATTCTTATTATCTTGAGTCTAGTGTGAGTGAAAATCTTTGAATATCAGTATCATTTGTCATTAAAAATATGTAACTGTGCCTTTTATAAATCTTTTGATCACATCTTGGGAAATCTACATAGCAAAAAGAATAAACAACAAATCAGTAGAAAGATGATGTTTTTAGAGAATAATGGAGAGTTTACATTGTCTTCTTATTTATTTATTATTTTCTTTTAACTTTTAAGTTCAGGGGTACATGTGCAGGTTTGTCATATAGGTAAGCTTGAGTCATAGGGGTTTGTTGTACAGATTATTTCATCACACAGTGATATGGTTTGGTTCTGTGTCCCCACCCAAATTTCATCTTGAATTGTAATTCCCATGTGTCAAGGGAGGGACCTGTAATCCCCATATCTTGAGGGAGAGAGGTGATTGGATCATAGGAGTGTTTTCCCCATGCTGTTCTTGTGATAATGATGCTTTTATAAGTTCTCATGAGAAATGATGGTTTTATAAGCATCTGTCATTTCCCCTGCTTACACTTCTCTCTCCTGCCACCATGTGAAGAAGTTCCTTGCTTGCTTTTCACCTTCCACCATGATTATAAGTTTCCTGAGGCCTCCCCAGCCATGTGGAATTGTGAGTCAATTAAACATCTTTCTTTTATAAATTATCCAGTCTTGGGTATTTCTTTATATTAAGTCAGTGTGAAAACAGACTGTTACACTCAGGTATTAAGCCTAGTACCCATTGGTTATTTTTCCTGATCCTCTCCCTCCTCCCATCCTTTGCCCTCCACCCTCCAATAGACAGCAGTGTGTTTTTTGTTTGTTTGTTTGTTTTTGAGACGGAGTCTCCCTCTACTGCCTAGGGTGGAGTGCAGTAGTGAAATCTCAGCTCACTGCAACCTCTGCCTACTGGGTCCAAGCGATTCTCCTGCCTCAGCCTCCCGAGTAGCTGGGACTACAGGTGCATGTCACCACGCCTGGCTAGTTTTTTGTATTTTTAGTAAAGACAGGGTTTCACCATATTGGCCAGGCTGGTCCCAATCTCCTGACCTCGTGATCCACTCGCCTGGGCCTTCCAAAGTGCTGGGATTACAGGCGCAGTCTCAGCTCAGAAACTGTGGCCTTTAAAAATATATAACTTTTTTTTATTCTGTGAAGTTTCCTCTGAAACAAGAAGTTTCTTGTCCCTCTTTATATATACACCTGCAATATTTATCTTCTCATTTCTAGCAGGTCCTTTCTCCACATATGAATCTATATTTGCCTTTAATTTCACTCTGCCTATGGACACTTTAGTCTAGGCATATGAATTATGCAAGAGTATCACTTTTCAAAATACATAAAAACAAGCTATCCTCCCCTTGGTCTGGCATCTTTCCTACCTCCCTGCTAATCCTCTCATGCGCACTTCTAGAAAGACTGCTTTATGCTTGCCTCCTTTACCTCCGCAGATACAGTAATAACTTTTCAATGCATTGTTCTTGGCCTTTTTATTCTCTGTAAACTGTTCTTGCAAATATATCTGATATGGTTTGGCTCTGTGTCCCCATCCAAATCTCATGTTGAATTGTATCTCCCAATGTTGGTGGAGGGATCTGGTGGGAAGTGATTGCATTATGAGGGCAGATTTCGCCATGGTGTTCTCACTATAGTGATTTCAGTCTCATGAGATCTGATGGTTCGAAACCGTGTGGAACTCCCCCCTCGTTCTCTCTCTCTCCTGCCACCATGTGAAGAATGTGCTTGCTGCGGGGAGCGGTGGCTCACGCCTGTAATCCCAGCACTTTCGGAGGCGAGGCGGGTGGATCAGGAGGTCAGGAGATCGAGACCATCATAGCTAACACGGTGAAACTCCGTCTCTACTAAAAATACAAAAAATTAGCCAGGCGTGGTGGCGGGCGCCCGTAGTCCCAGCTACTCTGGAGGCTGAGGCAGCAGAATGGCGTGAACCCGGGAGGCGGAGCTTGCAGTGAGCCGAGATCGAGCCACTGCACTCCAGCCTGGGCAACAAAGCCAGACTCCGTCTCAAAAAAAAAAAGAAAGAATGTGCTTGCTTCCCCTCCGCCCTCCACCATGATTGTAAGTTTCCTGAGGCCTCTCAGTTATACTTCCTGTTAAGCCTGTGGAACTGTGAATCAATTAAACCTCTTTCTTCATAAATTACTCAGTTTCAGATAGTTCTTTATAGCAGTGTGAAAACAGACTAATACAATATCCAACATCATACAAATTTAAAAAACGGAAATTTTCCTGTCATACAATTGTACTTTGCTGATAATATTTAACACTATTAGTTGTTTTTTAAACTTTGTTTAAATCTCTACCTTTTTTTCCAGGTTTCCTACCCTTTCCCCTTCACTTACCGTGTGTGTTTTTAAATTGAAGTTAAAAGTAGAAAAGATAAATTGTGCCTTTTAATTGAAATATTTTGTTTGTTGACATATATTGTTTTCTTTCTTATATTTGAGTTTATGTAGACCGTTTTTCTTTACTGTTTGTCTCAACTCTTTTGTTTTTTCTTTACTATATTACCTCCTTTGGGATTAACCAAGTTTTTTTAATTCCAATTTTTCCATTTTTCCTATGTTACTATCAATATACATTTTTTAACTACTGTATTATCCCAGCAACATGAATCTTTGACATATTATACCCATGTATAAATAAGAAAATTTACAACTTGTCAGATAATATTATGACCTTAAAACAGTTTACTCCTCTCACCATTTATGTGATTTTAAAAATTAATTTTATTTCTCTATGTATTTAACACTTACGGGTGATCAGCTGGTTCTTTTCTTCTTAAATATTAATTTACTTGTATTGTTACCATCTCTATTGTTCTTTATTTCTGTCTACATACTTATGCTTCCCTCCAGGATCATGTTCCTTCTGCCTAAAGTGGCACATTAATATTTTTTAAAAACAGGTCTACTAGGACATTTTTCAGCCTTGTATTATACCATGCTATAAATTTTATAATGAGGGAGGGCCCTTTCCTCTTTTAGGGAGTGGCCAACATTTAACGTATTTCAGGAAAACATTAAAAATTAAACAGGACAAGTACTTGTTTTTTTTATTTTTTATTATACTTTAAGTTCTAGGGTACATGTGCACAACGTGCAGGTTTGTTACATATGTATACATGCGCCATGTTGGTGTGCTGCACCCATTAACTTGTCATTTACATTAGGTATGTCTCCTAATGCTGGACATGTACTTGTTGATGGCTTACTTTTATTTCCTTAATTTTCTTTGCTTTTATGAAACAACCAACAACTTTCCTCTCATCCTACTCATAACAACTCTCCATTTACTAGTATCCACTCACAGAGATCAAAATTTGACATATCGACATTATATTTTTGACCTTGGTATTACTTAGGAAATGTTTTGGTCCACTTTGGATTGCTACCAAATAGAGTGGTGACTAAGTTTTAGCACATTTTGGATCTTGACAGTGGCCCAGTGTAGAGGTGGTGACCTACTTCCCAGCAGGGCAGACTTGAAGTCCAGATGAATGACTGTGGTAGATGATGGCTATGTGGAGTATAAGAAGCAAACATTCTTAGTATGCTTTTCTTGGAGAGAAAATTGTGCAGAGAAAATACATTTTCCTGATCCTTTCAGAAAAATTCTACCTCTGAAGGGAGTGGAGGTTGGAGAGTGAAGAGGTTGAAGTCTTCCCAAGTTCAGTGTTGTTTTTTTCTATGGGTAACTGTCTTTCTCTTACAGTAAAATATATACATAAGTTAGATAACACCTATCAGTAATACCTTAGATTATTTCTACAATGTAGGCTGCAAAACATTAAAGGGTCAAGCAGTTTTCACATTTTAAGCAATTTACTTTTAATTAACAAAAAATGGTTTTACTTATTTACGGTGTGGCATGTGATGCTTCAATAAATTGATGCACTGTGGAATGACCATATCAAGCTAACAAATTTAACATATTTATTATCTCACATATTTACCATTGTTTTTTGCAGTGAGAAAACTTTTAAAATCTCCTCTCAGCAACTTTGAAATATATAATACATAAATATCAACTCTAGTCCCTTCACTGCGCAATAGATCACCAGAAGTTATTCCTCTCATTTAACTGAAATTTGTGTCTTTTGAACAAAATTTTCCCTTTTCCCATCCATGTCCTCCTCATCCCTCAGGCTCTGGTAACCACAAATCTACTCTCTGCATTTATGAATTCAAATTTTTAATTCTGCATATAAGTGAGATCATGTGATAATTGTTTTTCTGTGTTTGGCTTATTTTACTTAGCATAATATCCTCCAGATTTGCTTATTTTGTTGCAAACCTTAAAAGCTTAATAGAATTCCATGCTCTCTCTGTCTCTCTGTGTTTGTGTGTGTGTGTGTATCTATGTGTTTCTGTGTGTATCACATTTTAAAAATGTATTTATCTGCTGATGGATACTTATGTTTCTTCCAAATATTGCCTACTGTGAATAATACTGGAGTGAATATAGGAGTGCAAACATCTCTTCACCATACTTATTTCAATTCATTTGAATATACCCAAAAACGGGATTGCTGGATTAGATGGTAATTCTATTTTTCTTTTTTTGTGAAACTTCCATAATATTTTTCCAAAGTATTTTTCAAAATGTAGACAGTTATATATACCAAAATATATGCATATATGAGTAGATATATACAGCATTGTGAAAAAGAGAACAAACATGGAGTGGGATCTATCTTACTTAATGTTACAAAAAAAAAGAGAAGAAGGATTTTTCTGAGGAAATAATGCCTGTTCCTATTTTATGTAGTAAATGAAAGTTCTTCAGGAGAAAAAAAACTGAAAAAGAGTAAGTATAAAGCAGTTATGCCCAAAGAAATAAAAATACAAAATAGCCTGTGTTATTCCATTTGTGTCACTATAAACAAATACAGAGGCTGGAAAATTTATAAAGAAAAGCCATTTAATTGGCTCACATTCTGCAGGCTTCTACAAGAATAGTGCTGGCATCTGCTCAGCTTTGGGTGAGGGTGTCAGGGAGCTTATAATCATCACAGGAAGTGAAGAGAGAGCCACGGTCTCACGTGGAAAGAGGGGAGCAAGAGAGAGAGCGGGGAGGTGCCACACTCTTTTAGACAATGAGATCTCATGTGAACTCCGAGGGAGAACTCCCTCATTATTGTGAGGACAGCGTCAAGACTCATGAATGATGTATCCCCATGACCCACACACCTCCCACCAGGGCCCATCTCTAACACTGGGGATGAGTTTTCAACATGAGGTTTGATTTTTCAACATATCCTAGCCCTACATGAAGTTTGGCATGCTCTCTGTATCTCTGGGCAGGTATACCTTTCTCTCTGTCAGAGTGTCATTTTCTATTTCCATTCTCAACTCAGAAAGTGTGGACTTTAAAAATATATCTACTTTTTTTTGTCTGTAAACTTTCCCCTGAAACAAGAAGTTTCTTTTCCCTCTTGATATATACACCTGAAACATTTATCTTCTCATTTCTAGCAGGTCCTTTCTCCACATATGAATCTATATTTGCCTTTAATTTCACTCTGCCTATGGACACTTTAGTCTAAGCATATGAATTATACAAGAGTATCACTTTTCAAAATACATAAAAACAAATAAGCTATCCTCCCCTTGGTCTGGCATCTTTTCTACCTCCCTGCTAATCCTCTCATGCGCACTTCTAGAAAGACTGCTTTATGCTTGCCTCCTTTACCTCCGCAGATACAGTAACTTTTCAATGCATTGTTCTTGGCCTTTTTATTTTCTGTAAAGTGTTCTTGCAAATATACCTGATATGGTTTGGCTCTGTGTCCCCATCCAAATCTCATGTTGAATTGTATCTCCCAATGTTGGTGGAGGGATCTGGTGAGAAGTGACTGCATTATGAGGGCAGATTTCGCCATGCTGTTCTCATGATAGTGAGTTTAGTCTCAGGAGATCTGATGGTTTAAAACTGTATGGAACTTCCCCCTCGTTCTTTCTCTCTCTCCTGCCACCATGTGAAGAATGTGCTTGCTTCCCCTCCACCTTACACCATGACTGTAAGTTTCCTGAGGCCTCTCAGTTATGCTTCCTGTTAAGCCTGTGGAACGGTGAGCCAATTAAATCTCTTTCTTCATAAATTACTCAGTTTCAGGTAGTTCTTTATAGCAGTAATACTCTGGGGCATACCTAAGTCTATATATATAACTAACATGCTAGAACAGGTCTAGAATTGCTTTGGTAGATAAATGAATAAATTAATATAGGGTGGACATTTGCCTTTTTTTGGTGAACTTTATACTTTGGGCATATACAACATTGCAATACAATTTACTAAAGAAACAAATCATGGTAGATATTCACTTTACTAACTTTACTTGTAATTCAACAACAAGCCTATGATATTTTCTTTGTCAGTCAAATAAACCCACCCCAAATTGAGTTATTTGAAGGAGAATGAATCATGCAGATGAATGGTGTGTTATATGTGTCATGAGCTAAATCTCATTTTCAGAGATAACATTGGCAATGAATCTAGGGCAGTCTCTAAAATCCATTGTCTGTTGGCAGTGCTAACTTTGAGTTCTTAAGGTAGTGGAGGTTAAATATCCTTTGGACCATGAATTCTTTGCACTATGATAAAAGGATAAATTAAATCCTAATTTGGGGAGACTATTTTGATGATATCTATTCAAATTCATGTCTTTTGACTCAACAAGTACACACCTATTTGATTGTATTATAGATTTTCTTGCTCATTAGCCACAAATAAAAATAATTTTTGTTTATTGTTTAGCAGGATTCTAAAAACAGCACATTGGTGAAACAGTGGTAACTATATATTCATAATACAGAAAAATACTATGGGTCTCACAATCTGCTATCAAAGGTGTGTATTTATCTGGAGTCTCAAATGGCAAAATAACTCACTTCCAAGCTCGTGTAGGCTGTTGGTAGAATTTGTTTTCTTGAAGCTCTGTGGCTGAGGGCTCTGGATCCATAAAGGTTGTCAAATGGAGGCCACCTTTAGTGCTTAGCCATTTATTTTTTCTGCCACGTAACCTTTTTCGTAAGCAGACCCTCACCAAAACATCTCAGTTTGCTTCTTAAAGATCAACAGGACAAGGAGAGCTAGCAGAACAGTTTTACACAGTGTAATGTAATCACAGATGTGACATTGCTTTATGTGTGTCATATTCTGTTAGTTAGAAGCAAGTCACAAATCTAGTTCACATTCTAAAGAAGGGGATTACACAAAGGCTTTAACACCAAGAGATTGAAAACCTTAGGGTCTGTCTGCCACAACAGAAAGAATCAAATATTAAGAGAGAAAAATATGTTCCATTTGCATATAGCACAGAGTGCCTAAAGAAAATACAGAAATGTGTTAATATTTATACAGGATGGTGATATATATAACTTAGTAAGTAAAAATCTGTACCAATTGCATTGCATTTTCAAGGGAGTCTTAAATAACATAAAACATTTGATGACTAAGTACTAATGAAGTAGTATTCCTTGACTGTGACTTTGTGCCAATAATAAAATATTCCTTTCTCTAGGCTAATTTATTACTTATTTTTATAATAAAATATATTCTGTGTAATCAAATTGAAAACACATATTTTCAAACTAGTGATATGAGTGGATATGGTGACATTTTAATGGAGGTTACCATGCTTTATATAATTTAACCGAGGATATAATCTTATTATTTGCATTACAACACCAATCTCAGTCCAATAATTATGGAGTGGCATTATTTGTACACCTCCAGATTGTCACTGTTTAACCCCTCTGATGAAGTAATCAAGTGTCTGGTTTTCAATATTGTTTAAAATACTCTTAATGTCTCTAGATAGTGGAAATTAGGTTAAGCTGAAGCATCTTAAAGCTTCATAACACCAAACAGATGTTCTTAAAGCTTCATAACATCTTAAAGCTTCTTAACACCAAACACTATGATCAGGAGGTAGTGGTTCATTTCCACCCTATTTCCTCTTACCTTTCATGAACTCCATTCAAACATATGCATGTTGCTGAGATATAGTATGGTGCTTAATATCGCTGGGGAAGGAAATAGAAAAATAATAACTACATTGCATTGAAATATGTGCAAGTAATAGTGTTCTAATAAAGGTGTAATATATTTTGTTGAATATAGAAAAATTGTGTAGTGTAAAACATTTTCCAAACTTTCTGTCTATTGTATTATATTTGTAAGATTTAAACTGATGCTCCTTAGACTGTAAAACAAATACTGCCTTTCAAAAATAACTAAAATAATTAGATTGTGTTTTCAGATGAATTTTCTGGTGCTCATATAATTAAAAAATAGTCCAATAGAATAAGAACTTCCAACTGAAAAAGAATAAAGGCATTGCCTATTGGAGTAACATATATACAGCTGTCTCTTGAGTAAAATACTGGAAAATAAAGATGCAAGTACCTCAATGACATAATACCTAACATTTTCTAGCACATTATAAAATGTAGTCTACAATTACGTGTATTATTATTTATCTCCTGCAATAATGTAAGCTTTGTAAATGTAGAAATTTCTGTCTATATTGTTCTCTGATATAAAACTACTGTTTAGAGTAGTGCTGAATACAGGGTATATATATATATGTAACTTTTCCTAAAATTTCTAGATAGTTGCAAACTTTACAGTTTTAATAGTTTGTTTTTTAAAAAGCATAATTTACAAAGCATACATGTATGCCCTTCCTTCCTTCCCTTTCTTCCTTCCTTTCCTTCCTTCTTTCCTTCCTTCCTCCCTCCCTGCTCGCTTGCTTTCTCTCTTTTCTTTTCATTTTCTTTCCTTCCTTCCTTCCCTCCCCCTCCCTCCCTTCATTCCTTCCTTCTCTCTCTCTCTCTCTCTCTCTCTCTCCTTTTATTTATTTTTTTTTTGTGAGACAGGGTCTCATTCTGTCACCCAGGCTAGAGTGCCATGGTGCCATCTTGGCTCACTGTAACCTCCACCTCCCAGGCTCAAGCAATCCTCACACCTCAGCCTCCTGAGTAGCCTCCTGAGTAGCCGGAACTAGAGGAGTGTGTCATCACGCTGGCTAATTCTTGTAATTTCGGCTGGTCTCGAACTCCTGGGCTCAAGCAATCCACCTGCCTCTGCCTCCCAAAGTGCTGGGATAACATGTGTGAACCATCGTGCCCAGCCCAGCACGTATTCTTTTTAAATACAGCCCAGGTTTTCCCATCTACAGTTATTTGATGTTATGACTTGTTCAAATAATCAAGTTATTCTTAAATTTTGTTTTCTTTTTCATCTAAGCAAAAGTTTATGGATGTTATATCAACTACATTTCATGTGGGGCATGCTTCACTACTATATATATTTATTGGTAATTGGGCGACAGAGTGAGACTTCATCACACAAAAAAATCTAAATCTTTAGTAGTGTAATTTAAAAACAAGAATTTTATTTCCACACCAGCTTGAAGTCTGTGGTTTTAAAACAATTTCTTTTTAAGGTGTGCTTTACCTCAAAACTGGGAGAGTCTGTCTTTTATCTCAAACAAAACTACATGGAGAAAAGGTACTAAAGAAAGACAAATGCATTAGATAAATATTTTACCGTATAGTTGTCAGTAAACCAACTTAGAATTATCCTGCAGGGATTACATAAATAAATAAATACATAAATAAACAAACAAAATAAACACCTTTATGAACACTCCGACTGAGTGGAATATGTCTATATTCTTATAACTGCTTCAGTTCTAAAAGCCGGAGACACAGGAATCATTAAGAGGGGTTGAGTCAAGATGGCGGCCTGGAAGTAGCTCCTGCGCGCTGCTCTCACAGGGAGGAGACAAAGGGCTGGTGAACACTGACCCTACAAGCTGATATCTAAGAAACCGTGTCGGACTCGATCAAGGCAGCAAGCCGACACAGAGAACAGAGAGGAGTGCAGCTGGGCAGCAGCCTGTCTGGGATAAACGCGGAGCCAGGAGAAGCTCCCCAACACAGGAAAGGGTGAGTGAGTAAGAGGCCCCTGAGGGCTTCACACTCTCCGCGGGAACCTGTGTAAGGTTGCGAATGGAAGACCCCCACCACCGCCCCCCTTCCCCCCGCCGGCCTCCCTGCACCCTCCCCCCAGCTTCTAAACTGAGGCAGAGAGCCACCGGAAATGTTGCAGCGGCAGCTCTCAAGTCCAAGGGGACCTCCACAAGCCTTGGACCCTGGAACAGAGGCACCAGTGCCATCTCCCCAGTAGAGACTGCAGTCACAGTGCCCAGGAGCAGCAGGATTGTTCCCCTCCCTCCAGCCGCCAGCCGCCCCTCCACCCTACACATGCACAGGGTTCAGCGCCAGCTTCCAGGCCAGCAGCCCCACGTATGCCTGAACTTAGCTGGTGGGCGCAACCACTTGTTCCAGGAAACATCCCTCAGAGAGCAGACAGTGAGGTAGTCAGGCAACGCCCGCTAGAGCTCCCAGCCCAGCTTTCCTGCCCCTGAGTGAATTCATCCGGCAGGTGCAGTCTCTTGTTGTCCCAGGAAATCCCTGAATATCAGGAGGGGATGACTCCGACCAACCCCACCTCTCCTAGCCAAGCAAGCCACGCCTGCTAGAGCTTCCAGCCTAAGGGCCTTAACTCTCCCTGAAATCTGCTGAGCAGCACAGCCTCCTATAGCCCTGGGAAATACCCAGAGGGCAGGGTGAACAGCTCCACCCATCCCCGTCTTTAGCAGACGAATGGACCACACTCACTAGAGCTTCCAGCCCAGCAATCTTGCTTCTGCCTGAATTTGCATGCGCAACCCTGTGTTCTCCTGGGAAGCACCCGGACAGCAGATTAGGTGACCCCCACCCACAACACCCCTGCAGATCCCAGCCAACGAGGACTTGTTGGCTTGGGCAGTACCCAGGCAGAGAGAAGCCCTAACTTTCAGATCACTGAGAGGTGAGGTGCCCAGCTTTGCAGGCTGGTTGAGGAGCAAGCATGTGTCTCCCTCCCAGCATCCAATGGGTAAGGATATGACTTGTCTGCCAACCAACCTCTGCCTTAGTGAACCCCGTGGGCCAGAAAACCTAGCAAAATAAACCTAGGCACAGAGTCAGTAATCGGAGGAGATTCCTCCAAGGCCCAGAAGCGGACTACGTGAGGGAGTCATCACTCTCTTCCCCTACACCACAGAACTCTACTGACCAACTGCAGAGGAAGAGCCTCTCTGCTGCCTAACATTCCCATGTCTTTGGCTTGTGTTCTCATTCCTTTCACATTTTTATTTTTTTTATTTTTTATTTTTATTATTATACTTTAAGTTCTGGGATACGTGTGCAGAACGTGCAGGTTTGTTACATAGGTATACACTTGCCATGGTGGTTTGCTGCATCCATCAACCCGTCATCTACATTAGGTATTTGGCCTAATGCTATCCCTCCCTAGCCCCCCACCGCCAAACAGGCCCCAATGTGTAATGTTCCTCTTCCTGTGTCCACGTATTCTCATTGTTCAACTCCCACTTATGAGTGAGAACATGCCGTGTTTCATTTTCTGTTCCCACGTTAGTTTGTTGAGAATGATGGTTTCCAGCTTCATCCAGGTCCCTGCAAAGGACATGAGCTCACCCTTTTTTATGGCTGTATAGTATTCCATGGTGTATATGTCTCACATTTTCTTTAACCAGTCTATCATTGATGGGCATTTAGGTTGGTTCCAAGTCTTTGCTTTTGTGAACAGAGCTGCAATCAACATACGTGTACCTGTGTCTTTACAATAAAATGATTTAAAATCCTTTGGGTATATACCCAGTAAGGGGATTGTGGGTCAAACGGTATTTCTGTTTCTAGATCCTTGAGGAATTGCCACACTGTCTTCTACAATGGTTTAACTAATTTACACTCCCACCAACAGTATAAAACTGTTATTTCTCCATATCCTCTCCAGCATCTGTTGTTTTCTGACTTTTTAATGATTGCCATTCTAACTGGCATGAGATAGTATGTCATTGTGCTTTTAATTTGCATTTCTCTAATGACCAGTGATGGTGAGCTTTTTTTCATCTGTTTGTTGTCCACATAAATGTCTTCTTTTGAGAAGTGTCTGTTCATATCCTTCTCCCACTTTTTGATGGTGTTGTTTGTTTCTTCTTATAAATTTGTTTAAGTTCTTTGCAGATTCTGGATACTAGCCCTTTGTCAGATGGATAGATTGCAAAAATTTTCTCCTATTCTGTAGGTTGCCTATTCACTATGATGATAGTTTCTTTTGCTGTGCAGAAACTCTTTAGCTTAATTAGATCCCATTTGTCAATTTTGGCTTTTGATGCCCATGCCTATGTCCTGAATGGTATTGCCTAGGTTTTCTTATAGGGTTTTTATGGTTTTAGGTCTTACATGAAAGTCTTTAATCTATCATGAGTTATTTTTTGTATAAGGCATAAGGAAGAGGTCCAGTTTCAGTTTTCTGCATATGGCTAGCCAGTTTTCCCAACACCATTTATTAAATAGGGAATCCTTTCCCAATTGCTTGTTTTTGTCAGGTTTGTCAAAGATCAGATGGTTGTAGATGTGGGACGTTATTTCTGAGGACTCTGTTCTGTTCCATTGGTCTATATATCTGTTTTGGTACTAGTACCATGCTGTTGTGGTTACTGTAGCCTTGGAGTATAGTTTGAAGTCATGATCAAGTTGGCTTCATCCCTGGGATGCAGGGCTGGTTCAACATATGCAAATCAATAAATGTAATCCATCACATAAACAGAACCAATGACAAAAACCACATGATTATCTAAATAGGTGCAGAAAAGGCCTTCGACAAAATTCTACAGCCCTTCGTGCTAAAAACTTTCAATAAACTAGGTATTGAAAGAATGTATCTCAAAATAACAAGAGCTATTTATAACAAATCCACAGCCAATATCATACTGAATGGGCAAAAGCTGGAAACATTCTCTTTGAAAACCGGCACAAGACAAGGATGCCCTCTCTCACCTCTCCTATTCAACATAGTATTGGAAGTTCTGGCCAGGGCAATCAGGCAAGAGAAAGAAATAAAGGGTATTCAAATAGGAAGAGAGGAAGTCAAATGGTCTCTGTTTGCAGATGACATGATTTTATATTTAGAACACCCCCATCGCCTCAGCCCCAAATCTCCTTAAGCTGATAAGCAACTTCAGCAAAGTCTCAGGGTACAAAATCAATGTCAAAAATCACGAGCATTCGTATACACCAATAATAGACAAACAGAGAGCCAAATCATGAGTGAACTCCCATTCACAATTGCTACAGGGAGAATAAAATACATAGGAATACAACTTAGAAGGGATGTGAAGGACTTCTTCAAGGAGAACTAGAAACCACTGCTAAAGAAAATAACAGAGGACACAAATGGAAAAACATTCCATGCTTATGGATAGGAAGAATCAATATCGTGAAAATGGCCATACTGCCCAAAGTAACTTATAGATTCAGCGCTATCCCCATCAAGCTACCATTGACTTTCTTCACATAATTAGAAAAACAACTACTTTAAATTTCATATGGAACCAAAAAAGAGCCTATATGTTTACAATATAGGCTAAGACAATCCTAAGCAAAAAGAACAAAGCTGGAGGCATCCCTTGACATTTTTATTTGCAGAGCATAAGTGTTTAATTTTAATCAAATCTAAATAATCGATTATTTTTTTTCATGGAGCATGCTTTTGGAGTAGTTTCTGAAAAGTCACTGCCATGCCACAACTGATAGAGTTTCTCTATGCTATCCTCTAGGAGATTTATTGTCTTGTGTTTTACATTTAGGTGTGTGAAAAATACATCTAGAGGTAATTTTTGTGAAAGGTGTATGGTCTGTGTCTAGATTAATATTTTTGCGTGTGAAGGTCTAGTTGTTCCATCACCATTTATTGAAAAGATTACCCTTTCATCACTTTTATTACTTTTGCTCCATTGTCAGATATCAGTTGATGATATTTGTATGGTTTCATTTTTGGGCTATTATGTTCCATTGATATATTTGTCCATTCTTTCACCAATTCCACACTGTCATGATTACTTTAGTTTAATAATGAATCTTAAAGTTAGGTAATGCCAGTCTTCCAACTTTGTTCTCCTTTAATAATTTGCCATCTAACTTTCCTCTTTTGTCTCTCAATACAAGCTGAAGAATCAGTTTGTGATACCCACAAAGAGCCTGCTACGATTTCTATTGGGATGGCACTCAATCAAGTTGAGAAGAACTGACATCTTAACAATATTGAGTTGTCCTATCCATTCACATGGAATAGCTCTCTGCTTATTTAGTTTTTCTATAATGAATTTTATCAGAGTTATGTAGTTTTCTTCGTATAGATCTTGTACATTTCTTAAACTTATATATGCATAAGGATTTATTTTGGGGAGGTACAAAAGTAAATGGTATTTTATTTTTATTCTTAAATTGCACTTGTTCATTTCCGGTAAATAGGAAAGCAGTTGGCCTTTGTATATTAATCACGTACCCTGCAACCTTGCTATAATCACTTATTAGTTTCAGGAGTCTTTTGACTGTTCTTTTATATTTTCTACATAGATAATAATGTCGTCTACATCTGAAGATAGTTTTCTTTCTTTCCAATCTGTAACTATATGTCTTGTCTTGTCTTATCGGATTAGTGAGGGCTTCCGGTATGATGTTGTAAAGAAGCGGTAAATGGACATCCTTGCCTTGTTATTGATCTCAGCAGCAAGTCTGTGTGTATTTTTCAAAATTCTTTGTATCTGAATTTTGGAAGAAAAAACTTTGAAGCTTCCACATAGGTTTTAGTCACTGAATAAAGTTGTATTTTGTACTGCAATAAATTAAATAGGTTACTAAAAGCTTGCAATTTATATCAAATCTAGTGATAGCTAACTTTTACATAGTGCTTACTATATGCCAAAAAATCTTCTTAAAGATTCACATGTACTGATTCATTTAATATTGTGTTATTATTTTTCTAGTAATCAGGTAAGACACCAGGAGCAGGTGGAGGTTTAGTAAGTTGCACAGCCACTTTGCTACAGAGCCAGCTTGCAGAATCAGGGAGTCTGGAAACAAAGTCTATGTGCTTGACTATGAGATTATAGACTATCACATCAAAATTTCTGCCTTCCAGTGTTTTGTAATGTATTCATAAAGTTAATGTATGTAAAAATTAAAGGATTTTAATATGATTTTGTTAATAAATAACAATAGTTAATGCTGTAAGAATTTCAACATGGATAAAACATACTTTATACCATTCAATAGAAAGATGTAGATTAGTCATTACATTTGAGGGAGTGGGAAAAGAAGAAGAGAAAGTATTGATGAGCAGGTTCTACATTATGAACTAAGAAGAGTTAGATGGATAATGGGGTAAATCATTAGAAAACAGATGAATTGTTCAAATGGTGTAAGGACGAGATAATATTAACTGTATCATTTTTATTGAGATAAATAGAGATAAATATCTATATACTTTGGGATTGTGATTGGTATTTTTAAAACACAAAATAAAAGACACAAAAGTCAATGGTAAAAGTTTATCCCTCTGACTTCATTTTCAAATACTTTAATTTACGTGTATTAATTAAAATTATAAATATAATAGCAAAATTATAAATAGAGAAAAATACTAGCAGCATATGTTACAAAAGGTTAATATCATTTATTTATACATAATTAAAATAATAAGCCAATAAAAATGAAGATCAACATAGCAATGGAAAAATAATCAAAACCTACCAACATTATGTATTGTTGAATTACATAGAATTTAAAAAGAAAAAAATTAAATTTACTTTTCAGTTAAATCTAAACTTGTTTCTTAGAATATAGGAAAATAACTTTGTTATTTTACACCATAACTAAAAGTATATATATATATAGCAGTGATATCAATACAAGTTTCACAGAATTATCTTTTCAGATAAATAAATGCCTCCAGTATAAGCTAACAGATATTTAAGGTTAAAGTTATTCAGAATTTTTGTTTAATATAGATGTTTAAAAATATACTTAGCATGTGTAAGATTTCCAAAGAGGTAGCATTCTTAAGAATTATGTAAACACTGAAAATCATTAAATAATTCAGGTTCCTAGTTATGCAACCTAGAACAAGATACTTAAACTTTTTGCTTCAATTGCAACTGCAAAATAAGTATATAGTAATTATATGAGTATGTAGTAATTCCCATTTCAAAGATTTGTTGTAAGATTTGTGTTTTAATATGTATAAAGTTTTTAGGACAATGGTTAGCACTAGTTACCTATTCAAGAATTACCTGTTATCTTATGGCATATTTGTTACATTTAAAAATGATTAGTATTGTAATTAGTTATTTTAGGAAGTCAGAACAGCCAACATAGAGTGAGATGAAAGGAATAAGTCTTTTTGTGTTTCAGTTTGTCCACATACACAACAAAGTTTTTTCCTACAAATCATTTATGAATTTGTCCTTTCCTATTTAAACTTCCATTAACCTCCAGGCTGAAGTCCAAGCCCCTTCCCTTGGCCTCCTCCAAATAGCATCAATATTTCAGTATCACTTTATCTCCTATCATTTATTTCTCCTTACCTTTGGCAATATCCATAGGACATTTCTCATGTTCCCCAGATTTATCACATTCTTTAAAACTCTATGCTTCTCCAATACTATTTATTCTATTTGTAATACTTTTTTTTCTAGATCATATTCTCCACTTAAAAGTCTATTTGCCCTTAAAGACATAGATTTTATGCCATCTCTTCTGAGAAGTCACATATTGCTTCCATTCAGGTTAAATCTTTTCTCCTATAGATTGTAAACACCGTAAGAACCTGTGATGGCCTGATTTGCATTTTCACTTTGTGTCTGCATTATCCTTTGAACATCTCCAATCGTGATTTGTTTCAAAATGTTTGATTTTTAAATTTTATTTTATTTATTCATAATAACAAAATAAAATTATAATCAGTAATATAATTTCTAAATGAATAATATTAAAATTAAAACTGATCCATTTAGCTGGGCATGGTGGCTCACGCCTTTAATCCTGGCACTTTGAGAGGCTGAGGCAAGTGGATTGCCTGAACTCAGGAGTTTGAGACCAGCCTGGGCAACATGGTGAAATCCCATCTCTACTAAAAATACAAAAAATTAGCTGGGCATGGTGGTGTGCGCCTGTAATCCCAGCTACTCGGGAGGCTGAGGCATGAGAATTCCTTGGACCTGGGAGCGGAGCTTGCAGTGAGCCGATACTGTGCCACCGCACTCCAGGCTGGGTGACAGAGTGAGACTCTTTCACAAAAAAAAAAAAAAAAAAAAAGAAAAAATTGATTCATTTAACAAGATGAGTAATTTAAGAATTTTATAATTTAAATAAACATCTGTGGGGTATGACAATTAAAATAACTTCTTAATATATTTATCAATCGGGTAATGTAACTATGAAATTTTTAGTCTAACATTCTTCAGTATTCTTCAGTTTTTTTGGAGATTTTATTACCATATTACAGCTATCTATGCAATAAGAAAAAGATGGAGAAAAGTTAAATGTTATTATAAGATTATTGATGTGGAGATTTAAACCTTTGATGGACAAAAGTACACACAATTTTTGTAATACAGAACATTTGAAATAATCACTGAGGCCACTCATATATTGTAACACATTTTCCTTCCCTATGGCCCTCAAAGTAACAATATTAATAACTAAATTTATCTTCCATTTGAATGTGGAATATAGACATTACCTCCAAGGTAATGTGCTTCATGACAGTGTTAAGAGAACAAAGATGATACAACATTGCATAACCAAATACAGGTCAGAATTTGTTTAAGTGTGAAGAGATTAAATGATAGCTAAAGAAAAACCAGTTAGGTACCAAACATAGTAATCTAGAATTGAATTACTTTGTGAAATGAAAATATCCTTGTGGAATGCTTGAGATCATAGTGCAGTAAAGCAAAATCATAAGCTTCTCAGTCAATTATGTAATAAATGTGAATGATTGCTAATCCCTAGAATACAGAATTTTGGGGATATGTTTCATGACACATGTGGAAGGTTTGTTTTTTTAACTGCAATAATCAAATAAGTTTGCAAGATATAAGTGCAATAAATAATATTTAGAGAAAGAAAATATGGTGTAACCGTGTGAAATTTTAAGCATATGACAAACGTAATTTTTGTGATCCTGATTAGAAACTATACTGAAGCTGCTAAATAATAACATGATCACATAGAAAATTACAAATATGAGACGATAAAGTGGAAATGATGTATTAGTTTTCAGATTCTACTATAAATAACCCTTATGTTTTATTTGTATAATAATAAATCCCAAGACAGGAAAGCTGTGAGGATTATAAAAAAAAAAAAAATCTGTGATAGAGAGCCCAGCATGGATCCAAAAGCATCTGAACTGGACCTTTTTAAATATATAAAATATAGGTTGTTATTTCTTTTGACAAGAGCATATTGGTGTCATAATAAATAAGATCAAGGTTAGAAATCAGTATGGGCTCCCAGCTGAATGACTTTCACTGTTAATATTTTCAGAATGAGAACAGTTTGTGCCTGAGCTTAAATAGTGTGTTTCTTTCTTGCCATTGCTTGAAGTGTCATAAATAGCTGTAGTGGCAAACACCACAAAGGAAGCTGAGAGGAAGCTGTTAACGCTTCATTATTGGAGGGGGTGGTAAAAAGGGAGTAAGGGAGTGGCACTCTATGTTTCAGCCTAGTGAAATTAATCTAACAGATTTTAAACAAAATAAAATATATTCTGCTTAATATATTAATAGAATTAATATATCAAATAGTTTTATACAATAATAAACTTTTACAGTATCACTAAAGGGAAAAATCAATCCTAACATTAAAGAAAATCAAGGCATTCTGCACATTGCTCCACACCTATAGAAAACTTGGAGAAATTATGCATAGGATTGCTAATGAAGGGCCACAAAAATGAAATGAGATTTTTGACTCTTTTTGAAATAATTCAGATTTTCAGTCTGTATTAAAATATGGAAATTCTGGCACAAAATACAATAAACACTGAGAGACAGTTATATTGAGAATTTTCAAGGAACTACTTCTTAATGTATAGCATGTTATGATTTCAAAGTCATGATTCTTTTTATTCATAATGACTGGTTTAAGCCTTCATTTTCTTTCCAGATTCTCTTTCGAAAGCTTAAATTAGATAGAAAGAAACATTGAAACCTGAAGAACTGTTATACTTTCTAGGAGTAGATACTTTTGTACCATTAAAATCTTTGAGTTTGTGGCTCTTCAAGAAAGTGGAAGATCTCTTCATGTGCTACAAAGCCTGTTTTTGTGTCTGTTTTTTCTGTTTCCTTTGACATTCTTTTAAAATACAATGTAAGACATACATTTAATATATGGAAATTTGATCATCTGCATAAATGAAATTACAACTTTAATACATATTAAAATGCCATACAGAGTGTATTTAAATTTTGTTTCTGCCATGGGAGTGTATAGAGCGAGTTTTCGGTAATTTAATAAGGTCCAGGAACAACTCTGTAAGTGGAATTGACCCTTTTTCAGTATTGCCATATCAATAATTGAATAGAATTACACTTAAGAATATAAAAATGCTTAGGCACACTCATAACCAAATGATCATAATCTGGATGCTTTGTTTAAATTATGTGATGAATGGGAGAAATTGTAGTATTTCTGTCAGACAGATTTCAAAAAGTGTAATTGCTGGAACAAAGGAAATATGAATACTTTAAGGCTGACACTGCCAAATTAATCTCCAAATGTTTATACTGATGTAGGGCAGGTGAGCCCCAAAGTGGAGCTTAACCCATGAAGGTTCTTGGCTTTGCCCCATAAAGAATTCAAGGGTGAGTCAGTGGTGAAAGAAAACAGCTTTATTGAAGCAGCAGTGTTAAGCTTCAGGGGTGTTGAAGCTCTGGCCGTGTTACTGCTCCATGACTGCTCCTGCAGACTAGGGATACCCCATAGGCAGTTTGCTGCAAGTGGCACTCTAGGGCAACTTTGCAGTCATGTTTATACCTGCTTTTAATTACATGTAGAATAAGAGGCAGTTGATGCAGAAATTGCCAGGGAAAGGGTGGTAAACTTCAGGTTGTGGGACCATTGCCATGGAAAGGGGCGGTAACTCCTGGGCATTGCTATGGCAATGGTAAACTGATGTGGCACACTGGTGGGTGTGTCTTATAGAAAGCTGCTTACAACCAGGCACTGTTTTAGCTAGTCCTCAATTTGGTCCAGTGTTTGAGTCCCAAATCCCACCTCAGTACAACCTTACAACGGAAACAATCATACACGAAAATACTGATTCTTTCCTTCATGACCAGTTCTGAATTTTATGGGAGCCCATCATATTCCCAAAAGACACAATCCTGAATACTGTAATTCCCTATGTTGAAATTCCAAAAGATCAAAATTCTGAAAATACCATGTTAGAAAAATTAATAAGAATTATTTAAAATATCTTTATTTTCATTTTTAAATGGGATTTATTTGGGAAACATATAAAACATGACAGAACTCTTCATAGGCCATTTTACACAATAAAATAGGCAATAATAACTTTATATTTTGTAAGCATACTTAGTTATACAAATGAAAGTCACATGCCTATAAGTTATGAGCAGACAAATCATATTAATAAAGAAATAGGTCAAAAAGCAAATTATATAAATGTATGTCACTATGGTTGGTAATCATGTGCATCCAGCTATATTCAGATGACTGATCTGAAATGTGATAAACAATGTAAAGGTCTTTGATGGCATCATCAATAACCATGATGGGTCACAATCACATATGCCATCATCTGAAGAGTCTAGATCTTGAGAAGTTTTATCTTTCAAGAATGCACATGTACAAAAAGGACATATCTTCATTTATTGAGAATGATTCAACATTTTTATGTACACACACACAATGCTTACACACAAAGTCAATATTGTGATAAGACACTTTTCCAGAGTCAAATTTGTGAAAATTGCATAAAGCGAGTTAAAACTCTCTGAAAGCCTCTACAGAATTTATACCTGCAGTACTGGAAATGATGCAAAGATGAAATACATACCATTGTGAATTGCTAAAAAATTTAAAAATAAATAAAAACAGGTTCATGCTTGCAATTTCCAATGCTTTGGGAGGCCAAGGGAGGAGGATCGTTTGAGTCCAGGAGTTAGAGACCAGCCTAGGGAACATAACAAGACCTTGTCTCTAAAACAATAAAAATAATGAAAAATTAGCCAGGTGTGGTAGTGTGTGCCCGTAGTTCCAGCTACTTGGGTGGCTGAGGTGGGAAGATTGCTTGAACACAGGAGGTCAAGGCTACAGTGGGACTCGATGGTGGTGCCACTGCACTCCAGTCTGGGCGACAGAATGAAATCCTGTCTCAGAAAGCAAATAAACCAAAATGCTAACAATTTAAAATAGTGGGGAAAAAAAAACTTAAAAACCGAAAAGAAAATTCTACATATGAAAAGAAGTGTATTACAAGGAAAGATCATGGACAATTACACAAAGTCCCTAAGACCTGACTAACTTTCATGATGACCAACTCTATTTTGAAGTTTTGCTTCATGATGAATAGCTGCTTTTATTTTTTAGTCTTTTAGAACAGTGCTCTCCTTACAGAATACATTTACATTCATTTTCTAGTTGGCATTGCTCTTTTTAAAATTCAGTTATGATTTTATATACACCAACATATACATTCTCTATGAAGTATTTCCATGGCTCTGTGTTGTTTGATGACACACAGAAATCCATTCTGCTTTGCACTCATATAGAGCACAGGTTTGACAGAAACAGTGCTGGTGATTGGATAGCAGTGCCATTGCCTAAGTGTCTTCTTATTTTGCCAAGCACATAATTATTTTCAAACCAGTCAGTAAGTTGAGTGGCTTCTTCAGGCAAATGAAGCTTTGAAAGTTCCTAGAATGTCTTCAGCTGGAAGGAATTCCAATGCAGGCAAATGACACAGTTTTAAGCTAAGGTTTTCATTGTTGTGATATTTGTGTGGCTCATCCACCCATCTACATTTTCTGCCAAATGTATTGGGCTGAATGGAGGAAAACTAACGTTATTGGTAACACTTTGAAATCCACTTTTAAAATCCTTGACCACGCCCAATTCCAAATCTGTCATGATGGTGTGGGATTCAAATGAAATGCATTTTCTTCTGTAAAGTCCACCAGATCTTCAAATAAGCATTTATAAAGTGCTTCATTTGTTCCAGTCATTAATACATAAACAAGCAAATAAGTTATAGAATTTGTGGATCCAACAGGGGCATGACTTGTATATAGTTGATTAAAAAAACAGTGGGGACAGTTTAGAAAGTGCCATCCCTTAGCCTGAGTGAAGCATTTGCCAGTTTTTCTATGTTAGATTTAATATTAAGTACAAAAACTCTATATTCGACCAGGCGCGGTGGCTCCCACCTGTAATCCCAGCACTTTGGAAGGCCAAGGCGGGCGGATCACCTGAGGTCCTGAGGATTTCTAGACCAGCCAGGTCAACATGGCGAAACTCTGTCTCTACTAAAAATACAAAAATTAGCCGGGCGTGGTGCTACGCGCCTGTAATCCCAGCTGCTGGGGAGGCTGAGGCAGGAGAATCACTTGAACCCGGAAGGCGGAGGTTGCAGTGAGCCGAGATCAAGCCACTACACTCCAGTCTGGGTGACAGAGTCTTGCTCTGTCACAAACAAACAAACAAACAAACAAACCTCTTTCTTTTTCAACAGTCAATTCTGTAATCAAGAATAGTTCACTGTTCCTGTGTTAGTATGCTAAGGATACTGGTCTCCAGCTCCATCCATGTGCCTGCAAAGGACATGATCTCATTCTTTTATGGATACATAGCGTACCATGGTGCATATGTACCACATTTTCTTTTGATGAGAACACATGGACACATAGATGAGAACAACACACACCAGGGCCTTTCAGAAGCTGGAGGGTGGGAGGAAGGACAGGATTAGGAAAAATAACTAGGGGTACTAGGCTTACTATCTGGATGATGAAATAATCTGTACAACAGGCCCTCATGACACACCTTTACCTATGTAACAAACGTTGACTTGTACCCCTGAACTTAAAAGTTAAAAAAAAAAAAAAGAATAGTTCATGGCTATGCAAAGTGGCTCAAGCCTTTTATCCCACCACTGGGAGGCTGAGGTGGGAGAATCCCTTGATCCCAGGAGTCTCAGACCACACTGGGCAACATGGCAAAACCCCAACTCCACAAAATATGAAAATATTAGCCGTGCATGGTGGCTCGCGCCTGTAGTCTCAGCTAATTGGGAGTCTGAGGTGGGAGGATCACTTGATTCCCAGAGGTCAAAGCTGCTGTGAGATGTGATCATGCCACTGTGCTATAGCCTGTTCAACAGAGCGAGACTCTGCCTCAAAGAAGGAATAGTTGTTCATTTAATGTGTTTTGTCACTGAAGGAACCTCAATATCTGAAAGTGTCTTCAGTTCACAACGTCACTGAGCTTGTTAAATTCTTTTTATTCTCTGACAAAGAGAGTTTTGGAAGGCAAGCATGGTTCTATGTTAAGAGGCAGAAGGTGTACACGATTGAATAATTTGGCAGGGGAGATTTCTTGTATTTTTCTCCGGTGTTTTTACTTTTATGATCTTCAAAGCACTCTGCACTTGTATTGAAGGGTGGCTGTGGTCTACACAGTTTGTAAGTAATTTATTGTCCATCTGAAAGTCTGGTTATTACTTGGCCATTGCATTAAGCAATTTTCTGCTTTTTCAGTACCAATAATAATCAGCTTTTAGACTTTATCTTTCATCATTAAGTAGCCTCGTATACTTACTTATCACAGCCTTTTGGTGAGGGAACAATTTCACTGTTCTCTCCTATTGTGTGGTAAGGAATACAGTAAGAAGAAATGATAGTTAATTTCCTCCAATGCCAAATATGTATTAATCAGGGTGTACCAGAGACACAGAACGAATAGGATATGTATATAGATATATGAAAGAAGACTCCACAAGTTGGACACCCTTGGATGCTGGTAGTGTGGCTCTGCATAAAATCCTTGAGACCCGAGGGGCCACTGGCATAAGTCCTAGAGTCCAAAGACCAGTGAGCCTGGAGTTCTGATGTGCAGGCAGAAAAAGGAAAGTCTGTCCCAGCTCTCAGACAGAGACGTGTTCACCTTCTATATTTGTTCTCCCGGGGCCCCCCGCTGACTGGATTTTCCCCACCCAGTTCACTCAGACTCACCCACTAATCTCCTCTGGAAACATCCTAGCAGACACTCAAAATAATACTTTATCAGGTTTCCTGATAAAAGCCTCAAGCCAGTCACGTTGACTCCTAAAATCAAATCCACCCCTTGTCAATTTGGCAGCTATATGCATCTCTTTAAAACATACTTAATTCCCAAATAAAGACAATAACAAAGGAATCGTCTGTCTAACATGATGCAATTATCCTGCGATTGTGATTTTCAGAATTTCAGACCTTAGGAATTTTAGACCTTAGGAATTTTAAACTTTAGAGCTTTAAACTTTAGGGATTTTAATCTTAAAATATTTCAGCATTCAAGTTTGTGACATTTGGAATTGTGTCCGTTAGAATTATGACTCAAACCTAGATTTTATAGACTTTTTATAGGTCAGAATTTTATTTTTGTCAAAAATAATGAAAAGGCATATCACAATATTGCTTTAATTTACATTACTTTTAGAAAAACAGCATCCTTGGAATTTTAGACAATTTTTTAAAACTGTGAAATGCCTATTTATATATTTTGCCTATATTTCCTTTGGTTGTTTGTTATTATAGATAATAGGAGGGAGACATTGTATTTTAATAATATTAACACATTTGTTTTATTAATCACAAGAGGACTTCATTAGTAATTTATTTGGTTTTTAACTTTTTTAAGTGAAAAAAATCGTTATTTTGTAGTCTACTGTACTATCTTCTGCATCTTCAAAAATTAAAATTTAACAAACGATTTTATCTTAAAGTTAGATCTAGTTTATTCACTTTCTACAAAAAATATATATTGACAGAATGTCAACCTAGCAATGAAAAGGTTTTGAAGAAACAAAGAAACTGTATGTGAATTTGATGTTTTAAAAGCCCATACTTTTTAGCTTAACAATTTTTGTGGCAGTTTCATAATAAGCCATACTTTTTTGGCTGATAAGTTAGAAAATCACACAGATGATAGCATATTTCAATAGCACATAAGATACGCTCACCCTACTTTACTGAAGTGACGCAAGCTGTCATTCTATGTATTTTTCCTGATAACTTCTTAAAGAATGTTATGTTTTTTCCCCCACGGTACATACCAGGATTTATTTTGCACAGAATACTGAAAAAAATGTTTTCAGCTCTGTTCAATGTTTATTTTTTGTGTAGGCAGTTCTTGGCATTTACAGTCTGATTTTTAAGGTGGGATTGAGTTTTAAAAGTACGTGGAAAGGCTTGAAAGACTAAAAACAGATATCTGTGAATTCTAAATCCTAAAATATGAGTCATTAATTCAAAGTCATGAAAATGCTATACATGGAAATTTCTGATAAAAACTTTAGTGTGAAACAGATACACAATCAGGTAAAATGATCCAATGTTTGGTGGTAAAACATCTCCTACATGTAATAGCATTACACAGTAAGTATGATAATGTTTATATATGTGCATTAAGGGGTATATTGAGTTGAGACATAAATCAGAAACCAATTCTCCCAGACAAAATATATCTCAATCTAATACCTGACCTTATATTGGTGACTAGGCATTTCTGTCTCACCAAGAAATGTGGATGTTGCAGATTCAGTCACTAGCTCAAAGGTGGTCTTTCTTGGAACCTTTGTTACTTGGCTCTTTGAGTGTCCTCAAGCTGTCTCTAAATATAAGCTTAAGTTTCAGGCTGAAGTCCCACACAGACCACAACACTATATCTTATTTTTTTAGTTTGTTGAAATATAGATTTTGCTGATTTTTAAAAAGTCTGCGTGCAGAAAGAAAACATGGCAACAATTCCAAGCTTGAGTTCTGAACACATCTAGTGCTCTATTTATACATGTATACAGTTCAAGATATCCTACCAATCCAGTAATTGTTCTTATATTAAAACAAACTTCAGAAAAGCAATAATATATGTTTAGAAAACAAATCCACTACATACTTTAAAACCAGAAGAGTTAGTAACAAAATAAGGTGTATGTATGAAAGGAGAAGCACATAAACATTTTAAATAAAGGAGAGGCACAATATTCATTTTGAAGAACAAATGAGACTATGACATTGAGGCAGTAAATTAAATTTTTTTGCTCGTTAATTATTTAAATTTTAGAATGTATTATGTGAAGTTATGTGGATTATGCTAGCTGCTTTCATCATAGCACTCTTTCTGTGGCTGTACAAATCTAAACTTTCATACCTATATATTTATGAGGCTGAACGTATACCTTTCCAAATATTCCCTTTTAAAAAACTTTTTTTGCCATCATTGTTAAGAGACACTTGAAAGAAATGAACGTGATGAGAGCCAGGTAAGGAGCAGTAAACTACAAATAAAAACAAAATAAAACTTTATGGATCCTATTGCCAATGTTAGGTCAGTAGTTTTCTAACTCATGCCAGATGACCTTCAGTTGTGTCTTGGGTACTCTCATTATTTTTTATGACTTCACTGTGGTGTTTACTCAACCAGGAATAGTCACTACAAGCTAAACCATTTTGAAATTTCTAAGTAAAAGTTATGGAGTGATGAAAATTTGGGGGTTTTCTTCCCAACTTTTGATTATAAGTGGTATGTATGATTTGTGGACAATTCAGACCCATCTTATTTTGATGTGGTTATCGTTTTTCTATGGATGTCTGATGGATTGTAGAACAATTTGTAGTAAGATGCATGTATGTGCATGAAGGTTGTTCAGAAATTTCCACAAGGCACTAGGTAATAAGCAATGCTTTCTCTATAATCCCTTTCCATAGATCCAGTCTTCCAAATAGATAGAGCCTAGGGGATATCAAGTTCAGTATGGACCCAGAAGCCACTGTTAAGCTAACAAGGAAACTTAGAATAGAGGTGAATATTTGACAGTGTCGGCAAAATATTCTCCAGGTTTTGAAATCTTCATCAGCCCTCTCATGCTAATTTCCTGTAACCTGTACACCACAGTCCTATAAATTGCAGACTATAAAATCAGAAGAATTGGAAGGGTCTCAGGTCACCTATTTTTGTGGCAATTTGATGTCAAAGTGTTTGTCAGTTCAAGGAGGAATTACTTAGCCAAATTTTCTCATTTTGAGTTACATACTTCACCTGACTCTTCTGTGGAGGACTAGAAGTCTGCAATTACCATTTAAGTTGATAAGTTCTAAAATATGTAATGTATTTTCCACATCTTTGTGTTTGAGGATGTCCTAAGACATGCAGTTTTCAAAACATTGCAACCAAAAGAATTGCGCATTTATTGATGTTCAAAGTTACATAAAATTATGTGTAATTAAATTTGGATATTTTATATGTCTTTGAGAAGAGAAAATTCCTACTAAATGGTATGTTTAATTTATTGTTTTCAAAGTTGATAAAATAAATGGGTAAATAATATCAAGAAGATTGAATAACAAAACTCAACAGAAACATTCTGTTGTATTCACAATGACTATATGTTAACTTTTCCTTTTTATATCATTATAGACTCATGACTTTTTAGAATTACTGTATATCATTGATCTCAGCCAATACTCCCCTTTTCATGCTCATGTCTCTCAGCTTATCCAGTGACAGCCCACTTTAGATTGGCTTCTTTGTCCTTTTGATGCAGTTCCATTAAGTCTTGGAAGCTGCTTTCTTTCTGATACAACAAAATGTTCAAAAATCAATTTGTCTCAACTCCAGACATAAAATCAGCCATTTTTTCAAGGAGAACCAGTTTCTTTTAATAGAACTTGTATTAGAGATATAAATCTGAGATCTAAGGTAGCTTGTGATAAAAATATTAGTATACTTTCCATTTCAGTGACACATATACAGAAAGTATATCTTTATACTTTCTAAAATTTTATTTAAATGTGAATTTATAGATGAATTCATATTACTTTTTGTGATTTTCACTGTGATTGTAGTAGGAAAGTTGTTTTATTGAATTTTTTTCTTACACTGAAATTCTGAATTCTTAAAATATAATTACTTTTTTGCACTAGCAGATTTTACAAGTAAATTGTTGCAAAATAACAATACATTATTAATAATACTATACAATTACTGAATTTCAAAATATTCTAGTGGTTTATTTAGTTTATAGAGTTTATGCTATTAAATATGTGAAGTCAAATTTCTTCTAGAATCGCTTATACTTTCTCAGTCTTTGTGGCTATTTAAATATTTATTGATGAATCTTGTTAGTTATTCTAGATTAGGTCAATTGTTTCAATTTGATTTTCATATGAGAGTTCTGGCATTCTACATCTCACATTTCTAAATTTCTAGAGGGTTGAGGTTTTTCTTGTGGCAATTTTTATTTACTAGAAGGCAGAAAAGTTGGTTCAAACCTGAGAAAGGAGAAAAGAACATTTTAAATAGGCCATTCTCTAACATTTTAAGATTCCATTTGATTTATCTTAACACTAAATACGATGACTTACTACTGTAAGTACCCCTTTGTAATCATGCTTTCTGGAAGAATAAACAAATTTTGCCTACTACTGTTCAATTTCATGTAATATCAGAATCCATACACTTAATTATTGACAATTATTGTTCTGATTTTCTAACATATGAGTAAAACATATTTTTAAAAATTATGATACACTGATCATGTTTTAAAATTCTCATTATATATTTCTAAATATAGTATTTGAATTTTAAAAGGCATTTAATTAAAAAATTGGAATAAGTAGTTTTTCTAGGTTGAAAAAAGCACTGGCATTCTAAATTTAGTCAAACAAAGAAAATACAGATTTATCCTTTGCTCTACCTTCTTCATAATTCCCCTGCAAACTGTCTAGAAACTGGAATTTAACATTCAAAGAAATTCTAAACCCATAAATTTAGAGCCAAACTTCATGTAAATTCCTTATTAGGTATCACATTCTTATTATCCGGTTTGTTTTTTGAGCTTAAAACTACAAAAAAGGAATTATTGGTTGGAAATATGTTTAATCATATGTATCTTATATTTTCATATCCAGATATAAACATTTATTCTGTATTTCTGATTAAAGTAAACTGCAATGCATAATTGAAATTTAGATTTAAAAACACAACTTTTACTACAATACCACCACAAAACATGAAATGCTTAGATATAAATCTAACAACATATGTACATGATTTATGTGAGAAAAACTGCAAAACTCTGATGAAGGAAATTAAAGAAGAACTAAATCAATAGTCTGTGTTAATGGATAGAAAGACTCAATATTGTCAAGATGTCAGTTCTTCCCAACTTGATCTAGAGATTCAATGCAATCTTAAACAAGATCTCAGAAAGTAATTTTGTGGATACAAGCAAATTCATTCTAAAGTTTATATAAAAAGGCAAAAACCCAAAATTGACAATGCAATGTTGAATTAGAACAAAGTGGGAAGATTGACGCTACCCAAATTCAAGGTTAATTATGGAACTACAGAAATTAATACTGTGTGGTATTGGTGAAGGGATAGTCAGAGCAATGAACTATTTAGACAGTCCTCAGAATAAACATATAAATCTAGTCAACTTATCTTTGGCAAAGGGGCAAATGCAGCCTAATAGACCAATGATAATCTTGAAACAAATAGTGCTGGAACAATTGAACATCAGCATGTAAAACATGAATGTAGACGCAGATTTAATACTTTTCACAAAATTTAACGCAAAATGCAGCCATTTTGAAGACAGCTTGGTGGTTTCTAATGACTAAAATCCACAACACTGGCAAGACAAAATGTTAGTGAGGATGTGGAACATCGATTTTTATTTATTGCTTCTGGAAATGAACAATGGTACAGACACTTTAGAAGATAGTTTGGTGGTGTCTTACAAAGCTAAGCATACTCTTTCCATATGATCCAGCAATCTCACTCTTTAGTATTTGCAAAATAAGTTGAAAGTTTATGTCTACACACAAATCTACATGCTGGATATTTATAGCAACTTTATTTATAATTGCCAAAACTTGAATATAACCAAGATGTCCTTTTGTAAGTGAATGAATAAATAAACTGTGGCACATCCAGACAATGAAATATTATTTGGCACTAAAATGAAATAAGCTATCAAGTCATAAGAAGACATGGTGGAAACTCAAATGCATATTCCTAGGTGAAAGAAGCCAATCTAAAAATGCTATATACTGTATGATTCCAACTACATGACATGCTGGATAAGGCAAAGCTCTGAAGACAGTCAAAAAAGATCAATGGTTGCCAGGGGTTCAGGGGATGGAATGAAGAAGTGAAGCACAATGAGAATATTTTGTAAAATACCCTAATGATAGACACACATAATTATACACTTGCCCCAAACCGTATAAAATGTGCAATACGGAGAGTGAACCTAATGTATCCATGAACTTTAGGTGGTTATAATGCGTTACTGTAGGTTCATCAGTTGTAACACATGTACCACTCTGATAGAGGATGTTCGTAATGGGGGAAGCTGTCCATGAGTGAGGGCGGGAGTATATGGAAATCTTTGTTCCTTTCTCTGAATTTTGCTGTGAACCTAAAACTGCTCTAAAAAAAAATAAACTCTTAAAAACATTAGCCCATACTCAATATATATATTTTGTATATATATTTACTGTATCATATATTATATGCATTTGTATTTTTAAGGATACATTTATGCAACATCCATCACAAAGTGATAGATTCATCAAAAAATCTTCATTTCTCTATTTGAAGCCTGGTTTAATCATGAATATTATCAATGAGTACTTGTCACTTAAAAACAATTTTTTAAGATCAATATGTGTTCCTCAATTAGTCTTGGCATTCAGATCATTCTTCACTTGAAGGATTAAAAAACTGGATAAATTTTAATTGTGGCTTTGAAAAAACTTTACTTATAAATTTACTGCAGCTTGATGAATTTTATTGTCATTTGTTGCATCATTTCTTCGTGAATCTTGACTATATCAGCCACTAGATTTCCGATATTTGTATTGCAGTAGTGAAAGCTTAAAGCATTATGATGTTTTTCTTATAAAATACAGTGTACTATTTAAATCTTAAATATTCCTTCTGTATTTCTGATGTATTTCCTTAGAATTTAAAAAAAATTCTGTCAATTTCTGTTTTTTTAAATTCATATTTCCTCATATTTGTACATATTCTTTTATCATTTATTATATTTTATCTACTAAACCTTATCCAGCTTGATTCACCCAGCATTTGTGGTTCAGATCTGGTCAAACAGAAGTGCTTTGAATCCAATATGACTGTAATTTACTGGAATTGTACACCCTGAGTCAGGATTTAGAGCTCAGTATTCTTATCTTGACTGTTTTTGAATCCAGTGAAAACATCAAGGGTTCTCTCCTGGTGTTTTTAGTGAAAGGTTCACTTTTATAACTCCCTATTATTGTAGAAGATTGTTAAAGCTCATACTGAATTGGAAATGTTCTAATATCCTATTGCAGTTTTAGTTGTTTTAATTAATAATAATGCATGCTGCAATATCAAACAACAATATTTCAGTGACTTAATAGGTGGAGAGGCCAAAGGAAAACTTCCCCTTTGCCCTCTGGGCAGTCCCTAAAAATCAAGTTTCAAAAGGTGAAAAGGAAATAAGGAAGTACTTTAGAGGAGTAATAAAAGATTTTTAGGGGAATTCAGTCGGCTTGGAGAGCACACAGTGCCCTGGGACAAAGTCTGCTGGGCCCACAGAACAGACGATGGTTTGTGAAAAATATCTCTCCTGGTGTGTGGAAAGACTTCAGTCTTTCTTCCTGTGATATGAGTTTTAATCTTCTCTGGTTAATAAATTTCAAAGACCATTGTATTCCTCCTCAGCAGGACTGGTCCCTTCATAAATCTTCATTCTGTGCTTTGGGAAAGACAGATAATTTAGTTAGGAGGAGAGAAAGGTCAGAGAGACCTTGACTTTGCTTCTTTAGTTCAGTTCTATTTTGGAGTTAAATAGTCTGGTTTAGTCCATAGGCAAACATTTAATACCTGTTCATACTCTCTGTCTTTGGTAGGTCAAGAGGCTGTCTTAGCTTGTTTGACCTGCTTTGACAAAAATACCATATACTAAGTAGCTGATAAAAAACTGAAATTTACTTCTGAGTTGTAGATACTGGGAAGTCTAAGATCAAGGAAGATTAGGTTTCTGGTGAGGGTTTGCCGTCTGGCTCATAGAGGGCGCCTTTTCTGTCTCCTCACATGGTGAAAGGATTAAATGAGCTCCCTCAAGTTTCTTTTATAAAGGCTCAAACATATTCATGATGGCCCTGCCCATATGATCTGCTTACCTGCTGAAGATCCCACCTCCTAATACTATCATCTAGCGGGTGAGGATTTCATCATACTAGTTTTTGGGGAGGATGTAAACATGCAGACCATAGCAAAGACTTTTCAAGTAACGGCTCAAATACCAGAACCCATTTCATCATCTAGCTTCACCATATCAAAGGAAAGGAAGGGAAGCAGAGAGATGTCAGGCTATTCAAGAGCATTTCATATTTAATTATATGTAAAAGTTACTTTTATATTTTAACTTGACTGGGTCATGTACTGCCCAGACATTTTGCCAGACATTGTCATAGTGTTTCTGTAAACATGTTTTTGGATGAGAAAAACATTTAAATCTGTAGGCTGAGTAAAGCAAGTTACTCTCTGCAATATAGGTAGGCTTCATTCACTCAGTTGAAGGCCTGAGTAGAATAAAATGGCTGACTCTTCAAACTGAGACATCAGCTAGTTTCCTGCTTTTAAACAGAACAGAAATGGTGGCTTTTCCTGTGTGTAAAGTCTGCTGGTTTTTGAGCTGGCTTTTGAACCATCAGTTCTCCTAAGTCTCTAACTTGTTGAATCACCCAGAAAATCGTGGGATGTGTCAGCCTCCATAATCTTATGAGCAGTTTCCTTCTTTATAATCAATTTCTCCCTATGTATATAGATATTATAAGGGACTAGCTTACAATAAATATTAATATTTAAATAGTAAAATACTATATATGTGTATATGTGTGTGTGAGTATATATATATATACCACTGCCATATATATATTTTATATATAATTATATATTAATGATATTAATATATATATATATATATATGGCAGTGAGTGTGTGTATTTGTGTGTGTGTTTTCTATTGGTTCTGTTTCTCTAGAGAACTATAATACAGTATGGATGTGTTGAACACCACCTTTCCCCCCATTATATTGACCAGAACCAGATTTATGGTCTTGTCTAAAAGAAAGGGTGGTAAGTAGTATAGTTTTTCATACATCCAGAAAGAAAATTTAAATGGCTTTATAATTAATAATAATATTTCTGCCTCATTCTGTCCCTCTACTGATCAGTTATGCAGCTCATTTCATTCTTTGTCCCTTAAAGCACCATCAGTTTTTTCAAGGGAATCAAACCCGAGTCCCATTCCAACGTTGAATTCAGTTTGAAATACAGGAATATGTCTAGTTGATATGTAATCTTTTTATCAGACCCAGATATAGCTATTCTTGGAGAATGTGAGCAAGAGTGAGAGGTGTCTCCCTAGCTCCAAATATACAATTATAGAACTCAAATAAAATAACATTAATAAAATTTTTTAAAATTCCAAATATTACAAGGCAGGCATTGCAACATTCTTGCCTGAGAGAGGAGGTAAAGTTCCTTTATTAATTCATTCATCTGCTCTTGGGGATAGGAGAATACTTTGTCCAAGATTATTGACTCTGCATTCTGGGAGGTTTTTCATTTACTCTTTATGGTCATGTCTAAAATAGACATTTTGGAATATGCACTTGTCGGATTCAGTTAACATTTACAGCTCCCTTCCTGAATATGTAAGGAAGAAACAGAAGTTTGTTTTATGTCTTATTTACTCAAAGCATTTTTAGTACAAGCTGGTGATTTCTCAGCAATGGAATTCTCTCAATATTTCAGTAGAGTTCTTTCTGCTTTCAATCAATTTCATGTGCCAATAAATTCAAAATTCTTTCCTAGTTGTTACTCTCAATGCTAGTTTAACAGACTTTCTCAACCCAATTCTCTCAATTCACTGGTGACTGTTTTTAGGCTCTCCAGAAAAAGAGAAGGTAGGATCATTCCCTGAATCTTGTCTTTCTCTTGAGTTGCTGTATTTAGTTGAGAAGTTTCACTGGTCATTTGTCACTCAAAGTATTTATTAAATCCTATTTCTTATTCTTTGGGATCAAAAAGAAGGCCGTGTTTTCACTCATATAAGAACAAAGAAATAAATATCCCAATCTCACTCTTCTCCTAACTTCTGATCTCTTGCTGCTGCTCTCCAATGGCCAAACACATCAGGGAGCAAATGAGACTTTTGGTGCAGGTCAGTGTCCCAGGGCACAAAGCAGAGACGAATGGAGAGTGCATTTGGAGAGACAAAAAGCGGATAGCACAGCACTTACTTCTTACGATTTTTCTTCATGTGGATATGGAAACTCTTTTGGTTCCAGTTTATATTCTTAAGCCCTCCATCGTTAAAGGAACACAGAAATCTTTAGTAACAATTCTAAGACATATTACTACATATTTAAAACCTAGACATATGCAATTGAATTTTTCTTTAAATCATTCATAAATTCACTATCAATCTCATAATTGTGAAATCACAAGATATATCTACTTGAAATTCTGAAGGTGATACCAAATGTTATGTCCAAAAGTGATATGGTTTGGGAAAAAAAATTAGAAAGAGAATATACTAGTATTTCTGCCAATCATGGAAATAATTTAAAAATATTGCGGTTGCTCAACTTGTTCTATAACATAGAAGATTCCATTAATGTTAAAATAAATCTTACTCAAACAATATATTAAAAGGACTTAAACTTTTGCTTTTTATGTTTTTAATTTTTATAATGGCTTGTTGGCATTTCAATATTGTCAAGAAAACACCACGAATACACACCATTAATTTCAGTAATTTTTGGATATTTTACATAATGTATTGCCAATGTAAAAATAACTTGAATGAATTCTTATGACTCCTAAGGGGATTCATATGAACTCATTTCAAGATTATAATAGGGGAACCAAGAATGTTTTTTCTTAGTTTGAACTATGACAAATGTATGAATAAATCGTTATTTGATCCTATTGCCTTAGGAAATTCAAAAGATGCTTATGGGTAAAGAAAAATAAAAAGGAAAAAGCATGACTTAAGACATATCAAAACAAATGTGTATTCAGACTTTTTTAAGTTATAGAATTCTTATATAAAATATATAAAAAATGTATTATACAGATCTAACATAACTTCTTTTTAAATGAAAAATGTCTGTATATTTTTAATGCTTTGCTGCTGCATGTTTGTACTTTGTTTCAAATACCATCAAACTATTAAAACAGCAAATAACTGGGTACAAAAGGATTGACTCAGAATGCCTAATGGAACAGCAGTAACAATCATGAAAAATGTTTAACTTTTTTCAGCACTGGCTTGATGGTATTATTTTGAGCTCATCTAGTATATTGCTGAGGATTGCTAAAAAATGTTAGCAATTTGTGAAAATGCCATCATGTTAATGTACACAACTTTCTGTTCACATTTAATAAAATAGCATACTTTATTTTGCTTTTGTAGATTGCCAAAATAAAATATTTCAGAAAGTTTTCTGAGTAAAAGCTTGGGATTATCATTTTTTCCCTTGAAATTTTGTTGGTAATTCATCTTAAAAAGGCAGTAATAGTAAAGTTTACTAAAGTTTAAACTTGAAAGCAAAAAAATGATTTGAAAAGAATTTGATGTTCACTTGAATGAACAATTGCAATTTATTTTTCATGAATAGTTTAAAATTTGCCTGGATATTCTTCTTTCAAGAAACATCTTTGTTTTGTAATATTGTATTATTCTTTCTTATGACAGCCTTGTCAAAATGATTAGATGTTATTCTTGAAGGATAGTCATTCAACAATTATTATCATCAATTGCATTACAGAAATTTTGCCCCATGCTTTTGTTCCTAGGGCCTTAGTTTAATAGATACCTTGTACTCAGAACATAATTAGGATTCCTGCCTTATAAATAATATTTTATTTTTGCCTTTCAATAATATTATAATATGAAAGAAAAATAAGAAGCAAACAAATTAATGTCATTGATTTTCTTGAGGTAAAAATAAAGTAATGCCTCCAGAGCATGCTTGAGACAAGTATAAATTTAGCCAAAAATATATCCTTTTCTCATGCAGATATGTACAATACATGGCCAAACACAATGTCCAAAATTAGTATCCTAAAAAGTAACATTAAATGCACACGCACTCATGGTCCTGTGTTATAAAAGAGGTTTAATTATGATCACTATCATCTAGTTACAAAGACAAAAAATTCAGCCAAACTGGCTGAAAAAGAAGACGCTTTCTTGTCAATACAACTTTCAGATTTATCTGACCTTTGGACATGTATCTTGGTTTTAAATGTACATATATGCGTATGCATCTATAACTGAATATAACCGTGTGGATGCCATCTATATGTCTATGACTGAAGAAAAAGATAGTGCTATTTTCAAATATGCTGTCAAATGACACTGTTTTAGGCTTTGTAAAATTCATGGGAGGCTAGTCAGCTAGTCATCTTTGGAAGCAAATTGAAGAGTCAAAAGCGGTTAAATTTGCAATATTTTATTCAAATATTCACAATTTTGTAATGCTGAGATCTATTAGAAACCACAGAACACTGAATATCTACTTCCATATTTCATACAGCAAATTAAATGATACAGACTACACTTAATGAAATTCTTGCTCAACATAATGTAAGATAGAGAAAAAAATACATGAACTTTCTGAAGTTGGAGATTGTCAAATAAAATACAAATCAAGACTAGAAGAGAGAGGACCAGTGATATGCTGCAAACTGCTTACCAAAGTTTCCCAATTTTTATCACTGATAACAATGAATTCTCAATAAGTGTTAAATGGTTACTCAATCAAGAAAAGTGTATTTTGCAAATGATCACATAATTTAGATATTAATAATGGAGTGAATGCATGAAGTTTCTCATATTTTTATAGCATTGTGATTTTAGCCATATAGTTTATTTATAATACATGAAAAATTTTAGTGTTTTGGCACATAAATGCTCAAAAGATAATTGAAAATTTACTTAGTATGTGCACAAGTTTCAGCACCCCTAAAGCACATGAATAGAAGTTAATCAACATAATTTTTAAAAAGCATAAATCAGAGTTTTGAGAGTCTGAGTTGGGAGGATTGCTTGAGGCCAGCTTTGGCAACATAGTGAGACCCCATCTATTTAAAAAAAAAAGAAAGAAAAGAAAGAAAGAGAGAGAGAGAGAAGAGGAGAGGAGAGGAAGGAAAAAAGGAAAAGGAAAAGGAAAGGAAGAAAGAAAAGACAAGAAAGAAAGACAAGAAAATAAAAAAAGAAAAAAAATAAGTAGTCTTAGCTACAAGGGAGGCTGAGGCCAGAGGATTACTTGAGCCCAGGAGCTTGAGGCTTCAGGGAGCTATGACTGCACCACTGTACTCCAGCCTAGGCAACAGAGTGAGACCCTATCTCTAGAAAAAATAAATGTGTTAAATATCAGGCCAAAAGTTTAAACTTTACTTAATATGTAATAGAAACCAAAACAAAACCAGTGGATATGGAATAAATTTAGCAGAAGTAAGAATAAAGTAATTCAATGCTATAAAAACATGAAAAGGAAAAGATGAAAACAACATAATATTTGCTCTCATGGAGCTAATAGAAATTGGAGACCAAAGTAAAACAAACAGTTAAAATTCTATAGAAAACATTATAATGGGTTTACCTATATGTGCTATTTGAGGCACAAAAAGTTAGACATTATCTCTATCCTGGAGAAACCAAAGAAACATTTGTGACATATCATTTGACCCAAGTCCTTAAGAATTACTGCAGAATTTTTAATTCTGTATATCCTTCAAATTCAAGTTCATATTTCTTCATTACAGCATTTTAGATGCAGGAACACATAGGTAATTTCTCTTGAATGTCCCTAAAACCATATTTATGCTTTGGAGCTAAACTTCTGTTCTAGTTTATTCTGAGTGTGTATACATATATTATCTACATTAATAATTCAATTTGTGAGAATTTGATTGCAGTTTGATTATATTTATATCTCCCCAAGTACCTACCTAGTGCACTAAATGACTGTAACCTACTTAGGACAGGAAATCCCAAGAGTCATTTTGATTATGTAATGCTTAAATTCAATAGTTGCAATATATGAAGACTCTATTTAGTACCTTGAATCTCAGTAGCAACTACCAGTTACCAGAAAGTTTCTATAACCTAAAGTTATAAGTATTATTAGTGTGTGTGCCTGTGTCTGTGTGTGTGTGAAGAGAGAACAAATGACTGAAAGCACTATAATATTTTAATAGATACAGATTATTTAGTTCTTATTAATACATAGAAGGCATTTTTTTTTTGGAGGCGGAGTCTCGCTCTATCGCCCAGGCTGGAGTGCAGTGGCTCGATCTCCGCTCACTGCAAGCTCCGCCTCCCGGGTTCACGCCATTCTCCTGCCTCAGCCTCCCGAGTAGCTGGGACTGCGGGCGCCCACCACCACGCCCAGCTAATTTTGTGTATTTTTAGTAGAGATGGGGTTTCACCGTGTTGGCCAGGATAGTCTCCATCTCCTGACCTCGTGATCCACCCGCCTCGGCCTCCCAAAGTGCTGAGATTACAGGCGTGAGCCACTGGGCCCGGCCCATAAAAGGCATTTTTTAAAGTTGTTTGAGCTCAAGATCTGGCAGCATAATACTTGAGTAAAAATGTTAAAATAATTGTTATGCCCTAAATACACATTTAAATTAATAGATATTTAAATACATTTAAAGTTGAACTTGAACCTTAGAGTTTTGTAAAACAACTGGTAGTGTAGTCATTTTTTGTTTTAAAGCTCCCTATCAAAATCACATTTCTCTTGCTTCCTATAGTTTGTTATAGAGATATATCTTTAATACAAATTACTCCTTATCATATAATTGGAATTTCGGAAGGGAGGAGTATCTACATTCTGTATTAGAATGTAATGATGTACAAGGTATAAAATGTACAAGGTATAAACTAGCAAAGAAAAAAATTGGTCAGAATATGGGGATTGTCACCTGAGATGAATAGGTGAATTTGCCAAGTATAAGACAGCTATAATTACAAAATTAATAGTTTTGGATACTCTTAAGGATCTAGAGAGATGAAGAAACAAAGGGATGGGCAAGTTTTCTGAAATTGCCATGAAGAAACTGGCATGTTTTGGAATGACAACAGCCAACATGAAAATCTTCGAATATAAAAATATAAAAATTGGAAATAAGTATCAGTCAAAAAATGATGAAAAATCTCTTGGATTTAAATTTGCATTTTGTATATATAAAGAAGAAAACACATTATTGCGGCTAAAAAATGTACAGGGAGAAGTTGAAAGTTAATTTGACTCAGCCTAACAGGCACTTTAATAGACAGTAGTACGTTTCCATTCTTGCATGTTTATTTTTGTTGTTTCGTATAAACCTAGCTTTGTAAAGTGTAACACATCCCTGTAATTAGTATGCACACTGTACCTTGAAACAGAACAAACTATGGTTATTATCTGTACCTTGTCAAGACAAGGTGTGACATTTGATAAATAAAGCATACTTCTGGGAGTTTATAAGGAAAACTGTCTTGAACAATACTGTGGCTTTTCTCTGTATTTTCTACTTATCATCTCTGCGATAGTATTAAATCCAAAAGAAGAGCAATTATTTCTCTTGGGAGTAGAATGAGACAAAAATGTTATGTGGCTGAAGTAAAATAACTCTCCCATCCCTCTTTATTTTTCTTTCCACTGAGCTTGTTTTCTTTTCTTAATTTTCCATTTTCATTTGCTGCATGGGGTCTATTCACCACCTTTCCTACCATCTGTTACCTATCTTCTTTCCACTAGAGAAAATTTAATAGAGTTTAAGGCCAATAACTTCATATGCATTTCCCTTACAATTTTTTTTTCTAATATCCACATTGATCTAAAAAAATCACCATAAGGTGTAGAGCTGTCTCACATAAGGCATTTATTTTAGAGAAAGAAAAAACATTTCTGTAGCTTCTATTTGTAAACTGAATTCCAGTTTAACTCAGTACTTCTGATTTCACTAAAGCATGTACCACATTAAATTCTTTATAAATTTCTGCTACAGAATCGTAAGAAAATCATTTAGCTGCTTAGGATTTTTTTTTTTTTTTTAGAAAAAAGAAGGTTAAATGCTAATTTGTTAAAACATTCCCAAATTTGTCACTTACACACAGCCTTAGCACTAATTACTGCCCTGGGATGATGGGATGCAACTTCCAGCTAGAAAAGAGCAGTGAAGTAGCATCTCAGGACACCAGCTGTCTGGCCAAGAAGCTGTAAACATGTATCCAGAGGCTATTTAGTTCTGGACTAAATTCTTCTAATTCGTCTAATGCTAATGATCAGTTCTGATAGAATTCTACTATCACCTTCTTGTACTATATCTGTTGGAGTTTTTTTGCTTGTTTGTTTTTTTACATTTGCTATTTGTCTGTCTGTCTACCCAACCATTGATGTACTCAGTTTTTACTTTTTAACAGTTGTGTCAGTTGGGAGAATGATGATTTTAAAATGTTTTAATTATCAAGCAAAAGAAATATTTAATATGTCTTTAAATTCATTAAATGTATTTTGGTAGGGCATAAATTAAATGTGTTTAAAATTTCTAATGTCTACAGGCATGGGGGTTTTCTTTATATTGTATCTAGAGAGAATAAGAATACATTCTAATAATAAATTTGGGGTAAATACTGCTTTATTTTTTAACTCACAGACTGGTTAAAAAATGCATAAAGTCAGAAAAAAAATTGTGTGTGTGTGTGTGTGTACTCTAACACCTTGAGATCATTATTTGATTTGTTATTAAATTTCTAAGTAAATGATATTAGATATTAGAAACTATAATTGTATTTCTATGTTTTTACATTTGCGTATGTTCTGAAATCAATTTATGTGAATTTGGAGAAGTATATTCAGAATTCAACCCCTTCTCACTACCTTCATGGCTGCAAACACGATTTGAGTCACTATCATCTTGCATTAGATTAGAGATAATCATATAAATGGTCTCCCCAGTTCTTTCTTGTCACCATGTATTCTCGAACTAGTGATTTCTTTAAAGGACTCTTTTGTCCTAATCCCTTCAACGCCTTCCATTTCACTGAGATAAAAATCCTGATTTCAATATTCTACCAGGTTCTATGTGATTAGGAACTCTATTATCTCTCTAACCCCCTCCCATTCATCTCCCTCTTCCTCACTCCTCCAGCCATGCTAGTCGGTTTGGTGTTCCTTTAAAATCCAAGTATGTTCGTTTCTTAAGGTTTTTGTCCAGAATGCTCTTTTACCATGTAAAAACCTGGGTGACTTGTGCACCATTTTTCAGTTTTTGCTTAAATTTGCTTTTCACTGAGATTTGCCCTAACATTGTTTAAAATTAAATGGTTTTTGGCATACTTGCAACTCTTGTCTCGTTTTCTCCTCTGTGAATGTAATTCATTTGGTTGTTTAGTATCTGATCATTTTCTGTCTCTCTACCATACAATGGAAACTCCAAGAAGGCAGGGACTTTTCTTTTGTTCACCAGTGCATCCCAACCCCTGAGGACACTACCTGGCACCTGGTGGGGGGATCAAGACACGTTTGGTAAGTGAATGTACCTATGTGTTACATTGAGATCAGCACTATAGAGATGGTTGTACTTGGTTATACTGTGGCTGTACTTTGTTTATTTCCCACTCTTCTCTCTCATTTTTAGATCAAGGGCTGTTTTTCCTTCACCTGAATTCACCATGAATCAGAAACAAAGATGTAAAGATATACATGAAACTAAATTTACTTTGAGGGGGGAAATCCGGTGAAACTAATATTGGGTAAGAATAGAGTAAGATTGGAGAGACAATTCATAACAAATGGGAAGAGAAATGTAATATACGGATTTGAAGGTCAAGGGTGAGAAGCCACCAACAGCAAGGACCAGGGAACTGGTACAAAAAGTCTATTGGACAAGCTATTCTCAGGTGTTGATTGAGCTGCACCAAGTCAGTATTTGTAGCAATATACTGGTATCCTGAAAGGAAATGCAGTTCTTGAATAACAGTATTTTAAAATAAATGGTAAAAACAAGAAATTCTGTCAATAGCAAATTATTAAATAGGTTATACTCCATCCACATTATGTGGCATAATTCAGCGGTACAATGTTTAGGTGTAGCTACTGTATAATATGAATATATATGTAAGTATGCATATACACATATATATGTAAATGTGTACACATGCATATAGGTATGCATATATATATGTGTGTGTGTGTGTATATATATATATATGCATATGTAAGCCTAGAGAAAAAAAAGATTGGTGTCCCCAAGCCATTACATATTTTATTTTGTGTATTTATAGAAGGGTGAGGGTGGGGTTGAGTAGGACTTGCAGAAAACTTAACTTTTCTTCCATAAAATATTGGATTTATAAATAATACCAATAAATACCTTTTTGTAAATACAAAAGGTTCTTTTAGAAAAAAAAAACTTGCCTCCCTAAGTTTATAAAGCAATCTCACTTATCAAACTCGCATATAATTAGCCTTTCCAAAAGAAGTGATAACAAGTGAAAGTTGCCATAAAACAATAGCACTTATCTAATAAGCTAATAAGCTCAATATGACATTTCATTTTACTGACTCTTTAAAACTAGTCTTTTTACTTGCATTTCACATTACATTCACTATGGTTATGATATTCTAGTGTTTTTATATTCTAAGGCATGTCATTGAATAATGAGTTTACACATGACCTCTTTATGTTTCCTCATAGATGTTAAATATGTTAAGGAGTGTATGTGTGTATTGTTTTTTGTTTGTTTGAAAAATTGCCCCTTTTTCTTTGGTGACTGTTAATAGAGTTGTTGATGCTGTTATTCACTTCTATGGTGTAACTCAAACAATCCAATTTTTTGAAAAAACATGTACATAAAGTATAATCTGTGTACATTCTTACAAAGCCTTCATTTGAGTTAACAAAAATGTCTACTGAATTTAAAACTATACTAATAACTGAATATCATATGTTTTTCTTTGAAAAAGATTTACTCCAATACTACCATTTAATCAAGAATTCCTTCAGAAAATTTGAAGACTGACGCAAAGCATTCAGAAAAGATAACCTACTTCATTTTCGCTCTCTAGGCTCGATAGGAAGAGGCTGAAGTGCATTACAGTATCGACATTGTTCTATTTTTAGTTAATCTGAATCCAAAAGTGGCTCTGAGACTAGATATTAAATGTAATGAAGCAATAGCTTATTTGGAAAATCAGTTGCATATTCAAATCAGAATAATTTAACAAACTTATGAAATTGATTTTATCTAGAAGTCTTAGCAGCATTTTTGAATTTGCTCATGGCCACATATTAACTGATTATAAATGAATGTTTTAACACTGATGTGTATGACAGCCATAATTCCATAAGGTTTTATATGTAAAAATGTAGCAAACTGACTATAAAGTTTCTTCAATGAATATTCTTCACTTGTGCCTGTGTGCATTAGCTCTACAATGGATGATTATATTTTTATTGTATTTTTATAGACTTGAAAAATGTTTTTAAGAGCATCTTTTGAAATGTGAGCCTTAAGTGTATGTGTGTGTATAAATATATAAAATATATGTAATATATAATATATATAATACATAAATATATATGTATATATATAACATACAAAATAGTGTCTGGAACACAGTAAACATTATGTTAATGTTTTATAGTTATTAACTCATTTAATCATTCTTTTAAGCAATATATTACAAAATGCTTGGCTTGAATGAGTCTACCTAATTTTTGCTAGCCTTTCCATTACAGGTTAAAGATTTATCTTTCTACATAACAGTTACTTTATGCAGCTTCAACAGCACATCAATTTCTATTTTCATTGAAAGCACTGTATTATTTCCTAGCCATGAGGAAACATTTGGGGGACCTTATTTAAATTCTACCCAAGAGTCTTCTCTAAGAAAACTCTGCTCCCCAAAGAGAAATTGTCCTTTTAATAATATATTCTTAGATTAGAAGCTCAACATGCTGTAATTTTCTCGTGAAACATCCTGAGTTGGCTGTTCATAGGTGCCTACTTGTGGTGATTGGCGTCCATTAATCCTGGTGAGGATATGAAAACCACACAGCTACTAGTTTGACAACCACTGCAGCAGTGCCTCATGAACATAGTGTTTTCATCGTTCTTCCAAACACTGTCAATTAGGCCTTTGAGGTATAGATTTGCAGTATAAGTAAAGGACAGTTTGGTAGCCATGTAGCAAGGATGAGCTAAAAAGACCATACCAATTTGAGCTCAGTAAGTTCCAGTACATACACAAAACTGAGCCCACATCAAAACAGAATTTTTACACCAGGAGCAACTTTGAATCTTCATTGGGCTTGCATGAAAATGTCAGTGTGGCTTATGGTGAAGAATGGGCTCAAATTATATAAAGCTGAGTAGGGTAAAGACTGAATGAAAGATAGATTATATTCTACTTGAGTAGAGTCAGTAATGGATAACAAGGCATAAGGACATAATTTCACATTTGAATGGTGTTTTATTTTGAAGATATGTAAGAATGCACACATATACTACTATACACATACATACATATGCATTCACCAGGACTATGTCTATATTTCTTATTGCATTATCATATGTTGTGTCTATTTGTCCTGTTTGTGCAGTAGTTTCCTATAAAAGTGAGTGAAATAGATGTAACAATAATGAAAATGCAGAATATCATAATTGAAATTTAGATTATTTTAATCTTTCTAATTATCTGAATTTATTTTCACATTAAATACCCATTATACCAAGAATAATTCCTTCAGTTCATCAGATGTGATACTACCATTGTGATCTTGTAAAAATAAACTTTACATGGGTTGGGCATATTCTCCATCTATATTAAATTGTTTTAAAAACAATATTTAAAGCACATCTTATCTCAATGATTGTTTTGTTAATTTCATGTTTGAAGAAAGAGAGAAAAATGAATAGCATATTTACCTCAATACTACCAGTTCATCAATAATCTGTTCAGAAAATTTAAAGACTGAAACATAGCAATCAGAAAGGATAGTTACCTTATTATTACTTTATTGGCTCTATAGAAAGAGGTTGGAATTCTTTATGTCATCAAAATTGTTTTTTTTTTTTCTTTAGTTAATCTGAGTCAAAAAGTGCCTCTGCAGGCTGGACCTTAAATATAATGAAGCTAGAAATCGTGCATGCTATAGTAAAACCTGGCGTATCTCCTAGAATCACATGCTCTCTTTCCTCTGAGAACTGTTAGAATGAATCCTTCAGTTATGGAAAATATAAACCAATACTAATTCACTAATTTGGGTCATGCACTTTTACACTGAGATGTCAGTGTTAGAAATGTCATTTAGGTCTCTCAGTATCATTAAGCCCTGGCACGGTGAGAAGAATGTTTTACCACAAGTCTGAACCACAGTTTCCCCCTTGCTAGAAATGTATGCACATGTTTTTTTCCAAAAGATAACGTGAAAATCAAGAATAAAAATTGTTGTGACGAAGATGAAGTCAGTGTATCTTCGGTTTGTGATGTTAGCAACTCAGAGCCTGGATAGTCTATCAAATTCCATATGTGATGCCACTCCAGATAGTTTTTCTCAGAGGTTGGAAAATATAAATACTGAAATATTGAAATTGCTTTGCTTTGTTATGGAGACTATTACAGAATGTTAGTTGATCCCCGTCTCTGCCCTCCACAAATCTATTCTCTCCATTTTTCATAGTTTTGGAAGGTTATCGAGGCACGTGGTTTTGTGAAGATTACATTTCACACCTAGCCTTACAAGTAACTTTAACCATGTGACTAATCTCTTGGCAGTAGAATGTGAGTGCAAGCAATGGTACAAATGCCAGACGACTTGTTAGCTAGCCATTTCATTTCTTTTCTATTTCCACCAGCTGGAATTTAGGGATGAAGTTTTAACAGCTTTGGCTATGAATAGTATAACATCTTAGGATGATGAAGCAAGAAGGTGGAAGAAAAAATGGAGTAAAACTACTTACCCATCCCAGCACCCTCATTTATTTCCAGACTGTCATGTGAGAGATAAGGAGACATATATTTGAGAATCCATTTCAGCACCCTATGCTTATATCTTAACCAATACAGGAATCAGACCACACATAAGTTGAGGGTTTTCACTACACTTCATAGTGATTCTCACTGCCATTTACTTGAAGACAGAAATTAGGCAGTAGTTAGATTTGAGATAGAAGGGCTTTATCTTTTTATTTTTCTTAGTATTTGGTTGAAATATCATGGAATCCATTTGTAAAAAGGTATGGCAATTCTCATAGACGAATGTTGAGATGACTTCACAACAATTAGACGTGTTAAAAACTAGGCAACAACTAACAATTTTGAGACCAGTATTTGAAAATTAACTTTAAAGAAATTATACAGGAAACATTCACATTATAATAATTTGACATTCACAAAAATTCTAGGTTAGAGATACATTTTGAGAAGGACTAAATATCAAAACTAACTTTCAAGTCCAATTACTAATATTTAGATGTTTAAAAAAGAATACAACTGAACATAATTAGCTCTAAACATTGGGATATTAAAGATAATTATTTTAAAAATTCAAAATGTGAATTGCTTTTATCCCAATAGAATAGAAAATTATGTTTTCAATAAAATTTTTAAACATGAAATAGGTTGGTGCTAATCTATGATGCTCCTTTTAATGAGTATTTATTTTCCATATGCAAAATATGTTTATGTTCCTCTCAATGTTCTCAATTTTTTTATTTTATTACGATATCAGTTCGAAGTTCAAAATCTCATCAGCTCTAAACATTTAGAGGTCGTTTTCCAATCTTTTAAATCAAGTACCATTGAAAATCTTGAATATACTCTGTTAAGTAAAGATTCCCAAAATGTAATTCTTCTCCATATGTGAATTCAGGACACTAAAGGAATAATTTATCTTACCTTAACATTCTCAATATAACGTGGTGATATGTGCATAGCATAAGCCTTACAGACATTCCAGTTCAAAAAATGGAGTATGTAGAAGGCAAAAATAATTCTCTGATTCAAAGAATCTGTCAACTTAACAAAACATATCAGAGAAAAATGTATTTTAAAATAATGATTTTATTAGAGAATAAGCAGAAAGTATTGTATTCTGGGATGCACAGATATAGCAAGCCACAAATGCATCTGAAGCAGGGAGGGTAAAGGGAAGGTTTCTTTCTTTTCTTTTCTTTTCTCTTTCTTTCTTTTCTTTTCTTTTTTCTTTCTTTTCTTTTCTTTTCTTTTCTTTCTTTCTTTCTTTCTTTCTTTCTTTCTTTCTTTCTTTCTTTCTTTCTTTCTTTCTTTCTTTCTTTCTTCTTTCTTTCTTCCTTACTTTTTCTGGCAAAAAAGGAGTTTATTTAAGCTGCTTGGAAACAGAGTTTATTGGTTTTTGAAGCCCAAAGTCAAAGATGCCATCAGTACATTGTAATTCATTGGTGGAGATGCTGTTACTGGGAAAATGTTCTTTCTGGAGTTGCTACGTGCCTATACAATGCCTAGTGATAAATCTTGTCGTAGAAACGTGTACATATGCAAAATATGCAAGCTGTTTAAAGCATGAGATGCATGAAGGGTGTGAGAGAATTGATTGCGGGGTTATTTTTAAAAGTCTTTGAAACAGTTTTGATCCTCATACATGCAAGCATGAACTCCTCTCCTTTGTACTCTCCTGGCCCCAATATTTCTTGCTCTGACTACACTGACTTCATCATAGTATCTTAGACTTTCATAGTTTTAATATCAACTGGGCAAATTCAAGCTAGAGTTCTTCAACTGGGTTTCAGGCTTGGGATGAATCCTTTGTGGTTCTCAGTTACGTTCTCTGAACTCTTGGTTCTGACTACTAGGCTTTTAGTTCTAACCCCTGATTTCTAGCTTCTACCCTCTGAGTCATCCGTCATATTTCATGGAAATTACCACCTGCTTCGAACTAACTAGTTTATCAGCCTACGCTGGCCAGTATAATTTTGGGGGTCCAACAGGATTCTTCCATTCTGTGCTCTCTCTGTCCTTTTCAGTCCCAAACGGAAGGATTTCTGATGGGAAAAATTCAAGAAAATCATGGGCCATGCATGAATTGCACTGGGTTTCACCCTCTTAGACAAAATCCATTTCCAGACATATTCCTGCTGTAATATTTTTTCTATTGTTGGCTTTAGTCAAGATGGCTGTGGGAAGCTCTTAAGCTTCCTCTGATTTGATTAAGAAGAACTTTGAAGCACACCCTTCCTCTATTGTGCATAAACATACTGACATGTTGATCTGTCCAAAAATTCAGGAAAAAACTTGTACAGAAATATGCTCCCTTTTTTCTATACCACACTTTAAGCTGGGATATCATACTTTTAGTATTGTTACTATCTGAACAGGCTAAAATTTCCAAAATCTCTACCTGGTTGCCTTTTGTCTAATAACTATTACCTTAATATATTTCTCTTTCCTTGCATTTTACTGTAAGCAAGAAGAAGCCAGGCATTATATTCAACACTTTATTGAAAGACTTCTTACTTATATTGAGGTTTGGCACTTAAAAGTTCTGCTTTCTTGATATTTGTAGGATGCAATTTTGCCAAGCTTTCTTAACCACATTTCTCAAACTCCTTCCTGTAGTTTGGAATAGGATGTCCTCATGACTTCTGAGCCCTCCCTAGCAGTATTCCTTTTTTTTTTGTTTTGTTTTGAGATAGAGTCTGGCTCTGTCGCTTGGCTGGAGTGCAGTGGAGCGATCTTGGCTCACTGCAGTCTCTGCCTCCCGGGTTCCAGCAATTCCCCTGCCTCCGCCTCTCAAGTAGCTGGGACCTCAGGTGCGCGTCACCATGCCTGGCTAATTTTTTTGCATTTTTTAGTAGAGACGGGGTTTCACTATGTTGGCCAGGATGGTCTCGATCTCCTGACCTCGTGATACGCCCACTTTGGCCTCCCAAAGTGCTGGGATTACAGGAATGGTCCACGGCGCCCGGACAGCAGTATTCTTAAAGTCCTAATTTCTGATAATGGTCTTCACGTGACAATTTGTGCTTTCTCTAAGGCAGTTTAGGATTTCTCTCTCGTGTTCCTTTCTTTTTTTGAGCCCTCCTCAACATCTTCAGTAATCCATACTTTTACTAAAAATCTGTTTAAGGTAATTCAGGCTATTTCTACCATACTCTTCAGAATTCTTCCAGCCTTCGTGCACTACCCAATTCCAAAGCCACTCTAGCATTTTATGTATTTCTTTCAGTAGCACTCTGTTTTAAGTACCAAAACTTTTTATTAGTTTCCTATTTCTGCATAATAAATGATCATGAAATCAATTCAGAACCTTGAATAATTATTTTTCTACCTAGTCATCAAGTCACACACCATATACTTACATTATATCCAGCTACCTTATAACTGGCAATTATAAAATTTTAACATCAAATTTACTTCACATTCCTGAATACTATGCAAAAGCATAGTTACTATGAATTTTTCAGAGTAGGTTGGGGATGTATTTTCCAATTTAATGAAATAAGAAAACATTCTAAGGTGGTAACACAGCTGCAGCTAGATAAAGGAAATATATCCCCGAGTTTTCATGTAAATCAGCTATGTTGTAATAATCTGAGGGAAAAAAATTAATGATTAAATGGTAAAGGAAAACATAGTTACTGTAATAATCAAATGCCAAACTTATTTCAAAGCAAAGCTTCAAAAATGTATTTGTCATTTATTATTAAAGCCTGAGATATGAGATCTCAAAAACACATTTTTATAAATGTAACTCCTAAAATAATTTCAAACACTTCCTGCTGACAGTTATCAACTAATGATGCACATTAAAACTAGTGAAACAACTGTATTAAACATTTGTTAACAAACTGCCATAGAATTTAATTCTAGTAAGCTTTAATTTCTCTTTTATAGGTAGAAATTTCACAAATTGATGGAAAAATTAATGTGTTTTTATTGAGAAATATGTTAGCTTCAACAAATATTTATTAATGGAAGATATTTACTAAATATTTTCATGTTGACTGTTTCATTCAAATATCACAATGATCCTAAAGGTTGGTTATCATTAATCACAATTTTATAGATGACAAAGCAAACCCAGAGTTCCTTAGTGATAATTATATATCCAGATAACTGCTAAAGTAGATTTTTATCCAAGTATTATTAAACTAAGTACAATGTTTTCCTCTTATTCTATGAGAATAATGAATAAACATTTTTACCTTAACAATAAAATTAGCATCTCTTTACGATGATTAAGTGTGTGTGTTTGTGTGTGTGTGTGCACAGATCATAAATTAGATATGTTTTGCCTTATTTCCTTGTATTAGTTAGAATTATTATCAACTAGAAAAGTATAGCTTGTAAATAACTATTTTCATTTTAATATACCTACAGATACTAAGAATTTATTTTCATGATTTTTATCTATCATTTTCCTTTGATTTTTGGTATAATTCATGAAGATAATTTTTTTAATACAAAAGTTTTTCTTTTCTAAATAGTTCTATATAATATTGGCAGCCTTAATTGTGTTCTGATGGTCTTTCTCTAAGTTGGAAATTATTTTTTGATCTTAACATTTAATATTAATATTTTTTTCCGAATTTTTGTTATACATAACATTTTATCAAAAGTGTTAGAGGTTTTAAACATTTTTTTCAAGTTTTCTTGCAATTTCACGAAAGTAATGTGCTGTAACCTGCTAGCTGAGCTTAAAATCTTCTGCTTTCTCTGAGTTGACAGATTGACTACATTTCCAAGCTTCTGTTGTTAAGTGTGGCAATATGACTAAACCAATGGAGTAAGAGGGGAAGGGATGCATGCCTGTGAAAATTCTGACCCATTAAAATTACTCTTTTCAACTTCCCCAAGTTCTTTTCCCCTTAGTTGGCTAGAATGAATAAAACTCCCAAGACAAACTTGGAAACTATGTGTGGGATATACAAAGGTCTCTGGCAGTCTAGTTCCTTGAATGGACATGGGAGAATGCAGGAGAGATGTTCTGAAAACATAGGCATACACCATCCACTGTTACACAATTAAAAACAAAAACAAGGCCAGGCGCGGTGGCTCACGCCTGTAATCCCAGCACTTTGGGAGGCCGAGGCGGGTGGATCAGAAGGTCAGGAGATCGAGACCTTCCTGGCTAACACGGTGAAACCTCGTCTCTACTAAACAATACAAAACAAAATTAGCCGGGCGTGGTGGCGGGCGCCTGTAGTCTCAGCTACTCGGGAGGCTGAGGCAGGAGAATGGCGTGAACCCGGGAGGCGGAGCTTGCAGTGAGCCGGGATTGCGCCACTGCACTCCAGCCTGGCCGACAGAGCGAGACTCCATCTCAAAAAAAAAAAAAAAACAAAAAAACAAAAAAACAAAACAAAAAGAAAACATTCTTTTGGTGTACTGAGCTATTATGTATTTTGTTTCTGTTTTTTTATAGCTGTTAGCACCCTTTCTCTCCCCACCCCAAAAAACAAAAACAAGTTGTCTGTTCTGAATATAAGTTCAGTTCCCTTCTGTGAAATTGCTGACTATGGTCACATTTGTTAGCCCTTACAGAGTGAAAACTTTTGTTCAATATTTTAGGCTGATTTAAGCTCTATAACTTACTTTTTAGTCTTCTTTCAGTTATTTCCTAAGCATATCTTTTTCATTCATAGCTCATTAGGATATCAGAACCAGTGTGACAGTACCCTTCCTTCCAATTGCTAGCCTTCTTAGAAGCCTGCTTCGTTATTACTACCCTCATTCATTCATCCTGACACTGGTAAAGTGTCGATTGCTCCATGTGATTTCCTCAGAAGCTGGATCCTCTGTCAGAGGGCACTTCCTTTCTTCTCTCTTTCTTTTTATGCTTCATTGCCTGGAGCTCTGGCAGATTTTTTTTAAATTTTATTCAGTTCCCCAATGGGGTAGACCAAAGTTTAGGAATCCCCAGTTCTCCCCAGTGAAGTCTAGTAGTCCCCAAAACTCATTCTGGTTTTATTACCATCATTGTATATCACATTTGTGGGAATATTGATATATAGATGAATTCCTTGTTTCTAGCAATATCACAGACTGATAGTATTGTATTTATTATATTAGTTTGGTCATTTATGTAGAAAATTAGAGAAAAGGGGAGTCAGTTTTATGGACTTAGAATATCATGTTAAATTTGGAAGCCAAAATTCTATGCTAAATAATTAGGTATTTCTGGAATTACATATGGATATATAAGTATGTTAATCTATTAAATATTACCAACAAAAAACATTATAACATTTAATAACTGCATAAATTTAAATATCACTTACTTTCAAATTCATATTTGCATTTTAAGCCAGGGCAAAGTAGCATTGAAATAGACTTGTAGGCAAGAAAGAGTAGTAAAACTATTGTAGGAGTGCTGGTAAGAAAATGTTTAATTATTCTAAATAATGTTTAAAGACACAAGATGTGAAAGTTAAATAAATGTAAGAAAAATTTTTATGTAAAGAGAAACAATTTTCTAGAAGTCAGTTTTAGCATCAAAGTTAGAAAATATTCTCAATTCTAACCTAGAGATAAATTCTAAACAATGGATTTTAAGGGACTCTCAAATTAAAAGAATTTTTAAAAACAACATTATAAGATTAATCTTGACAAATATCAATAATCAGAAAAACTCCTACTCTAGAAAAAGAAGAAAACAGATTGCTCGACGAAGGAAAAGTAAATAAAATTACAGTCAGTCGCAACAACATAGTCAGGGTTTATATTTGTGTGGTAGTCCTGTATGAATCCTTGAAATGTCTAGTACTTTAGAGAATACGGTTTGGAGAAATCTGTTCTCACAAACATTGCCATTTGTGGGAAAAATCTTTCCATGAGAATTACTGTGATTCTAATTATATATAGTTAATTCTAACTATATTATATATATATATAGTTGTGTATTCACACATACACACTTGTACATGCTGTTTTTCTATTAAAAATAAAAATATAAATTAACAGATATTTATGCAGAATGATTTATGACATTTGAAAATAAGCACTTGTGACAAAGGTTTAATAAATAGATAAAACTGTACATAAACTGCAGAAGCATAAATAATGGTGTTAGCTGATTAAATTCTAATATTTTAATATGTTATCTCTATAAATGATTCAATAGAAATATATTTAAAGGATTTTATTTTTAATTTATTTAAAATTTTTATTTCCAATTTTTATTTAAGTTCAGGGGTACATGGTCAGGATGAGAAGGTTTGTTACATAGGTGTATTAGTTTGTTCTCACACTGATATGAAGAAATACCCAAGACTGGGTAATTTATTTATGAAAGAGGTTTAATTGACTCAGAGTTTCCCATATCTGGGGAGGTCTCAGGAAACTTACAATCATGGCAGAAGGTGAAGGGGAAGTAAGCACCTTCTTCACAAGGTGTCAGGACAGAGACGAACAAAGGAGGAACTTCCAAACGCTTATAAAACCATCAGATCTCATGAGAACTCACTCACTATCAGGAGAACAGCATGGGGGAAACTGCCCCCGTGATCCAATCACCTCCCTCCCTTGACATGTGGGGATTACAGGTCCCTCCCTGGACACATGAATTACAATTCAAGATGAGATTTCGGTGGGGACACAGAGCCAAACTATATCAATAGGTAAACGTTTGCCATGTTGATCTACTGCACAGATCATCCCATCACCCAGGTATTAAGCCCAGCATCCATTAGCTATTCTTCCTGATCCTCTCCCTCCTTCTACTCCCCACTCCGATAGCCCCCAGTATGTGTTGTTCACCACCGTGTGTTTATATGTTCTCATCATTTGGCTCCCACTTATAAGTAAGAACATGTAGTATTTGGTTTTCTGTTCCTGCATTAGTTTGCTAAGGATAGCTCTAGCTCTATCCATGTCTATCCATATCTTCCAGCTTTATCCATGTCCCTGCAAAGGGCATGATCTCGTTCCTTATTAGGACCACAGAGTATTGCATGGTGTACATGTACCACATTTTCTTTATCCAGTCTATTACTGATGGGCATTTAGGTTGATTCTATGTCTTTGCTATTGTGAATAGTCCTGCAATAAACATACATGTCCATGTGTCTTTATAATAGAATGACTTATATTCCTTTGGGTATATATACCCAGAAATGGGATAGCTGGGTTGAATGGTATTTCTGCCTCTATGTCTTTGAGTAATTGCCACAATGTATTCCACAATGGTTGAACATATTTACACTCCCAACAGCAGTATAAAAGCATTCCTTTTTCTCCACAACCTCACCAGCATCTGTTTGTTTTTTTGACTTTTTAGTAATAGCCATTCTGACTGTTGTGAGATAGTATCTCATTGTGGTTTTGATTTGCATTTCTCTAATGATCAGTGATGTCGAGTTTTTTTTCATATGTTTTTTGTCTGCATGTATGTCTTCTTTTGAGAAGTGTCTGTGCATGTCCATTGCCTACTCAAAAAAATTTTTTTCTTGTAAATTTAAGTTCCTTATTGATGCTGGATATCAGACTTTTGTCAGATGGATAGATTGCATAAGTTTTCTCTCATTCTGTAGGTTGTCTGTTTACTCTGTTGATAGTTTATTTTGCAATGCAGAGATCTTTAGTTTAACTAGATCCCATTTGTCAAATTTTGCTTTTATTGCAATTGCTTTCGGCATCTTCATCAGGAAATCTTTGCCTGTGCCTGTGACCTGAATGGTATTGGCTAGGTTTTCTTCTAGGGTTTCTATAGTTTTGGGTTTTACATTTAAATCTTTAATTCATCTTGAGTTGATTTTTGTCTGTGGTATAAGGAAGGGGCCCAATTTCAATTTTCTGCATGTGGCTAGCCAGTTCTCCCAGCACTATCTATTAAATAGGGAATTCTTTCCCAATTTCTGGTTTTTGTCAGGTTTGTCGAAGATCACATAGTTGTAGGTGTGTGGTCTTATTTCTGGGTTCTCTATTCTTTTCCACTGGTCAATGTGTCTGTTCTTGTACCAGTACCATGCTGTTTTGGTCACTGTGGCCTTGTGGTATAGTTTGAAGTCAGGTAGTTTGATGCCTCCAGCTTTATTCCTTTTGCTTAGCACGTCCTTGGCTATTCAGGGTCTGTTTCAGTTCCATATGAATTTTAAAATAGTTTGTTTCTCATTCTGTGAAGAAGGTCAATGGTGGTTTAATGGGAATAGCATTGAATCTATAAATTCCTTTGGGCAGTCTGACCATTTTCATGATACTGATTCTTCCTATCCATGAGCATTTTTCCTGTTTGTTTGTGTCATCTCTGATTTTTTTGAGCAGTAGTTTGTAGTTCTTGAAGAGGTCCTTCATTTCCCTTGTTAACTTAATTCATAGGTATTTTATTCATTTTGTGGCAATTGTGAATGAAAGCCTGTTCCTGATTTTGCTCTAAGCTTGCCTTTTCCTGGTTTATAGGAATGCTAGCAATTTTTGCACATTGATTTTGTATCCTGAGCCCTTGCTGAATTTGCTTATTAGCTTAAGAAACTTTTGGGCTGAGCTGATGGAGATTTCTAGATATAGGATCATGTCATCTGCATACAAAGACAGATTGATTTCCTTTTTTTTACTTTATTTTTTTTTTACAATTTATAAATGATTTTATTTATTTATTTATTTATTTTATTATTATTATACTTTAAGTTTTAGGGTACATGTGCACAATGTGCAGGTTAGTTACATATGTGTACATGTGCCATGCTGGTGTGCTGCACCCATTAACTCATCATTTAGCATTAGGTATATCTCCTAATGCTATCCCTCCCCCCTCCCCCGACCCCAGAACAGTCCCCAGAGTGTGATTGATTTCCTTTTAATTCACTATTTCTTCCTCTTGCCTGATTGCCCTGGCCAGAACTTCCAATACTATGTTAAATAGGAGTAGTGAGAGAGGACATCTTTGTCTTTTGCTGGTTTTCAAGGGGAATGTTTCCAGCTTTTGCCTATTCAGTATGATAGGCAAAAGCTGTGGATTTGTCATATATGACTCTTATTATTTTGAGATATGTTCCTTCAACACCTAGTTTGTTAAGAGTTTTTAGCATGAAGGATGTTTAATTTTATCAAAGACATTTTCTGTATCTATTGAGATAATCGTGTGGTTTTTGTCTTTAGTTCTGTTGATGTTACGAATCGCATTTATTGATTTGCATATGTTGAATTAGCCTCGTATCCCAGGGATGAAGCCTACTTGATCGTGGTGAATAAGCTTTTTGGTGTGCTGCTAGATTCGGTTTGCCAGTATTTTGTGGAGGATTTTTGCGTCAATGTTTATCAAGGATATTGGCCTGAAGATTTCTTTTTTTGTTATATCTCTGCTACGTTTTGGTGTCAGGATGATGCCGGCCTCATAGAACGAGTTAGGAAGGAGTCAGTGCTTTTTAATTTTTTGGAATAGTCTGAGTAAAAATGGTACCAGCTCTTCTTTGTACCTCTGAGAGAATTCAGCTGTGACTCCATCTGGTCCTGGGTTTTTTGTTTGTTTGTTTGTTTGTTTTTCGTTGGTAGGCTATTTATTACTGCCTCAATTTCAGAACTTGTTATTGGTCTATCAGGGATTCAATTCAGTCTTGGGTGGGTGTACATGTCCAGGAATTTATCCATTTCTTCTAGATTTTCTACTTTATGGGCTGCCATAACAAAGTATTGCCAACCAGGTGGCCTTGAAAACAGAAATGTATTGTCTTATAATTCTGGGAGCTAGAAGCCTGAGATCAAGGTGTTGGCAGGGTTATTTTCTTCTGGGAATTGTGAAGGAGAATCTGTTTTATGTCTAACTCCTGACATCTGGAGGTTCACTAGAAATCCTTGGCATTCCTTGGCTTATAGAAGCATCACTCCAATGTCTGCCTTGATGTACCCAAAGTGTTTTCCCTGTACACATGTTTGTGTCCGAATTTACCCTTTTATAAAGAGGCTAGTCATACTGAATTAGGGTCATACCCTACTCCTGTATGACCTAATTTTAACTAATTACATTTGCAACAATCATACAGCCAAATTAGGTTACATTCTGTGGTATTGAGGGTTAGTACTTCAACATCCAAATTTTTGAAGGACACAATTCAACAGGTTGCAGTCATAAAGAATATTTTCCAAAAATACTTTGCAAACAAGTCCCTGAATACAGTGAATAGAACATGAAATGGAGCTTAAAACATGTCTTTTGACATAAAATAAAAGGCCTAGGGATCCTTAATTCTTCAAAGCCAAAATAACGAAGTTGAGACATTAAAGGGCAAATGTGAGTTACTGTTTTTCATTTAGTTGTCTGTTTTTTTTTAATTTGATACTGTATTTAAAATATATTGTTCCATTGTATCATCTTAAGGCTGGTGTAATGATAAGTTTGTAATCCTTAACAGTATCAATGACAATGATAAACATTGAAAAGGCAACAGAGGAAAGCATGGTGTTTTGTGCCAGAACATAGAGGAGTTTTGAAGATATTGAGTTGAATTTAAAATGTCTACCAGGAAAGTAGTTTCAACCTCAAGGAAAAGGAAGAAACTATCAATGGAATGAAAATTACACTTTATCAGAGATATCTACTTCTTAACGAAGGTTCCATTTTTATAGAGAAATAGCATAAATTACCCAAAAAGTTATCAAAATTGGCTGCTAGAATAGAATTTAAGTGCAGAGTAAACAGGGAATTTGAGAAGATGTAGTGTCTTAAAATTCTGTAAATTTTAATAAGTATGAAGCAACAGATTATTATCACACTGAATTGAATTTTCAGTTAAATTCAGTAATTTGCAGTCATATGCCTTTTCTGTTTTCCTGTATTCATTACTTGTAAGTCAACAAAAGCCATTTCTGAAAACAAAATTAGACTTTAAAAAGTTTTCTTTATATTTTAGATTCATATTCTAATATATACAAATATTTTATATAACTGTTTTATTGTTCATTTTGTTATTTGGTATTTGCAATTTCTAGATAAATAATTGGCTCTATATTCTGTTCATATCCAACATATTCCAACAGAGGACACTTAATATTTCCATAAAAATAAAAATGCTGGTGAAAATGTGTCCATTTTTACAGTCTATTTACTCAGCATTATTGCTCATTCATATTTATTTGTTATTTTCCTGCATTTTCTGCAATAGTTATCATATCTCAAACTGACAGCTTCCAAAATTACTATTGAGTCCAATTCTTTTTTGTGGATATAGGTAGAATTGATTACCACCCTCTTTGATACTCAGGGGACTTTTTTCTGAATTGCTGCACATAAGCAAAATATTTAATGCTTATGCATATAGGGCTAAGTATAGAATAGACACTTAAGAAAAGCTTTTAAATAAATGAATGTGCTATGGATAGATTAAGAGCTAAGAGAGCATATGACAAAATGAATGCAGTAATCAGTGAATGACAAGAAAAACTGCTAACCCCGAATTATAAAAAGATTTTTCATTTATGGATTTGCCAATTTTTATCAACTGGATATCATTACCATCGATACTAATGAGGTGAGTGTTAATAAGTATATATTATTTAATTTCTGAGAATAGTACTCCTGAAGAAGATTATATAAAAGAATAACACTAGAAGGGGAACATCATCCCCAAATATGAAGATTCAGAAATCATTGTGCACTATCCTTAAATTTAAAAAAAATATATATATGTGTGTGTGTGTGTGTGTGTGTAATTTGTAGGTGTGAGTTTATTGTGTTTGAAAGATAAAGCAGCTTTATATTTAATTAAATTGGTTTTTTGAATCACACTTAAGCAAATACTTAACACTTGCACAAAATCATGTCTGACTTTCTAAATTCTTTCTAATACTTTTTGTTTTGTAAATTTTTCTACACATGAATTATATTACAAATTATGTTGTAATTCAAATTTGTTATACTTTGGTGGTCATTTTTTCTAAACAACTTCAGAATTGTATTTTTAGAGATTTACATATTTCAATGTTGTCATGCACATTTCAAAGAAAATTATATGGACCAGTTTTGTTTCATGTAACTGTACTATTTTAATATGATGGATGACTTCTTCTTTAGTACTTGAGTAAATGTCTCTTATTACCTGAAATTTCTCTGCTTTATTCATTCATTTTTTCCAACTTTATGGTGATAACTTGTTTAAAAAGCACACTTTGTTTCTAACTTGGTAAATACAATGTTTTCTTCATTGTCTTATGAAAAATAGTGTTTATGTACAATCAAATATTATACTTTTTCACTGAAAAATTATGGCTGCTTCATATTTATGCTGTAATGATATTTACAGCATTATCCAAGGTTATGGTTTTATAGTGTGTGGATTTTGAGTGCCTCCGTAATATCTCAAAAACGTCTCTTTGCAGCGTTTATTTATTTCCCTTAAATGAAATAAACTTGATCTTTGAGACGTAGGTCTATGATTTTTAAATATGCCCCAAATGTTATTATGTGACATTTTATAATGTTTACCTTTTTTTCCTCTGGGAAATAAAATTCAATTGAAAATAATTAGTGAACAAATAAATAAATAAAAACAGACAAACACCAAAAAACACTAGAATTCTGAATTTTATTATCTAATGTTAGGATAATTAAGGACATATGTGACCATGTTAGAAATAAAGTTGAAAATATGCTTTTAATAATTTGAAATGCATTAAGGATTTTGTACAGTATATACTATTTTCTTAAAACATGAAGATGTTGCTGATTTATTTTAATTTTTTCACTATCAAAACTGTATAAATTATATTTTGAATAGTCAAGATAATGGTATTATATAACATCATTTAGAATTTTTCAAATAATTACATTTTTATAAACTATGTTAAATATTAATTTTCATAGACGAAGTTAGCTTTTTACTTGCACACAATGTGGAATTTTGGTGAAGCAGAAAATCACCTCATTATGAAAAATATATTGATGGTTTCAATATCAATGAGAAGGAATATCAACGAAAAATCGTGTATATCAATGGAAAAAATCAAACATTTAGTTCATGTTTCACAACAATTTTAACAATGTAGTGATTCTAATTGCCCTATTTCAAGTTTAAATAAATTTGTAATATATAATTTGCATTTAAATGTTTCCCCTAAATTTTGATTTATAAACAACATTTCAATGGCTTTGTTGAGTCAACCATAGAACTCAAAAATTCTTATTCAGATCTTTCCCTGTTCCCACTTATGTTGCCTATGCTAGAATTGTCAGTGTTGTGGGACAGAGACAACTAGGTGAGTCCCAGTAAAAGTTTTCACTTCCTCTATTGTAAGAACCCTTTACCTGTGAACATAACCACCAAAGTCTAAAAATACAGTATTTAGGCTGTCTTGCATACAGTCTGGCCTGTGACTAAGTTCTGGCATAGAAGTGTTACAAGGAATCTTCTAAGGATCCTTTGTCAAAGACAATTCGAACACTTTATTCTTCTCTCTTATATCGCCTGGAATAAGGATGGGGTACCTGGAGCTCTGGATCATGTATTTCATAAGGGATAAATTGTTTAGCACAAGGGAGTATCAATCTCTAAAAACTTCATGGGCTAAGAAGTTTTATCATCATTAGACCACCTGGCTCTTGACTATTATGAGGGAAAAATAACTAACTTATTGAAGTCACTGATATATGGGTTATGTGCAACTCAGAAGGAACTTAACATTTGCTGCTACAAATTTGTGCTAACAGCTTCTGTTTATGGTTTGCTATAATACATCTTACAAATATAAGGTTAAACTTCGTTTCTATTTTATACAAATAAACACAGCGATTAAAAAGATAATGCTTCTTACATGAAACAATTGTGGTAGATACTAGCTAGTGCATCTTGGATATTTGTGGATAACAGTTCTGCTCTACCACTAGCCCCAGGGTACCTCACCATCCCTGCCTATACCCTTATAAATGTGTTGCTTTATTAAGGCATTTGAAATGACTCCCTCTGAGTGTGTTACCTGTGCAAATTGAACACTGAAAATGGCATAATTAATACTAAGTTTTCCACTAATTGGCATAGGATGAAATGTGGGTGTAGAGGCAAGCAGGTGACAGATTAAGTCGTTTGGCAAGTATAAATACTACACATAATTTAGCTTCATTTAACTGCTCTAGAGGGAAACTAGTCAGGCCAAATGTGTTGATATGGATAAACTAACTCAGAATTAGGAAATACTTTAAGTACCTGGGAACTGTCAGCTAGCTTAGTTAATTAAATTCTCAACTCAGATGGGACTTTAGTCAGTGAGATACAAATTTCGGAATATCCCTGGAATATAGAAGGGGAAGAAACCCAGTGACTCAGGGAGAATAGCAATTTTTCAGCGGCCTTTGATGAGTAGCCTATGGGTATCTAGGTGTCCTATTCCCCAGGCACCCTAAGTATTACTTTGTGTCTCCATGGTTATTCAGTTCAACACAAGCAACTTGTTTCCAGGTGGCTGGAATTACCTCTGAAAAGTGGTATTTTATATGGGCTGTATGTTGGTAGGTTAGGCACTTAGCAATGAGGGTAAACAGATTATCCATGGTGAGCAAGGGTCTATTTTTAGTGTCCATGGAGAGCCTCAATATTTATCACATGGTCACTTTGTATATGGACCAACAATTCATGCTTGGTTGTTAGAATTATTCACCTCGGCCAGTTAGAAAACTGACCTCTTTTTCTGCCTATTGGTTCAGTGGCATAAATCTCAAAACTGTTGGCAGGTGGGTAAGAAAAGTCAGCCTCAACTTCCAAACCACTGAAGATGTGAATACTTTTCTAGGGAGAAATATTTATCCATTGAGTACCAAAACTTCCAGATGTCCTAATCTGATTCAAGATTTGGAAGAAACAGTATCTTACATATATCTTACAATATCTTCTATATCTTTAGTTGTAATTGGGAGAGAGCTCCTGCCCCTGTCTTCCACCCAATTCTCAGACCAAGATATTCTCACTAAGGAGTAGTTGTCACCACATCCGATTTCTTAAAATCTCTGGCATATCATCCCATCATTCTACTTGAGCCTGCTCTTCCTAATCATGTGTTCAAACCAATAAATCCTGTGCATGTAATCATATTGTTATATTTCCTTTACCGTAAGTTAAGGAAAGTGGTCCTATGAGATTACAAGTTGATACATAGGCATTCTGTAAGACCATGAGAGGTAATAAGGTATAAGGAAGGGGTCCAGTTTCCATTTTCTGCATATGGCTGGTCAATTCTGCCAGCATCATTTATTAAATATGGAATCATTTCCTTATTGCTTGTTTTTGTCAGGCTTGTCAAAAATCAGATGGTTGATGTGTGGTTTTATTTCTGAGTTCTCTATTCTGTTCCATTGATCTGTGTACAAGTACCATGTTGTTTTGGTTACTGTAGCCTTGTAGCATAGTTTGAAGTCAGGTAGCGTGATGCCTCCAGCTTTGTTCTTTTTGCTTAGGATTGTCTTGGCTATATGGGCCCTTTTTTGGTTCCATATGAAATTTAAAGTAGTTTTTTTCTAATTCTATGAAGAAAATCAATGGTAGTTGGGGATATAGCACTGAATCTATAAATTACTTTAGCAGTATGGCCATTTTCATGATATTGATTCTTCCTATCCATGAGCATGGAACGTTTTTCTGTCTGTTTGTGTTGTCTCTGATTTCCTTGAGCAGTGGTTTGTAGTTCTCCTTGAAGAGGTCCTTGACCTCAATTGTTAGCCGTATTCCTAGGTATTTTATTCTCTTGTGGCAAAAATTAACTCAAGGTGGATTAGACACTTAAATGTAAAACCCAAAACTATAAAAACCCTAAAAGAAAACCTAAGCCATACTATTCAGGACCTAGGCATGGGCAAAGATTTTATGATGAGATCATCAAAAGCAATTGCTACAAAAGCAACAATTGACAAATGGGATCTAATTGCATTAAAGAGCTTCTGCACAGCAAAATAAACTATCATCAGAGTGAACAGGCAACCTACAGAATGGGAGAACATTTCTGCAATCTGTCTTTCTGACAAAGGTCTAATATCCTGTATCTACAAGGAACTTAAGCAAATTTACAAGGATAAAAATGAACAATCCCATTAAAAAGTGGGCAAAGGATAGGAATACACACCTCTCAAGAGAAGGCATACATGCAGACAACAAACATATGAAAAAAAGCTCAACATCACTGATGATCAGAGAAATGCAAATCAAAACCACACAGTGAAATATCATCTTGTGCCAATCAGAAAGGCAATTATTAAAAAGTCAATAAACAGATGCTGCAAGGTTGAGGAGAAATAGGAACATTTTTATGGTGTTGGTGGGAATGGAAATTAGTTTAACCATTGTGGAAGATAGTGTAGTGATTCCTCGAGAATCTAGAACCAGAAATACCATTTGACACAGCAATCCCTTTACTGGGTATACACACCCAAAGGAATATAAAGCATTCTATTATAAAGATACATGCACACATATGTTCATTGCATCACCATTTACAATAGCAAAGATGTGGAATTAACCTAAATCCCCATCAATGATAAACTGGGTAAAGAAAATATAGTACATATACACCATGGAATACTATGCCACCATAAAAGGAAGATCATGTCCTTTGCAGGGACATGGATGAAGCTGGAAGCTATTATTCTCAGTAAACTAATGCAGGAATAAAATAACCAAACACTGCATGTTTTCACTTACAGTGGGAGCTGAACACATGGACACAGGGAGCGGAACAATAAACTCTGGGGCCTCTTGGGGAGGTGAGGGAGCATCAGGAAAAATAGCTAATGCATGCCAGGCTTAATACCTAGGTGATGGGTTAATAGGTGCAGCAAACCATCATGGCACACATTTACCTACGTAACAAACCTGCACATGCTGCGCATGCACTCTGAAACTTAAAATGAAATAAAATTTAAAAAAAGAAAGGGAATAATGCCAGAAGCATTGCAATAAAGAAAGGACATTTAATACTCAGAATATATCGATACTTATGAGAATAAACTCCTGACTCCGCATTCACCCACGGACATTTTTAAAATCTCATGTCAAAGAACCAACAAACTGAAAAGGGTGACCAAAGTGAATAAATCTAATTATCAAGCATGAACTAGGATACTGCTACAAAACAGGAGTAAATAAGACCCAAGGCAACTCACTGGTGTTCCTAATACTACTTTGCTCAAAAGGTTTAGCCAATAAAAAATTACATCTATTAAGACAGTACTGATGTAGATACAGATAATTCAGGAAAAAAATAGCTTCAGATTACCTTCACCTCAGGAAATAACCCATTTTATCAGATTTCCAGCAAAAGATAAGAAGAATATGGAATACCTGAAAGAAGAAAGCAATGTTTATAAAGTTAAATCTTGTGATAAGCTGCAAAAGAGTGGCTCTGGGAGTGAGAAGAATTAAGAATACCAGCTATGCTTTAAGTCAATTTTGGTTTTCTTCCCTTTACCCAACACCATGCCCAAAGGATTTAAGTCTTTGAGAGCCTGACAAAATTGACTTGTATTATGTGGTATTTTTATACCACATTTTCTTTATTCATTTGTCCGTTGGTGGACAATTAAGTTGATTCTCTATCATGATTTCTGTTAATAGTGCTGCAGTCAACATGACTGACTTTATTTTATTTTATTTATTTATTTATTTATTTATTTATTTATTTATGAGACAGAATTTCACTCTTGTTGCCCAGGCTGGAGTGCAATGGTGCGATCTTGGCTTACTGCAACCTCTGCCTCCTGAGTTCAAGTGATTTTCCTGCCTCAGCCTCTCGAGTAGCTGTGATTAAAGGCATGTGCCACCATGCCCAGCTAATTTTGTATTTTTAGTAGAGACGGGGTTTCACCATGTTACCCAGGCTGGTTTCAAACTCCTGAGCTCAGGTGATCCTCCTGCCTTGGCCTCCCAAAGTGCTGGGATTACAGGCATGAGCCACTGCGCCCAGCAGACTGACTTTATTTTTTTGGGGTATATATCCTGTAGTGGGATTACTGGATTATCCTCAAAGATAAGTTAGCTTATTATACTTTGTATATCTATTTTGGGAAGGTGCATTTTCATCTTAAGAAAAGACATATATATATGTATTTATGTATACATATATATATTTATGTATACATACATATGTATTTATGTGTATATATATGTATTTATGTACACATGTATATAAACAAATATACACTCACACATGTATATATACACTTATATTTATATATAAAATATACATATAGCACAAATACATATTTGCATGTCTGTATACATATATATTAATATTTTTGTATATTATAATTTTAATTCTATTTGTAACCTAATCTGGAATAGAACAATAAATTGGGAAACTCTGGGTACATAATTTTTTTCTTCATTATGAAATATTTTATTACATTCATTTTTATATAACAAAAGATTTAAACTACAAAAACAAAAGCATGTGTATATATAATATTATATTTTACTAATGTAATTGAAATGAAACTTTTAAAAGATTGACTGTTCAGTAATTTTCTCTTGTTTGTTTTTATTCTATTTTTAATTGACATAATTGGACATATTTATTTGGTACAGTGTAATGTTTTGATACATGTATAAATTAGGTAACAATGAAATCAGGCTATTTAGCATATCCATCACCTCATACATTTATCATTTCTGTGTGGTAAGAGCATTCAATATTCCCTGTTCTAACTATTTTGAAATATATAGAGTTAACCATAGTCACTCCACTGTGTAATAAAACACCAGAACTTACTCCTATATAACTGAAATTTAATATACTTTGACCTACATCTCCTGAATGCCCAACACCCATAGCTCTGGTTACCTCAATTTAGCTCTCTACTTCTAAGAGAATTAGAGTTCAACTATTTTAGATTTCACATATTAGTGAAATCATGTAGTATTTGTCTTTCTGCGCCTGTATTATTTCAATTAACATAATGCCTTTCAGATTCTCTCATGTTCCTGCAAATGACAGGATTTTATTCTTTTTCATGGATTAATAGTATTCCATTGGGTATATATACCACAAGTTCTTTATTAATTTATCCGTTGATGAACAATTAAGTTGATTCTCTGTGATGGTTTTTGTTAATAGTATTGCAGTCAACATGACTGACTTTATTTATTTTGGCTATGTGCCCTGTAGTGGGATTACTGGATCATATGGGACTTCTCTTTTTGATTTTTTGAGGAGCCTGCATACTGCTTTCCATAATAGTACTAATTTTCATTCTCACTAACAATGTATGAATTTCTCTGATTTCACATCCACACGAGTATTTATTTATTTTGATAATTGCTACTCTAATTGGGGTGAGGTGATATCTCATGGTTTTGATTTGCATTTTTCTAATGATTAGTGATGTTGAGCATTTTAAGATATATCTATTGACCATTTGCTTGTCTTCTTTTAAGCAATGTCTACTCAGATCTTTTGATTGTTTTAAAAATATTGCTATTGAATTATTTATGAATTTCTTATATATTCTGGATATTAAAACCTTATCAGCTGAATAGCTTGCCATTTTTTCTGCATTCTGTAGGTTGTCTCTTCATTTTCTTAATTGTTTACTTTGCTGTGGCAGTAGCTTTTTGGCTTGATGTAATCTCATTTGTCTATGTTTTCTTTTGTTGCCTGTGCTTTTGGGGTCTTATCCAAAAAATTCTTGTGCAGACCAGTGTCATAAAGTGTTTCTTTTATGTTTTCTTATAGTAATATTACCATTTAGGATCTCACATTTAATACTTTAATAATTTTTAGTTGATTTTTGTTTATGGTGAGACCTAGGGGTTTATCTTCATTCTTCACTGCATGTGGACCTCCAGTTTTCCCTGAACCATTTACTGATTAGAGTACCTTTCTCCACTTTGCATTTTTAGCACCATTGTCCATAGTAAGTTCACTGTAAGTGTATGGAATTCTTCTGTGTTCTCTATTCTGTTCCTTTGGTCTATGTGTCTATTTTGATGCCAGCACCATGCTGTTTTAGTTACTCTATCTTGATAATATATTTTGAAGACAGAAAATGTCATGACTTCAACTTTGATCTTTTTGGTAAAGGTTACCTTGGCTATTGAGAGTCCTTTGTGGCTCCATATGAATTTTAGGAGTATCTTTCTCTGTGTCTGTGGAGAATGTCATTGATATTTTGATAAAGATCCCATTGAATGTATATCATTTTGGGTACTGTGGATATTGTAACAATATCATTTCTTTCAATCAATGAGCATGGAATATCTATTTATTTGTATCTTCTTTATTTTCTTTTATCACTTTTTTTGCTTTTATTTTACACATCTTTTACCTCTGTGGCTAATTTTATTCCTAAGTATTTTATTTTATTTGTAGCTGTTGTAAATGGAATTATTTTCTTGAGTTCTTTTTCATATAGTTTGCTACTACTGTACAGAAACACTACTGATTTTTGTATGTTGATTTTGTATCCTGCATCTATATTGAATTTGTGAATTAGTTCTAACAGTTTTTTGGTGGAATCTTTAGGGTTTTCTATATATATAAGAACATGCCACCTATGCAGACAATTCAACCTCTTCCTTTCCAATTTGGATTCCCTTTATTTCTTTCTCTTGTCTGATTACTCTGGCTAAGTCTTCCAATACCATGTTGACTACAAGTGGCAAGAGTGGCCATCCTTGTCTTGTTCCAGATTTTAGAGGGCAAGCTTTCAACTATTATATTACCCCTGAGTTCATCATATATGGCCTTTGATAGATTGAGGTACTTTTCTTCTATACTTAACTTTTTGAGAATTTTATTATAAAGGGATGTTGAATTTTGTCAAATCCTTTTTCTGAATCTATTGAAATTGTAATATGATTCTTGTCCTTCATTTGTTGATATGATGTATCATGTTTATTGATCTTCATATTTTATGTTCAACCATTCTTGCATTCCTAGGATGAGGCCCACTTGATCATGTTGAATGATCTTTTTAATATTAATAGGCTGTTGAATTTGTTTTGCTAGTATTTCCTTGAGGATTTTTGCATGCATGTTCATTTGGAATATTGATTGGCTTGTAGGCGGTTGTTTTGGTTTAGTTTGGTGTGAGTGCATGTGCATGTGTGTGTATGTTTGTGTGTTTGTGTCCTTGACTGATTTTGGTGTCAGGGTAATGGTGGCTCAGTAGATGAGTTTAAGAGTATTTCTTCTCCTTTTATATGTTGAAATAGCTTCATAAGAATTGGTATTATGTTTTCATTAAATGTTTTATAGAATCCAGCAGTGAGGTAATTTTTTTTAAAGGAAACTTTTTATTACTTATTCACATCTTAGTGCTCATTATTAGCTGTGTTCAGATTTTCTATTGTTTCAAGATACAATATTGATAGGTTGCATGTGTCCAGATATTTATCTGTTTCTGCTAGCATTATCCTATATATTGGTAATTTTTTGTATTTTTATAATATCAATTCTTTTTTTAAATTTTATTATTATTACACTTTAAGTTTTAGGGTACATGTGCACAATGTGCAGGTTTGTTACATATGTATACATGTGCCATGTTTGTGTGCTGCACCCATTAACTCGTCATTTAACATTAGGTATATCTCCTAATACTATCCCTCTCCCCTCCCCCCACCTCACAACAGTCCCCAAAGTGTGATGTTCCCCTTCCTGTGTCCATGTGTACTCATTGTTCAATTCCCACCTATGAGTGAGAACATGCAGTGATTGGTTTTTTGTCCTTGCGATAGTTTGTTAAGAATGATGGTTTCCAGTTTCATCCATGTCCCTACAAAGGACATGAACTCATCATTTTTTATGGCTGCATAGTATTCCATGGTGTATATGTGCCACATTTTCTTAATCCAGTCTATCATTGTTGGACATTTGGGTTGGTTCCAAGTCTTTGCTATTGTGAATAGTGCCACAATAAACATACGTGTGCATGTGTCTTTATAGCAGCATGAGTTATAATCCTTTGGGTATATACCCAGTAATGGGATGGCTGGGTCAAATGGTATTTCTAGTTCTAGATCCCTGAGGAATCGCCACACTGACTTCCACAATGGTTGAACTAGTTTACAGTCCCACCAACAGTGTAAAAGTGTTCCTATTTCTCCACATCCTCTCCAGCACCTGTTGTTTCCTGACTTTTTAATGATCGCCATTCTAACTGGTGTGAGATGGTATCTCATTGTGGTTTTGATTTGCATTTCTCTGATGGCCAGTGATGATGAGCATTTTTTCATGTGTCTTTTGGCTGCATAAATGTCTTCTTTTGAGAAGTGTCTGTTCATATCCTTCGCCCACTTTTTGATGGAGTTGTTTGTTTTTTTCTTGTAAATTTGTTTGAGTTCATTGTAGATTCTGGATATTAGCCCTTTGTCAGATGAGTAGGTTTCGAAAATTTTCTCCCATTTTGTAGGTTGCCTGTTTACTCTGATGGTAGTTTCTTTTGCTGTGCAGAAGCTCTTTAGTTTAATTAGATCCCATTTGTCAATTTTGTCTTTTGTTGCCATTGCTTTTGGTGTTTTAGACATGAAGTCCTTGCCCATGCCTATGTCCTGAATGGTATTGCCTAGGTTTTCTTCTAGGGTTTTTATGGTTTTAGGTCTAACGTTTAAGTCTTTAATCCATCTTGAATTAATTTTTGTATAAGGTGTAAGGAAGGGATTCAGTTTCAGCTTTCTACATATGGCTAGCCAGTTTTCCCAGCACCATTTATTAAACAGGGAATCCTTTCCCCATTTCTTGTTTTTGTCAGGTTTGTCAAAGATCAGATGGTTGTAGATATGTGGCATTATTTCTGAGGGCTCTGTTCTGTTCCATTGATCTATATCTCTGTTTTGGTACCAGTACCATGCTGTTTTGGTTACAGTAGCCTTGTAGTATAGTTTGAAGTCAGGTAGCGTGATGCCTCCAGCTTTGTTCTTTTGGCTTAGGATTGACTTGGTGATGCGGGCTCTTTTTTGGTTCCATATGAACTTTAAAGTAGTTTTTTCCAATTCTGTGAAGAAAGTCATTGGTAGCTTGATGGGGATGGCATTGAATCTATAAATTACCTTGGGCAGTATGGCCATGTTCATGATATTGATTCTTCCTGCCCATGAGCATGGAGTGTTCTTCCATTTGTTTGTATCCTCTTTAATTTCATTGAGCAGTGGTTTGTAGTTCTCCTTGAAGAGGTCCTTCACATCCCTTGTAAGTTGGATTCCTAGGTATTTTATTCTCTTTGAAGCAATTGTGAATGGGAGTTCACTCATGATTTGGCTCTCTGTTTGTCTGTTATTGGTGTATAAGAATGCTTGTGATTTTTGTACATTGACTTTGTATCCTGAGACTTTGCTGAAGTTGCTTATCAGCTTAAGGAGATTTTGGGCTGAGACAATGGGGTTTTCTAGATAAACAATCATGTCATCTGCAAACAGGGACAATTTGACTTCCTCTTTTCCTAATTGAATACCCTTTATTTCCTTCTCCTGCCTAATTGCCCTGGCCAGAACTTCCAACACTGTTGAATAGGAGCGGTGAGAGAGGGCATCCCTGTCTTGTGCCAGTTTTCAAAGGGAATGCTTCCAGTTTTTGCCCATTCAGTATGATATTGGCTATGGGTTTGTCATAAATAGCTCTTATTATTTTGAGATACATCCCATCAATACCTAATTTATTGAGAGTTTTTAGCATGAAGAGTTGTTGAATTTTGTCAAAGGCCTTTTCTGCATCTATTGGGATAATCATGGGGTTTTTGGCTTTGGTTCTGTTTATATGCTGGATTACATTTATTGATTTGCGAATGTTGAACCAGCCTTGCATCCCAGGGATGAAGCCCACTTGATCATGGTGGATAAGCTTTTTGATGTGCTGCTAGATTCGGTTTGCCAGTATTTTACTGAGGATTTTTGCATCAATGTTCATCAAGGATATTGGTCTAAAATTCTCTCTTTTGGTTGTGTCTCTGCAAACACATTCAAAAGCTAGCAGAAGGCAAGAAATAACTAAAATCAGAGCAGAACTGAAGGAAATAGAGACACAAAAAACCTTTCAAAAAGTTAATGAATCCAGGAGCTGGTTTTTTGAAAAGATCAACAAAATTGATAGACCACTAGCAAGACTAATAAAGAAGAAAAGAGAGAAGAATCAAATAGATGCAATAAAAAATGATAAAGGGGATATCACCACCAATCCCACAGAAATACAAACTACCGTCAGAGAATACTACAAACACCTCTATGCAAATAAACTAGAAAATCTAGAAGAAATGGATAAATTCCTCAACACATACACCCTCCCAAGACTAAACCAGGAAGAAGTTGAATCTCTGAATAGACCAATAACAGGCTCTGAAATTGTGGCAATAATCAATAGCTTACCAACCAAAAAAAGTCCAGGACCAGATGGATTCACAGCCGAATTCTACCAGAGGTACAAGGAGGAGCTCGTACCATTCCTTCTGAAACTATTCCAATCAATAGAAAAAGAGGGACTCCTCCCTAACTCATTTTATGAGGCCAGCATCATCCTGATATAATATCAATTCTAATGTCTTACTTTTTATCTCTGATTTTATTTATTTAAGTTGTCTTTCACTTTTCCTCAGAGTCACCAAAGTTTTTGAATATTGTTTATCTTTTAAAAAAGCAACTGTTTATTTTATCTATATTTTGTGTTTAGTTTTTTGTCTCAATTTGTTTCCTCTTGAATATCATTTATTTTCTTCTAATAATTTGGGGTTTAGTGTGTTTTTATTTAGTTCTTTGAGGTGCTATGTTAGGTAGTTTATTTGTGATCTGTTTTCCTTCTGATGTAAGTTTTTATTGCAAGAAACTTCCCTCTTAGAAATGTGTTTAACTGTGTTCTATAGGTTTTGATATGTTTCATTTCCACTTTCATTTGTCTTAAACATTTTTAAATTTTCCTTTTAATGTCTTTACCCATTGGTTGTTTGGGAACATTTTGTTTAATTTCTACATATTTGTAAAGTTTCTGTATTTCCTCTGTTATTGATTTTTAGTTTTATACCATTGTGCTCAGTAGAGATACTTGATGTAATTTTAATCTTCTTAAATTTCATTTTGTCTCATGGTCAAATATATGGTCAAATATATGATCAAATATATTGTCTCGTGGTCAAATATATATCTATATTTGATCTATGTTCTATGTGCAACAGAGAAGGATGTATATTTTGTACCTTTTAGTTGGAATGTTCTGCAAATGTCTGTTAGGCCCATTTCATCTAGAGTGTAGTTTAAATCTGATGTTATTTTTATAATTTATTTTACTGGATAATCTGTCCATTGTTGTAAGTGAGATGTTGAAATTCCCTACTATTTTAGTATCATAGTCAATTTCTCTCTTTAGCTCTATGAATATTTTCTTTATATATTTAGGTGCTCCAATGATAGGTGCATATATATTTACAATTGTTATACTCTCTTGCTGATTTGACCTCTTTATCATTATGTCATGAACTTCATTTCTGCTTCTTTTGTAAAATCCAAAGTCTATTTTACCTGATATAAGTACAGCTACTCTCACTGTGTTGTGGCTTCCATTTGTATGAAATATTTCTTTCTATCCCTTCACTTTTAGTCTATTTGTGTCTTGTAGGCAGCATATCATTGGGTCTTTTAAAAATCCATTGATCCACTCTTTTTATTTTTATTTTTTCATGATCTTCATTGGTTTATCATTTTAGGGATGGGTTCCTTCTGTGTTAGGCTGGAGGGCAGTGGCTATTCACAGGCACAATCACTTCACACTACAGCTTTGTACCCCTGGCCTCAAGCAATCCTCCCACTTCAGCTTCCTGAGTATTTGTGACTACAGGGACATGCAAAACACTGGGTTTTATTCCTCTTAATAGTACAGTTTAATCCATTAATATGCAAGATGATTATTGATAGGTACAGATGTATTACTGCCATTTTAAAAATTTTCAAATTGTTTTATAGATTCTTTCTTTTTACCTGTCCTCTTGTGTGGTTAAATAATTTTCTCTAGTAGTGTGTTTTGATTTTTTAATTTTTATTCTTAATGTACCTATTAAAGGTTTTTGCTTTGTGGATAACATGAAGCTAACAAATAACATCTCATAGATATAACAGCTTAAAATAACTTGTTATATATATGAGATGTTATTAACTCTGACCTTAATGTTTTAAGAAAAGGACTCTACAATTTGACCTCACTGCCTCCAATATTTTGAATTTTTATGTCACAATTTGCATATTTTAATGTTGCATATTTCTTAAATTATTTTAATTTTTACTATTTCTAATATTTTTGTATTTTAATCTTTATATTAGAGATATAAATGATTCATACACAATCATTGCAGTATTAGAGTATTCTTTATTTGACTCTGCACCTATTTTTATCAGTGAATTTTATACTTTCAAAATATTTGTGTGTGTGTGTGTGTGTATGTGTGACTCATTAGCATCCTTTTCTTTCAGCTTGAAGAACTTCCTTTACCATTGTTTATAAGACAGATTTGGAGTTAAAAAACAAATAAAACTCCCTCAGCTTTTGTTTGTCTGGAAAAATGTTTATATCTCCTTCACATCTGAAGGATGGATTTGCTGACTACAGTATTCTTGGCTGGCAGTTTGGTTGCTTTTTTCCTTTAGCACTTTGAATATATCAACCCACCAACCTCCTGGCTGGTAAGGTTTCTGCTAAGAAATCCACTGATAGTTATATTGGCACTCTTTTGTATATGATGTGTTTCTTACCTCTTGGCTGCTTTCAGAATTTTTTCTTTGTCTCTTTTTTTTTTGATAATTTGATTATTTTATGTTTTGTTGTATTTCTCTCAGGGTTTAATTTTCTTGGAGACCTCTATGCATCCCATATATGTGTGTTGGTATCTATCACAGGTTAATGCAGTTTTCAGCCATTATTCCTTTAAATGTGCTTACTGGACCTTTTCCTTTGTCTTCTTCTGTTGATTCTATTATAAAAACATTCAATCTCTTACATGTGTCCTATAATTCCCATAGATTTTCTTCATTCTTATTTATTCTTTTGTCTTTTTATCCTCTGACTGGATACTTTAAAATTTGCCTTTCTGCTTACTGATTCTTTCTTTCTACTTGATAAGTTCTTCTGTTAAAATTTTCTATTACATTTTTTATTGCAGTCATTGTATTATTCATTTCTAGGATTTCTACTGATCTTCTCATTTTTTTCAAATACTGGTTTCCAAACTTCATTAAATTTTCCATCTGTATATTTTTAAATTTTACTGAACTTCCTTATGAATATTATTCTGTATTATTGATCAGTCTTTGCATAGATCTCTATTTATTTGGGATTCATTATTTGAGCTTTATTTATTTCTTTTTGAGAAATTATACTTCCCTGATTTTCCATAATCTTTGTATTCTTATGTTGTGACCTTCATATGTGAGGTGACAAGTCCCTTTTTGGTCCTGCACAGATATATTAGCAGACATAGAGCTATTTAGTCTAGGCTGTGGTCCTGGAAGGTTCAGCTGGTGATGATCCTGGAGAGGCAGAGTATGTTATAAGTTATCCAGTTGGCTGGGTCACTGCCTTTGCTTTGATATTGAATGGGGTTACTAACTGGGTTCTGCTGACCAGTGAGACCATTGGTTGGACTCTGCTGTTAGGTGGTATGCTGGCTCATACTTCAATGGCTTCTGGTTAGACCCGGCAACATATATATTCCCTGGATGGGCAGTTTTGCTATTTGAAATCTGCACTTGAGCAGGGCTGAAAGTTGGACTCTAAGATTAGGTGGAGTCACTACTCTGAACAGGCAGGAGCTTAGGCTGTGCTCCTTAGAAACACACAATTTGAGATTGCCTCCTTGTCTGGGTGGAGCTGTGGAGTGGGCTTTTGGCTTAGTTCAGTGGCTGTTTGACTTCCCAGATCAAGCAGGACTGGCCTCTAAGTTTCTTCAAAATGTACAGAAATGGGAGTCTCTCTGCCTGGTTGGGATTGTTTTGTGGGCTATTTGTCGTCCCTACTTGCCTTCCTGGCTCGAGCCAGTCTGGCTTCTTTGCTTCTCTAAAATCTGCAAAGATGGGAATCTGTCTGCCTGGGCGGGGTCATTGGCCAGGCTTTTTGGCCATGTGGCACCTCTGATTACCTTCCCACATCAAGCATGTGTAGCTCCTTCACATCTCTGAGATCTGTGAAGACATGAGTCTTCCTGATTGGACAGGTTTGTTGTTGGTTCTGGAGTTGGCTGGGGAGACTAGCTGTCTAAGGGCTCACTGTATGTGAGCTAGATTGTGTTTCCTACTGTGCTTTTAAAGGTGACAAGCTTAGCTCTGTGAGTGAGCTAAGAGGTTGATTGATGCCTCTGACCAAGTGCTACAGCTTGCAGGATGCAGTGGTAACACCAAAATCCTTGTCATTTGCTTTGTTTTACTCCTGGGTGGTCAAGCCATGCCATTTCTCTTAGTATTCCTCATTAAGTGAGACCACAGTGGACTTCCTGAGAAGTTTTTTAGAATGGTAGTGAAGTCAGATAACTGTTTCAAGTTCGTTTTTCCCCTCATAGAAACTGTGAGTCCAGGAAAATCTTTATCTGGTGCTATGCTACTTTGGTAGAAGGGGAGGTGGGGGTGCAGTCAGAGTGAGACCATTCCTCTTAGCCATCAAATTTAGATTTTGTTTACTTCTGCACACCACACAGGTGTCTCAGGCTTGTTTCCAGATGCTGAGGTTTTCAAAAGGATGTTCTGTCTGTAGATAGTCGCTAGTTGAAAGTTCTGTTGGAGCAATGGGGGTCAAGGTTTTTTCTTTGCCACATTGCTGACATCCTTAAGTTTGAATTAATAATGATTTTATTTTAATGTCAACTGAATAACTGATATTTATTTTTTAAAATATTTTTTAAGAAAACATCTGAAATCACAAGCAGGTTCATCATGAAAATATAAAAAAAAATTATTGTTAGTCATGATCTATGAAAGAAGCAAAATATCATTTTTTTCCAAGTATTTATGATTGCTGTCTTTAAGGTTTTTTTTTCTATTATTCATAGTGATGATAGTTTTGACCCAAATATGATTTCAAGTCTTATTTGCAAATATTTTAAGGCACAACCAGGCCTGAATGTATTTTCTACTGCCCAATATAGAAGCAAATTTTGATTAAATCTAAAAACTTTTAATAATGCTGGAAATGATTATATGCCTTGCATGTAGGAATTTATTATATGCTATGTAATCAGTATATTGGAACCCTCATTCAAATAATTATGCAAAACTGAACTTTATTTAAATAAATAAATAAGTAAACTTTTAAGGTGAGGTTTCACTTAGTTCCAGAATTATACTTACTGAAATATTACTATATTTTAAAATTTGCTATATATTATAATATTACTTATACTGATGATACTGATGGTTATGAAAATAAATAAAATATATTTATGGATATGTCAGTGTGACTCCAGTGATTTATAGTTGTGTTTGTGTTTTTTTTTTCTAAAGGATTTGAACAACTTGCAAATACACCATGCTGGACACACTAAGATAAGCAAAATCAAGTAAGACCATATGCAAAATTGTATAATTTTTAATTGCGAAGTTTATTGCATTTAAAGCACTGAAATAACTTTTTAAAAAACATTTTATTTCACATACTTTTTCATATTCTTATTAAAAACATGATCTATTCATTTCAAACAGACTTATCCTGAAACTGAATATATAGACGTACTTTATCTGGAGAGACTCTTGCAAGTGATATTGAGCACTATGGTAAAATAACTTTCCAATATTTTATGTAATTTTAATTGAAGGAGGATATACATACAAAAACTTTAAAGAAGTTATTGCAAATGTACAAATTGATGGATTTTCATTAAATGAATTATCCTTATAGCCATCAGCTATATCAAGAAATAAAGCATCACTAGCCCCCAGAAGCTACCCTCAGCTTCCCTCCAAGTCACTAAAATTCTCCAAGTTGATAATCTTTCTGATGTTCAACACTAAATACTTTGTATATTTGTGTATAGTGTGCAAGATGGAATTTTACTGTATAGATTATTTTGCATCTGGCATTTTTTATTTAGTGAGATATCCAGTCAATATTAATTTTCATCATTGTTATGAAATATTTTATTATATGAAAATACAAAAATAGTGTGGGTGTGTGTTTGTGATCTACTACAAATGTGTAGTTTTCAGGGTTTTTTGGCTATTGTCTAACAACATTGGCTATTGTCTTTTTTATTTTATTTATTCTAGTGTTTGTGTACTAAAATTTAATCGTGATTTTATCTTGAAGGTCTCTGTTGACTAATGAGGTAGAGCATGTTTTCCTGTGTTTTAGCTGATCCACTTTGTAGGCATCTTTTCCAGTGTTTGCATTTTTGATCTCTTGAATTGTCTGACTGTTATGGGTTGAATTGTGTTCCTCAAAAATTCATGTGTTGAGTTCCTAGCACCCAGAACCTCAGAAAGTGACTTTCTTTGAAAGTAAGGTCATTGCAGATGTAGTTAGGTAAAATGAGGTCATACTGAAGTAGGGTGGGCTCTAATATAATATACTTGATGCTTTTATTGAAAGGGAAAATTTAATTTCTGATACACAGACACATAGCGAGAATACCATGTGAAGATTAAAGAAGACATTGAGATGCCTTAGCAGAAGTCAACAAATGCCAAACATTGCCAGCCCACCACCGGTAGCTAGGAAAAAGACATGAAACTGATTTTTTTCCTCATAGCCTTTAGAAGGAACAACCTTGTGACACATTGATCTTGGATTTCTAACCTCCAAAACTGTGAGACAATACATTTCTGTTGTTTAAGCCACTCTGTGGTTATTTGTTGCAGTTGTAGCAAACTGGTGGACTGTCGTTTATTGATTTGTAAGAATATTGTATATATTCTGGATATGAGTTATTTGTCAGTAATATAAACTGTAAATTAGTCTGTGATTTGTCTATTCATTCTTTTAATGGTGCCTTTTGATGAATAAAAGTCATTAAGATTAATGTAGGTTAAACGTTCATATTTTACTACATGGCTTATATATTTTTGTCCTGCCTAAAAAATATTTGCTCACTCCTAGATCATAAAGATCGAAATATATTTTCTTCTAGAAAATAGTATTTGTCTTTTATATTTAAGTCTACAATGCACTGAGAATTGAGTTTTGTAAATACAATGATGTAAGAGTCACGATTTATATTTTTGGTATTTAATTGGCTCAGTATCAAAAATAAATTCTTCCCCATTTCAATATATATCACATTTTTATGTGACTCCGTAAGTCACATAAAAGACTCCATAAGCCTTTTTCTGGCATTTTATCATATTCTTCTTGTCTAGGTGTCTATTTCTGAGTTAATTGTATATTATCATATTTATTATATATGTATATTTTATAATTATATCTGAAAATAAAAGTTCTTCAGCTTCTTTAATACTTCTGCAAGATTTCTCAAACTATTATTGGCTCTATTTTTCATATAAGTTTCAAAAACAACTTATCAAGTTTTGCCAAGAAACCTGCTGGGATTTTTGTTGGAGTTGCATCAAATCAATATATTAATTAGGAGAGATTACATGTTCACAATACTGACTTTTCCCAACCTTGAACCTTGAATAGTGTACTTGTTTAGAGAGTCTTTAACTGACAGTTTTTACATTTTGTAGTTCGTATTGGAAGGTTATTGCTCGTCTTCTGTTAGATATGTTACTATGTATTTTATCTTTCTAATGCTATTGGAAACATTTCATTTTTATCTTCTATTTTCTATGTTTTTCCTTATAGTGAGAATTACATTGAATTTTTGCCCTTGCTAAATTTCCTTACTAATTATTATGTATCTATAATTTTGAAAAATCCTATATATGCTATATGTAGAAGGAGCAGTTTTATTTATTGCCTTCCAATCCTAATGCCACTGTCTTTTTAAAAATGTCTTTTATTATCACACGATGACTTCCAGTACCATGTTGATAGACCACAAAATAGTTTTCAAAATCCATAAAATTTTCTCAGATTAAAAATGCATGTAAAATTTTTTTAGTAAACATTCTGTCATTTGCTTTCATTCACAGTGCAGTCATTTAAAATAGTATACCTAGTAACCTTGGCTCTTCACTCCCCAATCATTCTGCAACTGAACACATACTGACTTCCTCTATCCTATTTCAGTGACACTATAAATGCTACCTGCCACTCTCTAATTTGCACTCTATTGTATAATTTTCATTTCAATTCTGTATTGTATCTGTAATCCTTTTGGAAGTTTTTGTTTATTGCCTTGTATGAAGCCACTCATAGTGTTTTTTGACATTAGTTTTTATAACAGGAGTTTTGGAGTCAGGAAAGGCTTATATTTGTGTCTATAAGGAGTTTCTTATTTAACCCTTTCAAATTCTCTAATTCTTTAATACTTTTATCTTCTAATATATACTTACAAGACTTTTGTAGGAAAGAAATACATGTAAAGTGCCTAGTACATGGCCAGGCACATGACAAAGGGACAATAAATTATAGTTCTTTGGCATATCTATGTCTATCCTTGTGCTCCTCAAAATTAGGTTTTCCTGCAGGTTTTCTTTTAGAAATTTGTTCTTCTCATTCTAATCGCCTATCTTGAGTAATATCTTATTGTTACCTTTTAAAATTCAGCTTAAGCTTTATCCCCTTTATTCTTCCTGAGCAAATCTAACATATTTTCTTCTGTCATGTTTTCATAGTATTCTCACTTATCACTTGCTATGCTTTACATTCTAATAACATATGCTTATTTCCTCAAACTTGAATGCGAGTTTTTTATTTGAAAGAAAAATTGTGTTTCATTTCTATAATGAAAATCTTGAGACTTGAGCTTTCATAAAGTCATTTAATCTTCCATTTGCAGATACATTTTTTTCAGAGTATCACTAATATATGTGGCTGCTTAAATTCATTGCAAGGATTTTATTATTATCATTCAGGTAAATTATATGATGAAAGTATATTGGGGGTAAGATAATTATCCAGAAAAGTATAAAGGCAGAATAATATACACACATTAATATAGGCTTACCATTTATGTCCTATTTCCTACTCCATTCTCCCTTCCTTCCTTCCTTCCTTCCTTCCTTCCTTCCTTCCTTCCTTCCTTTCTTTCTCTTTCCTTCTTTTCTTTTTTTTTTTTTTTTTTCTGAGACAGAGCCTTGCTCTGTTGCCCAGGCTGGAGTACGGTGGTCCAATCTAGGCTCACTGCAAGCTCTGCCTCCCAGATTCAAGCAATTCTCCCTTCCTCAGCCTCCTCAGTAGCTGGAATTACAGGCTCCCGCCACCACACCTGGCTAATTTTTCTATTTTTAGTAGAGAAGGGGTTTCGCCACATTGGCCGGGCTGGTCTCAAACTCCTGACCTCAGGTGATCCATCCACCTTGGCTTCCCAAAGTGCTGGTATTACAGGCATGATCCACTGCACCCGGCCTCCATTCTCCATTTCTAACCAGATTCTTTCCAAATTTGATTTTTCAAACAATGCCACATTGAATTTGTGCCTCCTTATAGAATACTTGATAGGGGTAGGAAATGAGCACTTCAAATTTTACCAATTTTACCATTTTATCAAGCGATTCTCCTGCCTCAGCCTCCCGAGTAGCTGGGATTACAGGTGTGCACCAGCACACCGGGCTAATTTTGTATTTTTAATAGAGACGGGGTTTCTCCATGTCGGTCAGGGTGATCTCCAACTCCCGACTTCAGGTGATCCACCCGCCTTGGCCTCCCAAAGTGCTGGGATTACAGGCATGAGCCACCGCCCCCAGCCGTCATTTGTTATATGTAAATATCTGTTTCCAGTTTTTAAAAATTTTTTTAACATTAATTATTATTCTGGTTCATTTTTAATTGTTGTGGGTACATAGTAGGTGCATATATTTATGTAGTGCATGCCATATTTTGATACCGGTATAAAATAGATAATAATCACCGCAGGGTAAATGGGGTATCCATTGCCTCGAGCATTTATTTTTTCTTTGTGTTACAAAAAACTCTAATTATACTCTTTTATTTTAGAATGCACAATAAATTATTGTTGACTGTAGTTACCTTGTTATGCTATCAAATCTAGATCTCATTCATTCTATCTAACTATATTTTTGTACCCATTTACTGTTCCCACTCTCGTGCAGCTCTCCTCTACCCTTCGCTACTCTTCCCCAGCCTCTGGTAACCATCATTCTACTCTCTGACTCCACGAGTTCAATTGTTTTAAATTTTAGCTCCTACAAATAGGTAAGAACATGTGAAGTTTGTCTTTCTGTGACTGGCTTATTCCACTTAACATAATTTGCAGTTCCATCCGTGTTGTTGCACATGACAGGATCTCATCTTTTTATTATTATGGCTGAATAGTACTCCATTGTGTGTACGATCACATTTTCTTTATCTATTCATCTGTTGATGGACACTTAGCTTGCCTCCAAATCTTAGCTATTGTGAATGGTGCTGCGGTAAACATGGAAATGAAGATATCTGTTTGATATACTGATTTTCTTCCCTTGGGACATATACTTAGCAGTGGGATTCTACATCATATGGTAGTTATATTTTTATTTTTTTGATGAACCACCACATTCTTCTTCACAGTGGTTGTACTAACTTACATTCTCATCAACAGTGTATGAGGGTTTCTTTTTCTCCATATCCTCACCAGCATTTGTAAATGCCTGTCTTTCGAGTAAAAGCCATTTTAACTGGAATAAGATGATATCTCATTGGAGTTTTGGTTTTTGTTTATTTCTTTGTTTTGAGACAGGGTTTCACTCTGTAGGGCAGGTTGGAGCATAGTGGAACAATCATGGGCTCCCTTGCAGCCTTGATTTCCTGGGTTCAGATGATTCTCCCACTTCAGCCCCACAAGTATCTGGGACTACAGGTGCACACCATCATGCCCCACTAATTATTGTTTTTTTTTTTTTTTTGTAGAGACAGGGTTTCACCATGTTGCTCAGACTGGTCTTGAACTGTTGAGCTCAAGCAATCCACCTGCTTCAGTCTCCCAAAGTGCTGGGATTACAAGTGTGGGCCAGCACATCCAGCCTCATCGTAGTTTTGATTTGCGTTTCTCTGATGATCAGTGATGTTGAGCACCTTTTCATACACTGTTTGCCATTTGCATGTCTTCTTTTGAGAAATGTATATTGATGAAACTAGACCCCTTTCTCTCGCCATATACAAAAACCAAATAAAAATGGAATAAGACTTAAATCTAAAACCTCAAACTATAAAATTACTAAAAGAAAACTTTAGGGAAACTCTCCAAGGTATTAGAGTGGGCAAATATTTTTCAAATAATATTCCACAAGCACAGGAAATACAAAAATGGACAAATGAGATCACATCAAGTTAAAAAGCTACACAGCAAAGGAAATAATCAACAAAGTTAACAGACAACAAACAGAATGGGAGAAAATATTTGCAGACTATTCATCTGACAAGGGATTAATACCCAGAATACAAAGGAAGCTAAAATTACTCAATATTAAAAAAATCTAATAATTTGATTAATAAATGGTCAAAAGATTATTGAGCTTTTGACATCACAGGTTTTAAAATTTTAAGAGTCAAATCTAATATTCAAAAACATTTAACAAATTTATCCATTAAGTTTTGAAAACTTTTTGTAGCTTCATATAATATATGAATATATTCATCGAATTAAATGTTTCCTTTCATATTTTAAAACATACTAATTATTTGTTATTGTTGATTCATTGAAATGCTACTACTTTTATATTTTGATACAATTACTCTGCTAAATACATCTTAGTTTAAAGATTGATTTTCTTTTAGTTTCTGCATCATTATGAGATTTATATTAAAACTTTACCATTTTCTTTTCATTTTCTACTTTCTGTTACTCAATTGTTTTGTTGTATTTCTTCAGGTAAGACTTCCAGTATCCTGTAGATTATTAGTTACATTAGTGGGCAAGCTAGCACTTTGCGTATAGTAGGAAAATGACTGCATTTCCCTTCTTTAAGGATGATTTTGCTTGGATTTTTGAGAAGTTTATCAAGCTGCTATAATCTATCACATTTGGTACGTTTTTCTTAGATGCGTTTTCTGGATCTACTGAGAGTTTTTCTTTTTTTTTTCCTATAATCAATTAATGTGGAGATTTTAAATGATAACTTAAAAATATTAACCTATTTTGCATTCCTAGGGTAAATTGTACTAGTGTAAGCTTTAAATTTTTATTTTGTAAATAATACATAGTTTTCTATATAACAAATAAGACTATCTCTATCCCATCTATTTCCCTAAAATTAGATTTTAATAATATGTGGAACATGTACATTGTCAGGGGAAAAGTTTAGACTATAGATTTGGTTTTTGAAAGGCTATTTTTTTGTTGGAATTTTTTTTTATTATTCATAAATCACTCTTATACTCTTAATAATTGTATTAGTTTGCTGCAGCTGCATAACAAATTACCAGAAACTTACTAGGTTAAAACATCACACATTTTCTTATCTTACAGCTTCCATCAACCAGGAGTCTGTATATGCTTTACCTGGTTCCTCTGCTCAGGGTGTCCAAAGGCTGTGGTCAAGGTATGTGCGGAGGCATATTGTCAAAAGAGGTCTAACTGGGGGAAGTTAAGCTTTCAGGTTTCTTGGGTTGGTGGCAAAATTCACTTTCTTATTGATGAATAACTTACGGCAGCTTGCTTTTTCAATGCAACTGTAGGATAGAGGATCTTTCACCTTAGGAGGGCTGCAATCCCTCTTTTAAGAACTTTAACCTGTTTGAATTGGACCCATCCAATATAATCTCCTCTTGATTAACTCAGAATCCACTGATTTGGGACTTTGGTTACATTTGCAACATTCTCTTGCCTTTGCCCTATTCTGCTAGCTAGAAGTGACTGCTTCTACTTGACATCAGGGGAGAAGACTTTTCAAAGGTGTGGCTCATTAGGGTATATCCACCACAAAATGTGCCTTTATAAAAATGATTTGTGTAGGATATGTGCATAAGTGTCTCATTTTAATATTTCTAATACAATATATTTAAATATTTTTTCTTTGTTTCTCATCCATCTTGCTGCGGTTGATCCATTTTATTAAAAGTTGAAAGACATAGATTATTGCTTTCATTGATATTTGACAGTTTTTACAAGAAAATCATTATATAATTATGAGAGTGCATCATTTTCCTACTCATATAAAAACAACAGTTTCCTTTGGGACTTAGAAATTACAGATGAGAGATCGGATCTTTTTTAAAAAATATAATTTATTTTTTTAGAACACTTTAAGTTTCACAGCAAAACTGGGTGGAAAATACAGATAATTCCTATATAAGACTTGCTCCTTCACATTCACAAACTTCATCATCTACATTCAGCACAACAGGAGTGAATTTGTTACTGTTGATCAACCTACATTAACACATCATTATCATACATAGTCCATCATTTACACTAGTGTTTACTCTTGGTGTTGCATAGTCAATGTTTTTTTTTCATCAAATGTATAATGATGAGTATGCACCGCTGTAGAACCATACAGAGTAGTTGCACTGTCCTAAAATCCTCTCTGCTCTGCCTGTTCACGGCTCCTCTTTTCCCCTGAAACCACTGAGTTTCTTACTGTCTCCACAGTTTTTCCTTTTCTAGATTGTCATATCATTTGAATCATACAGCATGTAGCCTTTTCTGATTGCGTTATTTCACTTAGTAATTTGCATTAAAGATTCCTCCATATCTCTGCATGGCTTGTTAGCTCGTTTCTTTTTAGTGCTGAAAAATAATCCATTGTCTGGGTGTGCCAGTTTATTTGTAGCAGTTTGTTCAGCTACCAAAGGAATCTTAGTTGCCTCCAAGTTTCAACAATTATGAAAAAGTGTTCATAAATGTCCCTATGGAGGTTTATGTGTGAGCATAGTTTTTAACTCATTTGAGTAAATACTAAGTAGAGCTATTGCTAGATTGTATTGGTAAGATTGTGTCTAATTTTGTAAACTGCCAAATTATACAAATTATTCTCCAAACTTTCTATAGCATTTTTCATTTCCACCAGCAATGAATGAGAGTTCCTATTACTCTGCATCCTCATCAGCATTTGGTATTGTGTTCTGGATTTTGGCCATTCTAATAGGCATAAAATGATATCTGATGGTTGTTTTACTTTGCCATACTCTAATGATATATGATGTTGAAGATCTTTTCATATTCTTATTTTCCATCATATTCCTTCTTTGATGAGACATCTATTTGGGTCTTTTGTCCATTTATTAACATCTTTGTTCCTGTTCTTGTTAAGTTTTAAAAGTTGCTTGTAGATTTTTGGAAAACAGTCGTTTATCAGATGAGTCTTTTGCAAATATTTTTTCCAGTCTGTGGCTGTTCTTTTCATTTTCTTAACATTTCATTTCCTGAGCAGTTTTTATTTTAATTAAGTTCAGATTGTCAGTGATTTATTTTACAGATTGTGCCTCTAATATTATATCTAAAAAGTCATTCCCATACCCCAGCTCATCTAGATTTTCTCTTATGTTATATTTCAGAAGTTTTACATTTTTGGTTTTACATTTAGATCTATGTTCCATTTTGAGCTCATTTTTGTGAAGCGTTTCCAGATTATTATGTTTTTCATGTGGATGCCCAGTTGTGCCAGCACCACTTGTTGAAAAGATTATTTTTTCTTCATTGAATTATCTTTGCTCCTTTATCAAAGATGAGTTGACTATGTTTATGTGGGTCAGTTTATAGATTAATATTCTGTTCTATTGATGTAGTTGCCTAATAAAAAAAAAGAGCCATCACAATATGGCACAATTTAGCCTTTACTTACGGGCACAGTTTGTGTTTTTGCAGAATGGACTCTCCATAGCAAAACTTAAAGCGTTTTTTTTTTCTTTTGGCGGGTTGTTTTTGAGTTATTAAGTGTAGATATGGTGTGTTCATTAATAATGAACTAAATGACTCTCAGGTTTCCCCGCCTCCTTGGGAATTGACACTTTTTGTGTAAACAATTTAAAAATGAACTGGGACAGGTGCAGTGGCTCATGCCTGTAATCCCAGCACTTTGAGAGGCCAAGGTGGGAGGATTGCGTTAGTACAGAAGTTCGAGACTATCCAGGGCAAGAGTGTGTGAGACTTCATCTCCTCCAAAAATAAAAACACTATACTCCAGGAAAAAAAAAAAAAAAAGAAAAGAAAAAGGAAAAGAAAAAGAGAAAAAGAAAAAAAATATGAATGGCAAAAGACCCAGAGTAGCCAACTTATTACTGAAGGAGAGCAAAGTTCTACTAGAATTTAAGACTTACTGTAAAACCACAATATTTAAGACAATGTGGAATTAGTAAAAGAATAGGCTATCTGTCCATGGCCATAAATAGAGGCTAAATTGTGCCACAGTGTAATGGCTCTTTTTTTATTAAAATTTCTTCGATATTATAGCAAGGATGTTGCAAAGGATAAATAATGCTAAATTTTAATTTCTTTTTTTAATACTTCAAATTAGTAGTGGCAATATTTATTCAATTCAAATTATCTTTGCTTCTCAAGCTATAAATATATATTCAAGATAACCTTGTACTGAAGAGGTAACTCAAGTAACTTATACTTTTTCCACTTTACAAGTCCCCTTTCTTGGTTATAACTATTTTTAGGAGCTATTTTATTTGAGGACTTCATAAAAGTAATGTTTCTGTGAATGACTAATGAGAAATTAAAATGCTGGATACTCATGCTCTTTTATCACTATGACTCATGTAGTTAATAAAAACTGTCTTATTTTATTTTATTGCAAACATAATGCCATCCACACAGTACTTAAGTCAATATGATTTCAGTGACATCTCAAAAAAATAAAAGTCAAAGGAAACAAATATACCATAAAATACTTCTCAGAGTTTCTCATAAGTGAAAATAGAACTTCATCAATAATTGAATCAATCTTTGTTATTAAATTCAACTAAAGAATCTGTTGCATACTCCTAACTATAGCTCTTTAATAAACAATAATTTTCAATGCTTTTGGAATTGCTGAGATATCTTTTTTTCCATGGTTGTTTAAAATTCACTTGGTTTAATAGTTGTTTAGCTCTTATAATATGCCAGGTACAGTTCTAAATTCTTTACAAGTACTGTCTAATCACTTAAAATAAATTCAATTTTTATATAAATGAGAAAAATAAGAACAAAATCAATTAAGTAACTTATCTACATAGTAGATCCAGGTTTCAATATCTTGATAGTCTACCTCTGACTTAAAGGAGAAATCTTTTATTTGTATACCTAAGTAAGCAACACCCCCATTGTGAACAGACTAGCCCATCTATTTGTATGCAAACTAAATCATTTCCAGTGACTTCATTTATCATAAGTTACTATGGTCTCAATAAAGTTTCCTAACTCTAATCACAGTATCTAGAAGACAACTTACAATATTGTCTTACATAATTTCATTACCCTCTATTAGATATCTCTTCTTTGATTCTCTCTAAGGCTATGTGAATTTGGTGCTTTTATTTAGCTTTGATCCATATTGTTCAATGGCCCTTCTTCACCATGGGGTAATATGAATAGGATAAATGTATCCACGAATAGGAAAAAAATATATTGTCTTTATTCCTCTAGATGTTGCCCCTAATTTGGTGTATCACAGCAATACCCAAAGATTAAGATGCAAAGTCTAGGGCAGGAGTGTCCAATCTTTTGGCTTCCATGGGCCACATTGAAGTAGAATTGTCTTAGGCCACACATAAAATACACTAACATTCCTAATGATAGCTGATGAGCTAAAAAAAAAAAAAAAAAAAATTGTGAAAAAAATTGCAAAAAAAACACCTCATAATGTTTTAAGAAAGTTCAAGAATTTGTGTAGGGTCACATTCAAAGCCATCCCGGGCTACATGTAGCCTGTGAACCACAGGTTGGACAGGCTTGGTCTAGGGTCAGGAATGCAACCCTCCTGGGGTAACTGCATATTTGCTGCTTCACCTCCTGAGGTCTATAACCTCCACTGCCCAAATACTATAAAACAGCAATTCCACTTACCTTTTATTTATCTCTATTTTCCTGTTTCACATTTTTTCTCCATAGATCTTATCAAGAAGTAACATATTACATATATTTCATTGTTTATTTCCATTGTTCTATGAGTTAATCTAGCTTCTCTGAGATGCAGACAAGATGAAATTACTCATGCAAGAGACCTGCCGGGGACAATGTCTTGGAGGGATAACAGAAGGGAACTGGGGGAGTCTGAAAAGTTGTCAGACCTTGATGCCAGTTGGCCCTGGGCAAAGGATAAAAAGAACAAAGTAAAGGATGAAGCAACTTAGCCTGCTATACAGACCTAAGAGACTTGACAAGGCTATTGTAAAGTTCTTGCATCAAAATGTCCCATCAAAGAAGAACCATATCACCCTCCTGAATGAGATCACCTTTAACACCCTTGCCTTATTCAATCGTTGGCACAGAGAAACAACAGAAAGCATTCCCTTGGCACAAATGACTAATTTTAGAGCATAATATCTGTAATTGGCAGTTAATTACATCCCTCACAAATGGAGATCTGACAGGCATGCATCAATTCTGTCTCTACCTATTGAAGTACAGGGGCTTCTTTATTCATCGAACTATGCTAAACACCTACAAGAGTACATGGGTCACAGTAATAATCAACAAATGTATTAGAATAAATGAATTGTCTCTGGCAAAAAAAGATGTTTGTATTTTCTCTAATGTCTTCTTGGAAATTAGTCTTCTTCCAAGAGCTACTGGTCATCTGGAATTATAGACTACCTTGGGGGATGTCTGAATCTTCTTGAAAACTTCACAATAGGGCAAGAAAAATTTTTTTAAAGGAGCTATTTGACCAGAAACCAGAGAAGTGTCCTTGCAGAACACAAATTATCCCTAACACCAGTCACTGAAAAGTAATTACACGGGGTTTCAATGGCAACTGAAACAAGATGAGTGCTGATGAGTTTCAGAATGGAATGTGAGCAATCTAGAGTTCAGAATCCTTGTGGTGTCTATGTTCTACCTCATTAAACATAGCCAGAGTTTCAAACAGTTGTATTATCAAAGTGCAATGTGCTCTATTATTTAAGAATATACAATTCTGCTAAAGATGATGAAAAATAGTAGAATGGGTAAAAATCATAGGATGTATTAAGCATACAGAGTGAGCAAGCAAATAGCTTATGAGACAAAGGAAGAATCCATAAAATTGTTACGAATAAGTTAGCAAAGTATAATATAAAGTAAAAGATAAATAGAATAAATGGTGTAGATAAAGGCAAAAGCAAGAGTTCTATTATGGATAGAAAGGGATGGAAGGAACCAGTAAATCTAAAATATTAATAAGCACAAATCATACCCCCTTCAGTTTGACAGTGAAATTATCCCTAAATCACTCACCCATTGGTGACATTTATTATGATCCAATGTGGAACTCCTGTGTGCTCTACTGCAGAAATGTGGTTAATAAGCATGGCTGCTCTGCAAATCACAGGCAAGGTATATTTACTGAACAGGCATACTGGCTGCACATCCTTCCAATAGAGCTAGTATACTTGGCTCCAGGCATCCTCTTTGTGCTGAATCCCCTTGCTCAAATCTCACCTTTGATTCTCATAACCACATTATCAACAGAGAAGGATGTTGTGGCAGAGAGAGAGTAAGAGACACAGGACATATGAATATTGTGTAACTCAGGGTACATTGTGGTCATTCCACCCAACATGTGCCCTATTCTAACTGTGTTAACCTATCCCATTTCTTTGCTATTGATTTATATTATTCTTTAAATTGATTCAGTAGACAATGTAATTCAAAATCTTAAGGAGATGTGTGTGACTTTCAACTCCAGGAGCTCCGTGATAGCTTGCCTCATATTTTCCTGAAGATTACCATTGCAAAATGGTGATTTTCCACCTGACACAACTTGTTCTCATTCAAAAAATTTCTCTGTAAAGTATTACAGGTAACAGAATAACTGGAGCCAAAATTCCTCTTAGTAAGGAAACTTATGTTAGAGGAAAATAGCTGCTTAGAATAGAATGTTTAATGTAGAATCTCGTTAAATGTGGGCTTCTCTATGACAGTTAATGGAAAGAGCTGGACACATAAGAGATGCAGCAAATTCTTTGAAAGAAAAAACCAATTCAGTAAAGAAAATGTGATACTTACTTTAAGGGATTTCTACAGAACTGTAAAGACCTAATCCTACCCAACCCAGAAGAATTAAATCTTAGGGAAGCAAAATGATGTTCATTGGAAATGGAATATAGATTCAAACTTAACTAGAGTTTAGTGACACAAAACCTTGAAGTGCTTTCAGGATTACATAAATTTCTGGTTAAAATTTAAATCTTTCATCTGATGGAGTAGCTCATTAACTTCCAGGGAGAAGGGAAAATTATATGAAGTAGCTTACAAGATAGAGGTTCTTGGCCCAGCAAAGGTTGATAACAGTGGAGAGTGTGCTAAAGTTTTGCAGAGTTATTGATTTCCTCAGCAGACAGGTGAACTGAGTTGGGCCTATGTGACCCAGAGCTCTTTGTTCTGGCAACTCAGGCTGTGAGCAACCTTTGACACATCAATTTTTGTCACGGATTATTATGTTTTCTGTGTGAGCCATGATATGAAATTGCTGGGAATCAATAATTTATGATAATACATTGAAAGTATCCTGAGCAATGGGGAATCCACGTGGAGTAAAGCACCAGGCTGTGGGGAATCCTCAGAGGTCATCATATTTCTTTACAACGTCCCCAAAGTGATAACTGGCAATATTTCACTTACAGTTGATAATAACTTTTAGAGGTGGATACTATTATATTGCTTATTTTATAGATGGACTAACAGAGGTCATTCAAAGACCTCTGCTGAATAACCTTTCATCTTTATAGAGGCAGCCAAACCACAATTTTTACAGGGGTAAAATGCACCCAGACAAAGGATTAGATTTTCTGAGAATCAGTTGTAAAGACAGGTGATTGAATTTTCCAAAGATGACAAACAGTATCTCCTACAAAATATGATTTTCTGGAAATATGCCACTACTCCTCTTTAATCTGCAAAGGTTTATGTATGCGTGCAGGAAGAGGCTGCATTCAAATTATACCGTGTGATGTTCAAGTCTAGGTTAGCAAAGAACTCAGCTTCTGTGCTTTATGTTGGATGTTTACTCCTAAGACACATCAATGAGGATGACTTCAGACTATTTCAGCCTACATCCGTTAAGTTACTCCTAGCTTTTCAGTCTGTCTAGCTGAGGCATTAATCATTTTGGAGTAGAGACAAGCCATTATTTCCACATCCTTTCTAAATTCCTGCAAACATAACAAAATGGTAGTTCTTTTATTCTACAAAGTTTGAGGTGATTAATCAGTGATAATAAATGGAGCAGAAGCTAACTATAGTCAAGTGAATAAGTTTGGGCCAATGAGATATAAATGAAAGCTGGAAATTACTTAGAAGTTCCTTTTTTTTTCCTTTTGTATTTTTATTTATTTATTTATTTATTTATTTGAGACAGAGTCTCACTCTGTTGCCCAGGCTGGAGTGCAGTGGTGCGTTTTCAGTTCACTGCACGCTCCGCCTCCCGGGTTCACGCCATTCTCCTGCCTCAGCCTCCCGAGTAGCTAGGACTACAGGCGCCCGCCACCACAGCTGGCTAATTTTGTTTTTGTATTTTTAGTAGAGATGGGGTTTCACCGTGTTAACCAGGATGGTCTCGATCTCCTGATCTCGTGATCTGCCCGCCTCAGCCTCCCAAAGTGCTCAGATTACAGGTGTAGCCACTGCGCCCAACTGGAAGTTTCTTTAAGGAAACAAATGGCTAAACTAGGTTATAGTCCCTGTCCTTCCCTTTTCTACCTTTATGCACCCTGAAATGAAGATGTAACCATCATTATTAGAGCTCCAGTTCCCATCATATAGCATTGAGGATGGAAACCTGAAGATGGCAGTAGAGATAGACATATAGGAGACTAAATTTTTGTTGACTTAATCAAGTCTTCCTAGAAATTCAGAATCGTTGGCCATTAGAATTAATCTTCGTGAGAGAAAAGTAGCCAGTATTTAAGACACTGTTATATTGGATTTTCTTGTGTGTGCTGCCAATCTTAGAAATAGTTTTTTGCATTTTAAATAAACCAAGTCACTTGCCCAAGTTAATTAGTAAAAAGCAAGGATTTGCACTCCAGTGGTCTGTCTTCAGGACCTTCAGTTTAATTACAGCATACTGCCCTGGAGGCAAAAGTGCACTTGTCATGAATGTGAAATATTATAATGCTTTTTAAAACATCAAAAATAAAATCTATCATAATGGTAGAATTTTAAAGATATAGAGGATATAAAATATTTTATCATGGAGAAACTCTGCAGCAATTAGACTCTCTGCCACCTGCTCTTGCCATCGTCATCATCAGTCACAGAAGTAAATCTTTAATACCTGTGAAAATTTATATTAGACTAAATATTTTTGTTATTCTATCCCATGGGTATTCAGTAAAATTGTTTTACATATTGATTTAATATTATATGTATGTAAAATCTTATAATTTATTGAAAGAAATGGTATATATTGGGGTCAAGTTTGTCCTGTTTTTTTATGGATTCAAATTCATTAAATATAGTACAGTCATATAAACAAAAAATCCTGGTTGTAAAACCAAATTCTAAAATGAGAAACTTTTTTACGGCCCTAGGTTACAAATAATTAAGGAAACATCCAATTCGGTATAAGTGAAAAATTCATTCTTTCTGATTTTCTGTGCACTTGCACATTTGTAACTCGCTAGTTTCATTTGCAGCAGAGATATTGAAAACACATTTCAAGAGCTCCTACTGATTTGAGAAATTTATTGTACCTTAAGGGCTGTCAGAAGAAATTTGCAAATTACTACTCCAAATTATTTCAACAAGAAAACATACTGATATGTTCAGGTAATGGAAAGGGGAAAAAAGATTAACGTAAGTGTCATAAGAAAGCTATTGTGCTGCATAAATCACAGGTAGTCAAATATGTTGTGTAAAAAGGATGCTGTGCTAAAATGCAAGAAAGAATATATATTATACTTTGTTTCTCATTCAACTCAGAGTACTCCTTTGATTTCGATGTTAAAATACACACTTCCACATTTTTCCATACCAAGAGTAGGGATTTAAGCCATTTCTTTCTTCCTTAAAATACTATTTGGTGAATCAAAACCTGTTGGCTTCCATCTACGAACATATAGATATATTTCGATATACATGAAAAAATTTAGTTGAAATATTTGAAGATTCAGCAAACCCAGACAAATCAATTAAAGTAGGCATCATGTTTAATCACTAATAGTGGGATTAAATTTAGTTGTATTTTAAAGAAATGGATCCTGTGACTAATGCTTTCTTTATAAATTTTATTGAAACAATATACTTAATTTAACCATCAATATAGTCACAGATATAATGTACTCTTCAATACAAACAATGGAGAAAAGCATTTTTAAAGTATTTTAAAAGCTGGGATCTATTAATGGAGGAACATTGCTTTTTTAGGGAAACACCCGATAGCCTATCAAAGTGTGGAAAAAAATTGGACCTAGGCAATATGTGAATGGAAACAGCAAGCACAGAGTATTTTCTTCAGAGCTGAACTGCTTTGTTTAGGAAAATGGAAGCTTTCTGTATTAGTCAGGGTTCCCTAGAGAGACAGATCTAATAGGATAGATAGATAGATAGATAGATAGATAGATAGATAGATAGATAGATAGATGCATGCATACATACATACATACATAGATAAATAGATGAGAGATATAAAGGAGTTTATTAAGCATTAACTTACACAATCACAAGGCCCCACAATAGTCTGTCTGCAAGCTTGAGGAGCAAAGAGAGCCAGTTTGAGTCTTGAGACTGAAGACCTTGGAGTCTGATGTTGGAGGGCAGGAAGCATCCAGCATGGGAGAAAGATGTAGACTGGGAGGCTAGGCCAGTCTCACCATTTCAAGTTTTTCTGCCTTCTTTATATTCGCTGGCAGCTGATTAGATTGTGCCCTCCAGATTAAGGGTGGGTCTGCCTTCCCCACCCCACTGACTCAAATGTTAATCTCCTTTGGCAACATCCTCAAAGACACACCAAGGAGCAATACTTTGCATCCTTCAATCCAATCAAGTTGACACTCAGTATTAACCATCACACTTCCTATTCATTTCTATTTAGTTTATTTATTTATTTATTTTTCTGAGATGGAGTCTCGCTCTGTCGCCCAGGCTGGAGTGCAGTGGCGTGATCTCGGCTCACTGCAAGCTCCGCCTCCCGGGTTCACACCATTCTCCTGCCTCAGCCTCCCGAGTAGCTGGGACTACAGGTGCCCGCCACCACGCCTGGCTAATTTTTTGTATTTTTAGTAGAGATGGGGTTTCACCGTGTTAGCCAGGATGGTCTCGATCTCCTGACCTGGTGATCTGCCTGCCTTGGCCTCCCAAAGTGCTGGGATTACAGGCGTGAGCCACTGTTCCCTGCCCTATTTAGTTTATTTTTCAAAAGAATTTTTTTAGGGGAAATCACACTGGTAGTGGAGGTAATTTGTTTTTGCAGAAAGAAGTGATAATGTTGTGGGAGGATAAAAATAGTGGATTGAAAATGATTGTAGAGCATCAAAACACCCAATTTTATGTTATATTTTCTGTTGTGTTGTAATTAAAATTTTCATTATCTGTGACTTCAGTAAAGCTTCTACAGAACAAAACCTTATCACCTTATTTACTGTATGGTGCAAGATGAAGTATGTGCTTATTAACCCTCTATGTAGTTTTAAAGAATGTGAGGAAAGTGACTGAGCTCCATATGCAAATAGAAGCAAGGAGCAAGACATCAGTCAAATTGGACAGAAAGAAAAAACACAGATTTTGGGATGATTTAAACAGCTTAGAGCTATCCTCCAACCATCACTATGACTACCAAGTCTTTCAGGGATTAGCAGGGATGCGGTGCTATAATCTGGAATAAAACAATACTAAACATCAAATAATATTTGAGTCATGTAAATTTCAAAGGTTGTATTGTTGATACAGAAACACCTGCTAGTGGAAATATTGTCAAAACTTTGTGTGTGTGTGTGTGTGTGCGCATGTGGTGTGTGTCTATGTGTGTGTGTAACAAAACAACATTGAACTTTGGCAAATAGACTTGCTTAATCCAAAAAATATATTTTAAGAAAATAATACACTGCATTAACCTTGCACATGTAAAGTGATTGTCTGCATTCCTTAATTTTTCCCAAGCATTGTTTTCCATAAATGCAAATAAAACACTAAATCATTTTTTCCAATTGAGAATGGTAATGAAAGGATATAATATGTTTTATTATTCTAATATATTTAAATTAGGTATTTTGTTTTGGTAGTGCCTGACATCATATGTGTACCAATTTAAACGAATTATGTAGTAAGATCTTAGTGCGGCAGATAAGCTAGATAATTAAATGATCTATTCATCTGTTTATAGGTTTATCTGTCTGAAACACAAAACTAACTCGAGAAGAGTTTCAGTAGTGGTCGTGAGATAATATTTGCACTAGATGAAAGTTGCTCACATCTTGTTCTCAGTGCAATCCTTAAGCAAAAGAATTCTGGCAAGAAAATATCCATTAAATAAACAATCTGTGTTTTTAAAATTTAATTACAATGACAACAAAAAGCATACTTTTAGAAATAAGTCCAAAATATATGATTCCTAATTTAATGTAATTAATACTATTGTTACAATACATAAAATAAATATATTGAATACATTTTAAAGGCAGAACTAAAGGGCACATAGAAGCACACTTTCATTTCTAAAAAAAATCTTTAATAACATTGTGTAATAAAGCTTATTATTCTTGAGGAAATATATTTTGGTCTTGGGGTAGGGTTTTGTTTCTAGGAACTAATGCATATTTTACTTGAGACAATTTTTGCCAGTTTTAACTGAAATTTAAGATTACTTCCTATCCCCAAATTGTTAGTTTGCATTAACAAGCTTCCATAGACAAGGCACACTGATTAAAAAAAAAAAAAGCTGGTGATATTTAGCCTGTAGCTTACTAAAATTATCAAGCTTATAAAAGATATGTCACTATGTTAATTAGTTAGAATAATACAGAGCAAATTACTGTAAACACACTATCAGATGGTATTATGAATAAGTGTTCTTGAAAGTCACTTTTATATGTAGAATTACAGAAATGACCTGCGGAGTAGGGGAGATCTAGATGGGCCATAGATAAGTTTTATAGTGATTGTATAAGGAGCGTGATGTAAATTCCACATGAATAGAATATTATGATAAAGAAAACAGTTAAGAGTTTTGCAGCATGGGAGAAATGAGATTTGGGTCCAGTTTTGGCCTAGCAACTAACAAGATATATGTGTACTCAGCAAATTAATTAAACTTTTTGAACTTTAGTATCTTTACTTTTATGCAATCTGTTTGATCTTCTAATAACTGTATATAAGAAAAGTCACATTTCCTTATTTATCCAAATAAAATTATAATAAAATTTGAGTCTCTCTTACCTACCAGTTTGGTCAAACATCTAAAATATCTACTCTTAGGTGTTTTATTGGTTTTTTGTGTTTTTTTTGTTTTTTTTTTTGAGACGGAGTTTCACTCTTGTTGCTCAGGCTAGAGTGCAATGGTGTGATCTCGGCTCACCGCCACCTCCGCCTCCCAGGTTCAAGCAATTCTCCTGCCTCAGCCCCCATGTAGCTGGGATTACAGGCATGCACCACATCTGGCTAATTTTGTATTTTTAGTAGAGATGGGGTTTCTCCATGTTCATCAGGCTGGTCTCGAACTCCTGACCTCAGGTGATCCACCTGCTTTGGTCTCTCAAAGTGCTGGGATTACAGCTATGAGCCACCGTGCCCAGCCAGGTGTTTTGTTTTTGTTGTTGTTTTTTTTCCACCGTTTTGGACTATGATAGATATAATTTCTTCTTCTATCCTTATTGATACACCATACCAGTTAAGTTATTTAAACCCTTAAGGCTTAGTAATATGATCTGCAAAATGAAGATTATAATAGCTATCTCCTGGGTTTTTTGAGACTTCTAATATGAAAAGTGAAAATGAACTGATTATTGTAGTATCTATTTTATGGCAAATGTCCAATTTAGTTTAATTAAATTTTTGAAGAGTAAGGTTTTTATGATATCATTTCAATAGGAATAGAGAATAGTTCTAATTTATTCTTAACTTGAAGTTTTGAAAAAAAAATCACTTAAAGTCCTCTTTAAGATAATTATTCCCTTTGTTAAGGAGATTGGTTTTATTTTAATATAAAATACAATATTGGATCCTTCATTTTCTTTCGAAAGCCAAAAAAATAGTTGTGCTAACATTACCTCAAATACATTTCTTTGTCTATAGATTATTCAAATGTGGAATATCTTTGTCAATCCAAAAAAAAAGATATTAAATAGATTGTTCTGCTTTACATTTTATTGTTTTCAATATTGTTTTAGTTAAATGGCCTTTGACTTGTGCTCATAAAACTTTTTAAAGCAAGACATTTATTTTTTGTTGATTTGCTGTCATAAACCAAAAGTTTGACGAAGCTGCTAAAAGATTTATATAGTATATAGTTAAAGCATTCTAGAAAGACTCACAGAAACACAAAGATCTCCTTTGATAAGAGAAACAATAAAATTACTCCATTCCGCATTCTATCACCCTTTCCGGGTCTTGTTCAAGGTAGTTCTGGTCATTGACTCACGAATTGAGTGGTTTTAGATAAAGCTGTCCTTGGTCATAAACTCTCTCAAAAAGTAATAAAGGGGGGATTTCTCTTATAGGGCATAGTGTATCTTATTTTGAGATGAAATGATGTGCAATGACCACTGACAGTCTTTTGAGTTGTGTTAAAAAAGAATAACAAAAGGCAGCTGGTTGAGGAAAAGGATAAGAATATATTAGAAAAGGATAAGTATATATTGGAAGAGAGATCCAGAGGAAAGCAGAAAACTGCACACTTCATTGCTGCAGAACACACAAAAAAGTATAGAAGCTGATGAAGAATCAGAGAGCATATGTAGGTGTGGATGTTTAAAAAAATAGCAGTAGAGTCTTTGACACTCCTCCTGGTTAGTGTTAGGGTATATGCTTCCTCCCATTGAATCTGGGCAGACTTTTAACTGCTGTGACTGTAATCGAGTATGGCAGAAGTGATACTAAGGCATGTCTGATGTTTTCATAGGCTGTGACAGTTGCACAGACTTTCTGTGATTTTGATGATTTTGACATTTAAGAAGTACTGGTCAGGCAGCTTTAGAATGTCCCTCACTTGTGACCTGTCTCATATTTTTGTCATGATCAGATTAGTGTTATGGAATTTTAGGCAGAAAACCATGGAGGTAAAGTGCCATTCTCATCATGGATATTGAGGATGCACAAATATATTATTAGAATGACTCATTACTGTTAATTTTTTTTTTTTTTTTTTTTTTTTTTTGAGGTGGAGTCTTGCTCTGTCCCCCAGGCTGGAGTACAGTGGCGGGATCTCGGCTCACTGCAAGCTCCGCTTCCCGGGTTTATGCCATTCTCCTGCCTCAGCCTCCCAAGTAGCTGGGACTACAGGTGCCCACCACCATGCCCAGCTAATTTTTTGTATTTTTAGAAGAGATGGGGTTTCACCGTGTTAGCCAGGATGGTCTCGATCTCCTGACCTCATGATCCGCCCGCCTTGGCCTCCCAAAATGTCATTACTGTTAATTTTTAACTTGATTACCCTGCTGAAGTGTTTGTCTGGATTATCCACCATTAACTTACTCTTTCCAGATTCCCTTTTGATACTATACTCCTTGAAAGAAAGTCACCGTATACAGCCCCCTTCAACAAGTGTGTGTTGGCGGGTTATATTCCACCAGATTCAGGGTAAAGATTCTACATAAATTATTTGAAACTCAACATAATTTTTTTCTATTTCTCCTCATTTATTTTTATCCAATCATTTATTTATATTAGTATGGATTGATGAATATACTTTGAGCTGTTATCCAATAGTACTTTATTTTGTTCCTCAAACTGTCCCAGCTTTGGCCATTGTTATCGTTTGGTTGTTTTTAGTACTTTTTTACTTTGTGGAACAGAAAGAACCTCTGGGCTTATATTATATGTTTTGTGCCCCAATTCTAGAACTAGCTATTTTTCCAAGGGACTCTATCTTCTTTTATTGGAGAATGGTATTAGAAACCAAGACCATGGTGCTAGTTATAATCATTTTTAATGGGGTCCCTTCGTTAGCTGACAGGGTAAAGAAATATACAGGTAAATTCTAACCTGTATTTAGGTAGCTATCTTAAAAAGTGTCCGCATCTATCATCTGTATCTATATTAAAATAAACTGAGCTCATACTGATTGCCCTAATTCATTACCATATCAATCATTTCAGCTTTCTCATCTTGCTTATCTGTAACTTTAAACTCCTATAGTGAGATACCAGTTTTCACCACCTGCTATCCATTAACTTAATTCTTTGATCTCATTATATTTACATATACACATATATATATGGTGGTCTCAGTATTATTAGTTTTATACAACAGTGAGAAATATCTTTATCAACTAGGGTACAGTATTTACAGGCAGTACTTTTGCCTTCAGTCTTACTTAGTCATTTTGCCTTTAGTCATTTCCAAAGTTACTTAAGAAAGCACCATTTTCATCCACCTCATCATTGAAGTTCCACAATACAACTCTAATATAGTTTAATGCTTTGGTCACAGTCTGTTTTGCATCCTGGAATCCTTTACCTCCTAAATTATTTTTATCTTGAATATATTAAGGTTTGCTGTTTTGTTCTAAACATCTATGGGTTTTGACAAATGCTAGTATTATGTACCACCACACAAGATCATACAGAATAGTTTTACCACTATAAAAACTCCCATTCACCTATTCAACCACCTTGCCCAATCTGATCCTCTGGAAGCCACTGATCTGTTCACATCCTTATAGTTTCACCTTTTGCAACATGTCTTATTATTGTAATCATACAGTAGGTAGACTTTCAGACTTGCTTGTTTCACTTAGCTTTCTGAGTTGTATGGTGAAGCTGTGCTAGGCTTCATAACAAATGGCCAAACTGGCCACTGAAGTGTCTGTACAATTCTGCCTTCCCACCGACGATGAATAAGAGTTCAGTTTCTGTTGTTCCACATATTATGAGCAATTAGTATAGTCTTAAAAATTGCTATTAGAATATTTTATAGTGATATCTCATTTTTATTTTGATGTGCATATTTCTAATGGTAAGTTTTGTTGAGCTTCTTTTCATATACCTATTTATCATATTTATATCATCTTTGGAAATGTGGGTTTTCAGAATTCTTGCCTATTTTTAATTGGGCTTTTTGTTGGGTTATTATTAAATTTTAAAAATTTCCTTAAAGTTTAATTTGATTTTTTAAATACAAGGCCTTTAATGGATATGTAGTTTGCAAATATTTTCTCCCAGTCTTGATTTTTTTTTTTTGCTTTTTTTGTTACTGTTTTCTGTCTTTCACAGAGCAGAAGTTATTAATTTAATAAAGGTCAACTGATTAAATTGTTTTCTTTCACGGGCATTTTTTGGTGTTTTATTTAGAAAATTGTCACCCAAATCAAGTTCACGTAGTTTCTCTCAAATGTTTCATTCTAGAATTTTTAGGGTTTTCTATTTAACAATGAGATCTATGATTAATTTTGAGTTAACTTTTGGAAAAGGTAAAGTTTGTGTTCATATTCTTTTTTTGCATTTGAACTTTGAATTGTTCTACCACCACTTATTAAGAAAAACTGCCCTTTTGCCATTGAATTGCATTTGCTCCTTTGTCAAAGTTTCATTGTTACATTTGCATTGATCAGTTTTTGGGCTCTATTCTGTTCCATTATTCTGTGTGCCTGTTCTTTTGCAATATGGTACTGTTTTAGTTACTGTAGCTTTATAGCAAGTATTGAAAATGGATATTATATTTCCTCCACATTTTTTTCTTTTTCTTCAGTAATTTTTGGCTACTCAATATAAATTTAAGAATAACTTTGTCAGGATCTGCAAAATATATCTTGCCTGCATTTAGATTGGTATATGTGTTGAATCTATAAATTACATTAGTAAGATTGGTCATCTTAACAATATTGAGTCTTTCAAACAATGAAGATGGAATATCTCTCCACTTATTTAGAACTTCCTTGATTGAATGCATCAATGTCTTCTAATTTTTTATGTATCAATTCTATACATATTTGTTAGTGTTATACTTAAATATTTCATTTTTGGTTGATTTAATTAATGATACTTTTTTTTCAAATTCCAATCATTTTTTGCTAATAAAGAAGTAATTGACTTTTGCATATCATCCTTGTGTCATGTAGTCTTGCTGCTGTTGCCTCCTAGTTCCAGGATTTTGCTGTTGATTCTTTGTGATACTTTACAGATAGTCATGTCATTTGTGAATAGATGCAATTTTATTTCTTCATTTTCAACTTGTATATCTTTCATCTCATTTTCTTGTCTTATTGTGCTGGGAAAGATTTACAATACAATGTTTAATATAAGTGTTCTGTGAGACATTCTTGCCTTGTTCTTGATCTTAGGGGGAGGGAGACCAGTTTCTCACCATTAAATATAAACTGTAGAGTTTTGAGGGGTGCTCTTTATCAAGATGAGGAAGTTTCTCTGTTTCTAGTGTCCCAAGAGTGTTTTTTTATTGTTGTTGTTAATAATAGATGTTAGCTCTTGCCAAATACTTCTTCTGCATCATTTGATGATCATATATATATTACATATATATTTTTTCTACATCACTTGATGAGCTAATATATATTTATAATATATTATATAGATAGATAGATAGATAGATAGATAGATAGATAGATAGATAGAGTTTTTCTTTGTTAACACTTAGATGTGGTGGATTGAATTGAATTGATTGATTTGCAAGTGATGAACCAGCTTGAATAGCTGGGTATATCCCACTTGGTCATGCTTTATTCACTTTTTTCCTAAATGTTTGGTAAAATTTACCAGTGAAACTACCAGGTTTGGTGCTTTTTTAAAAACGTTTTTAACTATTGATGTGACTTCTTTAATAGATATAGCACTAGTAAAATTAGCTGTTTCTCCTTGTGAGAGATTCTGTAGTTTTGTTGTTGATGTTTTTCAAGGAATTTAACCGTATCAACTGAGTTCTACTATTTTGGCAGAGTTCGTTAGTATCCCTTCATCATCTTTTTAATGGGAATAAGCAATGATAGGTGATCTTTGATTTTTGATGTTTATAATTTGTGTCTTCTATCTTTTTATTTTGATTTTCTTGACCAGCCAAGAACCAGCCTATGATTTCATTTATATTTTATGTTATCTTTCTGTTTTGACTTTCATTAATTTTCTTCTAGTTTTTATTATTTATTTTATTCCTTCTCTCTCATATATTATTCATCTGTTTTTTCACTATGTCTACTTCATCTGTTAGAACCCTGGAGTCATTAATCAGAGGTGTTTTTAATTCTTGTCTGATACACCATCTGTTTCATCTCTGAGTCTGGTTCTGATGATTGCCTTATCTCTTCTTAGTGTGTTTTTTTCTCACCTTGTGGTATTTTTTGTTGAAAGCCAAATATAATGTATTAGGTCATATAAACTGAGGTAGATAGGTCAGCAAAAGAGTTTGTGTTAATCTAGATAGGAATTTGACTGTACTTAATATTTGCTATATAACAAGTATCAGAGACATTCAATTGTGCAGCATCATTGTTTTTGTTATTTTTCCTTTAACTTTCATGAGCACTCCTCCCTTATAAACAGCCTGTTTCTTGAAGCGCTTTCAGCCATATCTGCTATTAATATACAGATGGATGTCTCATTATTCACCATAGTTTATGTTCTAACAAATACTGTGCCATTGCTGCTAAAGGAAACACAGAGTTAAATTCCCTTGAGCCTCTTACCACATTTTCACCCACTGAAATGCTTTTTGTGTTATATAGGTCCATTTACTATCATCCTTAAAAAGAAATCCACTGTCATCAAGGTTGAAAACCTGTTTTTCACATAACCCTTTTCCCATGTAACACTTAGCAGATTAAAAAAAAATTACTTTGCAGCCTCGTATTCTGCAGAAACTGCCTCACCTATAAGTTTAACATTTTTGTGCTATATTATTTTTTGAAATGTGTGAGTCATCTGGTACTTGCTAAGACTGGTTTAGCATTTCTCTCATCCTGCGTAGCATGATTGTTCATTTCTTTGGCTTTTGACCTCAAAACGACGCTGTCCATTATGTTCTTTTTATTATTGTTATCTCATGAATCCACACACTTAGCCACTTTTGCATATTTTCAATAGCTTTATCACACACTGTAGATGTTACTTTAGCACTCTTTAGATAAGCCTCATGTACAGATTGGTGAATTTCCTCTTTCTTTTTATGGTTGTACCATACTGTGATGCATAACATTGAACTCACAACCAACAGTACTATAACTCATGCCTGAATGAAACAAATCTAACACATATTTTTTTTCTATAAGGCACATCACAGCCTTTTTATATTTACTTGGAAACCCTAGACACCACTTCATCTTTTCCCTTGTGGGCCATTTTAAATAATGAGATCACCATCACCAATAACAACAAAAATCACCAACGATTTTTTAAATGTAGCACTAATTAGACCACAAAAAGGACATTTGCTTAAAGTATGAGAGCTTCTTGTTTCAGCTCTTACTTTGTTCCACCTCAGCTGGGACATATATGTCAGGTGATTCAAATTTTTCAGCACTCTGCATGTCTGCATGGGATGTGATTATAAAAGCTCCGAGAGGATTGAGTTAGAGGTTACAAGTATGTTTTAGCAAGAAGGAAAATGAACAAATACAAAATCTCCAAATTATGAGGATCCATTCTACCCCTGCTGCTCTGACAGCGGTGTGGGAAGGGAATCTTATAATTTAATTTCAGTATTTTATGGGGCCTGTGTGTCTGGGGTGAGACCTTCACAACTCTTTTTCCAGTGGTATAGCTGTTTTCCCCATTCAGCTGGAACTGGAGAGTAAGAGGAGGCTACAGTTGAAGGAATGTTCTTCCTTCGTTGTGATAAGAATCTAGGAAAGTCTTTTCTACTGAAAAATCGGCTTTTGTAATGCAGAGGTTTCTGAAGGACTCTCTCAATGACTATTCTTCCCGTCAAAAGGGAATCATTCTGGGATCTTCATTTTGAAGACCTTATGGAGTTCCTGGAGGTAAAGCTCAGGAAAGAGTAGCGGGCCTCCTGACCGAGCGCGGTGTCTCATGCCTGTAATCCCAGCACTTTGGGAGGCCAAGGCAGGTTGATCACCTGAGGTCAGGAGTTTGACACCAGCCTGACCAATGTGTTGAAACCTTGTCTCTATTAAAAATACAAAAACTGGCCGGGCGTGGTTGTGGGTGTCTTCAGTCCCAGCTACTCAGGAGGCTGAGGCAGGAGAATCGATTGAACCTGGGAGGTGGAGGTTGTAGTGAGCTGAGATTGCACCATTGTGCTGCAGCCCAGGCAATAAAAACAAAACTCCGTCTCAAAAACAAACAAACAAAAAAAAAGAGTAGGGGCCTCCTAAGACTGTGGCCACCATAAAAGTCTCACTTTTAAGCTAGCCCATAGTTCAGCCTCTAGAAAATCTTCAAAAATCAAGTGTTGTTGTCACTTTATGGTCCTAGCAGCTTCTGCTCCAGGTAATCAGATCTTAGCAGTGTCTGCCAAATGCTCTAAATCTGGAAAGCCAGATTCCAGGGTGATTATTTGCCTTGCAACTGCAATTGGCTGAAAGGTTCAGGAAACATAATTTATTTGGGAGTGATGACTTGTAAACTCTTTACCTTCGGAGCTGAATCTAGAAATTCCATTCTTTTTAAAATAAATTTATTTATTGTAATTTAATACAATATCCAAATGTATACAGATCATGCATATATATGCCAATGAATAATTACAAAATAATTACATTTGTATTGTAGCAGGAGGAGTCATAGAGAAAATCCCTCAGATACTGGATTGAGGAAGGAAAAACCTTTATTCAGCTGGGAGCATCAGCAGACTCACATCCTAGAAACCGAGCTCTCCAAATAAGTAATTTCTGTCCCTTTTAAGGGCTCACAACTCTAAAGGGGCGGTGTGAGGGGGGGTGGTTGTGATCGATTCAGCAAGCGAGGGGTGCGTGACTGGGGGCTGCATGCACTAGTCATCAGAACGAAACAGAACAGAACAGGGAGTTTCGCAATGCTTCCTCAAACAATATCTGCAATCTATAGATAACACAAGTGGTGAGGTCAGGGGTTGAATTTTAATTATCATGCCCAAAATGTGGTGCCAGTTTGTCTGACTATGAATTTCACTGCTGCTTATTCTTTCAACTTCTACCTTTACAGTAAACAAGAAATTAAGTATAAGACAATATGAGGAATGGTTTCCTCTCTCATTCCCCGCTTTGAGAACCTCACTCTCTAGTGGGAGTTCTCACTTTCATCCTCACTACCTATATCTTCCTGCAAGACAGATCAATAGTGATTCATATAGTACACATGTGCTAAAGCATTTTGGTGAACTAAGGTAGCAATTAAGCTTTTTATCATTTGAAGGAGTACAGGTAGCAAGCAAGGGAGTAGCAGGCAGGTTCCTATCACTACTATAATTCCTATTATAAGAGTTTTAAATCCTCCTATCGCTGGGAACCATTTTCCAAACATAGCCCCAGGATCGAATCCGTGCCACACTTGCATGGGCACATGTGTCAGCTTTGTCATGTCTCTGACTATGTCTTCGACTACTTGCCCTTGATCATCTATGTGTAGACAGCAATTAGTAAGGTTAAATTTTCCACAGACCCCTCCTTCAGCTGCCAGCAAGTAGTTGAAAGCCAGTCTATTTTGGTAGATAGCATTTCTCATCTGAGTTTCTTGTCAGGCTGGTAAAGTCAAGGCTTGGCCGGTTTTATTAGTGATGATTTCTAAGACAGCTTGCAACCATATGATTCAGTTGAGCATGTAAATGGGGGTCCAGTATCCCCATGAGCTGTCTTGTGCCCACGTAGCAGGCCCATAGTACTGTATAATTCTTTCAGGGGGCCATTCATCATCTTTCCAATTACCTATGGCTATGCTTCTCCTTTCGCAGGAAGCGTAGACAGGGAAGCCTGGAAGTTCGCCTGTTTTTATGGGCAGTAGAAGAAAGATGGTTTAATAGTAACAATAACACAACTACCTGTCCATTGGTCAGGCAGCTTAGCATAGACTCTATGCCCACACCTCCAGTATAATCCAGTGAGAGCTGTCTAATCCCAATGGGACTCCAGGTGGGTCCACATGGTCAGCAACTTTGGAAATTTACTAAATAGATTGTTTTCAGTGAAGTTTGAACTCCACCAAATGGCTGTTTTGGTAGCACTATTATACAGTTTCTGCCCAAGACAACTGAGCTGTCCTACAGGGTAGGTAATTCTTTTCCTTCTCTAGCTATGCAATATTGTCCAATTATTGAGGTTTTTAGGACCTAGAAGTTATCAGGATGATTCTTTTGGGCCAGGAATTCATTGGGAACTGGGTCTGTAGGCACTAATTCTCGGGCTTCCCATGGCCACTGATCTCCCATTACAGTTCTTCCACAAACATGACATGAAGTGACATTAAGAGACTAAGCTACATGCTCGGCTAATTGCAAAAACAAGTTTCTAGTTTTTCCTGGAATTTCTGGTACCGGTACATTTAGTTCATCATAGAAAGTTTGAAATACTGGTTGGGGAGAGCATTTTTGGACTTCTCCTCATATCAAGATATGGACTCCAGGATCAAGACCGGTCCCATCAATTCCTAGGGTTACATATTCCCCTGTTTTCCAGAAGGGATCTAGTGGGTTAGCAATTATTAGTTCTAATGGGTTGCAATTTCCACTAGTGCAATAAGAGTTACTTTTTCCTTTCTGGAGGTTGACGAGGTCTTTTCATCTTTTTTCCAAGTAGACGAAATGATGCAAGACCAGTAGAAGCAACCTCCACAATTTCCTAGTTCATGACATATATACTTATTTTCTGGTGTATAGCTTTTTTCCCAATTGAGGGATCCGCATCCTATTCCTAACCTCTTGCTATGAATGACTGCACAAGCATCAAACTTTAAAATAATGTTTTTAGGAACTCCCCTTTCTTCTACCCTAGTTAGTACTTTACTTGTATCTCTTTGAAATGAGGTCCTTAACCTTATTTCAAAAACTGTGAACATGGGAGGCTCAGAGGGGTCATGGCACATGTCTGGCTGGTCATTTCCTGGGCTACACACTTTGTATTGAATGTTGTTATACAAATATGTTCCTTTTAAAGTTCCCAAGCATTCATAATAACTATGGAATAGATAGTCTTAGTTTGTTTCCCTACCTCTGTAACCTGATGGAGGTACTGGGAGCAATCTTCCATTTGGGGAAAATCAGTCGAGGTTTTTATTATACAAGTCCAAATCTCTAGAAAAATGAGTCTCACGATGAGTTTCCTCATGCTTCAGCCGTGCATAGACCAGTCAGCTTCCAGGTATGACTGGAGCTGGGCTTGTCATCTTCCTCAGAGTTACTTTGCAGGGGTTGTCCGGGCTCGGTTTTGCCTCCCAGGTTTCAGCAGCCGCAGATAGTAAGTCGGTGTTTCGCCGGGCCTGACGTTTGCCTTCTTTACAGTTTTCCCTGCGGCTGGTTGCATCTTTGTTCACAAACACTTGATTGGCTATTTCCAGTAACTGTGATGTATTCATAACTGCAAATCCGGCCTGTTTCTGCAATTTTCTCCTAATATCTTCTGCACTTTGGCTAACTAGGGCCATGTTAATCATGTGCTGATTTTCAGGGCTGTCTGGATCAAAGGGGGTGTACATATGGTAAGCCTCACACAATCTCTCACGGAATTGTGCCAGACTTTCCTCTTTTCCCTGGATAACTTCAGAAACTTTATTCATGTTTGTAGCCTTTGAGCCCCTTTGTTTAGATCTTCTAATAATGCCTCTCTGTACCGCTTTAGCCTTTCCATATCTGGCCCATTGTTCAGGTCCCACTGGGTGTCTGTTCCTGGCAGCTGAATTCTTACGTATTCTTGAGGGTTTTGGAAATCGGCTGGGACGTGTTCTTCCAGCCACTTGGTTGCTGCCTGGAGTACCCTTTGCCTCTCATTGGTAATAAAGAGGTACATGAGCAGCTGGTGACAATCAGCCCAGGTAGGATTGTGAGTCTGTAAAATGGTTTGGAGCAGATCAATTAAGGCCTGGGGTTTCTCAGTATAAGAGGGTGTATTGTTTTTCCAATTTAAGAAATCAGCAGAAGTGAAAGGCTGATACAGAAAGGCACGTCTTTCCACCATGTGCCTGTCCTCATCTTCCCCAGTACATCGCTGCTCCCTCAGGGGTGTTTGGATTCCAGTCTTAGGTCATAAGTGGGCTGTCAAGGGAGAAGATTTCCTGCAGCTTCACTTCCTCTTTTGTCTACTCTGGGTGGTCTAGGGGTGTGGATGTCTTGCGAGGGTGTAGGTGCTATGGGCTCAGGAGTGGGGAGCCCTCCTTCTCAGTAAGGGGGGACCATCAGTGCCATCTCCTGCCAGGAGTCATGGGGCATCGGGTCAGATAGGACTTTAGGTGCCGACCTCCCTCAGCAGGTGGAGTGAAAACCTTCCTGAACTGACTATCCCTTTGCTACTAGTACTGCTGCTGCCTGCCCTCTTAGCCACTGAGAGGGATCTAAAAGTAGCTGTAACCAGGAATCTATATACGGGAACTGATCTGGGTGCCCTTGCTTACAGGTTACCTTGTGCCATACCTTCGAGACAAGGGACCTACCCAGGCTTCCTTCTGATGGCCAACTCACTTCTAAGCCTGGCCAGTCTATTTCACACAGTTTTAAGTAAGTTTCCCTGGTGTCATAGTAACTCCATAATCCCCATTAAATCCCTTTTTGAAATTCTTTGGCATAGTTCCTAATGGGGTGGGCTTACTTTGCACCTGACCCATGTTTTTCTCACACTCTCACCACACACACACACCTCACACAACGAAGAACGAGTAAAAGGGCACACACACAACTAATAATTAAAACCAAAATCTGAGTATCGAGAAACCCGAGCCAAGTCAAAACCAAAACCAGAACCAAATACCAAGCAATTTAAGTTAAGACCAAAACCGAAGTACCGACATGGGCACGTCGTGGGTGATCAGGCCACGTTTCCACTCAAATGGAGTGGGCAAATTCCAAAGACTAGTATTACCAAGTTTTGGACGTCTGGACCCCTTGTGCCAGTTCCTTCCCAGTGTTCAGCTGCTGCGTGGATCCCTCCTCGGGGGCCTGCCACACGCTGCTCTGGCGAGGCATCCCACCAGGGCAGTTGCCTACCTGGGAGCGCTCTTTGGGTCTTCATCACTCAGGCTGGGCTGAGTCCCCCGCAGGGATGCTCCACAGGGCAGGCCAAAGCCACTTAAGCGGCTGCCTCGACCCTCCGTCAATCACCTCTCTTCCCGGTCAGGGAACCAAGAGATGTAGCAGGAGCAGTCATAAACAAAATCCCTCAGATACTGGATTGAGGAAGGAAAGAGGTTTATTCAGCTGGGAGCATCAGCAGACTCACGTCCTAGAAACTGAGCTCTCCAAATAAGTAATTTCTGTCCCCTTTAAGGGCTCACAACTCTAAAGGGGCTGCATGAGGAGGGTGGTCATGATCGATTCAGCAAGCGAGGGGTGCGTGACTGGAGGCTGCATGCAGTAGTCATCAGAACGAAACAGAACAGAACAGGGAGTTTCGCAATGCTTCCTCATACAATGTCTGGAATCTATAGATAACACAAGTGGTGAGGTCAGGGGTTGAATTTTAACTACCAGGCCCGAAATGTGGTGCTGGTTTGTCTGACTATGAATTTCACTTCTGCTTATTCTTTCAACTTCTACCTTTTCAGTAAACAAGAAATTAAGTATAAGACAATATGAGGAGTGGTCTCCTCTCTCAGTGTAAACATGACACACATAATGTCATAGAATACTAATAACATACTAGTAGTCCCAACTGCCCCTTCCCAATCACCATTCCATTCTTTCTTTCCAAAATACTGACTACATTATATGACTGCAACTTTTGTACAATGTTATTTTTAGTATTTATGTAAGTGACATCATTCATCATTATTTTGTGTCTGGCTTTTTCAATCAATAATTTATTTTAATACTTATGGATGCTGTTGCATATAGCAACAATGTTTTTGTCTTTATTGCTGTATGGTATTTATTTTCCAGAGATATGACAATTAGATAGTTGTAATTATTCAATGGGAATTTGTTTTTTCTCTAGTTGTTAATCTGTTTCAATGTGAATGATTATTCTAGAATATGTTATGTGGACTATATAGTAGGCATTATTTAGGAGTATAATTCCTAGATCATAGTTAAAAGAATAGTTTATTTTAGTAAATAATGCCAATCAGCTTTCCAAAGTGACTGCACAGATTTTCAGATTTTTATACAATCTATTGTATACATACATGAATGTTAACCAATTAACTTCTTCTGATACATAGGCAAGAAAAAATCCAATTTAAGTTAATTATAACTTTATTTTTAAAGGTTTTATTTCTTAAAGTTTTACTTCTAGAGACTTGCCCAGATAATATACCTTCAATATTGCATATATATGTTTATTAATTGTGCCATTATTTATTATTGCAAAATGAAAAGATTAAAAACTCTACTTGCTCACATATGCAATTAGTTAAGTAAACTATGGTTGAATAAACTGATAGGGAGAGACTTTGAGGATATATTATTACGTGAAATTTGCCAAAAAAAATCCCCAAACAGTATGTCTATTTTTATATATTTGGTAATTTTTTTTAAAAAGAAGACAAATAACCACAAACCTATGAAAGTGATAGAGGCATGGATGAGTAGAAATGAAATAAAACGCATGTGAGAGGGAGCAACCATATTCTCGGTTCACCTTTTTTATTATGAATTTCACTATTATAACCATGTTAATGTTCACATATTCAAAAATTATATTTAATTCAATAAAGATAGAAAAAACAATATATTATGAAGTTTGTTTAGAACAGTTAAAGATACTTTACAATTATGTTCCTAAAATTAAAATAATATGGTGGGTTAAAAGCTCCATCTTTGAACCTATTTTTAAGCTTAGAATTCTATAAATGAAAATCCTTTCCTTCTGCATGGAAGGTATTTTCCCTTCAGCTGTGCTTTTGCTAGCTATAAAGTTAAATATTTGAACTGAAGGAAATATATTCTGAAATATAATAAAAATAGGCTATTGAAAGGAAATATATTCTGAAATATGATAAAATTAGGCTATTGAGAGGAAATATAGTCTGAAATACAATAAAATTAGGCTATTGCGATTGGCACAAAACTCTAATCCTCATTATACTGTTCTCAACTTTTTCATGGAGCTATAGAAATCAACTACAGCTCCTTTTTTTTGAACTGTTATATTACAACAACAGTGTAAAAAAAACGAACTTTTCATGCATGTATATACTATTAAAAAATCTATGTTACTTACTATTCTAGAGGTGATATGTAAACCATTATAAAGAATTTTTGAAATACTACTATATTTTGTTTTTCAGTAGTGCTTAAAGCTTTATGGCCGGGCGCTGTGGCTCACGCCTGTAATCCCAAAACTTTGGGAGGCCGAGGCAGGCGGATCACGAGGTCAGGAGATCGAGACCATCCTGGCTAACACGGTGAAACCCCGTCTCTACTAAAAAAATACAAAAAAAAAATAGCCGGGCGTGGTGGCGGGCGCCTGTAGTCCCAGCTACTTGGGAGGCTGAGGCAGGAGAATGGCGTGAACCCAGGAGGCGGAGCTTGCAGTGAGTGGAGATCGCGCCACTGAACTCCAGCCTGGGCGACAGAGTGAGACTCCGTCTCAAAAAAAAAAACCTTTATAAATCAATAACAAGAGAGGTTTTAGCCCAGTAGGCTGTAACAGCTTGTTTGAACTTGTTATGATCCATTTTGTCAATAAGGTCTTGGGAGATCTTTAAACCTGTGCTTATTTGACTATTAGGTATACATTATAACCATATGTTGAATTAATGTTTACAACATATAGGTGTAAAAAAGAATTGAAACTCCTTTCTCCATGATATTTAAAAAAAAAATGATTTTAACAAGCTTTTTTGTTTGTTTGTTTGTTTGTTTGTCTTTTGAGATGGGATTTTGCTCTGTTGCCCAAGCTGGACTACAGTGGTTCCAACATACCTTCCTGTAAACTAAAGCTCCCAGTCTCAAGTGATTCTTCCTCCTCAGCCTCCTGAGTAGCCAGGACTATAGGCACACGTCACCACACTAAACCAATTTTTAAAAACATTTTTTGTAGAAACCAGTCTCACCATGTTGCCCAGGCTAGTCTTAAACTTCTGGCCTCAAGTGATCATCTCACCTTAGTAAATATATTTTATTCCCTAATATTAACACATTAAAAATATTCACTGTCCTATGGACTGCTTAACATAGCATGATATTTCCAGATAATCTGTCTGTTAAAATTTCAGTGAGTTCTTTTCAGTGCTTGAGGGTAATGTCCAAGGATAATTTAAAGGGTATTTGTAGATATCATGCAGGTATAATGCAAGTTCATTTTAAAGCTGAAAGAAACTGGGACTCAGAGTTCTTAAGTGATAAAATCGGGATGCAAGACCGGATTTTCTGCCTCCTTGTCCAACTTTTTTCTACTTCTTCGAAGGTTGTTAATTTTTCTATTTCTTTTAAAATATATTAGGGTTTTGTTGGGTTATCTTCATGAAGATATAAATTAATATATTCTGTTATATTTACATGCAGTTGATATATTTAATAGTAACATCAACTTATTCATGCAACCATTAATTTCTTTATCAATAAAATAAATACTTTCTTGACACCCAGTACTTTCAAAATTCTGTAATAGACAGCTGGGAATGAAGACCAATAAAACATCCTTTTATTGTCATGTCAATGTAGCAAATTATGTTTTAGACATGGTATACACAGAAGTAAATAATTACAGTGGAGAAATTGCTCGACTGAGGAAGTGATTGCCTCAGCCTAGATCAATAATTATTACAGTAGAGGGAGTGACAGAAATATTCACAAAGCAACACCTAATTTGGAAATTTGAACACATTAACTAGCTAAAGAACCAGAGAACAAAGATATTGTATGCCAAAGACAAGACTGTTTCATCAACTTTGGTGTGATTTCCATGGAGATGTTAACTCTAACTAGATTACTTGATATCAGGAATAATTTGCCTCCTAATGCCCATGTATATGTAGGATGTACTTAGTATTGGCCTTTCTAGAATTAACATCTGAGTTGCCTGTAAGTGAACCCATCACCTATCAGAAGAAAATATTGGACAGTAAAGTTGCTGCACATCTTATCTCCAATGACACTGCCCATGTGATTGAATACCAGCAGTCTAGCAATCTAAGTATCTTATAAGAAAAGTCATTTTAGTTTGGCCGATAGAAAATTCTTCTAAACTATGTTTCTCCATTGAGTTTATTTACTTTTCTAAGTTTTTCTTCTTGAAGTAATGTAAAATAAGTCAATATCCTCTTCTACATGGCAGCTTTGACATATTTTGTATGTCTTTAAAAGATGGCTTATGGATTTTGGAGGTCTTAGTATTCCAGTGATTTCATTCTTTCATTATTTATCCTGTTGCTATGTTCTCTAAGACACATTCAACAGTGAAATTATATGATTCAGTTTACCTTATTAAACAATAGAGTATATTAAAATATGGCATCTGATTGCCTCTTCTGAAATTAGGATGAACTGGAAAAAAGATAAAGAGGAAAACAGAAGATAGCATCAGAAAAACAAATTTCAAGCAAATGTTTTTACATTTTCTAACCCCAGTTTCCATGTTTAAATAATAGAAACAAAAACATCTACTTGGCAAACATTTTACTTAGATTAAATGAATTTGAATTTAATAAGATAAAGTATGATTATGACAGGCATAGAAAATAATAAGTTTCGTCAAGGCAGTTCTCTAAAAAAGAAGTTGCTTGTCCGTAAGTGTTTTTATGCGTAATAATTCTGGTGTGTCTTCATAATCTGAGATTTTGATGATCCTGCCATTTGTCTCTACATTCTGCCAGTGCTCTGAACAGAAGGTGCTTTATTTAAGCCATTTTAGTGTGAAAAATAAGTACTTGATGGGGACATGCTTTGATAATGAGGTAGGAGACTGGCAAGACTTGTTTTCTAGTTATCCTGCTGACCAAAACTGGATCTGGTCCAGACAGGAAAAAGTGAAAAAAACAGCAGGAACCAGCAGACAGCAACAAAAGCAATCCCTAGCTGCCTTCATTTCTCATTAGGATAAGACACTTCCACCGGCACCACAACAGTTTATAAATACCATGGCAACGACCTGGAAGTTACCAATCCTTTCCATGGCAACAACGCAGAAGTTACTGCATATTTCCTAGACAGTTTTAAGTAACATGCCCCTCAATTTGCATTGACTCATCCTTTAATTTGCATGTAATTGAAGTGGGTTTACATGAGTATAAATACATTTGCCAAGCACCCACTGCCTGTAAGTTATACCTGCTCTGCAAGGAGCAGTACCTTCCCATACAAGATTGCTGTCTAACACCACCAGCTAGCCCTTGAATTCTTTATTTGGCAAAACCAAGAACTCTCCCAGGCTAAGCCTTAATTTTGGGTCTCACCCGTCCTGCAACAAAACCATGTCTTTCCCTGAGTGGACAAGTTGAAAAAATATCAATTATTTTACCGTGCCTTTCCAACACTTTTTGACTACCATGACATGGTAAAGGCAATTGTGCCAATTGTTAAATTGATTAATATTTCAGATTGTGACGACCATGAGATCCTATACAATAACTTGGAAAATTATCTGATGTAGATTTGTAGAAAAACTTGCTACACATGTTTTAAAGGACTTCAACTCCTTTTGGCTGAAAATTCTGGAAGAAAGAAATTATTGGCATAACCATGACCATCCAGAAAACGTTGTTGATGCAATGGCTCATGCAATTTGGAATATTTTCTAGTGGTCCCTGTTGACTAATTTGATCTTACTAAGTAATTCAATACCACTTGAACATATTGTAGTGCTGGAGAAATCAGTAGCAGCAGTGTGAAACTAGCAAGAACTCCACATTTGAAGAATACTACCTTTCCTACAGGAATCCCTTGAACTTTAGAAAATTGATTAATCCCTTTGAGCTTAAGTTTTCTCATCTAGTAATAAAATGCATATCCCAATAGTTTCTCTTCACTGCATTGTTGGAAAGATTAAAGGAAAAATGAGATCTCATGAAAAGCACTCAGCTCAGTATTGAGCACACAGTGAGCTACTGATAAGTATGAGCCATTATTGCTTCTTAAGTGTTGCTGAAAATGGATATTTTTCATCTTTGTGGTGTTGCAGAGCAGTTGAAATAATGAAGAGTTGTGAGGAATAATTTTTAAAATAGAAATAAATTTAAAATTACATTAATTTCAAAGCTGTACCAGTTAGTCAATTAATGGGCATATTAGTTAAGTACATGTGGACTACAACAATTAGGTAGAATTTTTCCCTCTATTTCACTAAACACTATCCTCATCAGAATTCATTTTACCAAAAGCAGTTAATTATAAACAATATTTACATTTCTAGGCCACTGAATCTTTATATTTTGGGAAGACAGGTAGGGGAAAGATATTTCCTTTTCTTAGAAAAGTACTCATGACCAGTTAGCCACTCTTTTCTCTAGAATTTCACGACTTCCAGTACTCCAGAAGGGTCAGCAAAACCGAGATAATGAAGTCCTGATCTGGACGACATGTTTCACCCATAAACCCCAAATGTTTTTTCTCTCTCTCTCTTTCTCTCAATCTCAATCTTTCCCTGTCCCTCATACTCTGTCTCCCTACTCCCTACCCTCATCTCTCTATCACACACACACACATACACAAGTCTTCTTTTTAATAGTAATTTAATTTCTAGAGTTCATTCTGCAATAGAAAACTTATTGTTTCAATATTGAGTATTGCTAATGGCTTCCGTGTGGTATCTTCTCCTTTCACATAAGAAAATAGATTTATTGAGAGACATTTAGGGAACAGTTTTACGCTTGCTAATGGCTTTAATTAATACAATAGCATTAATCAGACTATATAGTTGCATTTTCTTTTTAAACAAATGACATTTTAATTTTAATCCAATAACAATACGATAGTATTCAATGAATTGTCCCCAAAGTGGATATTTAAAAATACATATTGATATTTTAGTTAAAGACAATCCTAGGTTATATTGAAAGACAAATCAGAAAAATCTAAAACAGTGTAGACATTTGTTAAACATTTATCAAATGTATCTATTTTCTTTCATTATTACAAAGTTATATTAGTTATTTAATTAAACAGCAAATATACTTGAATTCATACACAATTTAAAATCATACTTTATTCACTATTTCTAGAAACAGTCAAACTACTTAGAAACCTGGACTTAAATTGACATTGATTTTTCAGTGATCTCTAAAGCAAATAATTTACCTTTTTTATTTTGCCATGGTTTACATTTTTATCTCATGCCATTTTCTCCATTTCCAAATGACTATACAAATTTTTAGAAAGAAATAAAGAATACTACAAACAAACATTAAAATGATTTAAAGCAAAGAGTTCTCATGTGCAGGAGGTTATCTTTATCAACAATTTTTTGAATAGTGCTTCTATATACATTATTGTTTTATAAAGCTCTTGATATTAATAAATTCTCTAAGATGGGAAAAGTAACCTTCTTACATTGTTACTGAATGCATTGATAGCAATATACAACTAGATTCAATGATTTATATTTCTTCATCAGATTTTCAGTTTGTGGAAGAAAGAGTTTGTTACCTGGCACAAAAGACCTAATATATTAGATTTAACTTCGTCAATGTAGAAATATCCACTTCTAGACACAATGCTTTTCTCTTGATTGCATCTAACACATAATGGTATATATAGCCTGAATTCATAGTTCACCATCATTTTAACAACATTTTCTGTGTAATCGGTGCTATTTTGTTAAATGGAGTTTATTTGAAACTGTCCATTACTTACAAGTTAGTAAGTCTGTCATTTCCTTGTTAGCCAAAAGGAGTTAACTTCTGGTATATTTTGCTAATAAAAATTCACAAATATGTATGCATTTTAAAAACATCTACACGTAGTATTCTGGGTTATAACAAAGGTAAATATTATACCTTCTCTGATGCTTCTTTTGGTTGCTATCCAGGCCACATGTGTGACTGGAGCTTATAAAATTTGAGAAGACAGGAGCCTTTAAGTCTGTGATTCCCAATGTGGCTGACTCTCAGTCCCCTGCTAGGGAATTTTGGAAATATCTGTACATTTTTTAATTTCTCATCAAGTGGAATCTAGTGGGTAGAGGCTGAGTTTTGATAAACAGCATACAATGCACAAGATACCTCCCAACACACACCCCAGGAATTGACTGTCTAAAAGTGCCAAGATTCCCACGTTGAGAAATACTACTTGAAATAAAAGAATAAAATTTGTTAAAAATAAAATACAATTAGATACAGAAGTAAGTGAGGAACTCTGTAGAACAAGCTTCTTTAATTTTGTAGGTAAAACTGCTTTAGCGATTACTCCAAAACAAAATTCCAAATCAAACGCATTTCTTTTTGAATAATGAATTAACCCTTATAAATTTCTACCTCTGGCAGAAGGTTTTTGAAAAGTAAAGAAATTAATGTGCTTTAAATTGAAGGTTTCTGTCTAATGAATTTAAAAGACAACTACATAATACTTCACGATAATGAGGTTGGCAAGCACAAGGTACAGTGATTTGATTAAGTTGATGGGGTCTACAGCGGGGAGTCAGATAAAAACTGTACATACTGCAGGCAGCATTTTCCTAGAAGTAACACAATAAGTAAGAAATACTTCTAAATTAGTTTATAACTTCTTTTATAGCTTCTGTACTTCTTTGCCATTCAAGATATAATAGTTTTACACAACTCAACCCTATTAAATTGTATTACAAGCCTTATATTCAAACGCTTGTTAGTAAAACAGAGCTACATAAAAGCATGTCCATGAAGCCTTGTTGCCTGTGGCACCGACTGATGTATCATGACCTACCTCCCTACACACACACACATGCGCGCGCGCACACACACACACACACACACACACACTTATTCCAGGATTTTAAAAAACAGCCTGACTTGTTATACCATGAGAATTTTAAAAACAAACAAAAACATTTTAAACTATTTAAATTTTCTATATGCTTACAGTAAATATATTATGGTTTACACGTAGTGTCTAGTCTAGCTAAGCTTAGGCTCAGGGTCCTATATTCTTTACTGTGTATATATTTGTCCTATATATTATTTGAACACTGAGAAGTCACCACTTGGTCCTGTATTGAATCACACATTATTAACTTGTAAATTCGTGTGACATCACACTGTACACCGACACACCTTCAGAAATATTTATATTACTTTAAACAGAGTTTCTGCAAAGTAGGCTATTTTGTTAAATAGAGCAGATTTCCACATTTTAGAAAAAGTGGATCTTGCTTTGGTTATTTCAGAGTTTACATTTCAAAGGGAAGGTAAGTGTCTCAGTCAGTTTTCTGTTGTTATAACAGAATACTATTATACACCCTGGCCAATTTATAAAGAAAAAAAGTATTACTCACAATTCTGGAACTAGGAAGATCAAGAGCATGGCACTGGTATCTGGAGATGGTAGAAGGCATCACATAGGGAGTGAGCACCTGAGACAGAGCGAGACGCTGGGGGCTGACTGGCTTTATAATGACCCCTCTCCTGATAACTAACCCACCCTCACAACAATGACATTGTATCCATTCATGATGTCTCTGCCTTGGTGACCCAGCCACTTCTTATTCGGCCCTACTTCCCAACATTGTTGCAATGGGGATTAAATTTCCAACCCCTCAACTTTTTGGGGACACATTCAAACCATAGGATAGAAACTGGTAATGCAGGCTATCATATATATTTTAGAAATATACTAAATATCCAAAGCAATGTTTACTTGCACCTAAAAATATAAACTTCCTTATCTTCAATGCTCATGATTATTTATAGCTTTGTTTTCCCCCTTTTCAATAACAAGCTTCTCAGAAGAATCCCCCGTACTTGATGTCTCAATGTCCCTGCTATCCACACAGCATTTAGTACTTCCTGCATTCTACCCTCCCTCTTCTAGTGCCAAATTGTGAATGCTTTCTTGATAGACATCATTGAGCTCCTAGGTTCATATATGTTTGCATGTTGTTAGCTGTTCATTTTATTGGCATCTGTGTCAACTGACACAATCGTCTTAGCTTTACTCTTGAAACTTTCATAGACTTGATTATATCTTTTTTGTTTTAATGAAGATATCATCTCTTCAAATCAACAATAGTTTCATCTCTATGACTCTATTTCGGGGTGAAGATCCCTTCTAGGGGCACACATGGCACCATGTTTGCAGTTATGGATTGCCTCTCTGTATATTTTAATTGTCCATTTAACAGCTTTATCTTCTACGCATAACTTGCTCAGGGACAGACACTGTGTTTTATTTTGTGGCATGTATAACCCCTAGCATGATGCTAGCAAGTGTGTGATACATATTTATCATTGCAAAAATGATCTAGATTCCCTGTTTCTGTTTCTTCTCTTTATCTTCTTCTCTGCTTTCCCTGAGCCTACAAACTAAAATGTCAAGTATTATTTTTCCGAAGTACTTACATTTTTTTAATACTCTTTTCATTGGTGAACTAATCAATTGCCACACTTTCTTCTGTGATTTGTGGTCTGCTAACAGATGGCTAAGCCTGTGTTTTTAGTCCCAAGATCCAGTTCTACAATTCAAGATGACTGTCTATAAACTGAGATACTCTCATAAGCTACGTTTTTCATCTTTCACTGTCACCATTTCCCTTAAAGCTCTTCCTTTTGAACTTTCTCATTCTTATATATGTATTTTATTTTTTAGTTGACAAATGTTTTGAAATGCATTTACATTGTGTAATGGCTCAATCTAGCTAATCACCATATGCATTACCTCACATACTTATCCTTTTTCTTTCACCATTTATAAAGATAAAATTTTAAGGAAACTCTTAAAATTTACTCTCAGCAAATTTCAAAATAAAATACATTGTTATTAACTATAGTCACTGTGTTGAGAAACAGATCACCAGTACTCATTCTTCTTATCTAAATGAAATTTTATAAAAACACTCCTCCAAAAACAATGTTTTGAAATATATATACATTGTGTAATGGCTCAATCCAACTAATCACCTTATGGCTTACTTCACATACTTGTTCTTTTATTTTCATCATGAGAGCCCTTAAAATTTACTCTCAGCAAATTTCAAAATAAAATATATTGTTATTAACCATAGTCACCATGTTGGGAAACAGATCACCAGTACTTATATCTCCCACCTAAATGAAATGTTATATCCTTTGATTGGATCTCCCTAAGATCTCATAGGCCCCAGGCCCTTCTACTTTCCACTTCTTTTTTTTTTTTTTAAGAGATGGGATCTTGTTCTGTTGCCCAGGTTGGAGTGGAGTGGCATGATCCTGGCTCACTGCACCCTTAAACTCCTGAGCTCAAGCAATACTCCTTACTTCAGCTTCCTGAGCAGCGAGGGCCACAGGCGTGCATTTCTTTTTTTAGATAAATTTTTTATAGAGGTGAGGTCTTGGTGTATTGCCCAGGCTGCTCTCAAATTCCTGACCTCAAGCCATCTCCCTGCCTCAGCCAAATTGCTGGGATTACAGGCATGAGCTGCCACTCCTGATGTCTACTCTATACTTCTGTAAGTTCAACTTTTTTAGATTTCATGTATAAGTGAGATAATTCACTATTTCCCTTTCTGTGCCGGCTTATTTCACTTAACATAACGCCCTCCAAGTTCATCTGTGTTGTCACAAATGACAAGATTTCCTTCGTCTTTTAAGGCCAAATAGTGTTTCAGAGTGTATATAAATTACATTATTTTAATCCACTCATCTGCTGATAGGCACTTAAGTCATTTACATATCTTGACTGCTGTAAATAATGCTGCATTGAACATGAGAGTGGAGATTTCTCCAACATATTGATTTCATTTCCTTTAGTTATATACTCAGTGCTGAGATTACTAGATCACATAGCAGTTCTATTTTTAATTTTGTGAAGAACCTCTGTACTATTGTCCAGAATGGTTTAATACTGAATAAATAAGATGCCAAGTCAATAAATTTCAAAATTTAGATTTTAACATTTACTCTTCTTATTCTCCCACATTATTTAAATTGTTAACCACAGTTAATTTTACTTCTACAACATCACTTCTTCCTTATTTTAGCTTTCATTTCCATGGACATTTTTTAAACAAGTCATCATTTATATCAAAACAAAAACAAGCAGGCACCCTGATATCTGATTAATATTTCTCACTTAGATTTCTAGATTGGATTTTCACCTCCTTAAATACTCCCTTGAGTCCCCTGACGATCATAGCTAATTGACAACGCAAACTTAATCTCACACAAAAATCTTTAACTGAAAATAGGCCATGAATTATATTTGAGGTGATTATGTACCTTAATAAATATTCATTTGGGAGCAACCATTGCAGCATCAATAGGTCTATGACAGAGCTATTGGTTAAAGATATGTGATTATAATCTCCTGGGATTATGTGGAAAAGTTTTAAATTTTATGATAAAATAGGAGTGATGTCGCTGATGTGACTATTCCATAGTTCTACTTGATTTGTAGGAATATGATATGTAAAATTACAGCAATCATCATTATTATTATTATTATCATTATTTAGAGACAGGGTCTTGCTGTGTTACCCAGGGTGGAGTGCAGTGGTGCAATGAGAGGTCACTGAAGCCTAGAACTCCTGGGCTCAAGAGATCCTCTCGCCTCAGCCTTCTGAGTAGCTGAGACCACAGGCTCCCGCCACCATGCTGAGCTAATTTTAAAAATATATAATAATAATAATAATAATGAAAATTGTAGGCCGGGCACGGTGGCTCAGGCCTGTAATCCCAGTACTTTGGGAGGTCGAGGCGGGTGGATCATCCAAGGTCAGGAGTTTGAGATCAGCCTGGCCAACAAGGTGAAACCTCGTCTGTACTAAAAATACAGAAGTTAGCCAGGTGTGGTGCTGGGCGCCTGCAGTCCTAGCTACCCGGGAGGCTGAGGCACAAGAATCACTTGAACCCAGGAGGCAGAGGTTGCAGTAAGCCGAGATCACGCCACTGCAGTCCAGCCTGGGCGACAGAATGAGACTTTTTCTCAAAAAAAAAAAAAAAGAATGAGAAGAAAAAATTCTACAGGGCCAGGCACAGTGGCTTGCACCTGTAATCACAGTACTTTGGGAGGCCAAGTCGGGCAGATCACCTGAGCCCAGGAGTTCAAGGTTGCAGTGAGCTGTGATAATACCACTGCAGCCCAGCGTAGGCAATATAGTGAGACTTTGTCTTTTAAAACCATACATATATGTACAGACAGGTATCTATGTTTTGCTTGTCTTTTGAAAAGATGACTGTATCCTCAGTGTGTGCATTTACAGCCCCTGACATTCAAAATTAACCTCTGGCTTGAAACCTCAATTTTGTATATTTTCCTCAAATCATTATAGCGACACCTTATGCTTCAAAAGGTTTAGATTCTCAATGCTCTTCAAAACCCCACTTGAACTGAATTGCATAGGAATTTTAACAAGTTGGTTATAGAAAAACAGAAACAAAAAACAAAACAAAGAAATGTTCTTTCTATTGCTGCATGAAATCTAGTAATAAAGATCTTCTTGGTAATAAAGTAGATGATTCTGTGTTACTTAAAAATGACAGAAGTATAATAATTTGGAGCACTAGGATATTTAGAGACATTAAAGGATATATGTTTTTTTTAATAACTCAGAGTAAAAATCATAAAAATTTTGCGAAGATTCATTTTACATATTTGAGGCCTCCAGTCTTTACAGGTACTTTTTGATTCTCATTAAATATTTTGAAATTCAAGGTTAAATGAAAAATGCTTTCTTTGTAATTAAGATAGATGCTAGGTAACTGGAGATGCCTTTTATATTTTTAAAACCAAAATAGAGAAGTAAAGCTTTAAAAGTACTCCAAGAGAAAATTGGTATTGTCAGCTCACTTTATCTATATCTGATATCTGAAGTGTGCAAAATTAATTCAGGCTTTGCCACACATAGCTGTTAAAGAGATAAGTATAGTTAATTTCAGCTATACTGTAATCAATGACATGAGAATTAAATTTTTCATATATAAATATCTACATCCCACTGAAAATGTGAAGCAAGCAAAGATGATAATATAAAAGTGCAAAATCAAGTTTAAGGCCATCCATTATCCTTTTCTATTAACATATATCATGTTACTATTGGCTCGTCTACTTTTAAACAGCAATTCTCTTTTATGTAAATTAACTAAGAGTTCATTTAGAAATGATATTTCCCCTTATAAGTATTCATTTTGTCAGCTTAAGTAAGAGCCAAATGATCTCAGATCAGATTCAATAGGGAAACTGCTGAAGGGAAAATAAGAGAATCATGAAAGAGAATAGAAAATCAATACATAGCAATTCCCCAGAAATTAAATGACTCTAGGGTGGAGGGGTCCCATGGGACATAGAGAGAGGTAGCTGGTTCTAAGGATTTGTCAGGTCTAAACCATTAGCATTTCCATTACCAACTCTTCTTTTCTGAAGGGGTATTAGAATGAATTAGAACCTGGTCTGAGTGCTTAGATAGAGCATTATCATCAACAAAATCAGTAATGTTGTTAGCATCAGGGAAGACACACATGGAGCATTTTCCCTCTCCTAAGCAGAAAAAAAGATGGAAATCTTCCTAAAGACTCAGGTAATATGAAGCATATGTACATGTTTTCGAGGACATGAGCCCTTTTGATTCATAATTCAGAAGTATTTCAAATAGAAAATCCAATGAACAAAGCCTTTTTAAAAATGCACTTTTGACAAAATATTTGAAATATACAAGAAGATATGTTCAACATACACTTAAGTCATGAAGCATAAGATAGAATTGAATACCTGTGGAGCACAAAACAAATAACAAACTATTATTAATATCATTGAAATAATTCCTATGTTTCTTCCATGTCTCATGCTGTCATCTTTCCTGCATCCTCACTCACAGAAAACCATTTGTACGTATAATTTGTTTATCTTGTTCTTCTCTTTAATAATTTTATTACCCAAGTAAATATCTTTTAAAAATATTTTTTATTGGCCGGGCGTGGTGGTCACGCCTGTAATCCTAGCACTTTGGGAGGCCGAGGCGGGCAGATCACGAGGTCAGGAGATCGAGACCATCCTGGCTAACACGGTGAAACCCCCGTCTCTACTAAAAATACAAAAAATTAGCCGGGCGTGGTGGCGGGTGCCTGTAGTCCCAGCTACTCGGGAGGCTGAGGCGGGAGAATGGCGTGAACCCGGGAGGCGGAGCTTGCAGTGAGCTGAGATGGCGCCACTGCACTCCAGCCTGGGCGACAGAGTGGGAGTCACTCTCAAAAAAAAAAAAAATTATTTTGCTTATATTTCATGACTATAAGTATAGTTTTATACTGTATGGAAAGTTCTAGGGCTAGATTTTTTTTTCCACTTAGAATATATTTATAAGATTCATGAAACCATAGTTCATTTTCTTTTAAGTGTGTATGTCTCCTAGTGGGCACACACAATTGTTTTTAGGGTATTGATATACTTTGGCTTTGTGTCCCTACCCAAACCCCATCTCTAATTGTAATCCCCATGTGTAGAGGAAGAGACCTCTTGGGGGGTGATTGGATCACGGAGGTGGCTTCCTCCGTGCTGTTTTCATGATCTGTTCTCAGGAAATCTTATGGTTTCAAAAGTGGCAGTTTTCCCTGCATACTTTTTCTCTTTTGCTTCCTTGTGAAGAAGGTGTTTGCTTCCTCTTCCCCTTCTACCACGTTTGTAAGTTTCCTGAGGCCTCCCTAGCCATGTGGAACTGTGAGTCAATTAAATCTGTTTTCTTATAAACTACCCAGTCTCGGGTAGTATCTTTATGCCAGGGTAAAAAGGAACTAATACAGGTTTGTAGCTATAAAGAAATTTGTTGGGTCATTAAATTACTTTCACAATAAAATATTTCATTTGTACTTTCTTACACCAAAGTGCCACCACAAGCTTTCAAAATGTAAAACATACATTTTAATGCATTAAGTTGTTTAAGAAAAATGTCAAATGACATTTTAGGAAGTATAATAACTGTGCTGAAATTAATTAAACTATCTGATTCAAAGGTTCATCTTGGCTTGAATAGCAGGAATATCCTGCCTAGCTATTTAGAAATCCATAGGAAGAGTCATTAATTATTGTGCTTTTTTCCCACCTAAATTGAAATAATTATTTTAAATACTAATTATTTAATGCTTTGCTGGAACTCAGAACTGTAATCAAAATAAGTAGCAATCCACTAAAACGATCTTTTTTACTGATTATTTCATCAGAAAATTTATTTCTAAATTATCAAAATCTGTCTTAAAATCACATCTCTTTAAACCTCAAAGAAGAATCAAAGAAAAAATGTTTATGTATGTTCTATTCTGCTTTAGAGAAAAGATATGTATGTAGATAATAATTGCTAAGGAAAAACTCTGGAAAAGTCATTATTCATTAGGAACCTGTAGAATCCTTAGCTTTGCTGTCTATATGTAGCCAATCAAGCAACATAACTCATACTTATTGATGAGAGCTGTTTTCCAAGTATGCCGCTATGATGGAAAGCACAAAAAGCATCCATCTAGAAACATTTTATCATCAAAAAAGATAGATAGCAATGGGGATTTCTTCTTAGAAAGGTAGAGCAGCCATGCTTGATAAAACTAAATAAAGTGAAGTTTTAAATCATCATATAAATTCCATCTGCGACTCCATGGACTTCAGAGAACATGTGAATGTTGATTTGTCTGATTATGAGTATTAAAGTGAATTAAAGTAACTTTCAAACTAACATCTGTAGAATGCATAAAAAGCATAATTTTCCAAAAAGTTGCTAGTTTTTTCTGCTAGTTGCTGACTAGATCTTTATGAGCTATCGGAGCAAAATGAATTCTGATTGAACAGGTAAAGAAACGAGGCTGGCAGTACTTTCACTGTATTTTCTCTGTATCTCGTGGGACTACTATTAGTCTGAACTTTTTTGTGTTCTGTGTCGGCAGACATTCATTTTGTTCCTTAGACCATCTTTTATTTCACTGGAGCATTGTACAGGATTTTTTTTTCCAACTTTTTAGTAGCTAAAGACTATGTGTTTGTGATTATGTCCCAACATTAATGTCTCATTTATCTGAGGTCAATAAATGAACACAAGTACATCCTTTATGATGGTGATGATTTCAGTGAAGTGAGGCAGATTATTTTCACACTTCCCAAAAGAGAAAATGCTAATCACGATATGCATGAGAAAAGCATTGTGGATCACCCGAAAACATAATGCTACTCAAAACATCTAGATTCTACAGCGTTCTTGGCCAGGGTTGAAAGGAACGCAAGGGAAACATTAGCATCTGAATACGTAGAACAATAGAAAGGCTCATCCACATACAGTTAAGTGCGTAGTTACAAAACACAAGGACTAAAGTACTACAATACCTGTGACAACACAAAATCCTCAAGAACATAAAACTAAATTTAATATATTACTGCCAACATCATTTAGCTTATTACAGATATTTTCTTTTAAATCATCTTTTGCTTCATTCCATACACCCATGTATTTCATAATATACAGAATACAGAATGCATGACAAGAAAGTTTTAAAAACATGCAAGGATTACTATTCTATGTTTTAAGAAAAGTTTTTATTTAGGAATAGTTTTATATTCATAGTCAGACTGCCGAGATAACAGAGAGTTTCCATACACCCTTGACCTTCTTTCTCCTAATATTAGGTGCTTACGTGACTATAGGAGATGTTTAAATTCCAAGAGATTAACATTGGCAACCTACTTTTTACTGAGCTCCAGATTTTATTTGACTTTATCTGTTTTTACACTGTGTGCTTTTTCTTTTTCAGGATTTCATCAAGGGTACCACATTACATTTAATATAATGTCTCCTTACTCTCTCTGAACTGTGAAAGTATGTGAAATAGTTCCTTGGCTTTCAAGACCTTGATATCTTTGAAAGGAACTAGTCACATATTTTTATGACTGTCCCTCAGTTGGGGAGTGCCTGACGACTTCCTTAGGTTTCATCTTGGCTGAGTGTCCTTCTTAAACCATCACATGATGAGATGCATCCTGGGATAGAATTTTAATAGATAGGGTAGTGTATGGATGGACAGATAGATAGATACATAGGTAATTATAGATAGGTGGGTATGCACAGATTAGACTGCAAACATATATTTTCTAGTTTTGTTTGCACCTAGAAACAGTAAGACCTCAATAAATCTTCATTTCTAAATGCTATTCTTCAATAAAAGGAATCATGCCTCCCTGGAGAAAGGATTGACTGATTACAGCCTCCTTGGAGAAAGAGTACTGTTAAGTGCCCTTCTTATCTCATCACATGATGAGATGCATTCTGTGATAGGATTGGGTGCATGATGTCAGCATGACTTACTATTGGTGACGTTAAACTTAACCACTTAGTTGAGATACTGTCTTCAGATGTCTCCTCCATAAAGTTTCTATCTTTTTCTCTTTCCATACTCTGAACATAAGCCACTAAGAATATTTCACACTCAGGGTGGAAGAATATAAAACTAAATTTAATATATTGTTGCCAACATTATTTAGTTTCAGAGATGTTTTATTTTAAATCTTTTGTTTCCTTCCATACACCCATATATTTTTATAATACACAGAATGCATGTAATATACAGAATACAGATCTCACCTAATAGGAGGAGATTTAAGTCTACCTCCTGAAGGGAACAGTATCTACATATGACGTGGGATTCTGTAAGGAAAACTTGTCTCTTCTCCTTTATTTATTTTTAAGTAATTTCCATTAAGGTATTCTTGTTTATTTTAAGATATTCTTTTTTATTTTACCTTTTGAGTGATAACCTAATAGCACATCATTATTTTGCTGCTCGAATTGTCCAGGGCTCCTCCAGCTTGGCTCCTGTGTCCCATTGACACGTGGCCTCCTTTTAGGCTTCCTAACACTTCTTTATTGTATTATACTTCAAGAGGTTCCAGGGTCATCTTGCAGTATTTCCTGACCCAGCATTCAAATCAGTTAGTTCTTTCACCAAGGAGGTGTGATTCCTTTATTAGAGAGTAGCATTTAGGAGTAAAAATCTAGGCCGGGCGCGGTGCTCATGCCCGTAATCCCAGCACTTTGGGAGGCCGAGGCGGGTGGATCACGAAGTCAGGAGATCCAGACCATCCTGGCCAACACGGTGAAACCCCGCCTCTACTAAAAATACAAAAAATTAGCCGGGCGTGGTGGCCGTTGCCTGTTGTCCCAGCTGCTCTGGAGGCTGAGGCAGGAGAATGGCGTGAACCCGGGAGGCGGAGCTTGCAGTGAGCCAAGATGGCGCCACTGCACTCCAGCCTGGGTGACAGAGCCAGACTCCGTTTAAAAAAAAAAAAAAACAAGAAGAAAAAATCTGTTGGAATGTTACTGCTTCTAGAAGCAAACAGAACTAGAAAGTATGTTTATAGCCTAACCCATGTATATCCACATATATGTAATTTTCTATCATCTATTTCCTTAATCTATCCATCTACCTATCTATTAAACAGAAGTTCATACCAATGTCTCCGACTCCAGTCCAATATCCCAAGTTTCATTCTAGCTTCCCTGATGTATAACTTGTTTCTCTGATAGTGAGAAATCTAGCTTCCATTACCTAGCATTTACTTACTTTTTTTTTTTTTTTTTTTGAGACAGTCTCTCTCTGTCGCCCAGGCTGGAGTGCAGTGGCGCGATCTTGGCTCACTGCAAGCTCCGCCTCCCGGGTTCAAGCGATTCTCCTGCCTCAGCCTCCCGAGTAGCTGGGACTACAGGCACCTGCCACCACGCCCGGCTAATTTTTTGTATTTTTTTTAGAGACTGGGTTTCACCGTGTTAGCCAGGATGGTCTCCATCTCCTGACCTCGTGATCCGCCCACCTCGGCCTCCCAAAGTGTTGAGATTACAGGCGTGAGCCACCGCGCCCAGCCTACTTACTTATTTTTTAATCCTAGTACAGAGGTAAAGTTTTTCCAGTATTCTTAACCCATACCCTTCTGAGAAACAAATTCACAGAGTACAGTATTTATATACAACTATTTTATTACATTTTCCAGTCAAAATACTCCTATCCAAAGTTACTTAAGTCAGACTCTTTTTTGCGCAACCCCTTAGTGAGATTATATCAGGCACTTATATCACAGATTCATTTATTACAGCCTACGTTCTATCCAGAAATCCTCTAACATACTGGTTTTTAAAATTTGTATATATTAAAGCTTTACAGTATATGATATAGAGTATTTTAGGTTTTGAAAAGCCCATGAAGTATCTGCTGTACAAATGCCATACAGAGCACATCCTCCTTTTACTGACAACAATCTACAAATTACATTTTACTTCCATCTGGAATTCTGTGTTCTGAACGGTTCTCTTTGTCAGGTAGGTATATGTTTTCCCTTTAAGATTCAGCATAGCCATTGCCATTTTGTTGAGAATACCTGATTCAGGAACCTTTAGAATCTCCTCCCTCAAGGCTCCATATCAGCTGCCTGTATTCTGAGTTGATGCTTTCACGTTTTCCTTTTGATCTCTGCACAACAATGCTGAGGGTAGAACCTAGAGGAATCACACAGCTGGTGCCCTTTCACGCTACTGACACTGGTAACAGTTTGTTCACCAGATTCTCTAATAATAAGGCAAAAACCGTGTCCACATGACAGGTTTCCTCTGGTTTTGCCTTCCTTTGTCACGTGATACGCTTGTATCCTTCTTTAATGATATTGCTTAATCCTGCTCCTTCTCCCAGTTCCAGGCCAGCGCTTCTACTGAATCATTAAATGTTGACATTCACAGTTATTGTGCCCTTAGTCTTCAGAAAACATAATCACCTGAGCCTTCTCAGCTCTGCTTAAAATAACCATTCCAAGAGAAAATTAATAACCAATAAAATATGACTTTATTCAAAACTTAGTGACTTGTATATTTTCAGAATTAAGTACCTACAGGGAAACTCTATAGCACAAATACACTAAGCTCATCATTAGCTAAGAAGAATTTCCCCTAAATTGGCTCATTCTGCTATATTTACCATACTGATCAATGGAAATGTTTATTATTATTATTATTCTCCTAAGTCAGAAAACTGGGCAGTAAGTTTTAAAGCAAGTACAAATTTTCAGTAATTTTCTGTTCAATGATACCTCAGTATAGTCCACTCTCTCTAACATGCTTTCACCAATAATCATTTAATACCATTGCAATTGTTAACATATTGATTATATCAACAATTTATAGTCATTTATCCACCAGTATTCATACTTAGTACCCTGCCCAGAATAAATTGCATAGATGATGATAGTTTCTCTCTTGCAGCCACCCTGATTTCCTTTGCCTGTTGTTGCATTGGTTTACTCCTTTGGAAGAGGAAGAAACAAACTGGATAAATCAAACACAAAATCACGATAACTGGTTCGTTTCTCCTTAATTCCAAAAGAACTTATTTAAATGCTGCTGTTAGCTTTAAAATTCATTCTCCTGAAAGCATATCCTGACTAATAGTTTTCCCAATTAATTTTTCAAATGCTATTTAAGTATATAATTCAAAGAACAACTCATTGTGAAAAAAATTATTTTTTATAGTTCATAATTCTAATGATATTAAAAATCTTTATATAAATATAATATTTAGCTTATAACTTGTTTCTGACCAGTACTAGTCCAGTATTACCTTAGAATAACAGATTATCATATTTTTTACACTTTTTATTGAAACTCTTTTTCACTGTGGAGAAATTATCTAGTATTATACAAGTTTGATAAAGATGGAGTCCTTTCTCATAATTTAAAAGATTATAAACATTGATTTATTTTATGTGTGTGTTTGTGTATTTGGTGGCAGGGTATGCACTCGTTTTGTTGTTAGGAATTTTTTTAACTGTTCATTTAGATTACTTTTGAAAATGGAGATATGATATAGGGATAGTCATAATTTAAAGTTTTTAAAATTATTTTAAAGTTTATGAACATTAGGTGTTTAATTATGAATTTTTTATTATATTTTAAGTTCTGGGGTACATGTGCAGAATGTGCAGGTTGGTTACATAGGTATACACGTGCCATGGTGGTTTGCTGCACCCACCAACCCGTCATCTACATTAGGTATTTCTCTTAATACTACCCCTCCCCTAGCCCCCCGACCCCCAACAGGCCCCCATGTGTGATGTTCCCCTCCCTGTGTCCATGTGTTCTCATTGTTCAACTCCCACCTACAATTGAGAAATTGCGGTGTTCAGTTTTCTGTTCCTGTGCTACTTTGCTGAGAATGATGGTTTCCAGCTTCATCCATGTCCCTGCAAAGGACATGAACTTATCCCTTTTTATGGCTGCATAGTATTCCATGGTGTATATGTGCCACATTTTCTTTATCCAGTCTATCATTAATGGGCTTTTGGGTTGGTTCCAAGTCTTTGCTATTGTGAACAGTGCTGCAATCCCATTACTGGGTATATACCCAAAGAATTATAAATCATTCTACCAGAAAGACACATGCACACGTAGGAATTTTTAATTCATTTCATTAGTTTTTTTTTAACCTTATTGATCCATTTATTATTATTTACAAAAGTATCCATCTGTGGAGGGGTTTAATGACTTGAAATTGGAGCATGGTGCAGTAGTTTTACAGACTAAGGATTGTATATCTAGAGAGAATTTCCATAAAAAATTCAGAGAAAGGAGAAACACTTACATATACACCAGAGAAGGCATGTAGAGAATTTTGGAACCTTCCAGCAGAATGAGTCAAGGACTTACCAACGCCAGGCAGTTACATTGTAACTCAAGGGGAAAAAGGAAGTGTGTGCCCTGAAAGGCACGTTTCTTTATTTTTAATATAATTCACTCTTTAAAACAGCTTTATGCTTACAGAAAAATTGAAGAGATGGTACAGAAGGTTCCCATTACCCCACATCCAGTTTCCCCTATTATTCATATTTTATATTAATATGGCATATTTGTTATAATTAATAAACCGATATTGATACATTATTATTAAGCTCATAATTTATTTATATTTCCTTTGTTTTTAGTGACTGTCCCTTTTTTGTTCCAGAATCCCATCTAGGATATCATATCACATTGAGATGTCAAGTTTCCTTTGGCTGTTCTTGGCTGTGGCAGTTTCTCAGACTTCTGTAGTTTTTGGTGAGTAACAGTTTTCCCAATTAATTTTTCAAATGCTATTTATGTACATACTTCAAAGAAAAACCCATTGTGAAAAAATTATCTTTATAATTCATAATTCTAATGATATTAAAAATCTTTATATAAAAATTCAGCCCATTTACATGTCAAGGGGCTTCAGAGGGATAATTAGACATAAACCTGTGGCAATTAGATGGTTCCATAGAGCAATACAATTTTATACCTTCTTCTACATGGTCTTAGGCAATATGAAGCAATGTAATAATTTGTGCCTAATGAGCCCTTTATTTATTGTGCATTTCTGTTCCAATTTTTTTATAAAATTACAATGTTGACTTTCCAAATATATTTTCTTTCAATATATGTATGTATTTTTTATTTCTTTCTTTCGAAATCAACGAATATTTTGAGATATGAAGAGTCTTGGAGATCAAAATTCTACTTGCCTTTCCTTCACACCATTTTCCCATAAGGGACAGTTTAACATTTTTGATGTTTTGTTTTTAAAAAACTGTAGGATATAGCAGTTAGGAGAAAATATACAATGTTGTGGAATTATTTCTTTCTACCATGAAAATCGCTGTCAGGATGACACATAGAACTCATTTGTCCATCAGCAAGCACAAATACATTCACTGCCTGGTATGTGCCAGCAGAGTAAATACATGAAATGAAAATATAAATAGATATGGCCTCCTTCCAGGGAACACCGCTGTTCTATGATTCACTCCTATGCATTCCAGCCACAAATAATTATTTAGCACCTACTCTATGCTAAACTCTCTGACAGGCCTTAAATATTTAAAGACTTACTGTCCTCAGGGAGCTTGCAACTGGTAGGAAGGACAGAAACTATTTCAAATTTTTATATGTCCTATGCAAAAATTTGTATTGGTTGCTATAGGTATATTGTGGGGGTAGAGGGACTAAATCTGCTCCATAAGACGTGTTTACTCTGCATTCACACCTAGAACTCTAACAATACTAAAAAAAGACCATTCCCTTTAAATGCACCCATACATTAAATCTACCTGCCCTTTATGGTTTTGTGCCAGAAATTTTCTGGGAATAAAAATTAAAGTTGTGTGCTTGAATTTTGGCCAAGGTGTGATTTTGTGATGCAGATGGCACACTAGTGCAGTAGCCTGGTGTTTATCCTATTGCCATCCAGAAAAATGAGCACAGAAAGAGTACATGAAATCTGATTAGCAAGTCTTCTTTTTATAAGCAGATGTTGTGCCTCATATAAATTATTCTTTTAGATTTTGTAACATATGCCAAAGTATTTATCACAGATTAACTGCATGAACTTGCCTGCTATTCTCAAACTTTCTGAGTGTGAAAATGAGTGGATGCGTCTTTCACAGTTCTGATCAAAAGATATATAAGAATGAATAATTGTAATTCAGACAAGAAAAGTACATTTTGAAAGCTAGTAAAAGATTATATGCAAAAATGAAGCATTTCCTACTTGTTCTGTTATTCTTTTCCTTATTGAAAAGCAATTGATGCTGAAAAGTTCTATTTCGAATTATTATACTTCATATTACCAATGCACCTTAACACTAAACGTTTTAAAAGATTTGCTCAAAATATTTCTGTATGTTCTTCTCTTGCTTCGGATTGTCTCACATCTTTCATAAATGAGGTTCTTATTTCCAGATATTTTCTAAAACACTGTGTTTGAAATCATTATTTTGTATTGTTGCTTTGTTGAAAATTGTCCATTATGTGATTCCAAATCCAAGAAGGAATTTACTCAGCACCAGATAATTTGAAACATAATAGTAAAAAAGGGGTTTTAAAAAATAAATTTCTATAATTTCAGTGTTTTGTGTCTCATTTTAAGACATATGGGATTGTGCGTAAGAAAAATAAACTTCCTAGGTCATAATTAATATTTTTCCCTCGGTATTATTGATATCAAATTCTTATCTTAAATTTGGTACTTTCAGAATATAAGCACTAAGAGATCCATACAATTTAAAAGAGGAGGTGGCTATTAACACAAATATTACTTGTTTTGTTGATGTGACTTTTAAGATAACTTCTAATGTTTTGGCTCTGCCAGAACAGACTAATACAAGGAGAAAAAATATTTTATATTTTCTCATTAATTTATTCTGTAGAGATTCTCTTTATTTTTAAAGAAAGTCAAATGCGAAAAAAATCGATGCCAGAATTATATTGCTTTCATATAAACCCTGGATCGAGCCTGGTGAGGTTATAGTTACCATGGTAACAGAAGTCGGCTCTTTAAACAGTTTCTATCCTAACTGCTCTTCTACTTATACTGAGCGATTTCTTCAAATATAGGACTCATGGGGGTGTAGTTATGAGAAATTTCATTCCCCATAAGGATACATGTCCATATAATTTGTAAGGAGTAACTCTGGCACACGGAGGTTAATTAGATATAAATGTTACCAACATAACTTTTAAAAGCACTGTATTCCCCCGGTACATAGGCAAGTGTAAAGAAATGTAAAATGAAGTATCCCAAAAAGGGAACTCAGATGACACCGGAACTAATATAAGTATATTTCATATTTATGAATAAATATGGAAATATCTTTCAGAAAGTGTGAGGATAAGAAAATTTATTTTATATGTTGAACTTCTGCAGGTTGAAATGGGTGCATTACTTTTAGTAAATTGCTTCAAAGAGACATAGCAGTGATTTTTCTTTTACAATGTTTAGACACATTGAACTAAATAAGGTTTAAATCTGTATCTACACAGACACATACACACACATATATAATTAAAGTGATAATTCTTCACACAACATGTTCATTGTCCGCCCCCCAAATTTTTAAAATATTGACAGACTAACTATATTACAACTTTACATTTTGATATTTTTATTTTGTTTTTTCTATAATTTCAAGAAAATCTTGGTTTCAGCTATCTCTTTCCATTTATACATAATGATGCTGCTGTTAAGCCACCTTGCTATGGCTATTTTCCACTCCTAGTTTTACTTGACCAGTTGGTTAAACATAAAACTTTCCTATAAAAAAGACAATGGATCTTGAATCATAAATCTCTTACTACCTACGTGAGTTGAGACACTCAAACTTTCTGATGTTTAATTTCTTAAGCTCCGGCACTGTGACTATAATCATTGCTAACCCTTTTGTTTTATTTTTAATATATGTCAACTAAAAATAAATACGTCAGATGTATTATTGATCAGTTTCGGCTGCCATAGCAAAATACCACAAACTGAATGACTTAAACAACAGAAATGTATTTCTTCGCAGTTTTGGAGGCTGGAAGTCTAATGTCAATCACAAGGTGCCAGCTGAGTTGGGGTCTGATGAGGCCTGTCTTTCGGGCTTATAGATGGCTGCCTTCTTGCTCTGTGCTCCCATGCCTGTTTTTCTGTGCATGTGTGATGAGAGAGAGAGAGATCTCTGCTATGCCTTCCTCTTCTTCTAAGGATACTTGTTTTATAAGATGAAGATCTTACTCTATAACCCTATGTAACTTTTATTATCTCCTTATAGGTTTATCTCAAAATATAGTCATATTACAGTTTAGGGATGGAGCACACAAAATTTGGAGGGACAAAATTCAGTTCATACCAACAGAGTTTTGCAAACTATAAATTACAGAATATATATAGATGACAGTATTTCTGTTTTTCACTTATTATAGGAATATCCTCCTTAGAAAATTACTGAAACTAACTACACTATAAAATGTAATACACTATATACACAACTTTGTTTTTAATATATATTCTGATCAACTAAATAGACTAGATCTGTTTCAACAAAGAAAAATAGAAACAGGTTTCTTTAAATGTCTCTGGCAATAGTGCTGCTTTATCATTTTAGAAGGATGGTATTTCCCAGTTAATTTTTCCCTTAATTATTAGCTGAGTTATACTCAGTAATTACAATGAGTTATATCATCAGTAGTTCCTGTCTCTTCTGGCTTAAGTGACACTCATGTTTCACATTCAATGCATAGTGTGGATTCACAGTCATCATCCTTTTTTTTTTCTTTTACTGAGTTGTGTTACACAGTAGCTCATGAAACAGAAAGTAATTTGTTTTTAAGTATAGCTAGGGAAGATATGTGTCATAGGGTATAAGGGAGCAAAAACAAATTGCTACGCGGTCTCTGCTTTGGGGCTAACACTCTCCATCCTGCATCACTGGAGTAAAAAGAATGGTTGCCAAGGCATCAAAGTCTGGAAGGTTTCCATGATAATCCTTCCTCACAGAGGTAAACTTGTCATTTAGAGACACATTTTAAATGGGACGTAGAATTCTACACTAGATAAAAACCAGTTTTAGGTATAAGACTTCTATTTTTTGTCACCCGTCTCTATAAATATTTTCGAAAGAAAGAAAGAAAAGAAGGAAAGAAAGAAAGAAAGGGAGGAAAGGAAGAAAGAAAGGAAGGAAGAAAGGAAGAAAGAAAGAAAGAAAGAAAGAAAGAAAGAAAGAAAGAAAGAAAGAAAGAAAGAAAGAAAACCCAACCATGTATTTGTGTAGAAATATCAACTCGGTGGAGTGACACTGTTTTAAATACCTGTGACCTTGAGAAAATGCCTTTCTTGCCCTTGAGAAGTCAATCTAAGGAGGATGCAGCAATTGGCATGACATGAGTAACCTGCCACATGACAGAAACTTGATGACGATAAATGACTATGGAAAAAATTAATTTGAGGAGTAATGAATCATCAAAAACTTTACATCGGAAGGCAAAGACCGTATCCTTGTAAGTCCTTTGGAAAGTTATGAGTACAAGTTACAAGTATAAGTGAACCTTTTGGTATGAAATGAATAAAAAGACATAAATGAATGAATAAATAAAAGCATGCAAGATAGAGTTTATCTTGTTTTGTCATATCATTAATGTCTTTCTAGTCAATGTTTTAATTAAGAAGGAATAAATTATCATAGAACAAACCACATCATTTTTCTTTTCTAATTTTTTTCCATTTCATCTTTTTTTAAATTTTTTATAAGTAAGCTTTAGTATGTATGAACTTGATTTCACATACAAACTTAGAACGGCAATTTCACTTAAAATTAACTCATTAAAAAGTATAACTACCACAGTATGGATATGTATCACTGGGCCAGGGGATGCTCAGATGTTTTGTTAAACATTATTTCTGGGTGGTCTGTGAGGGGGTTTGCAGAAGAAATCAGCATTTAAATTGGTGCGCTCAATAAAGTAAATGGTCCTTCCCAATGTAGGTAGACATCATTCAATCTATTGATAGTCTGAAATAGAAGAAGACGATGGAGAAAGGTTGAATTCTCCCTCTCTGCATGACAGTATGAGCTGGAAAACTGATCTTTCCCTGCCCTTGGAGCTCCTGGTTCTCAGACCTTCAGACTGGAACTGTCACAGTTCCCAAACTCCAAACTCCAAAAGGTAGTGAAACTGGTGACAAATATTGCTATTCATCTTTTGATGGATTATAACAACAGCATTTATGAAACTGGTTCCCAGACAAGTATATACCACTCGCTCCTGTGCCTTAGGGAAAAGAGATGTCATAACAAAGGCATTATTGATGCAGTAATTCATGGACAGTTTTTTTCTCATTAACACTGCTAAAATTACGTTCATATTTTTTTACTTTGTGTGGGAGCTGATGACTCCTGCCCTTTTGTTTTTTGAGGGCTATCTTTCAAGGTGAGGACATCAAACCCACTCATTCCGAAATGCATCATTATGGTTTATTGAGGAACATATTAAGACATGATAGAAAGAGGCAAGAAGATAAAAGCATCCTATGAATTCAAAACTGAAATGGAAAGAGGGGAAAGTTCTCTTTCACATTGTACCATGTTAACAGATCCTTTATTTAAATTGTCCAGCTTTTGGTTGTTTGTATCATTCTCCGTATGTAACATTCCAAACACTTGGGAGGGTTAGCCTGCTCTGTATTTGTCTGCAAGCCTGGCTTTTCACTCAGACCATGGTTGTTTTATAGCATTTGGTTTATGCATTTTTAAATGTTTTTGGATGTTTCATTGTTTAGTCAGCAGGTTGGTAGCGAAAAAAATAGAAAAAAACCATATGCTCCCTGAATTGAGAGAGCATTTTGGAAGAAGTCAAAATAGGGCAACAATATGTTTTAAATTGATTTCAAATTATAATGTCTTTGGAAAATAATATAAAACCTCCCCAAAGTGAGAAATCTTATGGCAAATTTATATTTTCAAATGAAATGTGACTGTAATCATACCTTTAAAAAATAATTATTTTTTTTTACCAAATGTTGTATCTACATAGACTTTGTTTTCATGGAATAATAATCATATCAATCTATATGATAAAACACATTACAGGCAGTCATTTATATGGTAATTTGGTTTTTAGGACCAAAAAAATGGTTTATATGCAAAACCATTTTGACCTTGAAAAAATAGCATCTTTTGATATATTTTGTCTAAAACTTTAAAATAATATTAATAAATCACTACAATTATTTTTGTGCTAAACGTAAATACTGAACATCCAAACTTGATAGGCATATTTAAATATTGCAAGAATTATTTATATATAAAAACTATTTTAAAAATATAAATCTAAATATATGTGTGAAATAATGGCACATAATAGATATTTTCCAGCCTGGCACTTTAACCATAAATTTCTTCTAAAACAACTTAGCCCATGCATACTCTAATACAGACGTCACATCCTTTTCTTACTTCTTCACTATAAATGTTATATGTAAAATACAAAGAAATTGTCTCTTTTGATTAAATTTTGGCCGTATAGTTGAAATGTTGTCTCTATTAGCAGAGAGTTCTGCTAAAAACAACTATGATATCTGGCAGGTGGATGTCCAGTGATAACTTTTATGCACCAAAACTTTGATTTCACCTTGATGTAGCTCTGTGGATCCAGTACAAAAAAGAATATCATCTTTGAACCTACTAGTGAATATTTCAGTTCCCCAGTTGGAATGGAAATATTCTCAGAAATCCATCTCAATTGGAGCCCTGAAATAATTTTAGAATCTGCTCTCAGGATACACCATCTTCCTTAAAATCAAATTCCTGTTAGTCTCTGGCTATAGAATTGCTCTAAACTGAACAACATAAAGTCAGTCCTAGATAAATCACTGGCCTTTTTCATCCTAAGAGCATTATCCCTTTAATTCTGGTATCTGCCACCAGGTAGCAATATTATGAGTAGATTATGAATATTCAGCATCCACACTGGACATAGATATCTGAAAAAGGTTTAAACGACAATTTAATCATTTAGGTATTCATTCTTAAATTAATATAAAATTAAGTGACTATTCTTACATCAGAGTTATTATCTTAGTTTCAATAACCTCAGCATCTTAGATACTGGCTAACAACATATAGTACACAATCCACATCAATAATTATTGAAGGAGGTAATTAACAAGATTCAAAAAATAAAATACCCCTTGAAGCAAAATATAAGGAAATAAATAATGCAATAGTTAATTTTATATATCAACTTCACTGGGCCAGGGGATGCTCAGATGTTTTGTTAAACATTATTTCTGGGTGGTCTGTGAGGGGGTTTGCAGAAGAAATCAGGATTTAAATTGGTGCGCTCAATAAAGTAAATGGTCCTTCCCCATGTAGGTAGACATCATTTAATCTATTGATAGTCTGAAATAGAAGAAGAAGATGGAGAAAGGTTGAATTCTCTCTCTCTCTGCATGACAGTATGAGCTGGAAAACTGATTTTTCCCTGCCCTTGGAGCTCCTGGTTCTCAGACCTTCAGACTGGAACTGTCACAGGATGCTTGGGGTGTTGCTTCGCCAGCTGGAAACCTCTGTAGCCAGTGGTGCCTTTGCCCAATTTTTGCTTGGCCCACTGAGCTTGTTCCACCCACTCAGCCTGGCAGGCTGTGCTTGGCTGGCACTACCAGGTTGGATAACATGCCTGCCAAGGGTGAGCAAGCTTGGGATCTGGCCACTGCGCACAGCCAGGCACTCTGGCTGTGGTGGGGCAGGCAGCTCCAGGCTCCAGCATGGGTGCTGGCTCACTGCGAGGCTGCAGCTGGACCAGGCGTACCACAAGCAACTTCCACAGTTGGCATCAAGGGCACACAGTGGTGCCCAGAAGCATGGAGATGCCAGGAACCATAGAGCTACAAAGAGTGTGTCACAGCCTGGCTTGAGGAGCTTCTAAGTCTGGCCTCCCCAATGGGACCCAATTGCTGTTCTCTCCTTCTGTCTTTTTTTTTTTTTTTTTTTTTTTTGAGAAGCAGTTTCACTCTTGTCACCCAGGCTGGAATGCAATGGCACAATCTTGGCTTACTGCAACCTCCGCCTCCTGGGTTCAAGTGATTCTCCTGCCTCAGCCTCCCAAGTAGCTGTGATTACAGGGATGTGCCACCACACCCAGCTAATTTTTGTATTTTTAGTAGAGATGATGTTTCACCATGTTGGCCAGGCTGGTCTCGAACTCCTGACCTCAGGTGTTCTGCCAGCCTCTGCCTCCCAAAGTGCTGGAATTACAGGTGTAAGCCAAGGCGCCCAGCCTCCCCATCTGTCTTCTGTTCTCCTTGTTGTGTGCAATGTGGTGAGCAAGGGGTGTGTTTCAGCCCTTTTGTGCTATAGCTCTTTAGCCTCACCATATAGCAGGTCCCAAGTTCTTGTCCTGTGTCCAGGAAGAATGAGGTATGCAGACAAGTGGAGGGTGAGCAAGGCAAAGAGGAGCTTTACTGAGCGACAGAACACCTCAGAGGAGACCCACAGTGGGTAGCTCCTCTCTGTAGGCAGGGTGTCCCACTGAATGTTCAGCTCTTAGAAGAGAGGAGACCTGGAGTGTGTATCTCCTCTCCATGGGCAGGTCATCTCAAGTGCTCAGCTCTCAACAGACAGGAGACTCTGGGGTGGGTAGCTCCTCTCAGCAGCTGGTTGTCCCGTTGCCTCGCTGAGTCTGGCTGAGTCTGGGGGTTTCTAAGGGCTTCAGAGGGGAGAAAGTGTGTGCTTATTGGTCCATAGGTGGCCATGGGTGGGCCCAGAAAAGGCACCACCACTTCCTACTCCAGTCTGCAGGGCTGGCAGCCTGGTCCCCAGGCTTCAGGCCTTCCCTAGCTTGAAGGTGAGGTTTCACAGGGAAACTGCCCCGCTCTGGCCTGCAGTCTGTCTGCCTCCTGACACTGTTCATGGTGCCCAGGCTGTTCATGCTGAGGGGTACCTGCAGGCCAGTGCCAAGCTGCCCTCAGCATCCCCCTGGCTTCCCTCCCATGCTCGTTGGCACGGAAAGTACAGAGTCAGTGCTGCCCCAAGCATGTGCACATTGGGCCAGGTTGTGACAGCACCCAGTCTCGGCCTCAACTTTGCTCAGATAGGAGCAGGCTCTGGGAGTGGGGAGAGGCCAGGCAGCAGGAACATGCACTTCTGAGCCCCCTGAGAGTGCAGAGATGCCTGGGTCTGCAGCTGTGGCTTGCGCAGCTGCAGCTGCACTTGGGATGATGGGGCTCCTGCCTGCTCCCAGCTCCCAAGAGCATAGGGAGGCCCAGGTCAACAGCTGTAGCTGGGTGGCTGCAGCTGTACCTGGGGAACGTGAAGTTCCCACCATGCCAATTCAGAAGCGGGCAGGGCTTTTGCCTGTTTCCAGCTCCCACTGGCTCCCTGCAGCACGCAGCACCGGCTGCACCTCCTCCACTGCTGCCAGCGTCATGGCAGCAGCTACTCAAGGTGGGTCGTCACTGCCATCAGAACTAGAATCTATGCAATCAGCTCTCTGGGTCCCAGGTCTTCTAACTGCACCACAGGCTTTCCTGGGTCTTCAGTATTTGAACTGCACATCATGAGACTTCTCAACTTCATAACTGCATGGGCAAATTCTATATAATCAATCTCATCATATATACTTGTGTGTATATATATTCTATTGGTTCTGTTTCTGTGAAGAATCTTGACTAATACAAATAATTTTGATATTATCAATGTTTTCTTTTCTATCCTTTGTTTATCCTCAGCATTGCACATTTCTCTATTATACCTATGGCTCCTTTTCCAGAAAGGTGGCCTGGCAATTTGACTTTTCCACAAAAATGGATTCTATATATTCCATTAAAAATTATTATCAAATGATGTCATAGGATCGATGTATAATATGTATTTTCCTTTGTCATAATTCACACATTGGTTTGCTGATTTTCTCAGCTTCTATTTTTACAAGTATTGAACTCTAATTAGATTACTTTGATATTGTCTGATGGAGTTACTTTGGGGTATTTTAAACTTAGTTATAAATACTCCTTGTTGCTTTCTGCTGTACTTACTCTTTAGTTAAGTTAGAGATAAATATTTTCTTTACTAGAAATTTTATAAGTATACTAATTTAAAATACATATATTCCAAGGGATTTTTTGAGTGTTCATATTATATCAATACATTTAACAAATATTCAGAGAAAAGGTACTACATATGATGGCTCATACATGCATATAATGTGTAACGCAAAGTAAACATATAATATGTTTTGTAGGTTTTGGAGAAAAATTGTTGAGGACAATGAATACATACCCCTACTTCATGGACTAGGTGAGGGGGGGAATATTTTAAAAGTGCATTTGGAGTGTGTACAGAATTTAGCTTTAGCCACAAAAAGTATTTGGTGACACATTTGCTCTCTGTCTATTATGAATAAAATAAAATAAAACTGAGCAAAATATGAAGCAACCAATTTCAGACAAGTAACATAGACCTGTGCTCACTGAAAAAACAAAACTTGATGATGTGAGATGCAGGCTCACCTGGGCTCCTAAAAGGGTAAGGTGGAGCCCAAGCATCGTACAGTGGTCTCACTGAGTTCTGCAGGCATAATGGGCAGTTGGAAGCAGCTTAATTTGCTAGATTTGCATACCAGCCTGGAGAAAATGGAGCTGAGTGAGTTTTGGGAGGCAGAATTCTGTACTAGTCTCCTGTTGGTCCATGTTTACATTCACTCTGAGACCTCACAACACATAGCAGAGAGCAGCTCCTATGAGATTTAGAAATGAATGGTCATGCACTTTAGAAAAATGCTGAAATTCTAGATTATCCAGAATGGAAAAACTTCACAGGGGATGTAAGAAATTCAGCTGAGCCTCTAGAAAGACCATGATTTAGGAGAAAAAAAACAATAAGTAAATGCTACACCTTAGGAATGAAGTTAGGAAATAGACCTGCTCTAAAAATAAGATCAAGCCTCATAGAATAAAAACGATCCAGCAGGAATTTAGCTGTCTGAAAGATCAAAAGTAATTACCCTCTAAAGGAAGACAAATGTATGCAATCTGTCAATCAACCACCAGGACCAGTATACAAACAACACATACAAAAAAGTAGAGAATGTTGATCACTAGTTTTAATAGTTGTTATTTAGCTTCCTAGTTATTATCCATATACATAATTATGTCATTTGCAAATAGGGGAGTTTAATTTCTCTCTCTTTTCTCTAATTTTTACAACTTTTTCATGCCTTATTGAATGGGTTAAATGATATATATTCTTTTTTTTTTTTTTTTGATATGATGTCTCCCTGTGCTGCCCAAGCTGGAGTGCAGTGGCACAATCTTGGCTCACTGCAACCTCCGCCTCCCAGGTTCAAGTCATTCTCCTGCCTCAGCCTCCGAGTAGCTGGGACTCCAGGCACCCTCCACCACACCCAGCTAATTTTTGTATTTTTAGTAGAGACAGAGTTTCACCATATTGGCCAGGCTGGTCTTGAACTCCTGACCTCGTGATCCGCCCACCTCGGCCTCCCCAAGTGCTGGAAATACAGGCGATATATACTGTATTCTTTTTCCTTAGATCGAGTTTTTTGAAGAACATTTGTATCAGTGTAGCAACCATTAAATGCAATTCATAGAGGTATAGGTAAACATCCTTTAAATAGAATTATCTATCTATATGTATATGTCTGTCTACGTATCCGTATCTATCTATCTATCTATCTATCTATCATCTATCTATCTATCTATCTATCTATCTATCTATCTATCTATCTATCTTCTATCTGTCATTCTATATATCTAAATATCCCAAGAGAATTTTTAAAAGTTAAATGAAAGAGAGGAAAGAAAAGAGATGGGTCAGATAGCAAACAAAGACCAAGAGGTGAATGTAAACTCAAATACCTTAATAATTGTTTTAAAATTAAAGTATAGAATAAACACTGCCTATATGCTGTCTATTAGAGATACAATTTAAACATGGAGACACAAGAAGATAGAAAGTATAAAAGTGGAAAAAGATATACCCTAAAATCATTAAAAATGAAAAAAGTTTGAGTGACTGTATTAATATCAGACAATAGTGATATCAAGGTAGAAAGCACTAGTTAAGATTTTAAAAGGAATTTTTTAATGGTGAAATGAAAAATTAAGAAAGACACAAAAATCCAGATATGAATTCACCTAACAAAAATGTTTCAAAATATCTGAAACCAAATCACATGGTAGTGAAGAAAGAAAACGTCAAAACTGCAATCATAATTAAAGATTTAACACCATTTTCACATTGACTGATAAAATAAGAATACTAAATAATCACTAAGTCTATAAAATATTTAACAAGAACTATCTGCTAAATTTAGTAATCAACATTTATTAAACACATACCCCAAAGTTGTAGAAAACATTTAGCAACTTAGACCATAACTTGGGCCATACAAAAAGTTTCATGAAATTTCAAATGAGTGAAGAAATTTACATAGTAAGTTAACAAGATTACAGAATACAAGGCTAACATACAAAAATTTATTTTATTTCTATATAATTAAAAACTGGAAAATAAAATAAAAATTTAATATAGAAAAACATGAAAATATGCAACAAAGGTTAATTTAACAAATGATATGTATAAATCTTCCACAAAAAAATAGAAAACATTAGAGATAAAATTTTTTATCTAATATGTATACCTAGATATTTTTATCTAACATATATATCTAGATATATATATAGATATTTTATCTACTACATATATATTGCTTTATATAAATAAAGATACCATAATTATAAGTTGGAAGACTCAATTTTTTTAAATGTTAATTGTCCTCAAAGTAATAGTCATTAATGCAACTCCAATAATAAATAATGCAACTCCAATAAAAATTGTAACAAGTGATTTCATAAAATCTAAAAGTTAATTCCAAAATTTATGGATAAATACAAAGAAAAAAACAAAGCAAATTTCACTAAGCTACAGAATCCACAAGAAAGGATTCTGTAGCTTCGAATTTTATATCTTGATCAAATTATCTGGACAATTGCAGGTCCCCAGAAGAGTTATTCTAATTCTATTGGGAGGGTTAGAAAAAGATTGCTGGGAATTGTAAAATAATTTTCTCTATAAGTTAGAGTAGTTTTAACATTGAATAATTTAAAATTAAATATAAATATTGATAATTGTAATAATATTTTAAATCAATTATTTCATGAATTAGATATATGCATTTCATTTTAGTCATTTGCTGTTTGTAAGAGATTCAAGTATAAGGGAATATCAAATAAGTTCCCATTATAAATCAAATATAAAATTCTGTTGAATAATAGAATCAAACTTTAGGTTTTAAAGGTAGAAGAGAACTGTAAGTATTTAAGTAATATTAGCATATGCAGAAACCATAATATTAACCATATTTATGTGTTTTTTGGAGTAATATGTGATGGGGTTTTGTTGATTTGTGCTTGGAAATCAAATATGGTAAATTAGTAAATGCATTTTTAAATACTTAAGACAATTTAATTACAGAAATTGTATAACCCACTAATATGGTTTGGCTGTGCCCCCACCCAAATCTCATCTTGAATTGTAATTCCCACAATTCTCACGTGTCATGAGAGGAACCCAGTGGGAGGCGATTGAATCATGGGGGCGGGTCTTTCCCATGCTGTTCCCATGATAGTGAGTCTCATGAGATCTGATAGATTTAAAAATGGAAGACTTCCTGCACAAGCTCTCTCTTTGCCTGCTACCATCCATGTAAGACGTGACTTGCTCCTCCTTAACTTCTGCCATGATTGTTAGGCTTCCCCGGCCACGTGGAACTGTAAGTCCAATTAAACCTCTTTCTTTTGTAAATTGCCCAGTCTCAGGTATGACTTTATCAGCCGTGAGAAAACAAACTAATACAGTATATAGGTATCAGTACAGTGGGTTGTTGCTGAAAAGATACCCGAAAATGTGGAAGCGACTTTAGAACTGGGTAACAGGCAGAGGTTGGAACAGTTTGGAGGGCTCATAAGAAGACAGGAAAATGTGGGAAAGTTTGGAACTTCCTAGAGACTTGTTGAATGGCTTTGACCAAAATCCTGATAGCGATATGGACAATAAGGTCTAGGCTGAGGTGGTCTCAGATGGAGATGAAGAACTTGTTGGGAACTGGAGCAAAGGTGACTCTTGTTATGTTGTAGCAAAGAGACTGGCAGCATTTTGCCCCTGCCCTAGAGATTTGTGGAACTTTGAACTTGAGAGAGATGATTTAGGGTATCTGGTAAAAAAAATTCCTAAGCAGCAAAGCATTCAAGAGTTAACTTGGGTGCTGTTAAAGGCACTTAGTTTTACAAGTGAAGCAGAGCATAAAAGTTCAGAAAATTTGCAGCCTGACAATGTGATAGAAAAGAAAAACCCATTTTCTGAGGAGAAATTCAGGCTGGCTGCAGAAATTTGCAAAAGTTACTAGGAGCCGAATGTTAATCTCCAAGACAATGGGGAAAACGTCTCCAGAGCATGTCAGAGGTCTTCACAGCAGCCCTTCCCATCACAGGCCCAGAGGCCTAAGAGAAAATGGTTTAGTGGGACAGGCCCCCTGTGCTGAGTGCAGTCTAGGGACTTGATGCCCTGTGTCCCAGCCACTCCAGCTGTGACTAAAAGGGGCCAAGGTACAGTTTTGGCTGCTGGTTCAGAGGATGGAAGCCACAAGCCTTGGCAGCTTCCACATGATGTTGAGCCTACAGGTATACAGAAGTCAAGAATAGAGGTTTGGGAACCTCCACCTAGATTTCAGAAGATACATGGAAATGCCTGCATACCCAGGAAGTAGTTTGCTGCAGGAATAGGGCCCTCATGGAGAACCTCTGCAACAGAAGTGTGAAAGAGAAATGTGGGGTCAGAGGCCCCACACAGAATCCCTACTGGGGCACCACCTAGTGGAGCTGTGAGAAGAGGTCCCATCCTCCTCCAGATCCCAGAACGGTGGATCCCCTGACAGCTTGCACAGTGCGCCTGGGAAAGCCGCAAACACTCAATGCCAACCCCTGAAAGCTGCTGGGAGGGAAGCTATACCCTGCAGAGCCACAGGGTGGAGCTGCCCAAGACCATGGGAACCCACCTCTTGCATCAGCATGACCTGGATGTGAGACATGAAGTCAAAGAAGATCATTTGGGAGCTTTAAGATTTGACTGCTCTGCTGGATTTCAGACTTGCTGGGGCCTGTAGCCCCTTCGTTTTGTCCAGTTCCTCCCACTTGGAGTGGCTGTATTTACCCAATGCCTCTACCCCTGTTGTATCTAGGACGTAACTAACTTGCTTTTGATTTTACAGGCTTATAGGCAGAAGGGACTTGACTTGTCTCAGATGAGACTTTGGACTGTGGACTTTTGAGTTAATGCTAAAATGAGTTAAAACTTTTGAGGGACTGTTGGGAAGGTGTGATTGGTTTTGAAATGTGAGGACATGAGATTTGGGAAGAGTAAGGGGCAGAATAATATGATTTGGCTGTGTCCCCACCCAAATCTCATCTTGAATTGTAACTCTTATAATTCCCATGCCTTCTGGAAGGAACCTGGTGGGAGGTGATTTAATCATGGGGGTGGGGCCTTTCCCATGCCATTCTCGTGATAGTAAGCCTCATGAGATCTGACAGCTTTGAAAACAGTAGTTTTCCTGCACAAGCTCTCTCTTTGCTTGCTGGCATCCATGTAAGAGGTGACTTGCTCCTCCTAGCCTTCTGCAATGATTGTGAGGCTTCTACAGCCATGTGGAACTGTAAGTCCAGCTAAACGCCTTTCTTTTGTAAATTACCCAGTCTCAGATATGTCTTTATCAGTAACGTGAAAAAAGACTAATACACTCACTTAAAGGTGCTGGCTAGTATTTACTGGAATTATGTATAGCATAAGTGTTTCAGTTTGAACTAAAAAAGTGTAAAAGCAAACTTCTTAGTTTTTTAAATTTTGGCAAATTGTATATTAACTTTTAAAATGATGATAATACTAATGATGTTTTTATCGGCAATAAGTAAGCTGAGTTCAAGGATACCAGATATTTTGCATGTGTGAGTTTAAATTTTTTTTATTTAAAAAAGTGCTACTATCTTTATATTGTTCTCCCTCTTGGCAATGTTTTAGCCATTAAATTACTTCTTCATTTATTAGGCAATAACAGTTTTCTTAAAACACTCAATCCTTTGTCTATAACTACATCAGGACCTTAAGAACACCCCAGAGGTTATGAGTGGGTTTAAGTGCGCCATCTGTGGTTCAATTAACTGTACACACATTTAATGTATTTAATACAGAAATACATTTTTTTAATTTTTTTAAGCTTTTATTTTAAGTTCAAGAGTAGATGTGCAAGTTCGTTACATAGGTAAACTTGTGTCATGAGGGTTTGTTGTACACAGTATTTCATCACCCAGGTATTAATGCTGGTACTCATTAGCTATTTCTCCTGACCCTCTCCCTTCTCCCACCATCCACCCTCTGATAGGCCCCAGTGTGTGTTGTTCCTGCCTGTGTCTCTATGTGTTCTCATCATTTGGCTCACAATTACAAGACATGGAATCAACCTAAACGCCAGTCAGTGATAGACTGGATAAAGAAAATGTGGTACATACACACCTTGGAATACTATGTAGCCATAAAAAAGAACAAGATCATGACCTTTGCAGGGACATGGGTGGAGCTGGAAGCTATTATCCTTAGCAAACTAATGAGGCACAAAAAAAAGATACCACATTTTTCTCAAAAATACATTTTGCAAAGAAGGGAGACCAAAACTTTAGAGATACTCTCTAAGAAAAAAAATGTAAAAACTACTGATCTTTAAAATTAATGTATGAGTTCTTAATTTTTGTAGAAGGACCTACAAAAGTTCATGTTTCCAAATGTCTTTAGCTCCTACTCATTCTTTATTTTTTTGAGACAGAGTCCTGCTCTGTCGCCCAGGCTGGAATGCAGTGGCGCGATCTCGGCTCACTTCAAGCTCCACCTCCCGGGTTCACGTCATTCTCCTGCCTCAGCCTCCCGAGTAGCTGGGACTACAGGCGCCTGCCACCACCCCTGGCTAATTTTTTTTTTTGTATTTTTAGTAGAGACAGGGTTTCACTGTGTTAGCCAGGATGGTCTCGATCTCCTGCCCTCGTGATCCACCCGCCTCAACCTCCCAAAGTGCTGGGATTACAGGCGTGAGCCACCGCGCCCGGCCTAGCTCCTACTCGTTCTTACCCAGTAACACTACTCTGTTTTCTTCACACATTGGGCTGCTACACAACTCTGTCACATTGCTCATCAGAGTATTTTTGTACCTTCTAACCATTTCTTAGGGCTCATTGTCTTATAACTCTTCCTCAATCATGTAGTAGGACCAACCTCAGAGGCAATATGCTTGAGAAAATTTTTTCTTCAATCTGAAGATGAATCAATTGACCCTAATTATACTTTCAGAGCACTTTTTAAATAACTTAGTGTTAAAGACTACCTACAAGTCATTGCAATTATGTGTTTGTATTTCTACATATCACTAGACATTCAGCCCCTTGAGTGTTTTTATGCTATTTAGCTTAATCATGATCACAGAGCTCAGGGAAAGTCCTCCCTAAAGTATCTTTTTTATTGAATACATGGACTCTTGAATACGAGGCACCTTATTTAGCTTGTTGATACAAACCAATAGAATACTAATGATAACTTATTTCATATTATTATTGAAAAAAATTTTCTACTGCCAAGAAATTTGTTTCAAAGGCATTGATCTATTTTATTGAATCTCTGCCTTTATTTACTAACCTTTCACCTACACCTTAGAGAGGCCAATGCTTCAGAAAGAGCTAGTCAAGAAGCAAGCTGAATAGGCTCTGCTCAACCTGGGCACATAGTCTAGGAATCCAGTGGAGGCAAAGAGTATCTGTCCGAGTCAGCTAGATAAAGGTAAATAAATCGACATATACACTGAACCTGATCAACCAGCAGAATAAAAAACAGGTCAGGATTACCTAACAAATGCATGCAGATTTAAATTTATTCTTCTTTTAATAAATGATTGTAAACTCCTTAGAAACTATTTCCCTGTCTTCCCACAAAGGCATGTGCTTCCACCTACTGGTGACCTTTTTTGCATATGACTGTTTCAGTTACTGTTAGAGAGCTATGAATTCAAGCCACAGTGAGATACCAAATACACACCTATTAGATGGGCAAAAAGGAAAAAAAGGCTTACAATGCAAAGTGCTGGCAAGGCTGTGGATCCATGGTAACTCTCATACATTGCTGATGGAAATAACAAAAATTACAGCTACTTAGGAAAATGGTCTGGATGTTTCTTAATAGGTTCAATTACACACTTGCCATGTGACCCAGGTTTCATTCTTAAGCATTTACCCAGGAGAAAGAAAACCATCTCTACCCAAAAGCTTGTATGCCAACACATATAGTGGCTAATGTTTATTTGGCAATTAATAGTTTCTAAAAACTTGAAACACAGAAATGTCCACTAACTAGTAAATAGGCCGAATATCTGCTTCAGACTCTATATTCACACAATGGATACCACTTGGAAATTAAAATAAATGAACTACTGATATATGCAATATCATGAATGAATCTCAAATGTGTCATGCAAAGTGAAAAGGAGTCCAATTCAAAGGCTACATACTACATCATTCTATTTATATGACATCTGGGAAAAGACAATGTCAGAGTGACGGAAAACAGATCATTTTTTGCCAGTGACTGTTTGTTGGGGAGGCAGATTTACTATAAAAGGTGCAAAGAAATTTTATAAAGTGATGAAGATGTATTATATCTTTATTTTGGTGGTTATTACCCAACTAACACATTTGTCGAAACTCATAGCACTATGCACTTTAAAAGGGTGAATTTTATTCCATGCAAATGATACCTTTAAAATTTTTGACCTTCAAAATCTTTATAACACCCTAAAGATCCACAAGAATGAATTTTTATATTGAGAAATATAAAGCATTTTTCCCAGTTCATCAAAACAATGTTAATAAAAATGTTGTTAAATATTTTCTTTATGCAATCCACAAAACCTTCTTAACACACTGACTTAACCAACTGATCAGTGCAGTTCACCTCTTTACCAATCGTCAGAAAACAACATCATTAAAAAACTAACACATTCTTTCCAAAAGTGTTGGTTTTGTCTGCTATATGGAGTTCATACAATTACACTTCACCATAAGTAAATTATTTTAGACACTTTAAAAAATGTAAAATTATATCTAAGTTATTACATGGCTTGTACAGAGAAAATACTGTTGAAAATGTTGAAAGATCATGATCAGAAATTACTAACCAATAGGTTTTCAATCAAGGAGTAGTGATATTACATATTAATTACCTTTTTCTCCAAGTACTTGCTCAGTCTCTTTTTAATAATATAATTTTCTTTCTCTAATACTAATTCATAAGAAGGTAGTAATTTGGCTATATGATAAACTTTTCAAAGTACCATCGATTTTGTGTGTATGCATAACTGCAAAAACACATACAGCCATAAGTGTCAGATAGCCAGGTAGATGGTTGATTGATTGATTGATTGGTTGGTTGAAGACACAGACAGTTGATGACAGAGAGACAGAAAGATAGAAAGATGTATATGTAAAAGCACAATATTTTAAAGAAACATAAAGTTCAGTAATTTTCCCAAGCTGAAAAGTATACCTTTGAAAAGCAATTTTAATGTGCTAGGCTTCTTTTTTCCTAACTCTAAAAAGCATGATCTTCTAGTTTTATTCTCTTACGTAAACTTTCAAGACCTCTCCTTTTTTGGCAATCCAGTTTTTATCCAGTTTTGTCTCCACTTGAGACTAGGTCTTTGGTCCTCCTTTCTCATTTATGAGTTCCCGGGGTTAACTTATTTATTTAGAGGCAGGATCTTGCCCTGTCATTCAGGCTGGAATGCAGTGGCGATATCATAGCTCATTGTAACCTCAAACTCCTGGGCTCAAGTGACCCTCCGTGCAGCCTTTGGTGTACTATTGGATTTGCTTCAATGATATCTATAGTAATTATTTTTTCTCAAAATAGTTTTATTCTCACCCATTTTTGTGTACATACCATGCTGAAATAAAGGTAATATACAAACATTTGAGCTCCTATTTCTAGTAAAATAAAGTGAAATACCTCAAACAACTAAACAATAACACATGGTTCTAAAGGATTGTATGAAGAATAGGTCATACTTTTAACATTCTGGCAGCATCAAATTTAGAAAATGAAGGCAATGAGAGCTTTGATGTTTTTGAGAAGTGATGAGTTCAGATCTCAAAGACTGTAAGCCACAATCCTTGCAACATTTACCAAGTAACTATGTGCCTATGTGCTGTATAAATATCATACAAAAATCTCAGATAAAACTATGGGACATAAAACAATTAATGAGAAATTAAGATTTAAATATCCTTGGATTTTTAAAGAAAAATGTGCATTTCATATCTACACCAACTAGTTGAAGTTTACAGGAAACATGAATGCACTTTTGCCTTATTATTATTTATAACGGTGCAGTTTTTATCATCATTTACATTTAAATGATTTTATTATTTTCTCTGTGATTTATCTTCCTTTCCTAATTTTCTATTGTGGTAAAATACACATAACAAAATTTGCCACTTTAACCAATGTTAAAGCGAACAGAATATGGCCAGAGAAGGGCTCCTTACTTCTATATTTGAGTCCTTGTGGATGAACTGCAGCATAACAATAGGTAGACAAGATTGAAAACCTAACTTAGGAGTATGCGTCTGTAACAATAGCTGAGTCTTGGTCCATCCCAGCAGCCACACCTCAACCACTTACAGACTGCTGAGTGTTTAAACTGTGTTCAAATAAGGCAAATGTCAACCTGTAACCAATCCAGCTGTTTCTGTACCTCACTTTCCCTTTTCGGCCTATAAATTTGTTCTGACCACGAGGCATCCCTGGATTTTTGTAATCTGCTGTGATTCTAGAGGCAGCTAGATTTGTGAATAGTCTTTTTTTCCCCCTGCTCAGTTAAAATCTGTTAAATTTAATTTGTCTAAAGTTTTCTTTTAACACTAATTTTAAGTGTGTAGTTCAGTGATATTAAATATATTCACAGTGTTGTACAACCATCACCACCATCCACCTCCAAAACTCTTTTTATCTTGTGAACCTAAAACTCAGTACCCAATAAACACTAAGTCTCCATCCTCCCTTTCTCCCAGCCCCTAATCACCACCGTTCTAAACACTGTCTCTATAATTTTGACTCCTCTAGGGAGCTCTTATAGGTAAAATCAAGCAATATTTATCTTTCTGTGCCTGGCTTATTACACTTAGAATAATGTCCTCAAGATTCATCTATGTTGTAGCATATGTAGGAGTTTTCTTCTTTTTTAAAGACGGAATATTCACTTTTTAATTATATTATTTGGGGTTTTTGTTTGTTTCTTTCTTTGTTGTTTTGAGTTTCTTGTAAATTCTGGATATTTGTTATTGGTCAGATGCATAGTTTGCAAATATTTTCTCTCACTCCGAAGTGTATCAGTTTACTCTGTTGATTTTTTTTTTTTTTCTATGCAGAAGCTTTTAGTTTACCTCCCACTTTCTATTTCTGTTTTTGCTGTCTGTGCTTTTGAGGTCTTAGTCAATACTTCTTAAACTATACTAATGTCCAGAAGTGTTTTCTTGGGATTTTCTTCAAGTACTTTTATAGCCAGGTTTTACATTTAAGTCTTGAATACATCTTGAGTAGATTTTTGTATATGGTGAGAGATAGGGGTCTACTTTCATTCTTCTGCACGTGACAGTTCAATTATCCTAGCACTATTTCTAGCAAAGGGTGTTCTTTCCCTAGTGTATGTTCTTGTTCACTTTGTCAGAGATAGGTTGGCTGTAAATATGTGGCTTTATTTCTAGGTTCCCTATTCTGGTACCTTGATTTATGTGTCTATTTTTATTCCAATATAATGCTATTTGGATTATTATACCTTTGTAGTCCAAAGAAGACGTACAAATGGCCAACAGTCACATGAGAGAATGCCAACCATCAAAGAGATACAAATTAAAACCAGTTCACCTACACTCTCCCCACCCCCACCACCTCCTAGATGCTGCTTTGCCTGCAGGCACTCACATCATGGCCACACCCCACGTCACTTTGCTGTCACATGTGTGGGGGCGGACCTAGCCTTCCCTTCCCTGCCAGCATGTCTGTGCATGTGCACCCTGCCATGCCACTGCTGCCAGTGTGAGTGCATCCCACTCCCCTCCATCTTCTCTCCCCCTGCTGCACTGCCATTGTTATCAGAGCACTGGTGGGCACAGAGCCTGCCAGCCCTGCTCCTGCCAGCACCGTGTCACTGCATCTGGGCGACCGGCACACAAAAGTAGGCACAGAAAACAGCTGACCTACCCATAGCCCTGAGTGGACACTGCTGCCAGCATGAAGGCACAGAAAGGATGCATAGAGTCCTTTACTCACCAGAACCCCACCCCAGTGCTAACCATTATCAGTGGGAACATGCAGTCACTGACAGCGGACCCTTGACCCCCAAGACACCACTGCTTCTGCAAACGTGTGCACAGGGGCTGACATCCTGATACCCATTAGCACACTGTTATAGCTGATGAGCATGCACCCCACCACACTACTTCTGCCACTTCTGCTGCCATATGCAAACAAGAATGAATCTTGCTGTCATTGCCCTGTGAAGTGCCCTGGCCAGAAACACACATTGAAGTATTGTGACTGGTGGTCTGGGAGCACCTTGGCCTCTCCAGTGCAATAGGTTCCTAACCATGAGGTGCCACAGATCAAATCTAGGGCCCCAAACCAGTCCCCCAGAGTTAAAGCCTGCAGTCCAGGAGTCCTGAGCTGAGCCTTGACCCCATAAAATCTTCCAGTAATGAAGCCAGTCAATTAAGACCTCCTTATTCCACAGTCAAATCACCAGGGTCATCAAATAAAATTAAAAATAATCCAAAGGACAGCAACTTAAAGGATTAGAGGAACATCAGCTCACAAAGATGAGAAAGAACCAGTGCAAGAACTCTAACAACTCAAAAACCCCAAGTGTCTTCTTTTCCCCAAATGACCATACTACTTCTCCAACAGGAGTTTTAAACTGGACTAAGATGGCTGAAATGACAGAAATGGAATTCAGAATATGGACAGGAATGAAGATCATTGAGATTCAGAAAAACATTGAGACCCAATCTAAGGAAGCTACAAATTATGATAAAACAATACAGGAGCCAAAAGACAAAATTGTCAGTGTAGAAAATAATCTAACCAACTGAATAGAGCTGAAAAATACTCTACAAGAACTTCACAATGCAATCACAAGGATTAACAGCAGAATAGACAAAGCTGAGGAAAGAGTCTCAGAGCTTGAAGATTGGCTTTCTAAAATAAGAAAATAAAATAAAAATAAAGAGAAAAGAAAGAAAAGGAATGAACAAAACCTTTGAAAAAATATGGGATTATGTAGAGAGCAAATCTATGACTCATTGCCATCCCTGAAAAAGATGAGGAGAATGGAACCAACTATTTTAGGATATCAACCATGAGAACTTCCACAACCCAGCCATAGAGGCTAACAGTCAAATTCAGGAAATGCAAAGAACCCCTGCAAAATACTTCACAAGAAGATCATCTCCAAGACACAATCATAAGATTCTCCAGGATCAAAATTGAAGAAAGAATGTTAAGGAAAAATTTACCAGAGAGAAAGGGCAGGTAACCTGCAAAGGGAAGCCTGTCAGACTAATAATGGACCTCTCAGCAGAAACTCTGTAAGTCAAATGATAATTGGGGGCCTATATTGATTATTCACAAAGAAAATAAATTCCAACCAAGAATTTCATATCCAGTCAAACTAAGCTTCATGAGCAGAGGAGAAATAAGATCCTTTTCAGAGAAGCAAATGCTGAGAAAATTAATTGCCACCAGACCTGCCTTACAAGAGCTCCTGAAAGAAGCACTAAATATGGAGAGGAAAGACCATTACCAGCCACTACAAAAAACACACTTAAGTACACAGACCAGTGACACTATAAAGCAAGCACACAAACAAGTTGGCATGACAAACACCTAACAAAACAATGACAGAATGAAATTTACACATATCAATACTAACCTTAAATGTAAGTGGGCTAAATGCCCCAGTTAGAAGGCACAGAGTGCCAGACTAGATAAAGAAGTCAGGCTGAACAGTATGCTGTCTTCAAGAGACCCCTCTCACATGCAATGACACCCATAGTCTCAAAATAAGGCAATGGAGAAAAACCTACCAAGCAAATGGAAAACAGAAAAAAGGCAGGGGTTGCCATCGTAATTTCAGGCAAAACAGGTTTTGAACCAACAAAGGTAAAAAAAAAAAAAAGACTAAGAGAGATATTACATAATGGTAAAGGTTAATTCTACAAGAAAACTAACTATCGTAGCTATGCATGCACTTGACACAGGTGCACCCAGATTCATAAAGCATGTTCTTAGAGACCTTCAAAGAGACTTAGACTCCCACACAATAATAGTGGGAGACTTTAACACTCCACAGACAGTATTAGACAGATAATTGAGGCAGAAAATTAAGAAAGATATTGAGGACCTAGACTCAACTTTGGGCTAAATGGATCTGATAGACATCTACAGAACTCTCCACCCCAAAACAACAAATTATACATTTTTCTCATCTGAATATAGCAAGCACATACTCTGAAATCAACCACACAATGGGATATAAAACAATCCACAGGAACTTTTAAAGGACACAATTATACCAGCCATGCTCTCAGGCCACAGCACAATAAAAATAAAATTCAATACAAAGAAAAGCACTCGAAACTATACATTTACTGGAATATTAACCTGCTCTTGAATGACTTTTGGGCAAATAATGAAATTAAGGCCAAAATCAAGTTATTTGAAACTAATAAGAACAAAGATACAACATAACAGAATCTCTGGGACACAGCTAAGGCAGTCTTAAGATGTCAATTTAATCACTAAACACTGACATCAAAAAGTTAGAAGGATCTCAAATTAACAAATCAACATTACAACAACAACAACAACAACAAAAACTAGAGAAGTAGAGCAAACCCACATCAAAGTTAGCAGAGGACAAGAAATAATCAAAATCAAAGCTGAACTGTTGGAGATTGAGGCAAGAAAAACCAGCCAGAAGCTGTTTTTTGAAAAAAATTAATTAAAAAGACTGCTAGCTAGAATAATAAAGGCGGAAGTGGAGAAGATCCAAAAAAAAACACAATAAGAAATGGCAAAGGGGATATTACCACCAACCCCACAGAAATACAAATCATATGGTTAGGCTTTGTGTCCCCAGCCAAATCTCACTTCAAATTGTAACCCCCATAGTCCCCATGTGTGGTGGTGTTACTGGCAGGTCTTTGTTCTTAGAGCTCCCAAGATGGTGGCGGGCCACTCCCAAGATGGTGGCGGGCCACTCCCAAGATGGTGGCAGGCCACTCCCAAGATGGCGGCAAGCCTTTTGTTCTCTGACCTGGGGTTCTTGGCCTCATGGATTCCAAGGAATGGAACCTTGGGCCATGCGGTGAGTGTTATAGCTCCATTAGAAGCCGTGGGTCAAGGAAGAGAACCGTGGAATCCAGAGACTAGTGTTCAGCTCAATTAGGGCACTTAGCCATGCAGGAACAATGGCGAACCTTTAGTCCGATCGGGAGTGGCAATGGACACCTTGCTGGATCAGGAGCACAGCAGACACCGTGCCGGATCCGGAGGGGTGGAAGTCAGTGGCAGGTCTGCCACGGCGACAGCGGCAAACAGCAGTGGTGGACGGCTAGCGAAAGCTCAGCTCCAGCCATAATAAACACGGGCCAGAGGAGTGTGCAGTTGCAAGATTTAGTACAGTGAAAACAGAGCTCCCATACAATGGGAGGGGACCCAAAGGGGGTTGCCACTCCCTGCTCGAATGCCTGGGTTTATATCCCGATCATTGTCCCTCCCTCTGTGCTCTCAGGTGATAAGTGATTTGACTATTTCTTTACCTTCTGCTTTAGCCTAATTTGTATTTTAGTGAGCCCTCTTTACTACCTGATTGGTTGGGAGCGAGCAGACTTACAAGCCCTGTGTTTAAAGGTAGGTGCAGTCACCTTTCCCAGCTAGGCTTAGGAATTCTTAGTCTGCCTAGGAAATCCAGCTAGTCCTGTGTCTCAGTGGGTAGGACATGGTTGGAGGTAACTGAATCATGAGGGCAGTTTTCCCCATGCTGTTCTCATGATAGTAAGTGAGTTCTCATGAGATCTGATAGTTTTATAAGCATCTGGCATTTCCCCTGCTGGAACTCATTCTCTCTCTTGCCACCCTGTAGAGAAGTGTCTTCCACCGTGATTGTAACTTTCTGTGGCATCGCAAGCCATGCTGAATTGTGAGTCAATTAAACCTCTTTTCTTTATAAATTACCCAGTCTTGGGTATTACTTCGTAGCAGCGTGATAGTGGACTAATATAGTAAATTGGTACCAAGATAATGGGGTGCTGCTGTAAAGATACCTGAAAATGTGGAAGCAACTTTGGAACTGGGTAACAGGCAGATGTTGGAACAGTTTGGAGGGTTCAGAAGAAGACAGAAAGATACAGGAAAATTTGAAAATTCCTAGAGACTTGTTGAATGGCTTTGACCAAAATGCTGGAAGTGATATGGACAACGAAGTCCAAGCTGAGTGGTCTCAGATGGATATGAGGAACTTCTTGGGAACTGAAATAAAGGTGATTCTTACTATACTTTAGCAATGAGACTGGTGGCATTTTGCCCCTGGCTTAGACATCTGTGGAGCAGTGAACTTGAGAGAGATGATTCAGGGTATCTGGCAAAAGAAATTGTCTAAGCAGCAAAGCATTCAAGGGGTGACAGAGCATAAAAGTTTGAAAAATTTGCAGCCTGACAATGCAGTAGAAAAAATAATTATCTGGGGATAAATTTAAGCCCTCCAGAAATTTGCATAAGTAACAAGGAGCCAAAAGCTAATTGCAAAGACAATGGAGAAAATGCCTTCAGGACATGTCAGAGACCTTCACAGCAGCCCCCTCCCCTCACAGGTCTGGAGGCCTAGGAAAGAAAAATGGTTTCCTGGGCCTGGTCCAGGGCCTTCCTGCTGTGTACAGCCTCAGGACTTGGTGACCTGCGTCCCAGCCAGGTACAATGTCTCCAGTGGCCTTTTAACAATGGTGCAAGCCCCAAGCCTTGGCAGCTTCCAATTGGTGTTGGTCCTGTGGGTGTGCAGAAGACAAGAATTGAGTTTTGATCGCCTCTGCTTAGATTTCAGAGGATGCATGGAAACCCCTGGATGTCCAGGCAAAGTTTGCTGCAGGGGCAGAGCCCTCATGGAGAACCTCTCCTGTGGCAGCGTGGAAAGGAAGTGTGGAGTTGGAGTCTCCACACAGAATTCCCACTGAGGCACTGCCTAGTGCTGTCCTCCAGACAGCAGAATGGTAGACCTCCTGAAACCTCACACTGTGCACCTGGAAAAGCCCCAGACACTCAATGCCATCTGGTGAAAGCTCCCAGGAGAGGGTTTGTACCCTGCCAAGCCACAGGTGCAGAACTGTCCAAGGTCGTGGAAGCCCAGCTCTTGCGATCAGCATGATCTGGATGTGAGACATAGCATCAAAGGAGATCATTTTGGAACTTTAAGGTTCAATTACTGCCCTATGAGATTTCAGACGTGCATAGGCCCTCTAGACTCTTTGTTTTGGCCAATTTCTCCCAAAAATAAACAGTCATATTTACCCAATACCTGTATGGCCGTTGTATCTTGGAAGGAACTCACTTGTGTTTGATTTTACAGGCTCATAGGCAGGAGGGACTAGCCTTGTCTCAGATGAGATTTTAAACTTGGACATTTGGGTTAATGCCAGAATGAATTAAGATTTTGGGTACTGTTAGAAAGACATGATTTGCTTTGAAATGTGAAAGGGACATGAGATTTGGGAAGGTCCAGAGGCAGAATGATATGGTTAGGCTTTGTGTCCCCACCCAAATCTCACCTTGAATTGTAACCCCATGTGTCATAGGAGGGACCTGGTGGGAGGTAATTGAATCATGGGGGCACATGGATCCATAATGTCTAGCATTTCAATTTTTTTGGTACCCTCTGCTTTTTGTTTCTTTTTCCCCTTGTTTTGCCTTAATTTAAATAACAGTATATTTATTTAGAATTATATTTTAACTAATCTTGGCAATATAACATTTATCTATTTGCATTATTTTAGCTCTTGCTCAAGAGATTATAATATATAATTGTAACTTTTCACAGTCTATTAAGAGTTGCACTGTACCACTGTACCACTTTATGTAAAATGTAGATATCATACAATGATTTAAGACTATTTATCATTTCTGAAGTACTTTATGCATTATTTTATGTGTATTATTCTTCTATTTATCATAAGCTCCTGGAGATACTGCTATAATTTATCCACAGTTATATATTTTAAAGAAATGTATACGACAAACATAGTCTGCATGTTTACCAAATATTATACTTTCCAGGGCTCTTCATTCTTTCTTGAAAATCCAGATATCTACTCTGCATAATTTCTTTTTTGTTGAAGTACTTATTTGTTTTATTATGCAAATTTTCTTCTAATATATTTAATAATGCTTTTAATTTCACTTGCATTTTTAAGGGTATGCTTATTAAATATAGAATGCTGTTTTATTTTGATTTGGGTTTGTTTGTCTTGATGGTTTGTTTTCTTGAAGACTGGTTTCTTTTTTAGCAGTTTATAGATATCATTCCACTGTTTTCTACTATCTCCTGTTTCTGATAAAAATTGACTAGTTATTCAAATTGCTCCTGCCTTGTTTACACTGTTATTTCTCTGTCCTCTTATAAGACATTGTCTGTATCTGGGGGTTCAGAAATTTGCCTATAATATGCTTACTATAAATTTATTTCTAACTGATTATGCTTCTATGATTTTTTCGCTATCTAAATTTATGTCTTTCAATAATTTGAGGTGTATGGGTCATCACCTTTTAACATATTTTCTCTGTATGTTTTATTTATCCTTTTCTTTTGGGTCTCTAGTTACATCTATGTTAAGTATTTTTATATTGCCTCACAAGTTCCTGATACTTTGTTCATTATTATTTCTAATCTTACTTCTTTTTGTACATCAGATTAGATAACTATTTTATTGATCTGTATTCATTCTCACTTATTTTTCTGTCCTCCTAATCTTCTGCTAGGGTCACTTGGTGATTTTTTTTTTTTTTTCTATAATTTTCTGTACTGTGTCTTTCAGTTGTTTAACTTCTGCTTTTCTTTTGTAACAATTTTTTTTTTTTTGTCTTTGAGCATACTTTCTGGCGTACTGATTCTAACACCAAAGTCACCACTGGGTTGGCCTTCATTTTCATTTTCCTTGAGTATGGGTCACACTTGCTGTTACTTTATATGCATAGAAATTGGTATCCTGTCTTAGATATTATGAATAGTAAAGTTTGAAGACTTTGGATTCTGTTTTTCAAAGTTATTTGTATTAAATTTTAAAAAAACCCAGACAGTTAGTAAGAGCTACATTCAGACTCTAAACTAAAATCTTATATCAGTTATTTTCACCTGACTTGTGCTGCTAGGAATGTAACTATGAATGCATACTTTAAAGATCAGACAGAGATTTGAGCAGAGACTATGCAAAGAGTTGTTTTTTTCTGCAGTTGTCTCTGTTTCAAAGTTTGCCCTTTTTGCATACATCTTAGATTCAGTTATTTGGTTCTTCAAAGAAGACTACAGTTTTTCCATTTGGAATTTAACCAGCCCACAATTGGGGTGTGCCCTCAGGCAGAAATGGACAGATTGGTAACTCTCCCAGTACGTTTTTCTCTGCCAATGGCCTTCTATTCTTGTTCACTCTGCAATGCCCTCAATTGGTTGTGATTTCTCATAATTTATACTTATTTGCAGAAGGGACTGGTTGATTTAATAGAAGCTACTATACCAGGACCCAGAAAATGAATTTTTAATTGTAGGGCAATAATTTTTTTTTTCTGAAACATTCAATAATCGTTGATATCCTTGTGTTTCTTCCCTATTCTTAATCTATAATTCTGTGACACGCTTGGAAAGTTATCCTATTTCTCCAAGTATTCTATTTTGAGGTTGACACTATTTATTGAAAACCTTAGTAATAATTGGCCAAAATATCCTGAACTTGCAGTGTTTTAATCTCATTTTGTTTGAACCCTATAGGCATAACATAATACAGATATGACAGCATTTTTTTTATTTCTCCATTAACTTATGTTGTTAAGTCCAACGGCTTCAAGGTGAAGCAGTTGCTATAATATTTATGAAAGTCATATTGTTGCAGAGTCCATTACAAGAAAGGAAGCAGCTGGATCACAGGTTTTAGATATAACTTTTACTGCCCAAGGCTGTTATTTAAACTCCAGGACTGACTAAAGTGGTGTGATCACCATTTTTCAAAACATACTTACCATTTTCACTTGATTTTAGCCAAAAGGCTGAGAAGCAATAACTTACCATTTTCTATTAGTATTTTCTATGAAGCCAGAACCAAAACATATGAGGACAACTGCATTTATACATATATCCATATTATATTTAGCATTCCATTTTTTTGGTCATAAACAACACTGAGAGGTCTTAATAGTGTTCATTTTGTGATTTGATAAGAAACATATTCAAAATTCTGATGAGCAGATGTTTTCTGCGTTTTTTTTTTAGCTATCATCAACAATAGAGCTCCTTTAAGAGAATATCATGAAAATCATTTAGCTCTTATGTGTAGTATAAAATGTGATAGTTTAGATAGCATTGCAAATGAATGCTGACTATAGAAAAAAATGTTGGAGGAAAAAAGACAGAGTAGGCAAACAGAATTTTTAAAGATTTCTTGCTAGTTTTAATTTTGAAACAGGACTTTTCTCTGGCTACCTTATATTGAAGACTTTTTGTGTGATTTCATCACTCTCATGACTGAAATCTCAGATTTTTATTTCTAGCCAAGATTTTTCTCTTAAATACACACACTGTATATGTTATATTATTAATATGTTGTACATATTAATAATATAATAAAATATAAATTATATATGCATGTATCTATCTATATATACACACATATATATACACACATATAATTCTATATAATAGCATTTAATTTTTTTACATCACACTTTGAGGATGGACTTTGAGAAGGAAATGTCGGTGTGAGGAGTTTCATGGACCCATATGCCAATGAAACAACAATGTCTGTTAAAAATTTTTAAAATAAAGTCTCTGGAAATTATCCTGAGCAGATAAAACCAACTAATAGACATTATTTTAAAAATACCCTAAAATACAGTAAATCTTGGTAAGAACAAGGAAAATCTGTGTGCTTGAGCTTTAACCTACCAACTTTTTCTTTCCCCATCTCCCATTCTGGAATAATAGAAACACCATTCTGGGTACTGTGGCCATGAAAATGGGATTCTCGCTTTCCTCAGCTACTAATCAGTAGAAGCAGAAAGCCTACAATTTTTAATCTACACAGTTTTTGGTGAAGAGTCTAAATTCCAGGCAAGTGTGTGGCTAAGAAATCTGTTGCTCCTTCCCTCTACTTGGCACCTCGGATTAAACAGCAGGCTATACCCCAAGTATGGCAGACTGAGAACACTGGGGTCGTTTATCATCATCCAGACCACTCATAAAGAGGAAAATGAATATGAGTAAGATGAGAGGCTGCCACCCTTGCCTAGCACCATACTTAGAAAACAGAGATGTCCCCAGCACTTTGGGAGGCTGAGGCGGGTGGATCATGAGGTCAGGAGTTCGAGACCAGCCTGACCAACATGGTGAAACCCCATCTCTACTAAAAATACAAAAGTTAGCCAGGTGTGGTGGTGCGTGCCTGTAATCTCAGCTACTCAGGAGGCTGGGGCAGGAGAATCGCTTGAACACGGGAGCCAGAGGTCACAGTGAGCCGAGATCATGCCACTGCACTCTAGCCTGGGTGACAGAGCGAGCCTCTGTCTCAAAAAACAACAACAACAACAAGAACAAAAAAAACCAGAGGTGTCCTATTGAGAGTAGCATGATGCTTTCCCACCCCCATTCCTGGATCAGTAATTCAGAGATAGTGCCCAGGAGAAGAGGCTGGCCTTAAGAACAGAGCTCCAACTTCTCCGCAGATGAGCTGACTTTAGTTGGAAAACAGTGTAAGTAAGTTCAAGACCAAAGGTACTCATAGAAACAATGGAGACTTCTTTAGCAAGCAATTAGTAGGGCTATGACAACCCAGTGGGAGAAACAGCGAAACCTTAGGGCAGCTAGGGTACCAGAGGCAATTAGAGAAAGAACAGAGAAAAAAAAAAAAACCTCCTTGTGGTATAAAAATAAATCTCCAAGACTGGTCCCAGTCTTTTACTGGCCTAACCTGTAATAACAAAGGTGGCAGTAATTATTTGTTTTAGGCTTTGAAACAATTTATATAGCAGAACATTTTTTAAAACAACCGGTAAAATAATCGGTACTTAATGGAGCCTAACAGTTGGGTATGATATAGTGAGCTATGATGCAGACAGCATAACAGTGACATCAGGAAAGAGAAAGTCAAAGAAAGCCCTGGTAAAACCACTGTCAGCTAAGATGACAGAGAAACAAATGAAGAAAACCAAAAATTTCAAACAAACAGGTTACTATAAAGAACTCAACAAATATGTGTTTATTTTTTCTTATTTTGTTTTTTAAAAGACAAAATTGCATAAACTAATAATTGTAGCAATATATTGTTGGCTTTCTAACATAGGTAGATAGAATATGCATAGCAACGATATCACAAAAAGGAGGACGGAGAAAAAGAGCTCTATATGGGTAAGGCCTCCACATTTTGGTTTCTCACTAGAGTTAATATAAATCTGAAGTACATTCTAACAAGATAAGATGAATGTAATAAACTCTAGACCAGCCACTGCTGGGGCTCAGAATATGACACCCTAAAACCTGGCACCTTTGAATAAGCAGAAAGGTCATTCTGAGCCTTTGTTTTGTTTTGCTCCCCTGAGATTATAAAAAAACAATTGTGCCTCCTGTCTCCCCTGAAGACCCTCATGTGAGAGGTGTTCTGCCTTATGCCCAGAGGAAAAGAATAAACACACAGAGACACAGAGAAGAATCTGAGCAAACAGGCCATGCTAAGTTACCTCCTCTTTATTACTATTAGATCATACTCTTTTTGTCCAATCGCACATTTATGTGACTGTTCATTCTTCAGTAAACCTAACTATAAAAATACAGAATTTTCCTTGGGTCTTTGGTCTTCATTTTTCAAGATGTTTGTAGTACATAAAGTTTTTTGTTTGTTTGTTTGTTTGTTTGTTTGTTTGTTTTTGTGACAGCGTCTTGCTCTGTCACCCATGCTGGAGTGCAGCGATGTGATCTCAGCTCATTACAACCTCCGCCTCCCAGGTTCAAGTGATTCTCATGCCTAAGTGTCCCAAGTAGCTGGAATTACAGGCATGCACCATCATGCCTAGCTAATTTTTTTATTTTTAGTAGCAATGGGGTTTTGCCATATTCATATTGGCCAGGCTGGTCTCAAACTCATGGCCTCAAGTGATCCGTGCACCTCAGCCTTCCAATGTGCTGGGATTACAGACAAGAGCCATCACACCCAGTTTCTGTCACATAAAACTTTGGTAAAATAAATTTATTATGCTTTTCTCTTGTCAATCTGTCTTTTGTTGTAGAGATACTAGCCATGATCTTATAGTGGTGAGAAAAAGATTACTTTTTCCTCTGCTACTCCACTAAGAAAAAATTCAAAAATTATAAAGGATAAAAGCACTAAAGAATTAAGATGTTACAGTAGAAAATAATCACAATTCAAAGGAAAGCAGTAAAGAAGAACAGAGTAGCAAAAAAGATAGAAAACAAAGAAAAAAGTTAATTGGTAGATGTAAATCTATTATATGAATAATAACATTAATAATTATGGATCCAAAAAAGTTCAATCTAAGGCAATGATTGCCAGGATAAATAAGTAAAAATAGGGCCTAACTATATGCTGTCTACAGGATACATAATTTAGCCACAAGATAAAAATAGCTTGAAAGCAGAGACATACAAAAATCTATATCATGCAAACAGCAAACATAAGGAACTTAAAATGGATATACTAACATCAAACAAAAGTATAATTTAAACAAAAGATGTTTAAGACATAAATTGATTAAAGGGTGAATTAATTATGATATAAATACTATCAATATACACGCATCTAACAACAGAGTTGCAAAGTACAGGACGCAAAAATTAACAGGGAGATATAGACAAAAAAAATAGTGGTTGAAGACTTCGATAAGTATCATGGTTAATTTTGTGTTAAACTTGACTGAGCCATGGAATGTCCAGAGAGCCGGTTGAACATTATTTCTGGGTGTGTCTGTGAGGGTGTTTCCAAACCCAGAATCCAGAAGGCCAGCCTTCAAGCCCAGACTGAATTCTGTGCCAGGGGAAGCATCAGAGCCCTGGCATCAGGAACTGGCCAATTCGCAGGTTGGTAAAAAGAATTTACCAACTACAGTATAGGTTTGAAAAAGGAAAGTTTATTAGAAAGCACGCTGCAAAAGGGTGCAGTGGGGCACCTCTGCATGAGAGGACTGAGTGTGCCATGGCGGATTTTCCTTAGGAGCATTTATGGACCTTCAGGAAGAAACTTGAGGATAATTTGGACCACACTAGTCAGGTTTGTCATGATACATGATTACATTTGTAGTAATTTTGGTGCCTTAATGTAAGCATGGGTTGCAAAATGAGTTGTGGCATGGCATTCTGGAGAAGAATAGAAATTCTAGTTATAAATTTTACGTTGAAAAGAGGCCTGGAACCAGATGCTGACTTTAGATGCTAGGGAAGTTTAAGTACTTTTAAATTCCCGCAGATAAGGAGTTTTGCCTCCAAATGACCTGTTTGATGGTCATCAGGTGGTCTTTGCTCTCTTCTAAATTCCTCAGATAAAGAGTTTTTGTCTCATGTCCTGTTCAATGGTCACCAGGTGATTTTCGCTCTCCTCATTCTGCACTATTGGCTCTCTGGCTCTCAGGTCTACTAACCACACCACCAGCATTTCTGGGTCTCCAGTTTGCAAACAGCAGCTTGTGTGATGTCTCAGCCTTCATATTCATGTGAGACAATAGGCTAGAATAAGAGAAAGATATAAAGAAGGAGATGATAGATACATAGATAGATAGATAAGAGATAGATAATATATTGTTTCTCCAGAGAACTCTGAATAACACAAATATAAAATATTCAATAAGGAATGGAAAAATTGTTCAGAACAACAAGGAAAAAGAAAACTTAAATAACACAATTAGCCAACTAGATCTAATTGCTAGATCTCATAGTGATATATAGAAAACAACACCAAACAACAACAAAATACACATTCTCTCAAGTGTACACGGAACATTCTCCATGATAGACCATAGCCAGGCCACAAAATAAGACAATAAAATTTAAAAGATTTGAATCACACAATGTATGCTCTGAGTCCATAACATAAGGGAATTGGAAATTAATAACAAATAAATTTGGAAAATTTCCAGATATATACAAGTTAAGTATAATACTAATAAAAAAAACCAGTGGTTCAAAGGAGAAATCACAATAGGAATTAGAAAACATTGAGATAAATAAAAATAAAGACAACATAACAGAAGTCATGGGCTGCACCTAAATCAGTGCATAGAGGGAAATTTATAGCTGTAAATGCCTCTGTAAAAAAAGAGAAAGATCTCAAATTATTATGGGGTGAATTTTGTATCCCTCAATATTCACATGCTAAAGTGTTAGCTCCCATTACCACAGAAAATGATTGTATTTATAGTCTTTAAAAAGGTAACAAAGATGAAATGAAATCATTAAGGCAGACCCTAATCCAATATGACTGGATACAGACAGGTACACAGGGAAGACTATGTAAGACTCAGGAAAAAGGCATCTACCAGCCAAAGAGTGAGACCTCAGAAGAAACCAATGCTGTCAACACCTTGATCTTAGAATTGAAGCCTCCAGAAATGTTAGGCTGTGATACTTTGTTTTGTGATACTAGTTTTGATACTTGTTTATGATACTTTGTTTTGTTTTGTGATATGTAGCAAATTAATAATTTAAACTTCTACCGTAAGGCACTGGAAAAAGAGAGAAAACTGAATTCAAAGTAAGCAGAAGAAAGAAAACAACAAATACTGGTGTGAAAATCAATAAAATAGCAAAAAGAAGTGATAAACAAAAAATTTGTCCTTTGTAAAGGCAAATATCTACAAATATTTGGCTAGAGTGACCAAGAAATGAGAGAAAACTCAAATTATTACTATCAATAATGAAAGAACATTACTACTGTTCTTATATAAGTTTTTTTAAAGATTATAAAGCAATATTGTAAGCATTAGATAACTTAGAGAAAGTGAAAAATAGACAAAATTAACAAAACTGACTTAGGAACAAATACTCAATCTGAACTGACCTACAAGGAAAATGATTGAATTAGTGATTGAAAAAAAAAATTACAACAAAGAAAAACCCAGATACAGATGACTTCAGAAGTGAATTCTAGCATACATTTGATGAAAAATTAATAGAAATTCTTCACAAACTCTTTCAAAAATCAGAAACAAAGAGAACAGTTCACAACCCACTTTATAAGGCTTAATTAGTTTAATACCAAACTCAAACAAAGACATGGTAAGAAAATAAATCTACAAACCAATGTCTCTTATGAATATAGACACAAAACATTCTCAGAAGAATATTACCACATCAAATCCAGCAATAAATAAGAAGAATTATGCACCAAAACTTGGGGGTGGGGAATTTACCCAAGGAATGTAAGGTTGTTACCATATCAAAAAAAAATCAAATAATGCTGTGAGCCATATTATTAGAACACATGACACATACACACAGCATTATACAGGAAACACTAGCCAGGGCAGTTAGGAAAGAAAAGAAAGGCATAAGTTAAAACTGAAAACAATATAATAGTCCCTATGAGAAAATAACCTAATTTTATATTTGAAAAATCCTAAAACGTCTAGTACAAACGAATAATATCTTTGGCAACTAATAAATACAATTGAAAAGATTTCAGGACATAAGATCAATATATAAAAATAAACTATTTCCAGTGAACAGTCAAAAGTAAGATTGAGAAAATAATTCCAAAGGAATAAAATAGAATAAAATATCTAGAAATAAATTTACACAAGGAAATGAAAAACTTGTATATTTAGAACTGCACCCCATTGCTGAAAAAAATTAAGAAGGCTTAATTTAATTTTAAATATCACATATTCATAAATTATGAGACAATATTGTTAAGTTGACAATACTCATCAAAGTGATCTACAGATTCAATTCAATCTCTATCACAATTCTGACAGCTTTGTGAAGAAATGTAAATGTCAATACTCAAATTATTATGGAATTACAAGGGACCCTGAATGACAAAACAATATTTTAAAAGATATCTGGTGAAGTAGCTCATACCTGTAACCCCAGTACTTTGGGAGGCCTAGGCAGGAGGATCACTTGAGCCCAGGAGTTTGAGACTAATGTGGGTAGCATAGTGAGAGCTCTTCTTTACAAAAATATTTAAAAAGTAGCCAGGCATGGTGGTGCATGCCTGTGGTCCCAGCTACTTGGGAGGCTGAGGTGTTTATTGCTTAAGCCTGGGAGCTCAAGGCTGCAGTGAGCTCTGATGGCACCATTACACTCCAGCCTTGTTTGGCAGAAGAAGACCCTGTCTCAAAAGAAAAGAAAAAAAAAAAACTGGAGGAGTGTTACTTTCTATTTCAAAACTACTAGCAATATTATGTTGTACCAAAATAAGGTCAGACATATCGATGAAGGGAATAGAACTGATAGTCCATAAATCAACCCTTATATTAACAATCAATTGATTTTCAAGAAGGTTGCCAAGAAAATTCAATTGAGAAAGAATATTCTTTTCAATAAATGATTGGACAACGTAAGCACATGTAAATAAGTTGGAACCTTTCCTCACACCATATACAAACATTAATTCAAAATGTATTACAGACCAAAATGTTAAGAGATAAAGAACTCAGAAAAATACATTAGTAAATATTCATGGCTTTGGATTAAGCAAAGCCTTCTTAGATATCACACCAAAAGCACAAATAACAAGAAGAGAAATTAGGACTTTATCAAAATTAAAAACATTTGTTCTTCAAAGGATATCATCAAGACTGCAACCATAATTCACAGAATTTGAGGAAATGTTTGCATATTATAAACCTGATAAAGGATTTGAATTCTAAACTCTGACAACTCAATAGTAAATATGTAAATAAGGCAATCCCAAATGAGCTTATGATTTTTTAAATACTTATATATGCAAATGACCAATAAGCACATGGATAAATGCTCAACATCATTGCTATTAGATACATGTGAATCAATCCCACAATGAGATACCACTTCACACCCCATATATGGCTATAATTTAAAAGACAGATTAAAAAAGAGACAGATAAGTGTTAGTAAGGATGTGGAGAAATTGAAATCCTAGTATGATGTTGGTAAAATTGTAAGATGGTGAAGAAAGTTTAAAAAGCAGTTTGGAAGTTCATTAAAAAGCTAAACCTGGCCGGGCTCGTGGCTCACGCCCGTAATCCCAGCACTTTAGGAGGCCGAGGCGGGCAGATCACAAGGTCGGCAGATCAAGACCATCCTGGCTAACACGGTGAAACCCCGTCTCTACTAATAATACAAAAAATTAGCCGGGCGTGCTGGCGGGTGCCTGTAGTCCCAGCTTTTCGGGAGGCTGAGGCAGAATGACATGAACCCGGGAGGCGGAGCTTGCAGTGAGCCGAGATCGCACCACTGCACTCCAGCCTGGGCGACAGAGCGAGACTCCGTTTCAAAAAATAAAAATAAAAATAAAAAAATAAAAATATCCAAACTTTAGAGTTACTATATGACCTAGCAATTCCATTCCTAAGTATATGTCAAAGAGAAAATAAAACATGTCCATACAAAAATGCACAACAGTGTTCGTAGCAGTATTATTAGTAATAGTTAAAAATAATGGAAACAACTCATATATCCACAACCAAGTAAGTAAATGTGTTATGTCCATACAATAAAGTAAGTAAAATGTTATATCTCCATACAATGAAATATTAAGCAATAATAAGTAATAAAGTATTGATACATGCTACAACAAAATGAATCTTGCTAAATTAAAGGAGCCAGCAGCCAAAGACCACATGTTATGTGATTAAATTTACATGAAACATGAAGAATAGGAAAATCCATAGAGACACAAAGTAAATTTTCAATTGCCTAGGTGGGGAAGGTAGAGGAGAAATTGACGCATAGTTTATGGATGTGGTGTTTTGGGGAGGGTAATGTAAGTATTCTAAACTTGATTGTGGTCATGGTTTCACAACTCTGCGAATATGATAAAAAGAAAAAACATTGAATTATACACTTTAAATAGTTGAATTGTATACTTTATGAATTACACATCAGTAAAGCTGTTATATAACAAAAACCATTCAGTAAAACAGTGTCTTTATAATTTATATTATACATATGAAAACAGTAAGACAGGTGCGGTGATAACTTTTAAAAAGCCAATTGAAGAGTTAGGAGTAGAGTCCATGTTTGTCTAATTCTGTCTTCTTGCTGTGGTCTAGATGTTACTGTATATCTCCAACTGGATGTCCCATAGACATCCAATCTCATCAAATGTGGAATTAAATCAAATATAATGTTCTTGTCACATAAAGCAGCTGCCTTCTCAATATTTTCTGTTTTCCTTACTTTTTAAAATGAAACCACCTTGGATATCCCCTAAAGCACATCACTCTCCTTCATTCCTTCTGTTTCACCAAACCCTATCAATTAGACCATCTTGACCATCTGGCTCTCTTCTCTGAGCCTTTCATGGTCTCGTATTTGCCTGAATTACTGTAACTCTTCCTTCTTTTAATCTCAACTTCTCTAATCCATTCTAAAAATAACATCTTATTTATCTATTGCTGTACAGAAAAGAACTTCTGCACAGCAAAAGAAACTATCCACAGCGTCAGCAGACAAACTACAGAATGGTAGAAAATATTTGCAAGCTATGCAACTGACAAAGGTCTAATATCTAGCATCTATAAGGAGCTTAAACAGATTTACAAGAAAAAAAGCCATTAAAAAGTGGGCAAATGACATAAGCATACACTTTTCAAAAGAAGGCATACATGTGGCCAACAAACATATTAAAAAATATTCAACATCGCTAATAATTAGACTGTAAATCAAAACCACAATGACATACCATCTCACACCAGTCAGAACGACTGTTATTATTAAAAAGTCAAAAAATAACAGATGCTGGTAAGGTTGTGGAGGAAAATCAACACTTATCCACAGCTGGTGGGGGTGTAAGTTAGTTCAGCCATTGTGGAAAGCAGTGTGGCATTTCCTCAAAGAACTTAAAACAGAATTACCATTCGACCCAGCAATCTTATTACTGGGTATATACCCAAAGTAATATTAATCATTCTACCACAGAGACACATGCATGCATATGTTCATTGCAGCACTATTCACAATAGCAAAGACACAGAATCAACCTAAATACCTATCAACAGCAGACTGGATAAAGAAAGTGTGGTATACATACACCATGGAATACTATGCATCCATAAAAAAGAATGAGATAATGTCCTTTTTAGCAAAAAGGATGGAGCTGGAGGCCATTATCTTAAGCAAACTAACATAGGACCAGAAAACTACATACAGCATGTTCTCACTTATAAGTGGAAGCAAAACAAGAAGAACACATGGATATTAGGAGGCATAAACAGACACTGGGACCTACTTGATAGTGGAGGATGGGAGAAGGGAGAGGATCAGAAAAAATAACTGTTGAGTACTGTGCTAATTACCTGGGTGATGAAATTATCTGTACAACAAACCCCTGTGACATGTAATTTACCTATATAAAAAATCTGCACATGTATCCTTGTACATAAAATAAAAATTAGAAAATAAGAAAACCACTTTAAAACTCAGTTGCTAAAAACAACAACAGTTTGTTATTTCTTATGATTCTATAGAAGAGTTGGGTTCACTTGGTTGGTTCTTTCCTAGGTTTCTACTGTGGTTCCTCAGATGCTATTTCAGTCTGAGACTAAAGGGTCTAAGGTGTTCACGTCAGGAGACTTGGTGCTGGCTGATGGCTGAGGCTTTCTCCATGTTGTGAAAGGAAAATAAATCCTGGGACCCCAAAATCACTAAGCCAAGGGGCAAGTCAAGCTGGAAACTATGTCAGGCAAACCTGCCTCGCATTTTATTCCTAAATAACATAGCTACAAAGATAAGAAGCTTCATATCTTCCTCACAATTTGCCCACAAAGAAATTCCTTGTGGACGTAGGACAGACAGAACTCAAAGTCATCCCTTTGCTTATGTGAGACTAATGCATATCTGATTGTTTCCTTTGCCTTATTGTTTCACTAAGCCAGGTTAAGGCATAAGGGACTATTCCTGTAAGTTACATATTCACTAGAAGGCTAATCAGAAATTCAAAAGAATGCAATCATTTGTCTTTTATCTACCCCTGACCCAGAAACCCCCTCCCCTATTCGAGTTGTCCCCCTTTTCTGTACTGAAACAATTACATCTTACATATATTGATTGATGTCTTCTGTCTCCCTAAAATGTATAAAACCAAGCTGTGCCCTGACTACCTTTGGCTCATGTGGTAGGCCCTCCTGAGGCTTTTCACAGGCGTGTCCTTAACCTTGGCAAAATAAGCTTTCTAAATTGATTGAGAACTGTCTTCTTGGTTTATAATGTGATTTCTCATACTTTGTAATACTAGCCCAGCCTGCCTCACATGGTAGAGGGAGGAATTTCATAGAGTAGGCACAGAAGCTTCGAGGCCTTTTAAATTCTAGGGTCTGGAATTCACACAATATAATGTCTGCCCCATTCTGTTCACCAGAGTAAGTCCTAAATGCAACCCAGATTCAAGACTAAGGGAAATAGACTCCTTCCTTTGATAAAAGAAGCTGCAAGGAATGTTTAGTGCTTAATGAATATAATACATGTGGCAATGCTTAAGCAACCAAATAAATATGATTAAAAATTGCTTTGTTAATCCCAGTTGATGTTTACCCATGATCTACATGACAGTTACAGAGTATTATATAAATAACATACATTTATAACAAAATAACATAAATTCAAGGTAAGAATATGTTTTAGCTAGCTGGCATCAAATATTGCAATTTAATATCTTGAGATGGGGAATGATATTTTTAGTTTCCCCTTCACTTTGTTTTGTTAAACATTTAAATTACTTGTCTATCCCTGTAGAAAACTGAATTTGTAATCTTTAGATTACAATGAAACCAAAAACTAAATTAAAAAAAATTATACTCCTAGCATGCTAAGCAATTCCCCATTCATATTCTCATTATATGACTTTTCAGCTAAATATTACTATTCCTCTCAGAAGTTTTACAAGTCACAAAAACTATTTGATTAATTATAACTTCCAGGCTTTGTGATGATAATGCACACCTCTTAGGAATAAGGAAGATGAATATCCAGTTCATTGGAAACAGAACTGGGGAAGAAATAGGGATCTCAGTAGCAAAAATTTGGGCACCAGGTATTCAGAAGACTACCATCAAATGACTTAACCAAATCCTCAGGCATCTTTTCAGTTTCACATGCCTGAGAGATACTCTGTGGAATTTGCATGGATTCCTAAATCATCCTTAAGCCAAGGGAGTAACAGCAGTTGGGGCTGGCTAATGTCAGTCTCATCCCAATCACAATTGTCAGAGACACAGATGTCAGATGGACTAGTGGGGACAATGTAAAAGAAGAGAAAGGGAGAAACACTTGAAGTTGCCAGAATTTAGCGAGCTTTTCAAAAACACTACATCTCTGACTCTACCTTTGCTGTTCCTTCTGCCCAGAATTAACTATATAAATGCGTGGAACAGAAGGCTCTGAAGATTCACTTCAACCTGACTTAATTTCAACAGAATACAATATTTTTCATATAGGAATATTTTAACAATACTCTGGAGGAACTGATTACATACTTATGTAGAATAGAATAGGAAAAATGGTAATATGATGAAAAGACTAGAATTTGCATTCCTATATTAGCACTTATTAGCCATGCATTTTTATTTTTAAAACAAATTACTTGCTACCAGAATAAATAAAGCACCATCTTCCACAGTGATAAAACTTCAGAACCTTACAGGCTATATGGAGGATTTATCTGAGAACCCATATTTTTTTTCCTAGTGTGGAAATGGGAATTCAACTTCAGCTCAAATGCATTCTGCTTGTCTCCAGGAAGCCTTGCCCTACACACTCTCAGCATCCTACCTACCAGGACAAACATTTTCTTGTAAAACCACCTGCCCAAAAACTTCACTTCATATTTCTGTTTCTACCTGTACAACTTCAGGCAGGGGTCTTTTAGGCATATTGGCCTCTTCCTCCAAAGGACTGCTCCTTTCATTTCCCTCTAACATTGCTTAGTTACTCTTCCTCCATATCTCAGCTCAACCATCTCCAAAGCAAAATCCTTTGATCTTCTTAATTATATCAACTCTACTTACTGTGTCCTTTACAATCATTAATGCCCCACCGAAAAGTTGTTTTCTGATACAAATTACTATTTTTTTCACTCAGGTCATCTGTATATGCTGGAACACTCTTCCATCTATATCATTCTTATCTTTTATTTTGGGACTAAATGGTATCTTCCCAGTTATTGCCTCTGAGAACCTCTTACTTGTCTTTGTTAGTAACATAAAATAATAATAGATCATTATTTTATTTTTTATTTAATAATATTAACCACACTAGTATATAATCTGCACACAGACAGGCTCTGTCTTATTGGTTACTGTATACCCAGTTCAATGACAGCTGCACAATAGATTAGCAAATGAATGATTTAGTGAATGTATCAGCTGACATGCTATGGCAAGGGTTGTCTCTTTCTTTAGCTTATACTGAGCCCATCACCTCTCAGAGTTTTTTGTTTTTTTTTTTTCCTAGTGCATAACACAGTACATCATCCTAGATATCCTGTGAACAATTTAGTATTTGCACATGAACCTTGCTTCTCTTGCATGGTTTCATATCTCTTTATTCATCCAATTTATCTGCCTTATTCATAGAAATTTTCATTTCCTTGAACATGTTTCATCACCTGTGGAATAAAATCATTATGAGGCTTTGATTACATTAGACCTATACGAAATGTTGTCAAATGTAAGGCATTCTGCAGATGATTTGTACTAATAGTACCTATAGACAGTGAAAATGACCGTAACCAAAATCTTGAAAATTTTTATCACTGGACAGTATAATTTAAGAACCTTAACGAATGCTAAAATACTAGAGTTAAATGCATTGCCTAGCAGTAGTTTTCCCAAAAATTTAAATTCAAAATTTATTTTTCTGTTTTACCATGTATGTGGTCAGCCCACATTTATCTTGCAGTCTGGGATACATAAATGATATAAATAGACCAATAGACAAAATGAGAAACAATATATTGCTTAATCACAGTTCTTTAAGTCTGACATAATGAGTTATAATTACTTTTAAATAAATGTCATTGCTAACTGGAAGAAGTCTTTTTTTATATTCAGAATTAAGTTTCGGTATTTCACTGAAGAATAAACAAGTCTTTTATAATAGACCTGTTTTCTTTTGTCTCAATATCATAACAACACTGCAAATCAAGCAGAGTTGTTATGATGAGCACAATAAAGTTTTTTTATTAGACATAGCAAAATTCTCACAAAACAAAATGTAAGAAAAATAAAACTGTATATCTTAAGTTAAATTGTCCTATACATGTTACGGTAAAATATTTCTCTATTATCATGCCAATTACTTGTCTACAAAAATGAACATTCATTGCTGTCCTAATCAATAGACTGAAGTAACAGAATTTATTGATTAAATATACATTTAATTTATTGTACTGTTTTTATAGTATATTTATGTAAAGCATTACTTAATAGATTCCATTCTAAAAATTTACTAATTTTACCAGTAACACAAGTTATTAGTAAATAAAAATTAAGCCATATGCAATTTTTCTACTGCTCATAGGTCTTAGTTACCAACTTTTATATTGGTTATTGATTTTGAATTATAACAATTACACTTATAAAACAAGTTAGCTAGTTATAAGAAAAAATGGCATTATGAAATCATAAAGGAATCCTCAGAAATTTTTACCTATAATATAAAGCTCAAATTTCAGACCCTGTGTGACTAGGAAACAATAGCAAGAAGAGACATATTGAAAGGCAATCTCTTGGCACTAGAACTTTACGTTCATTGCAGCACTATTCACAATAGCAAAGACAACCCAAATGCCCATCAATGATAGACTAGATAAAGAAATTGTGGTACATATACACCATGGAATACTATGCAGCCATAAAAAGGATTGAGGTCATGTCCTTTGCAGGGACATGGATGAAGCTGGAAGCCATTATCTTCAGCAAACTAGTGCAGGAACAGAAAGCCAAACACTGCATGTTCTTACTTATAAGTGGAAGCTGAACAATGAGAACACATGGATACAGGGAGGGGAACAACACACACTGGGTCTGTTGGGGGCTGGGGTGCGGAGAGGGAGAGCATTAGGAAAAAATAACTAATGCATGCTGGGGTTAATACTTAGGTGATGGGTTGATAGGTGCAGCAAATCACCATGGCACACATTTACCTATCTAACAAACCTGTGCATCTTGCACATGTACCCCGGAACTTAAAAAATAATAAAAAATAAAGAATGCAAATAACATATTTAAAAATGAATAAAATAAATTTTGCAATACCTCATTCAGTAAAGCTTTACATTGAAGAGTGAATCTTTACATATTAGTTTTAGTGCAATATTAAGAAAAATAAAATATATAAATATTGGATAACATAATCAAAAGCTATGCAAATAGCAGAAGAGTGAAATTGATTCATACAAGTAAAAGGTGTGTGTCTACTGGAAATCTTGTTTGTAACTAAGTACAGATTTTGATCAGTGAATAGTTTTAAATTGATTTCAAACTTATTAAAATTTTTTATGTCTTCTGGGAGAGGAAAAAAGAAAACAGAGATAAATATATAAATCAAAATTATTTTGTGACATATATGTTTTTTCATATTTCAGCATTTTAGTGGAGTATTAGTGTAATTTTGCAACCTTAGTTGAGTAGCTAGTTGGTCCTGCTAAACTAATTGTCGTGAAAGTTTTATAAATACTCTTCGGAGTCATTGTCCTCTGAAAAGTTAGCTGAGTGTACATATTGGACCACAAGAGGATTAGAATCAGACATGGAAATATTTATGATGAAAGGGCAGATGTTTTACTTCACAGACGTGCTTCCCAGAGGGAAAGGTGCATTGTGAGTATTCCTCACAGATTGTCAAAAAACAAAAATGACTTGGAGAAAAGGGGAGTGTTCCTAATATGATTGGCTTTTGAGAGTTTTTTCAAATGCAAAAAAAAAAAAAAAGAATTAAATGGGAGCCAAGAAGGTTAAGGGAAGTAGGTAAATTTGAAAATGGTGACTATAATGCTACTGATTATGGCTACTTTCCTTCAGTTTCAAGTTTCTTGTTTAGATATCTATGGGTCAGTGCCCTAACATTTTCATTTTATTATTTTGAAGATAATAAAATGAAAATTAGTGAAACTTAAATTGACTTGTTTAAGCTAGGCATTCAGTTACTACATAGGCTTTTATTTCTACCATTCTGAAGTACATAATTATACCAATCCCTTAACAGAAAATAACAAAACAATTGTTGAAAAGGATTGGAGAATAACTAAGTCAGTCAGGATGGAGTGGACAAAAAATCCCATAGACAAGGAAAACATGAGAAAGTAAGCCTCAGATTTGCCACTGCTTTTTCTCTTGCGTTATTTGCTAGTTCACAGAGCAGGGAATAAAGGCTTAAGGTAAACCTGGGGCCACTGACTTGCAGAGGTCTTGCTGAGATGTAAGATCAGGGTAGATAATTTAGAATTTGTGTTGCCTAGAAGTTGAACACTCCAAGTTCAAATTAAGTAAGCCAAAAATTCTGTGTGCAGTATTCCCTCCAGGCATTTGTCAAATCTTAAACTGTCTATTCTCAGGCTGAAATGCCCAAACCCAAAGCAAATAACAAACAAACAAACAAAAAGAACAAGTGAGTGGATAACAAACTCACAACTATAATTTTCGTAATCTCTCTGTTAGAGAGAGACACAAGTTTGTTTAGAACTCAAAAGCTAGAAGAGACCATTTAAAAATTTCAGACTCTAGTTTTGACCCAAGAAGAGCTAACCTTGATGGGATGTTGGTTAGCTACCACATTTGGTCATAGAACAATCTGAAGCAAGCTGGCTCAATTATATTATCTACGAAAATAATTACAAAATACGCATGTGCATACTCATCTACATAATATAATGGTACTGTCTTAAAAGAAATAATAGGAAAAGTGAAAAGTTGTGTAGTCACATTATTATCTTCTGCCTCAGCTATAATTCAGTTGTTTTTAGGTCAAATAATGCAAAATAACTTAAAGGTAGCAACATTCAGAGAAAAGCTGTTGTGCTTTTTTGCTTAAAAATTAAATATCGCTATTTTAAAGTACAATTCAATTAGTTTATAAATATTGCAGTATACTATTACAAATTCAACCTTTATATTAAATCATAATGAAATTGAGATATAATTATGTTGACATAAACAAAATAAAAATCATACTAAATATCTAATGCTGCCATCAATACTATGTTCATAAATGCCAAGACAAATAAGAATGACTCTTCAAAGTAATAAATTACATAGAAAATGTAGAAAAATTAGCTGAGACTATGATGTAATATTTATTATTAAAATTTATGATCAATTACTGATTATTTTTAAGAATGTGGAAATAGAAGTTCATCCAAAGAAATACTCCACCAACAATACCAATAGTCATTTAGCCAATAGCTAAGGATTCTCTTATAACAAATAATTTACAGGGACTCTTTACATTTGCAAAACTGACAATAGCTATCTTCTGTTAGTTTTTATATTAAAGTTTGAAGTTGCTTAATGAAATTGCTATAACATAAATGCCAAACATAATACACAGAAGTGTGAAAATCATTGATGTATTTGTAATATAAACAAATAAAATAATTCATGTAATCATAATTAAGTCACATTTTACCTAACCATAAACTATATAAGGAATAGCAAGCAAGAGTAAGTCCAGTAGGAAGAATTCAAAAAGTTGTTCATAGACTTCTGTTCTAAGCAAATTGCATGGAATTAGCATTTATAACTGTGAAAGAAATAAGAGTGAACAATTCTGTTTTTAACTTTATTTTTTAAATAATCATTCACTGAATATGCAAGATATAATAATATACTACATGCTATCTAAAGTGTAGACCCACCGAGTAGAGTTTATCTGAAAACTGCTTGTTGAGAGTTAGCTACAAGACAAGTATAAAAAGTGAATTAGTGTTTAGAAACATGTAAAGCACATTGCAATGACACTTTTTTTGTATATTGTAGAAGTATGGAATATTTTTTAAAAGTGTCTTGCACTACAGTGAGTTTAAGAAGCATAGTAATAGAACCCAAATGATGACTACAGTAGAGAAGAATAAAAATAAGGGATGGGATGAGGAGGAGTGGTTGAAATACTACTAGTAATAAAATATATTTATTATTGCTTTTATAACATCCAGTCATATTGCTAAGAAATTTACACAGATGTATACATTTGTTTTATTCTCTAAACAGTAAGTTTAAAAGTATTATTATTGTTGTTTACAGATGAAACTGTCTCCAAAATATTAAATAACTCTGAGGTTTCAAGAGTAATATATAAAGAGAGGAAATTGCATTCAGATCTAAACTAAAATCTGGTGGTTAATCATTTTTTATTTTGTGCCTTTTCCAAAAGCAAAAACAAGCATTATAATGGCACCTAAGATGATATTTGTAAGTGTACTATATCAACTACAAAGTTTTACACAATCTGGTCTTGAATCAGAATATTCTCAGCTGTAACATGAAAATACAAATAAGAGTAAGAAGATATTACTTAAATTATGTCTTTATTCTCCGCTGTATGTGAGACAGTGGATTAGATGTTTTCACAAACATTATTTAACATAACCAATAGCTATCAGCAAGTCAATATAAATGTTCAGGGCTGCTTTGATAGTAGAAATTAACTATGCCTATATGTTACTGTGTGTTCAACAAATAGTTTACAGTTTACATCTCTAAATTTGACAAAGGATTCCTTCTATGAAATTCACTAAAATCTGATAGCACACAGTCATTATTAGATTAATTGAAATCAGAATATAGTCATTAGAAATATAAAGAAAATCCAAACATTGAACAGGGATAGAATTTCCTTTATTTTTGTGTTTTGCTGTAGAAGCTAGTATATTCCTTCTCAAGGATAAAATTATAGAACTCAGCAGTCCTAAGGAGACATAGACATCTTATGCAAATTTGTATTATATAGCCATGTATACTGACATCCATGTAGATACATTTTTCCTGAAATGATGATTAGTGAAAAATTGAGTCTACATTATTTCACTTCAATAATTTAAAATTTTATTGAAGAGTTTATTATACAGCAATAATAAAAAAAGATAAGTATTTCCATTCTCATGATGATTTTGGCCACAATGAAAAGGGAGGTGCATTCCAGGACTATAATAATGGTTCAATACTGGGAAATTTATTAATACAGACTAATATACACAAATTAAGTTATAGGCCTTAGGAAAAAACTATATGTGTATATTTGCAATACTTTAAAGCCTTTCAGAGAAGTCAGCATCCATTCCTAATTACATATATTTTTCATGAGAATGTAGAAAGATATGGTTAATTCCTTCAAGCGATAAAATATATATACCTCAATTGGAAAGTCCACATCTTAATGGGTAAAAACATACAGGTAGTCCCACAAGAGTACTGAAAAAAAGTGCATGCCCACTCTCCTCACTGTTATTTAATATTGTTATTAGTTGATGCAGTTAGATACAATTGTCACACAAACTAGAGCAGCAGAAAAAAAAGTGTCTCTATTTGCAGATGACAATAATATATATCAATAATATATATAGATGCCTAAATGATAAAATATAAAATAATGCAAGTTGGCAGGTTATATTTTTAAAAAATCACTATTATATCTATATTCGCCTACTTATCTGTTTATTATCTATTTGCCATCCAACTTTCTGTTTATGCCAATTAGATAATGGAAAGACATCCTTTTTTCCTCATTTAGAACCACTCAACATCATCATGAAGTCATTTCTACATAATTGATTTATAAATTTGACGTTATCCCAAGATAAATCATAAGCGTTTTTATTTATGAAGCTAAATAAATGAATACTAAAATTATTATAAAAATAAATACACAGAATAGAGAAATATTTAAAAGTAAAGCTGTGAGGGAGGACTAGCCTTATTGAATATAAAAATAGTTCACTAAGGTTTTATCATTGAAATGATAACTATGTGTGGATACCCAAGAGAAGGGTATAGAAAGCTGAAAATAGACCCAGTTACATATATTAATCTAGTTAATAATGAAGGTGTTATCTCAAATTACTGAAGAAAATTGAACTTCTTAATACATGAATATTTATTTGAAATATGGTAAAATCAGATTTAATACTCAGAGCTTATATAGGAGAAAAACCCAAATTGTTCAGAGATCTAAATGTCAAGCATAGAATGTTGAGAGGCAAGAAAGAACCCCATGGTTTGAATTGGAATAAGGGATTTCAATGTGAACTTATGATGTCTAAAATATGTATATGCATGCATATATGCATATGTAATATATATTTCACTTATGTATAAATATGTGTTTTATAATAAATAATATATTTGTACACTTCTGCATTTACTTATCTCTATTTGTTAAAATGATCTAAATGCAAAATCATTCCAATAGCAATGAGTTCATATAACTATCTAACATCCAGATCTTGTTTTTTAATACCATTCTTCACTAAAAGAAGTCAGCTCTTTCACAGAATTGCTGATTCTAAGGGTAGGCCAGAGGAGGTAAAACATGAGTCTGGAAAATTTTATTTGCCATAAAGGAGGAATGTGATCAAACAGTAGAAAATTATGGAGATAAACAATGTTGAACATATATCACAAAGACACAGGAATCAGCTTAAAGGGGTTCCTCATAGCCAAGTCTAGGACCATTTGAGCACCTAAGTATTTAAACTCAGTGATAAATAATACACCCTTAAGTATAAGAATTCAGGGGTCCATAACTATAAGAAGAAATATGTGGGGACTTGTTACAGATCATAGATTAGTAAATAAAAAAAATGGCAATCATGCTGTGGACAAAATCAGCAAATATCATTCGCCAGGTGGTCCAAATTAACATCACTAATGCCAGGCAGATGGCATGAGTTTCCAGATGTTACTTTCTGTCAAGGACATGTTGGACTTAGGTAATAGGCAGCCTGAGGATGTGTAAGCTTCATTTATAAAGAAGGAAGTATAATACATATTTAAAAATCAATTTTAATAAAATTGGAAAATAAAAAGGGAAAAAGACTGAAAACTTCTATGTCAATTTAAGAAAAGTATGAAGAATTTTTCTAGATTGAAGTAGACTAAAGAGAAATGATATGCAAATGTAACAGGTGATCCCAGAATGGATTTTCCTTGGAGAGAGAAAAATGTGCTATAAATCATATTATGTGCTCAGTTGGCAAAAATGGGTATGGAAGGTACTGTATCAGAGTTAAATTTGTTGAAGTTGATAATGTCATTTTTTAAAGGAATTTTCTTGTTCCTAATATATTTAATGTAAAGATCGATGATATATGCATCTAACTCTCAAATAGTTCAGCAAAATTATATATATATAACTACATATGTGTGTACATATATATGTACACATATATCTAATACATAAGATGTATATATACATGCATACATACCTACACAGAGAGCGCAATGGGGCAAAATATCAATGAGAGGTGAATCTGACTGGTAAAGGATACTCTTTGTACTATTCTTGAAATGCTTTGTAAGTTCAAAATTATATCTGAAATAAAACAAAAAAATTTCAAACTGAAGATATTTTGATTATATTGAGACTGATGTTTTAAAGTCCCAAGAAGCAGGTCCTGAGATAAAAATGGGTAAGTCAATGATTTTTATAAAACCTGGTGGCAAGACAAACAGGTAAATCAATGGCAAATTTAAGATTAGGAAGTGGAACGAGCTCAACAAGGATATGATTTCATCCTTGAAGACAGTGTTCAGCTTGATCCCATAGGGAACTTAGAAATGAAGTCAAGCCCCAGTATTGTTCTGCTCCATCAATGGCAAGGGAGCTGAACTTCTGGCTTTCCTGGATGGCAGAAAAAGGAGGCTCCCATTAGGAGGAGTGCAATTCTCAGAAGAATTTGGGTGGCTGGCCTGTGGAAAACGGATGCAGTAGGAAGTGAGGATGAGGGCTTACAGAAAAGGTAGAAAGGAATCTCAGAAGAGCTAGATGAAACACTACCTCATGCTTTTATAGTTTAAAATTCCCCTGAATAGATTTTTAAAGTAACATGTAAATTTGGAAGAGATGAAAACTTTGAATTATTTAAATACAGAGATGATGGTTGTTCCATTCCAGACATCATTTTTGAAGGTTAGCTATCATGTGCCAGATGTCTTACAAAAAATAGGTGTGTGTGTGTGTGTGTGTGTGTGTGCTGTTTTTGTTATTATTTATCTTAAACTCTCTGGACATATAAAACCTGTTTTGCTTTAGTAATTAAAGGCAACTTTTTTTCTAAAACTTAGTGCTAAGTGCTCAATACCTAAGGAGAGAATTAGATCAAACAATGTGGTTTTAATATACTTTTTGTCTTCACTAATATAAGGAGATAACCTATTGGGGGTTTCATATTTTCTCCATAATGTTCATAAGGTGTGCTATCGGCATTTCAGCAATATAGCCTCCTTGTGGGCTATAGCATTTCAATCATTACAGGAAATTTCACTTCTCTGGACTCCATCTGCAAAAGATCAGTAGCGCTCTTCCTCCCCCACATTGAATTACATAAAAAACTGCTTTCATCTGTATATAACATGTGATTCTAAACATCCCTTAGGTTTAAGTGGCTATAGTATGTATTAGCATAATATTGAAGTTTAAGGAAAGTAAGAGTTTAAACATTCAATGTAGACATTGCTAAATGTTTTCTTCCAATTTGAAGGGTTACAGCATGTTACTTTTTTTCTTGAGTGTTATCAAACTCAAAAGATAATAGCTAATTTACAGAACATTATTTCTACTGGGAAAAAATAATCACATTTAATGTTATCAAAGATATGGATATAATCTAAATAATTTTAACTGTGCTTAGGTTATATTTAAACATTAAAGATAGCATTTCTTAAAAATTAGTATTTTTTAAATTTTATTTTATTTTTTATTATACTTTAAGTTTTAGGGTACATGTGCACATTGTGCAGGTTAGTTACATATGTATACATGTGCCATGCTGGTGCGCTGCACCCACTAACTCGTCATCTAGCATTAGGTATATCTCCCAATGCTATCCCTCCCCCCTCCCCCCCCCACCCCACAATAGTCCCCAGAGTGTGATGTTCCCCTTCCTGTGTCCATGTGATCTCATTGTTCAATTCCCACCTATGAGTGAGAATATGCGGTGTCTGGTTTTTTGTTCTTGAGATAGTTTACTGAGAATGATGATTTCCAATTTCATCCTTGTCCCTACAAAGGACATGAACTCATCATTTTTATGGCTGCATATTATTCCATGGTGTATATGTGCCACATTTTCTTAATCCAGTCTATCATTGTTGGACATTTGGGTTGGTTCCAAGTCTTTGCTATTGTGAATAATGCCGCAATAAACATACGTGTGCATGTGTCTTTATAGCAGCATGATTTATAGTCCTTTGGGTATATACCCAGTAATGGGATGGCTGGGTCAAATGGTATTTCTAGTTCTAGATCCCTGAGGAATCGCCACACTGACTTCCACAATGGTTGAACTAGTTTACAGTCCCACCAACAGTGTAAAAGTGTTCCTATTTCTCCACATCCTCTCCAGCACCTGTTGTTTCCTGACTTTTTAATGATTGCCATTCTAACTGGTGTGAGATGGTATCTCATTGTGGTTTTGATTTGCATTTCTCTGATGGCCAGTGATGATGAGCATTTTTTCATGTGTTTTTTGGCTGCATAAATGTCTTCTTTTGAGAAGTGTCTGTTCATGTCCTTTGCCCACTTTTTGATGGGGTTGTTTGTTTTTTTCTTGTAAATTTGTTTGAGTTCATTGTAGATGCTGGATATTAGCCCTTTGTCAGACGAGTAGGTTGCGAAAATTTTCTCCCATTTTGTAGGTTGCCTGTTCACTCTGATGGCAGTTTCTTTTGCTGTGCAGAAGCTCTTTAGTTTAATTAGATCCCATTTGTCAATTTTGTCTTTTGTTGCCATTGCTTTTGGTGTTTTAGACATGAAGTCCTTGCCTATGCCTATGTCCTGAATGGTAATGCCTAGGTTTTCTTCTAGGGTTTTTATGGTTTTAGGTCTAACGTTTAAGTCTTTAATCCATCTTGAATTGATTTTTGTATAAGGTGTAAGGAAGGGATCCAGTTTCAGCTTTCTACATATGGCTAGCCAGTTTTCCCAGCACCATTTATTAAATAGGGAATCCTTTCCCCATTGCTTGTTCTTCTCAGGTTTGTCAAAGATCAGATAGTTGTAAATATGCGGCGTTATTTCTGAGGGCTCTGGATCATTTTAACGTGCATTTCTCACTTTATGTTCTTTGCTAATGACTTACTTCTTGCTGTTTATTTTATATGTATTTTAGACCATGGAAATCATATTAGACAAAAAGCAATTTCAAGCAATTTTCTTATTCTAGTTCAAAATGGGCCATAAAGCAGTGGATACAACTCACAACATCAACAACACGTTTGGCCCAGGAACTGCTAACAAACTTACAGTGCAGTGATGGTTCAAGAAGTTTTGTAAAGGAGACAAAAGCCTTGAAGTTGAGGAGCATAGTTGCCGGTCACTGGAAGTTGACAAGGACGAATTGAGAGCAATTGTTGAAGCTGATCTTCTTACAACTGCATGAGAAGTTGCTGAAGAAATCAATACTGACCATTCTATGGTCATTTAGCATTTGAAGCAAATTGAAAAAGTAAAAAAGCTCAGTAAGTGGGTGCCTCATGAGATGAACAAAACTAAAAATAAAAGTAGATTGTCATTTTTAAGTGTCATCTTCTCTTTTTCTATGCGACAACACGAAACCGTTTCTTGATAGGATTGTGACGTGCGACAAAAAGTGGATTTTATATAACAACCGGCAATGACTAGCTCAGTGGTTGGGCCGAGAAGAAGTTCCAAAGCACTTCCCAAAGCCGAACTTGCACCAGAAAAAGGTCATGGTCACTGTTGGGTGGTCTGCTGCCAGTCTGATCCACTACAGCTTTGTGAATCCCAGAGAAACCATCACATCTCAGAAGTGTGCTCAGCAAATCGATGAGATGCATCAAAACGGCAAGGCCTGCAGCTGGCACTCATCAACAGAAAGGGGCTAATTCTTCACAAGGTCCAGTGGCACGTCACACAACCAACACTTCAAAAGTTGAATGAGGCCGGGCGTGGTGGCTCACGCCTGTAATCCCAGCACTTTGGGAGGCCGAGGTGGGCGGATCACGAGGTCAGGAGATCCAGACCATCCTGGCTAATTTATTAGAAACCCCGTCTCTAATAAAAATACAAAAAATTAGTTGGGGGTAGTGGCGGCGCCTGTAGTCCCAGCTACTCCGGAGGCTGAGGCAGGAGAATGGCGTGAACCTGGGAGGCAGAACTTGCAGGGAGCTGAGATCGCCCCACTGCACTCCATCCTGGGTGACAGAGCAAGACTCCGTCTCAAAAAATAAAATAAAATAAAAATAAAAATAAAAATAAAAAGTTGAATGAATTGGGCTATGAAGTTTTGCCTCATCCACCATATTCAGCTGACCTCTTGCCAACCGACTACCACTTCTTCAAGCATCTTGACAACTTTTTGCAGGGAAAATGCTTCCACAACCAGCAGGATGCAGAAAATGCTTTCCAAGAGTTCATCAAATCCCAAAGCACGGATTTTTACGCTACAGGAATAAACAAACTTATTTCTCATTGGCAAAAATGGGTCGATTGTAATCATTCCTATTTTGATTAATAAAAATGTGTTTGAGCCTAGTTATAATGATTTAAAATTTATGGTCCAAAACCGCAATTAACTTTGCACCTATCTAATATATTAGGAGATACACAAACTGAAAAATAGATGAAATGTTCTTATTCTTATTTTGATATATGACTAAATAAAAGAGGTTAAAAAGAGGGAAAATACATTTGTGTGTGTGTGTCTGTGCGCCTGAGTGTGTGTGTTTAAGTCAAGTGTGGGAATTGTTTACACAGGTCAGAATTAATTATAATCCCTGAGGTAGTATCAAATAAGGTAACAATAGCAAACCAAGTATAGTGACTCATAGTCTTTGACAACTATAATAAAGTATATCAAAAAAAATATTTTTGAGAGTTAGCTATGTATAAGAAAATAATGTTATGTTATGTCTTCATAAAAAAACTATCACAGAGACATTGCTCATTGTGATTAAAATGAAATGTTTCATTTTAAGTATGTGTATGGACAGTTTAAAATGGAATTTAATGGAATGTCTGGAAAAAGAGTATATATACTTCAGAATCCTTATAAAATAAAATTGAAACTATAAGAAACATGAGATAAAATATTTTATAAATACATAACAATTATTTTTTAATCAACTGATTGTAAGTCTAGCAATTATTTGGTATATTTGTTAGAGATATAATCAAGTCACTTTCAGTCTAACATTTTGGCATTGAGAGGTTAGTTTTCAAAAACATAATAATCTTAAAGTCCATGATTGACCAAAGAAATATAAAAGTCAGCTAAAGCCACTGAAAGCCCACTCAGTGTAGAGTATTTGATGACATATTTGAGATAATATAAGTCAAATTCTATGAATTTAATGGAAAGATGAGAATGGAGGTAAAACTTGAACTTGTACCTTTAAAGAGGTAATGAATTATAATAGGCTATCTTATTCCCTCATATAAATATGAATTCATGTAGATGAACATTTTATTTCCAAAATAGTTATCTTAGCTCTCAGAGACATTACATTTCCAAGAGTAAGACATAGGCTTACTGTAAGACTTTCTAGTAGTCCAAAAATGTGGTGATTGAACAAAGATCCATAACTTTTTATTTCCCAAACTTACATAGCTTTGTCTAAAATATCAAAAATGTATATCCGTTTCCTAGGATTAATGAGTAACTTCAGTATTGAAAATATTAAAATTTATATTTTTAAAGTAAAATTTGGTAATTAACAAAGTTATTTTAATGCTTAGAGGCTTTCAATATATATAAACAATATAAGACATTTATTTTTACTTTCTTACATGGACGTGGCAGTTTATTATTTTAAAATACACAGGTCTAAATTTTTGAAAAATTGTTTATTTTGACAGGACAAAGTATAGAATTTTTCTTATCAATAGCAGACTCAAGGCTAATTTTGGTTTTAAGAGAAGTGAAATAATCATACTACATATAAAAGGATTATAAATTGATATAATTATACTAGACTCTCTTTCATAGTATATTTCATGAAGCATTAAAACATTTGTATTTATAATTTTATCATTTCTACTTCTAGAAATCCAGCCAAGAGAAATGATCCTACATATGCAAAGTTTTATACAGAAAAATGTTCACTGTGGTGTTACTACTAATGATAAAAATATGTAATCTAGATATAAAATATATTTGATGGTTTGATAATCATATGAAATCCATTAACATAACCATCAGGGAGTAATTGAAATTGTACTTACAATAACATTTAATCACTTGGAAAATTTCTAATTTTCTTTTGCTAAGCTAAAAAGCAAGATACAGGTTTGCACACAATATAACATTAGTTTTAATTATGAAAATGACCTAGACTTGGGACAGAAATTGTCAAGAAATGTATTAATTTACAGCATCATAAGTGATTTATGTGCATAACAATTTCACCATATTCTTTTAAACACTTCTCATTTTAAGAGTCTTAAATTTTCCTAATGTGAGGGTTATAAAACATTCTATCATTAAAGTCTACATCTGTGTCTACCTAACAGTTAGAAAATGTGTAAATAATTTTATTTCCTATAAGCTATTTGCATTAGTTTCCTAGGGTTGCCAGAGCAAAATGGAGGCCAGACAAAACATAAAAGGCCAGACAAAACATAACAAAAAGTTCACACCTCTAGAGGCCAGAAGTTCAAGATCAAGGTGTTGGCACGTTTGGTTTCTTCTGAGGGGGTCTCCCCTTGACTTTCAGATGGCCACTTTCTCGCTGTGTCTTCACATGGTCTTCGCTCTGTGTACACGTGCCCCTGGTGTCTGTCTCCCTCTGTGTCCTAATCTTCCCTTCTTATAAAGACACCACGCATATTGGATCAGGGCCTGGGTTAACTTAATTATCTTTTAAAGGCCCTATTTCCAAATATAATCACATTCTGAGGTACTGGGAGTGCTTTGACATAAGAATTTTGGAGATACACAATTCATCCCACGACACCATTCATCATTTCTCTTCAGAGAATCAGGTTTAATATTTTCTATATCTTTCTCCTTACTTCTTGTTTTCTTAATGATTTTGCATAAGACAATTTATTTAAAAATATTTCATGATTTTTGACATACAAAGTTTCCTGGGTTTTATAAATACATAATTTTTTTTGGTCTCTTGATTCTTTTCAGCTCTGTTATTTCCAATGATTTCGTATTGTGTGTGATAGAAGCAGAATAGTAAACAAAAGCTTCATTTCTGGAATTAGATTGCCTGGATTTTGTTATAGTTTTCCCACTTACTATCTGAGTAACTTTGAGCTCGTCCCTTCCATTGGTTTCTTCATCCCTTATAAGGGAAAATAGAACCAACCTTGTAGAGTTGTTGTCAGAATTTAAGTAATATGGGCAAAGCACACAGAACAGTTTCTAAACCACATTAAACAACAAATGATTAACACTTAGGAATGACACCTTTAGATAGCTCCATGATTAGTACATAAGAATCATATCAAAAGAGTAGGTGTTACCTTTAAAATATAAAATATGAAAAGTAAACAAGAGAAGAAGCATAGGTTTTGTGAACAAATCTGTGCTTCTGTAAGAAAGCAGTAAATAGAAGAAAATACATCAGGCTTTGCCATCAAAATTGATACTAAACATTTTAGCTGTGCAAACTTAGAAAAATAAGCTCTCCTCTCTCAGCTTCACTTCTGACCTGTAAGACCAAAAGAATATTTTCTGTATATCAGGACAATGCTTGTTACATCGATTAAGAAAAAAAGTGTCAGTTTTCTAGTTTCTACTTCTTCAGGATGTCTGTAAATTCAAAATGGTTGTCCAGCTCTGTGAAGTTAAAATTTATTCACAATTCTATAAACAGATTTGTTTTTTTGCCATGTGTTTCTGCCCAAGACTTTTTAAGTCCTCAGAATGAATCCTGACTTGTTATTGTGGCCACTTTCTATGTTGATGTGCGCAGCACACATGTCCATCAAAGTCTTCCTCTGCAGTTAGTTAATTCACTGGGGCACAGGCTACCCACACCAATGGCACAAGGCTACAGAAATCTAATACATCATCTTCCTTTTCACTGTAGCAGAACATCTCTTTTCACTTTTAACTATATGTGCAAAACCGCATAGAGGGAAAGATTAACAAAAATATGCTCTCCATCCACTTTAAACAGCCTAAAAAAATGGCTCTCTGCAACAACATGGACTAATCTGAGAGAACAATTTAAATGTAAACCTTTGTCCTTTCCATTTGGGTGGATTTGGCAACAGATAACCCAATAATCTGATTTCCATGAAGGGTCCAGAATAAAATTCATATTTTGGCCAGAATAATATTTATGTTTTACACTCGCAAAATAACAACTGTATATTGGCAATGCAATGGTAAACTAGTTAAAAAGCCCCCTGCTCTGAAGAACTTAAGAATTGAATACTGCGAATCAATTTAAGTCAAAATAAGAGTGTGTGTGTGTGTGTGTGTGTGTGTGTGTGTATGAATAAAGGAGGTAATATTCCATGTCAAATTCTGTAAGAATGGAAAGAGAAAACAGATTGAGAATAGATGAACTTGGCAATCAGAAATTTACAGTAGAATAGAGGAAAATTATAGTAGTATAGTTTGTGAGTAGTGGAGATATTACTATGTTTGAAATAAAAAAGCATATTTTTAGTAATTTAATAAAATATTTAGTTGATAGTACTTTTATTTTTGATGATAAATATAAATGCATTGTTTTATATTTTGTGAAAACACACATGGAAGATATTACCCAGGTGTGCTGAATGTTTCCCATTCCTCCCTCCTTACATCCCTGTTGACCTCCAGGAGGCTATCCAGGAAGCTGATCTCAATAAACTGCATATGCATACAGAGTTTTCATGACCTTTGGCCTCTAGGTGGCTTTGACTACAGGAGGTACTCATGAATCACAGGGTGTTATGGACTGAATTGTGTCCACATAAATGTGTATGTTGAAGACCTATCTCACATTTCCTCAGAATGGGACTATATTTGGAGATGGAGCTTTTAAAGACAGCAGTACATTCATTAAAATGTGGCCTTTGGAGTGGACCTTAATCCAATATAATTGGTAGCCTTTGTTTAAATAAAAAAGATTAGGACATGCAGGGGGAAAAACCAAGAATGTTCCTGTACAGAGAAAAGACTAAGATGAAGACAAAGTGAGAAGGTGACATCTGCAAGCCAAACAGAGAGCCACAGAAAAAGCCAAACCAGGCAACATCTTGATTCCAGATCAAGCCTCTAGCACTGTGAGAAAATCAGTTGTTGTTGTCAAAGCCCCTGATCTGTAGTAATTTGTATGGCAATCCTAGGAAACTAATATGGAGATCAACATATTTTTTCCCAATCCCCCAACTCTCCCTCCATGCAGGTTGCAGTTTGGCAGTGGCTGAAGTCCAGAGCCACAGCTTCTGTTGGGCAGCCCTCTCCCACAGACACAGTTCTCATTAGGTGGTTTCCTTTATGAAAGCAAAAAGTGTCTGCTGTCTTCTGTTGGCTTTTCTGTCTAATAACTCTGTCTATTAGTGTCTTTCTTCTCTGTGTAAGCTTTTATATTGTCTCTTCCTTAAATTCTCTGCAACTGTCCCTTTGAAACATGTGATTAGTTTTCTTTTTTTTGAGATGAAGTTTTGCTCTTGTTGACCAAGCTGGAGTGCAATGGTGCGATCTTGGCTCACTGCAACCTCTGCCTCCTGGGTTCAAGCGATTCTCCTGCCTCGGCCTCCTGAGTAGATGGGATTACAGGTGCGTGCCACCATGCCCACCTAAATTTTTGTATTTTTTTTTTAGTCGAAACAGGGTTTCACCATGTTGGCCAGGCTGATCTCGAACTCCTGACCTCAGGTGATCCACCTACCTCGGCCTCCCAAAGGGCTAGGATAACATAGATGCCCATTAATGAGGAAAATCAAGGATGTGTTTTCAGGGCATAGTGTTATGTTATGATAAAGTGACTTGGATTCATTATATATTATATATTATATGTTATATAATAATGCATTATTTGTCATATTCTATACACCATATCTTATATGTTATATGCAATATATTGTATATTTTCCATTATATCACTGCCAGTGGTGGATACATTTTGATGTTTGTAATATAAAGTCAGATGATCAAGTCATTAGAGAGGTACATCTTTTTCTGTACATCAGAGGTATTTATTCACATACTGGAGATATTCAGTTGAATGAATAGATTTCTTTATTCTATGAGTTGTTGTTATGGTTTGGCTACATCCCCACCTAACTCTCATCTTGAATTGTAGTTCCCATAATGCCCACATATCCTGGGAGGGACCTGGTGGGAGGTAATTTAATCATGGGGGCAGTTACCCCTATGCTATTCTCTTAACAGTAAGTTCTCACAAGATTTCATGAGGTCTGATGGTTTTATAAGGGGCTTTCCCGTTCACTTGGCTCTCATTCTTCTTCCTGCCACCCTGTGAAGAAGGATGTATTTGCTTCCCCTTCCACCATGATTGTAAGTTTCTTGAGGCTTCCCCAGCCATGCTTACTGTGACTCAATTCAACTTATTTTCTTTATAAATTACCCAGTCTTGGGTATGTCCTTATAGCAGAATGAGAATGGACTAATACAGTTGTCTAACAAGGTATATTTGTGACATATAAATTCTCAAAAAAATAGACACAATGGAACAGAATACATGGATTCATTAAGTCTCCTTAAAACCTCAGCTTGAACCCAGAGGTTCAAGAAAATAGGGCTCTTTTTTACTATTAGAAGGAAATCAGTTTTGTCATACCAGTTTCTAACTCTCAATAGAAGATGTACAGTAATTTTCTTTTATTCGATTTAAAACCCAACTCCTAGAAATATGGCCCAATTGATGTTTTTGAACATGAATCTACCCTTGCTTCTCCTCTTTGGGGGTCTGTCTCCATTTGTCCTGCATAATCCTTATGAGTGATTGGAGCAAGAAGAAGGAAAATATCTGTGCTTCCCCTAGAGTTAGTATGATTATTACTTCACCACTCATAGCACACTTACCATATGCTGAGCTCTGGGAACAACTTGGGGAAGCAAAAGGAAAAAGAAAACACACACATCTTTGGGTTTAAGAAGAAAGCCAGCAAACAAAACAACAAAGCAAAAAAAACAAAACACATTAATGACATAAAATTGCACATCCCAGGTGGATGTTGGTGAGGGAGGAGCAAATATTCTCTGATCAAGATACTAATGATTGCACTAGAGGTTCAAATAGCATCCTTCCAGGTGGAGAAAAACTGAGTTGGGTTATGCATAGAAATCTTGTCAGGCAAGTATTTAAAATGTGGAGGGTTGTCCACAGGCAGGCATTCCTAAGTACTATATTAAGGTAAAAAGGTAGGACTCTAGCTCACGCCTGTAATCCCAGCATTTTGGGAGGCCAAGGTGGGTGGATCACCTGAGGTCAGGAGTTCGAGACCAGCCTGGCCCACATGGTGAAACCCCGTCTCTACTAAAAATACCAAAAATTAGTCGGTCGTAGTGGTGGGTGCCTGTAATCCCAGCTACTCAGTAGGCGAGACAGGAGAATCGCTTGAACCTGGGAGGCGGAGGTTGCAGTGAACTAAGATCATGCCATTGCACTCCAGCCTGGGTAACAAGAGCAAAACTCTGTCTAAAAAATAACAATTAAAAAAAATGTAGGATTCTAGTCATCATGAAGGGGAAGATCCTGACAGACCCTCATCCTCACAGGAAACTAAAGTACTATTTTAGTTACTGGAAGAGTTATTCCAGATAGCACCCAGAAGACTGGGGACAGGAGGTAAGAAAACTTTGCCTTCTCAGTACAAGATTAGGGGATCCAAGTACGAGAGTGGAAGCTGCAGCAGGGCTGAACTGAAGCTGATGAGACAGAATATTCACCATTTGCTTTTCCACTATTGCATTGCATTTTAAGCATACTGGTCATCCCGGGAGATATGTATCAGGGTGATAGAAGGGAAGATGCAATAATGTCCTGCCTGAAATGGGGAAATATGAGTGGTTTAACCACTTATTGCTTTAAGCCTCACATTGACTGGGAACTGAGACAGGCCTGAGCTTGACAGATAAAGAAGCCAATGCACGTAGGGGGAGTGGAGGAGACCGAGGCTGGACAGACACTTGGCACTGGTAGGTGATAAGATGATGTGGAACAAAAGTCCTCCTCTCAAAGTCATTTTCAGACTCCAGCTATCATCATTCATCCAAGAATCATTCCATATTTCAGGGATTCATAGAATTTATAGCAAAGGCCTTCAGTCGCCTAGGAATGTTTAAATTTTGTAGCAGTATGTTTTTTGAGTATGCTTACACTGACTTAGTTTGGCCAATTGTGTTGTGTAGTGTAAACAATCAAACAAATGACATGGTGGGATTTCTGAGCAGCACTGTCTGGTATCTTGCTGATGGTGTCTTTAATAATAGATGGCACTTGATTTTAGATATAAATACATGAAAATAGTTTGAATGTTGATATTGTTTACTTTGACTTTATGTTGCTGCAGGTTTACAAATCTGAGAAAAAAAATATTTCTGGAAAACATAGGAACTGCATTTTGTTTTCTGTTGCTGCATGATACTGAATAAAGAATGACAGCAATCCATGATGGGAGCAGGTTTCAGCACATCAAATCATCATCCTACCGACTGTCCAGGAACAGTTATTGGATGTTTTCCTGGGATGTCAATAATTTTGAGTGATTCATAAACCATATAAATTAGGTTTCAAAATAATTACACTTGTGTGTACAAAGTTTGCCTTCCTACTGGCGGGTATCACATTCCAAATTGTAACAAATCAAATAGTGTCACAAACATACAAATCAACCTATAAATAATATATGAAAAGCCATAAATAATAAATACCTTCTTATCGTATCTCAAGTTAACACCAAACTCAGTTTCTTCTGTGAAATTTGTAATTTATATTTCAGTAAAAATCACTGTTTCCTCAGTATTTTATAAAAATCGATCTGTCATATCTTGTGTGTCTTAGACCTCAGCCAGGCTCCATAAAATGAAAACAAAGTTAAACAACTTCACAAGAGACAGAAATGGCCTTTTAAGATTCATAGGAGTGTGCCTTCTTGTCTAATCTGAGCAGCCATCATGGCAAGATTGATGTACATTGGCTGAGAAGCGTTTCGTGAGGCGGCTGTCTGCTCAGTAGTACCAGAATGGAGCTATCTGTCTTCATTGTACCCCATTAACATGCCCCTCAGATCTATCAGGCAAATGTCTGCATACCTACTTTATAAATTATTACAAGCGACAGTTAAATATTTCAGAACTTGTTTGGGGATATCACTCACCTTATAGTTTTTAATTTATACACACTCATGATTTTAAACATTTTAAGTTCAAGGATTACTTGGAACTACTTTTATATTTTCACTTTACATGAGCTTATTCTGCTGATAGTAATCCATCCAGTTTTGAAAAGTGCGGTCAGTGTATTGAAGTAAATTTTAAAAATTCAAATTATTCACTAACAAACAGCACATTTTCTTTAACAATTAAGTAGCCAAGATTTCATAGCAATATAATAAAAAAAAAATGTTATTCGTTTTCCTTTTAATGCAAAATAATTCTGAACTAAAAAGAATGCATTCAAATCATGTTTATCTGAAACTTTTGCTTTTTAAATTACTTTTATTTACTCACTTAAATTTTATTAGCCTACTGACACACAATATTTCAATTTGTAGTAATAATGCTTTAAAAGCCCAAGGTTTTACTTTAATAATTTTAGTGTGTTAATTTTTAAGAACTCAAATTGTTAAGTATTATTCATAGAACAATTATTCCAATGTTCTCCTGAACTATAAAGCTACTGTACACGAGAGTGAATTGGTTATAGAAATGGAGACAGGGAGCAGATTTTTTTCAATGTAATTAAAATAAATTTGAACTGAATAAAGTTCAATGTATTTCAGATTTAATAGGCATTGTATTTACTAATAAAAAAATTGCATGCTTGAACTTACTTAACCTTGGAGAGTAGAGGTAGCTTTTCATTAATCTCCTTTTTTAAAGTTGGATGAGGTTATGTAACTGAAATAGACATTAAAATTGAAGAGACATTCTTCATGGATTACAGAACAGTATTTGGAAGGAAACCAAATCATTAAAATATCACCAATAAATAATTAAATTTGCTTATTACATTGAAAGGACAGAACTAGAATAAAATTTATTGAGGCTACTGTGAGCCAAAGGCTTTATATAAATTATTATGTTATATCTTCATAATACTCTTTTGTGGTAGATATTTTCTCATATATTAAAGTTGGAAAAACAGGTTTAGGGAAGTTAAGTCAATTTCAAAAATACCAAATGAGTAAGAAGTACAAATCAGGATCTTATCTAGTTCTGTCTGACTCCAGTGGCAGTGATGTGTGCATTACATATTTGCGTGTGTGTGTCAAAAGAAGAGCAAAGGAGACTTTAGAAGAGATGCTGATTAAAGAAGATCAGAGGCAGAGACGGGCGGATCATGAGGTCAAGAGATTGAGACCATCCCGGCCAACATGGTGAAACCCTGTCTCTGCTAAAAATAGAAAAGTTAGCCAGGCATGGTGGCGGGTGCCTGTAGCCCCAGCTACTCAGGCGGCTGAGGCAGGAGAATGATTTGAACCTGGGAGGGGGAGGTTGCAGTGAGCCGAGATCACGCCACTGCACTCCAACCTGGAGACAGAGCAACACTCTGTCTCAACAAAAAAAAAAAAAAAAAAAAAGAAGATCAGAAATATCTTTTTTACTTTCTCTTCCCATTTTTTTAGAATTTTATTGAAGTATAAATGAAATACCATAAACTGCAAATATTGATAAATTTTGATACGTGTATGTCTAGTGCAAATAATGAAGATAATGAAAATATTGCATATCTGTCAACCAAAAATATGTTATTTATACCCGTTTGTACTTTCTCCATCCTGCCTCTTTTTACTACTTCCTCCCACTCCTAACAACAGCTGATCTGCTTTCTGTCACTATAAGATTAGTTAGTATTTTGTATAAATGGACTGATTACAGGAGCCACCTTTTTTTCTGACTTTTTTCATTTAGGATAATTATTTTGAGATTAATCCATGTAGCTACAGGTATCAAAAATCTGTTCCTTTGTATTGTTGAGTAGTATTCCATTGTAAGGATATACTGTAATTTGTTTGTTTATACACTTAATGGACATTTGGATTTTACTAGTTCCTGGTTATTGCAAAGAGAGCTTCATCCTTTTCCAGAGTTCATATGAACCTACACTTTTTCTCCTATTCATGCAACTCATAGCACCTATCATATGCTATGTGAATGTTTATGTGTGTATATATAAAAACATATATATACACACATATAAACATATATACACATATATAAACATATATACATATATAAACATATATACACACATATATAAACATATATATACACATATATAAACATATATAAACATATATATATACACATATATAAACATATATATACACACATATATATATATTTGATTAAACTCTTTTTGGAGTAGTTGTACCATTTTACACTCGCATCAGCAGTATATGAGAGTTCTAGTTCAACCACATCCTTGTCAACACTTTGTATTTTTTCTTAATTTTCTTTTTGAAAAAAATCTAGCCTTCTAATAAATGTGCATTGACATACTATTACAGATTTGCTTTGTATTTCCCTAAAGACTAATGATTTCCAGCCTCTTTTAATAAATTTATTTGCCATTCGTATATCCTTTTTTATGAAGAGCCTCTTCATATCTTGAGCACAGTTTTAAAATTTGAGTTTTTTTCTTATTATTGTATTTTACAAGTGCATCATATATCTTAAATAAAATCCTTTACCGCATACAAGATTTACAAATATTTTTTCTAATATCTGGCTTAAATTTTTATTTTATTTCTAATGTCTTCCAAAAATTAGAAGTTCTTCAATTCGATAAAGCACATTTTATCAATTCATTTATTTTTTAAATAAATTATGATTTTGTTGTCTTATTTAGGAAAACTTTGCCTATTTCATGGTCACACAGATGTTCTCTTAAGGTTTCTTCTAGAAGATTCTGTTTTAGATTTTAACTTTAGGTCTATGGTGCATAGTAAGGATAAAGATACCATGCATATTTCCTTTTTTTAAAAAAAATGGACATTAATTATTGGTTTTGTTTGTTTGTGTTTTGAGACAGAGTCTCAGTTTGTTGCCCAGACTGGAGTACAGTGGCGTGAACACAGCTCACTGCAGCCTTGAACTTCTGGGCTCAAGTGATCCTCCCACGTCAGCCTCCCCAAGTAGCTGGGACTACAGGTATGGATCATCACGCTCATCTAATTTTTGTATTTTTTGTAGAGACTAGATTTTGCTATGTTGCCTAGGTTGGTCTCAAACTCTTGGGCTCAAGTGATCAGCCCACCTACGCCTCCCAAAGTGCTGGAATTACAGCCTGAGCCACCGTGTCGGCCATTAATTGTTTTACCACTGTGATAATCAGCCTTATGTGTAAAGCTGATTAAGCTATAGTTCCTAATTATTCAATCTAACATCTAAGTTTTGTTCAAAGACGTTTCTGTAGATATTATTAAGTGAGGAAGATGATTCTAGATAATCACGGTGGGCCTGAATCAGTCAGTTGAAAAGCCTTAAGAGAAGGCGGGAGTTTTCCCTGAGGAGGAAGCCATTCTGCCCATGGACTGCAACCTCAGCTCATGTCTAGAATACGTGAAGTGTTTCAGCTTGCCCTCCCTGACAGCCTTCCCTATGCCAATGCCTTGCGATAAATCTCTGTCCTCTCTCTCTCTCCTTCGCTCCCACCTTCTCTCTCCCACTTACTTACCCTACTGGTTCTGTTCTCTGGTGGAACACTGACTGATGCTACCACCGTTTCCTGAAAAAGATTATTTCTTTTCTCCGTAAATTGCCTTTACATTTTTGTCGAAGATCAATTGTATGAATATGTGTAAGTCCATTACTAGGCTTTCCTATTTTTTGAGACTGAGTCTTACTCTGTCACCCAGGCTAGAGTGCAGTGGCGCGACCTCGGCTCCCTGCAAGCTCCGCCTCCCAGGTTCACGCCATTCTCCTGCCTCAGCCTCCCGAGTAGCTGGGACTACAGGCGCCCACCACCACGCCCGGCTAATTTTTTGTATTTTTAGTAGAGACGGGGTTTCACCGTGTTAGCCAGGATAGTCTCGATCTCCTGACCTGGTGATCTGCCCGGCTCGGCCTCCCAAAGTGCTGGGATTACAGGTGTCGCCACTGAGCCCGGCCGTCCATTACTAGACTCTTATCTGTTCTATTAATTTGTTGGACTATCCACCACTACCTACCATGCTGTCTTGACTACTGCATTTTTATCATATATATTGGAATCAGATAGCATAAATTTTCATGGGAGAGAAGCTGAGATAATTGGTTTGAATCTTTTTGTTCTTTTCTAATATTGATTTTCATTGTTAAAAATACACCTGAAAATACTGACTTAACTGAATCTCACAAATATATACATTTCAGAAATATATATTACATATTTAAAAATTAGATAAGTTTGGTTGATAATAATGCTCATTTCTACCACATTGCTACTAGTTTTCTATATGTATAATGTTTATTATTCTCCCTTTTCTCGTTTCCTAGGAAATAAAAACATAAATTTAGAACTCTTTATCCAACACAAGTTTTTAAAAAAATGAATGTGTTGTAAAACCGATGTAATGACTTAAGATTTAAGTCTTTATAAAGACTATCAAACATATATAGATTGGAAAGAGTCATCACTTGCAGAGCAACACTATAAGAAATGGTAATAAAAAAGCTTTAGGCAGGAAAATAATACCAGATAAAATGCTTTAAAAATGGCAAACACATAAGCATATAAAATATCTTTTTATTTTTGTTTATTCAAAAGATAACTGGATGCTAAAAAATAATGACAATGTATTCTTGACACACCAAAATAAAAATTGTGTCATAAGAAAAGAAATCAGCTTTGACCATCTACCATACCCAGAGAACAAAATAAAACATGACTGTGTGAGTTAAATAAGACCTTTTCTGCTTCACACCTATCCCCACTTCCAAAACTCCCTGGAGCGTGTTGTTGTTTTTGTTTGTTTATTTGTTTTAAGAATGTCCAAAATACACAAAATCTATCAGAAATTTAATCAAGTGACAAGGAAGAAATAAAATGAGTACAAGTCCTTAGTGGGAAATTTTAAAAGTTGTTTGTGAATGTATCCTATCAAGAAGAATCAATTCAACACAATGATTTTGTGGATTTTGGAATGTTTAATAAAACTATATACCAAAGCATTAAAAATGATGTATTAATGGAGCAAAATGAAGGTTATTTTTTCTATTTTACTTTATATATTTGTGTACTCTTTGGGGTATTTTTAAAAACATTTATTACCATTAGAATCAAAATTAAAGATATTTCAATTATTTAAAGTTATAAAATTGTATTTAACTTTTTTTGTCATTATCTGATGGTGATCTAAAAGCAGTGCTTCTCAAAATTGTATGCATTAGAATCACCTGGGGAGTTTTCTAAAGCAAAATGTGCTGTACCCCATTCCCAGAGTTTCTGGTTTCAGTAGAATACGGGATGGAACCTGAATACATCCAATTTTAAGATGTCATCAGATCATGTTCATGTTCATTTAAGAATCATACTTTATGAACCAGAGGACTGCAGTATACATTTGATGTGTCCTTTGTCAAGAAAGTATCAAGGATGTTGATCAAGTTATACATATCTAAGCATATAATTGTCCTTCAGCACACACAGGGGATTGGTTCCAGGACCCCTGCCTATATTCAAATCCACACATACTCAAGTGCCACAAAAAGCCCTCTACATATGCAGGTTTGGCTTCTCGTGAATACTATTCATTCAATGTTTGGTTGAAAAAAAATTCATGTATAAGTGGATCCACACAGTTTAAACCCATATTGTTCAAGAGTCAACCATATCTCAATTTTGTTATTGTACAAGTGTTAACAGAAGTTCTCTGAGAAGGAATATGGAGAAACAAGACTTTAATCCAGTGAATAGTTTGGAAACCTGGGAGATGCAGCTATTGGTGGAAAATGAAGCTAACAGTCTAGAGAACAAAGACAGGGTTTGGTTTTATGTTAAAAGTTCTCAGGCAGGTTCCCAATCTGTTCCATTTATGCAAATGAAGAATTCAAACTTGCTTAGTTCGGATTTTGACACAGCTGAGTCCTGATTGGTTGATACAGTTGAGTTCTGAGTGGGTCTGTCTAGGCAGATGTGCTCTGACTGATTGGTTCAGGTGAGCTCTGATTGGTTGGTTTCCAAGTCCAAAAACAGATTTCTCTGCCAGATGTTTTCTTCAGATGACAGGTGATATGGGATTCCAGCAGCAGCTTATCTTGGCACTAAACACAGAAACTTGTTTGGCTTAATTGTAGGAAGTGAGGTCCTGTGATACTTTACATCTTTTTAATCTTTCTGAGGACACAGAGTATGTGACTGCTCCCTCAGTCAGCCATGGGGATTTTGTCTGTTGGCCAGGGTACTTGGGGCAGATTTTAACATAAGTGAAATAATTTGGCTGAGCATATTAACCTTGAGTATAATCTCCTGTCAGTACTCTCATAACATTTATTTTTTTAAAGATTGCCATTGTTTGAACTAGTGCACTTTTTTTTTTAACTCTTTCCCTGGTAGAAGTTCTGATATCCCTTGATAATTCTCATTCCCGGTGCTATGGACGGGTCTGATTCCACCTTAATGAATGAGAATGTGCTTCTCAGTCTGAGCCAATCCAGTAGTGTGCCATCAAGCCAAGTGCATTTGGTTCATGAGCTGAAAAATTATCCAATCCAGACCCATTAAAGTAGTGATAAACAAATCCAGGACTTCTGAAGCTTTCTGATTATGGTATCAAAAATTCAAGATGAAATCCAAATAGCCCTGACAGCCATGTTTCATCATGTAGAGATTACTGAGAATGAAACCACAATAAAGAAGGTAGAAGGGAAAAGACAAAGTTGTGTGTATGTGTTGAGGGGGTGGGGAGTGTGTTGTATGCTTCAGATGCAGCAATTATTAAAATACCCTAGTTTTTACTCAGAAATTTAAATCATATGACTAACTAGAGCATCTCTCTCCTTCTCCCTCAACCTTTATTTATATTTATTTTATTTTCTATGTAGTTATTTAAAACAGGATTTTTATCACTTTCAGTGAAGTATTCTAGAGAATACGGATTGATTCTGGTTTGTATCATTTGAAATATTAATCTGTTTCTTATTGAAGTCTTTAAGAAATATGCATTTTAGGAAGGACATTTTAACAAATATTATACTAAGTATTATGTCTACTTAAGAAATATTTTTATGCTGCATTATTTTACAGCTCAGTAGATATTTTTCCCTATTTTACTATTCTTATTTTTTTCCAGGATATTTCTTATGTAATTTCTGTGGCACTTACATACTATTTATTTTCTTGTTTTCATATATTTCATATTCTCATTGTTTTAAGTATTACCATATTGTTTTCTTTCTTTTTTGTGTGCGTGACGGGGTCTCACTCTGTTGCCCAGGCTGGAGAGCAGTGGCACGATCTTGGCTCACTGCAGCCTCTGCCTCCGGGTTCAAGCAATTCTCCTGCCTCAGCCTCCCAAGTAGCTGGGATTACAGGCATCTGCCACCAAGTCCAGCTAATTTTTGTATTTTTAGTAGAGATGGGGTTTCACCATGTTGACCAGGCTGGTCTCAAACTCCTGACTGCAAGTGATACGCCCACCTCGGCCTCCCAAAGTGCTGGGATTACAGGCGTGAGCCACCACACCCGGCCTTACCATATTGTTTTCTTTTAGCAGGTTCTCATGAGTATCTCTTCTAGTCAATATGGTTTTCATATTATTATTTCTGATTCTAAAGATAATCATAAATCTGATTTTTAATTTTAATATTTTTATTTTATTTCATTTTATTTACTTCATTAAAAAAGCAAGCGATTACTTTCTAAAATGTTTTGATTTCTAAGAAAAATGCTTTTTGTACATAAGCTTTCACGTATCTCCTCCTTTTATGCTGTGAAATATTTTTCCCCTATGTCAATTCTTAAACATATTTGAATCACATTTTTTTTACCTCAAGGTAAAATGCCTGTATTCTGAGAAATTTAGCTTCTCTCAAGTTGCCTTTAGGGTACTCCATTCAAATTTGGGTTGGGACTTGGTAAATGAGTACTTACCTGACAAGTTTATCATTCTACTTGTTTGTAATGAATAATTTTAATTAAAAATTAATGTCACAAGCAAACTGCTTCCCTATTTCACACATTTCACTTCATATATACCTAAAATAGGAGAAGGAAACAATATCTATCTCCTGGTTTCTTGTAAGTGAATTGTAAATAAAATTAAATATAATTTAATGCATTTTCTATTGCAAGTTAAACGTCTAGTTTATTTTCTTTCTCTACTTCCATTCCTAGAATATAGAAAATGATAAAAAGACACATCTATATTATCTTTTACAAATATTTGTACCCATTTTAATATTGAAATAGTATAAATGAATCATAAAATTTTATGCATATCATTCAAATTACTATGCTTTAGAATGCTTTTGGTGATATGACACATTGCTTTCGGACTGATAATTTCTCTCAGAACAATTTATTTCCATTAGAGAATAAACTCCTTGCATGTATATATTACCATATAAATGGAATTCTTCATACCCTTTATTGAATAAGTCATCTTACTACTATATAATTTATATAGAAATGTGTCTTATGATATTGTTTTGAAGAGTTTGGTTTAATGTTTTACTATACATATATTTATTTCAATTTCCTTACTTAGATCAAGTTCATGGGGGGGACAAAACAGTATCAATAATTTCCTTTACAAAAATGCTTTTCTAGATCAAAATATTTATAAATAACTTACATAAGGTAGTTCATAATTCTTAGGTAAATATGAATAATAAAAACTGTATGCAAATCCTTCAGTTTTACTGTTCTATAAAATCACAATGGAAATAGATTTGATTAGTGAATTGGAAAAATGTTAACCAAGTAAAAATGCTGGCCTTTCCTAACGTATCTTCTTCCACATAGAAAGGATTTTATGAAAAACAGAGCAACATAGCACATCAAAATTAGCAATTCAATAGTAAAATAATTTAACTGATTAATTAAAATACATAATGTACACGTTTTGATATTAAATTGGATACAAATGTAAATGATGTACAAGGCTTCATAGTTGATTTTCTTAGCAGTGCAATTATACATTTTGTAATATTTACCTTACACCTAAGCCTCTAGTTCACATTTTAAAATTATTGTATCAGTAATATTTTCCCTCAGGGTCCACTATCAAAGAGAGAGCTAAAAAGAAATTTGATCTTTTTTCATAAAAAATGTGAATTGTGAATAAACTTTTAAATATAGTACAATAGGTTTAATGGTAGGCATATATAATATTAATTTCTGGGTAAAAAGGGAAACTTGAAAATATTTTATAAGCTAAGCACATAATTAGTAGTAGTTATGTTTCTTTATCATGTAATTAATTGTGAGAGAAAAAAATAATTTCCAAATGATTTATGTTCATTACAGCATTCCCTCCTTTCCATAGAAAGTTGACCCTTGAACAACTTGGAGCTGAGGGGCACTGATTCCCCACACAGTCAAAAATCTGCATATAAGTTTTGACTCCACCAAAACTTAACTACTAATAGCCTACTCTTGACTAGAAGCCTGACCAATAACATTAAGTAGTCAACTAACACGTATTTGTTATGTTATACACTGCATTCTTAAAGTAAGCTGGAGAAAAGAAAGTGTTACTGAGGAAATCATAAGAAAGAGAGCATCTGTTTACTATTCATTAAATGATAGTGGATCATCATAAAGATCTTCATTCTTGTCATCTTCACACTGAGTAGACTGAAGAGGAGGAAAAAGAAGAGAGATTGGTCTTACTGTCTCAAGGGCGGCAGAGGTGGGAAGAGAATTTGTGTATAAGTGGACCCACACAGTTCAAACCTGTGTTTTGCAAGGGTCAACTGTATACTAAGAAAAGTTACTTTAAATATTTTGATGTGGTTTCAGGAGATGAATTATGCTAATTTAAAGTTAAGATTTTAGTCTTGAAAATAGAAAATAATTCTTGGAAATAATTAAAATAATGCATAGGTAGAAAAATACTATATTCTTTTACTCGTTTATTTTGCAAGTGTTTTCAACATGCTCATTACATTCCTGCAAGGTCAGTGTGGCACTTTACATATAGTATCCCTTTAATATCATTTTTTCAGCTTTTATTAGGAAACCTGAGGGCAAGCATACTTTTATGTGAATAGAATTTTGAAGCAGTGAGGTGTTATAATTATCTTCAAATGTTTCATCTTTACTCTCTCCCAATTTACATAAAATGCTATTACCAGAATCACATTTTTAGTAGAGTTCTCCCAGTATTTTTATTCAAAAGAGTATGGTCTTTTCAACATTTTGGAATACTTAGAAGAAAATATAAAACTTTAGCTTCCAATCTGTTATTATCTTGCTGAATATTTCTGATATATTTGATACTGGTGATCACATTCTTTTTCCTTAATTCCATTCACTTCCATATCAACACACATTCTGGATCTGCTCCTAACTCTCTGAACAAATCTTAAATGTAGATACAGCTTAGAATTTTAGCCTTGCTTTACCATTCTCTAAATTCATTCCTGGGACAGTATCATCCACTCTCACAGTTATATGACTTACATTGATATGTTCAAATTTGAAATCTCTATCTCCATTCATATCCTTTTCCAGAATTTTGGATCCCTGAATCCAACTTCTCATTTGTCAACTTATATTTTCAATGGTACAATTTGAGGTACAGGTATCTTCAAAGTTAACGTAGCCCAAATCAAAATCACATTCACCCAAGAACTAGTTTTGCTGCCCCTTCCCTATCTTAGTTATATCCATCATTCTTTTATTTTTCCAAATTGTAAACCTAAGAAGTATCCTTGGAGCACCATCCCCCCCCTTTTTTTTTTTTTGAAATGGAGTCTCGCTCTGTTGCCCAGGCTAGAATGGAGTGGCATGATCTTGGCTCACTGCAACCTCCGCCTCCTGCATTCAAGTGATTCTCCTGCCTCAGCCTCCCAAGTAGCTGGGATTACAGGTGCCTGCCACCACGCCTGGCTGATTTTTGTATTTTTAGTAGAGACAGGTTTCACCGTGTTGGCCAGGCTGCTCTCGAACTCCTGACCTCAGGTGATCCACCCACCTCGGCCTCCCGAAGTGCTGGTATTACAGGCATGAGCCACCACACCCAGCCCCTTTCTTATTTTATACATTAACTAATGCATCAAGTTTTTATTTTACTTCCAAGTAATTCTCACATCTGTCACATTCTCTCAAATTATACTCCTTTGGTTCCAGCTTAAACTCACATAACCTCAGACATAAAATATACTTATTGTCTCATAACCATTCTTTCAATATTTACATTTCAGCATTATTTTCAGCTAGGTTGACCTATGTGAAACACAAATTTGATAACATTTTTCCTCATTTGCCAATACTCTATAGCTCCAACTCTACTTTAGGATTAATCAGTGGCCTCTTCGCTTGAAAAAAAAAAAAAAGGATCTTCATGACATTTCTGAGAATTGCTATTTTTGCCTTATTTTCTCTCTCTGAACACACTTTACACTCCAGCAACACTAATATGCATTATATTCTGAAAAAATAATGCAATGTCTTCTTTTAGCGACTTTACTAACATTGTTAATTCAGCTTGGAACAGCGTTTCTTCCAGTTCTTTGCGTAATTCCTAATTATCCATTTCCTCCCTTCTTTGTAAAACTGCAGTTCTGATAATGGCTAGGAAAACATGTCCTACAGTGCTAGGAAGGCCTATAATGATGCTTTGACTTCATCTGTGTCAAGGAGGTAAGGTTGCTAGATTTAGGGGAACAAAAAATAGGATTCTGAATTAAATTTGAAATTCAGACTAGCTATGGCTTTTAATATAAGTATGTCTCACATGATATGTTGGACATACTTATACTACAAATTTATTTGTTTTTTACATGAAATTCACTTTTAACTATGCATCCTTTATTTTATCTGGAAATCCTACAAGCATGACAAAAGGCATTGCAGAGGGTGGAGAAACCAACACAAACACGATAGGCAATAGGAGTTGAAAATCTGGCCCACTGTTAAGAAATTTGGTGAGAGGCCGGGCGCGGTGGCTCACACCTGTAATCCCAGCACTTTGGGAGGCCGAGGCGGGCGGATCACAAGGTCAGGAGATCGAGACCATCCTGGCTAACACGGTGAAACCCCGTCTCTACTAAAAATACAAAAAATTAGCCGGGCGTGGTGGCGGGCGCCTGTAGTCCCAGCTACTCGGGAGGCTGAGGCAGGTGAATGGCGTGAACCCGGGAGGCAGAGCTTGCAGTGAGCCAAGATCGCGCCACTGCACTCCAGCCTGGGCGACAGAGCGAGACTCCGTCTCAAAAAAAAAAAAAGAAATTTGGTGAGAGAAAAAAATACCAAATGCTTTTTTTCCTGCTCTAATAAAAAAGTTCCAACTGTACAATCTTGGCAAAAGTTATGGTGCAAACCATTATTGCTATTGATTAGTGAACTTATATGCAAGCCAGAGACAAACATTGCAGTGATGTTTCAAATCAGCCTATTCCTTCTCTCCAGAATCCAAAGTTTATATACCAAGGCTTGAAAGGACAGGCATGCTAGCTCTGATTTCTAGCACATTCATGAATATCTCTGTTATTTAGCTAAAAATGAAAGTAGGAACTTAGGTTGGATCTAGTTATTGACTTTGTTTATTTATTACCATAATTTGCGGTAGATCATTCTGGGTGATGGCAGCAGCCCATCTGCTTGGACAACGTTTTCTTTCTTCCCCTTTTACAACTTTATTGAGGTATAATTGACATACGATAAAATGTACATATTTTAAGTAGTCTGACAAATCCTTATGCACATGGAAACATCACCATCACCACATCAAGATAATGAACACATCCATAATTTTGATATTCTTTCTCTAATTCCTTATACCCAGGCAACAACCGATTTGCTTTTTGTCGCTATGTTTTAAATATGTAGAATATATATTATTCTAAATATATTATATATATAGGACTAATAAGTATCTACTGTATAATGTTTTGTATTATGCAGTATTATTCAACAAAATTATTTTGAGATTTATCCATTTTATTGTTTGTATAAATAATTCATTTATTTTTATTGCTGGAAGGGTACATAATTATAAGTGGTGTGTGCTTCAATTTGTTTATCCACTCACATGTTGATGGACATTTGGATTGTTTACAGGTTTAAGATATTACAAATAAAGCTGATACAAACTTCGTGTACAATCCTTATACATGTATGGACCTACGCTTTCGTTTCTCTTGGGAAAATACTTAATACTATAATCATTTAATTATACTATACATATGTGTTTGAGAAACTTTCAAATTGTTTTCTGAAAGGCTTGTAACATTTTCATTGCCACTAACATTGCATAAATATTCCAGTTACTCTACATTCTTTTCAATACTTGAAATTCTTAGTCTTTTTAATGTTAGACTTTCAAGTATGTGTGGTTTTACTTTGTATTTTCATAATGGCAAATGATGACTATCTCTTCTCGTGCTTATTTATGATCTGCAAATCTTTGGTGAAGGGTTGTTTAAATCTGTTGCACAATTTTTAGTGATTTGATTCTTATTATTGAATTTGTTAAACTCTTTACGGATTGTGGATATGTTTTTCTTCAGAGATGTGCTTTTACAATATTTTCTACCAATTTATAGTTTGTTTTTAATTCTCTTGACAGTGTTTTGCAAAAAGCAGACTATCTTAATTTGGGGTGACATTCTTATTTTCTTCAGTGGAAACTCCTAATTAAATTAAATAACATATAAACTTTTTGACCTGACACTATTGCTTTATTTTAAAAGGTAATGTAGAGCTACACAGCTATTTTGGAAACACCAATATATGTATTTAAAATCACTGAGGTTTCACAGGTTGAAATATACACAAATATAGAAATTAGGCACAGGACTATCAGATGTCAGAATTATTATACAAATAATATGCTGCAGTACTCATGCTTCTATCTTTAACCCAAATGGCTAATATTTCTCTCTAAATTATTAGTACTTATTCACATATCCAACCAGTAACAGTGGAGAAGTGCAGGCCCCCAATAAAGAGACAGAAAACAATTTGATTATACTTTATCTATAGAAAGCCAGGTCTAAAAGTTTGTGGATAAAGGAGTTGACAGCCACTTCCTTCATCAATCAGGTAAGTCATCCCTTCTTCCATTTTCAGTAGTTGTGATGGTTAATACTGAGTGTCAACTTGATTGGATCAAAGGTGCAAAGTATTGATCCTGGGTGTGTCTGTGAGGGTGTTGCCAAAGGAGATTAACATTTGAGTTAGTGGTCTGGGGAAAGCAGATTCATCCTTAATCTGGTGGACAGAACCTAATCAGCTGCCAGCGAATGTAAAGCAGGCAGAAAAACATGAAAAGGCGAGTCTAGCCCAGCCTCCCAGCCTGCATCTTTCTCCCGTACTGGAAACTTCCTGAATCGAACACTGGACTCCAAGTTCTTCAGTTTTGAGACTCAGACTGGCTCTCCTTCCTCCTCAAGCTTGCAGACAGCCTATTGCGGGATCTTGTGATCATGTAAGTTAATAATTAATTACCATATATAATATATATAATATTTTATATATATAAATTTTATATGTATAAATTTTTATATAATATATAAATATATATATTATATGCTGCAGTACTAATAGGATATATATCCTATTAGTTCTGTTCCTCTAGGGAACCTAGACTAATACAGATTTTGGTACCAGGAGTGGTTCTAGAGGAACAGAATATTAAGGATGGAGTTCTTTCATCGGTTTTGGGGTGTCTGGAGTTTGCTGCTTAATATGATTAGACTCAAAATGCTAAGGACTCTACCTCTAATAGTATGAAGAACACTGATAGTCCTTGGTGTGAATTGTTTAGAGAGGTATGCAAAATAAATGCATTTGACACTCCTGATTGACTGCTCATGATAGGCAAGGAGTTTAGTGACTCTCTACACAATAATTTTGACCAAGTATGGAAAAACAAGGAACATAATGAAGCTGGTTGGTTACTCCTAAGTTCAGGAGACAAAGTGATGAAAGAAAATGATCAACTCAGGGATTCTGTCTCCGGGCTTCAGAAGCAGATACTGAGCCTCAAATCTCCTAAGATTGCCCTGAGTGAGAGTCTTATCTTCTGTAGAGAAATAGCTGAAATTGTGGAAAAAGAGACACAAGCGCTTACCACGCGAGTGGCTGACCTGCAACAAAAGGTGCACACACAGCCTCGCCAAGTGTCTACTGTTAAAGTGAGGACATTGATTGAAAAAGAACGGGACCCTGCAACTTGGAATGGGAACACGTGGGAGGACCCTGATGAAACTAGGGACACTGAGTTTGTAAACTCTGATGAACCTTTTTTGCCAGAAGGAACAGCTTCCCCATCCCCAGTAGTGGCAACATCCCCTCCCCAACCCATGGTACCATCACCCTTTCCACCTTTGTCTGAGGAGGTAAACCCTACACTGCCTGAGGCAACAGTGATGGGCTTTCCTGAGGCAGTTGCCAGGCAAAATAACGTTGATTCTCCTCAGGAGTCAGCCCCAATGCCCCTGTTTGCTTCTAGACCTATAACTAGACTAAAGTCCCTATGGGCCCCTAGAGGTGAGGTTGAGAGTGTGACCCACGGGAGGTGTGGTACACTCAAGAAGAACTGTTTGTGTTCTCTAATTTATATAAACAGAAATCTGAAGAACAGGCATGGGAACGGATATTAGGAGTATGGGATAATGGTGTAACAAACATAGAGTTGAATCAGACTGAATTTATTGATTTGGGCCCACTAAGTAGGGACTCTGCATTTAATGTTGCAGCTCGGGGAATTAAAAAGGGTTCTAATAGTTTGCTTGCTTGTTTAGCCAAAATATGTATTAAAAGGGCCCACTGTGAGCAAGCTGGAAATGCCTGATCTCCCTTGGTTTAATGTAGAGGAAGGGAATCCAAAGGCTTAGGGAGATTGGCATGGTAGAGTGGATTAGTCACTTTAGACCTACACATCCCAGCTGGGAGGGTCCAGGAGACATACCCTTGACCAATGCCTTGCAAAATAGATTTATGAGGGCAGCACCTGCATCTTTGAAGAGCCCTGTAATTGCTTTTCTCTGTATGCCAGATCTAACATTAGGAACCATAGTCACTCAACTACAAAATTTAAATACAATGGGAATAATTGGATCCCGAGGTGGCAGGGACCAAGTGGAGCCACTCAACCGTCAAAGGCAAGGTGGGTGTAGCTACATAATGGACAGCAGAGGCAAAGCAGCAATCAGAATAGTCTCACTCATGTAGAGCTCTGGCATTGGCTAATTAATCACAGTGTTCCTTGCAATGAAATTGGAAGGAAGCCTACTGCATCGCTACTTAATTCATACAAGCAGAAAACTTCTAGGTCAAATCGAGAAAAGGCTAATTTGAATGATAAAAACAGAGAATCGTGGCCCCTCAATCAATTTCCAGATTTGAGCCAGTTTATACACCCACAACCCCTTGAATGTAGGGGAGGCTGGGTCCCCTTGAGGAAGGACTTTACTACATTACTGATAATTTTTATCAGGGAATCTTTCTCTCATCCTTCCCCAAGGAGACTTTTGGGCTTTTACCAGGGTAACTGTGCACTGGAGAAAGGGAAATGATCAGACATTTCCAGGACTATTGGACACTGGCTGTAAGCTGACATTGATTCCAAGGGATCCAAAACATCACTGTGGCCCTCCAACTAAACTAGGAGCTTATGGAGGTCAAGTAATTAATGGAGTTTTAGCTCAGGGCCACTTACAGTGGGTCCAGTGGGTCCCCAGACTCATCCTGTGGTCATTTCCCCAGTGCTAGAATGGATAATTGGCATAGGCATACTTAGCAGCTGGCAGGGCCCCCACATTGGCTCCTTGACTGATAGGGTGAGGGCTATTATGGTGGGAAAAACCAAATGGAAGCCATTAGATCTGCTTCTACCTAGAAAAATAGAAAATCAAAAACAATATTGTATCCCTGGAGGTGAAAAATACTTTTCCCGCCCGAATGTTGCCTTTTCCAAAACCACCCTGGCCTGCCCGCCACCCACATCCTGTACCCATAAAAGCTCAAGGCCCCACCAGCAGAGTGGCAGAGCAGCAGAGAAAGAGTGAAGAGAAGAAGCAGCTGGGTGTTGGAGAGAAGCAGCTTGACTTCAGAGGAATGGCTTGATGGCGGGACTCCGGAAAAGAGTTTGGTGGTCCCCAGTGAGAGCCACTTCCCGCTGACAGCCACTTCCGCTGTTCAATGAAATCCTCATTCACCACCATGCAATTTGTTCACGTGACCTGATTCTTCCTGGACACCGGAAAAGAACTACTCCTGCCGGGGCTCAGAAGCACTTGTCTTGGCCGCTGCACCCACTCACCTGACTGTTCACACTGGAATGAGGGGTTGAGACCGGCAGGCTGAGTAAATGAGCCAACCCCGTTATAAGTCTCATGAAGGGGTCAGGGGAATGATCCCATTTCAATATCACTGGCAGATACCAAATTGCAAGTTGTTGGAGATTGTACAAACTAACATAGTATTTTGTATGTAGAAGGAAATATGCATTTTTTTTTGAAATTTATGATAGAAATCTAGATGAATTGCATTAATAGCCAATGAAATTCATGGTGACCATTAGAGATATGCTTGAGCTTAGGAAAGCAGATAATTTTCAAGTTAGGTGTACCTTCCCTACTGTAAGGCCCTTGGATGGGGCTGAAAAATAAGGTACTTAAAATTGTTTTCCTGTTCCTGTGGTCCTTCAAATTGGAAGTTGAAATCTTCCCAATTTCTGAGTCTGGGAATGAGACGACATATGTCTTTGAGGGGAAAAAAAAAAGGACCCATTAATATTTGGGTACTTTTTCAGCTATAGCCCAAAATAATTAAATATTACGTATTTGGAGTGAACAGTTTTGGCTTCAAAAACCAAAAACTATTAAAATCTAGCATATGAGAAAAGTTTTGTTTTTTTGTTTTTTACTTTTTGCTGTCAGATGCCAAATCAAACTTGTTATCTAGAAGAGAGGGAAAAATCTAGAATAGCAACAATATGTTCAAATGGAAAAAAAAAAAAAAAAAAAAAAAACTCTACCGAAATTTAGCAGGCAGAAAATAGAAGCAAGAATGGAGGAATCAGATAGATACAGCCACACTGCTCCTAAAGGAGAAAATCTGATCAAGAAATTTATCCCCTTGGGCTTGTATTTTTCAAAAGGAGAAATTTCATGGGTCTGATATTCATGAATGCACTCATTACTGTTACTTACGTTTGTTGAAGAAAGATTCACATTTTAATAAGGTAACCAAAAAAGTAAACGTAAGCTATGTACCAAATGCATTATATACCTTAACTTCCTTTAAGAAAGTCATAAGGTTGATCTGATTAATCTATATATTTAAGATAGATAAACTGAGGTACAAAGAAATTAAATAGACTGTCTAATGTAAAATTAATAAGCAAAAGCAATGAGATTCTAATTCATTCATCAACAAAACAAGAGCCTGAGTACTTATCCACAATGCTTATTATTGACTTTCATCATTATCATTATCAATCATCATCAGTTGTATTTACTGTCTTTACTCCTTACACAGTTTTATTTCATCCTTGTGTTTATAAAGAGGAGAAGATGCATGGAATAGCCCGTTTGCTCTCCCTATGCTGACAGTATGCTTTCAACACTCCTTAGGCTTGAATGTTTGCCACAGACAATAAAGCAGGTGATAGATGAACTCTTGGCTTTCCTGGGATGTAAAATAAACTGTACTGAGTCTGAAAATATCAACATACAATATGAATGATGCGTCCTTGCAGGCTAGTTTGCATTTCTATCAGCCTCAAATTGGTTCTTATTGTTGAGCCATAAATATGTTACAATATTGTTTAACTGTCAACAAAGTGTATTTTCTTGCTAACTGAGCTAAATGTAAATATTCAATATTATTGCCCAATTATATTTTGTTCATGACATTGTAAAATCTAACAATATATTTTTGTAATAAAAATTATATTTGCAAAGGCATGGTGAATTTATATATATATATATGTGTGTGTGTGTCTATACACATATATATAATATATAAATGTTTCAATATATGTCAACATAATCTAAATCATATTCCTAGCACTATTTGGTGCTTACTCAGTATTTGTTGACTGAATTCATACATATTCCATGCATGCCTTCATTTTAAGTCTAACTTTATTTTTTAACAATACTGACCTCTTAATGGAAAAAAAGAACTCTCAAAATAAGTTGCATGCAAAGAATAAAGATATACATATTTATCTTGGAAAATGCAGCACGAGGCTAACAGAGCACAGAGAGAAGTAAGACATATTATCTTAATTTATTCTGCTCTTAATTTTCTGTACTTTTTTCTATTTCAAATGAAAAAAACAAACAAACAGAGGAAATCTTGACAAAAGTATGAAATGTTCATGGAAAAGAAACACACAAATTTTCAAGTTACTCCAGTAAAACATGGGAATGGATGAAATGTTAGGTGGGCATTAGCTATAATAGACATGTTTTGTTTCTAGAAGCAAAACAAAACAATTGAGTAATGGATACATATGTGTCTCATTATTTTTGGTACATTTATGTATTTTCAGATATATTTTCATTTTGAAATAAAACATTAGAAAATAAAAATTTATGATGTATGAGAAAAATACTGGTATATTATATATAATGCATTTAAATCTAAAGCCAGACAAATGTATTATATAGGTAATTTTCAAATGAGCAGTAAAAATAATTCTTTAAAAAAAAGATTATTTTTTTAGATGTCTGGTACTAAAAATTCAGTAGGGCTCTTTAATCCTTATATGAGCATTGTCAGCATTTGCATAAAATCATGTCAAAGTATTTGAAAAAATGTCATCAGGATATGAATATGTATACCAGAAAATAAAAAAATTCAAATGAGACATGACTTTTGAAGTGAAAAATATAGTAAATTATTTAATCAACCTACTCAGGGTAACAGGATGATCACTGAAGAAAAATTTACCTGTGAGAAAGCCACAATCAGTGATTATAAGAAGAGATGAAGAATCATATACTTAGCAGTCATGACATTAAAATTTCTATGAGGTATACCATGTCGCATTACCTAAGTTTAAAATGTCCATATGTCTGTACCATTCACAAAGAATCTTTGTATGTGCTGAACCTGTCTGCTGACTGGGACACTATGTCAGTGATACCAGGTTTACCCAGAGATGAGAGGTGTTAATAGTATAAACTCAGAAATGAAGAATATAAAGTCAATCAGAGGGAAAATATGGGGAAGTTGCTACATAAAGCAGGAACAGGAAATACAAAGGGCTTAAGAGAGATGAATCACTTTTACACAAAACAGCAAGGAAGCTGTTGCACTTCAATCGTAATAAACAGTGGAGAGGGGAAGAGAAGTATAAGAGATGGCTGAGTTAGCAAGGGGCCAAATTATGTCAGCCATGATATTTAGTTGTATAGGTATTTTTAAATTTGGAATGGAGAGGCTATTCAAAGGTTTTAAGCCAAAGAAGTGACATAATCTGAAGTATATTTTCAAAGTTTATTTTAGCTGCTAAAGTGAAAAAATGGAGACCAACAGAAAACTATAGCAAGTAGACCAGATGAAAATGATGGTGTCTTGGAACAGGATTGAGTGAACAAGGATGGAAAAAAAAAGCAAACAGATTGAAGATATATTTAGGAGCTACAATATGAGAAAAGCAGTCGTGTCCTTGATGGGTGTGGTAAGAAACTCTCTTTATTTATCAGTCATGCAGGTTTTTTTAAATAAAACACTTAACCATTTGTTTATTCATTCATTCATTTTACATGTATTAATCACTCACCAGGTGTTGGACACCTTTCTACATCAGTAGTAAAACAGATAAAGATCCCTCTGTCATTCTAGCACGAAGAGATGAGTAGCAAACACAAAAGCTAGGTAACATATTTACTAAGTAAATTACACAGTATGGTAGAGAGTAATAAATGGGGTGAAAACTAGGTGAGGGACATGGTGAGCATAAAATAGGCAAGCCAAAGAATGAAAGAGAATGATCAGAGTGGGCTTTATTGTGCAGATGACATTTGAGAAGAGGATTAGATGAGGTGAAGAAGTTAGCTACATACGTATCAGAGGGAAACTCAAATTAGGCAGAAGTGCTAGGAAGGACAAAGGCCCTAAACTGACAAAGGACTAGAATTTTAACAACAATCAATCCAAGCAGAGTCAGTGTGCCGGAAGCAGAGGAAATGTGGAGAAAAATAATAGAATTTGAGGTCAGAGTGCACAAAGAGAGGGGATTATATCTTGCAGGTCACTTTAGGCCATTGGAAATACTGGGAGAAGTGGAAGCCATTATAAGATTTTGAGTAGATAGTGAAATTTTCAAACATTTCAAAGAATGCCTCTGGCTGCTGTGTCAAGATTAGATTCTAGTAAGGCAGTGAGAAACTAAAAACCTGACCCAAAGATTATTTAAATAATCAAGGAGAGAAGGGTTGGTGGTTTCCTCTAAGGAAGTAACAGTGGATATGATAATAAGTAATCAGATTAAGAATGTATTTTCAAGAGAGGAGAGTATTTCCTGTTGGATTGGATGAGAGTAAGAAAGAAAGTAGTATTAAGAGGGTACTATTTATTATTTGTTTATTTTGGCTGCCCTTATTTTAAATGAGAAAGTTCTGGAGGGATTGAGGGTTTCTTTTAGGAATAATAAAAGAAAAATGGTTCAACTTTAAATACGCTAAATATCTGAATGGAGCGGTCAGTAAGTACTTTATACAAATTTGCAGTTTAGAAAGGTTTGAATGGAAGATATAATTGATGGGGTCATTGGCATACAGCTAAGAATGAAGGCTGTAAGACTTGAGAAAACTAAGAAAGTGTGTAGACAGTGCCCATATGTGATTCTTGATTATGAATTTAAAGTGAGACCACTTAACATAGAGAATAGATGGAAAGTTGGATTTGGATCGGGCTGTGATAAAATATGAGCAAAGGAGAGCATAGCAAAGTGCAGGCAGAGGACACATTTCTAGCTGTGCTCCATGTACTTTCACCATTTCTTTTTTTTCTTTTCTTTTTTTTTTTTTTTTTTTTTTTGCTTAGCAGTACCATGTTGCCCAAAGCCAACTTTATCCGTCTCACCTAAATTAATTTCTGGAAAAAGCTTGACACTCAGGTGTGGATTTTCTGATTTTCAGTTTTGAGGGGATTTTCCTTTGTCTAATTTTATTTCTAATACAGTACACTAATAGGAAGGTAAAGTGAAATTAAAAAGTAGTTTTATCTCTTCTCTTTTAGGTAACTACATCTCCTGGCAAAGCTAGGAAAAGAGCAAAAATAAATAAAAGCGTAGCTCTCATCAATAAAAAAAAGCTACATTATTTTCTTCAATGCCTGAGAAAAAGATTTTCTAGCATTTCATAACATAAATAAGAATAGAAGAAAAGCTATTAACGTTCTTTTAGTTGTCTCTCTGTGTGTGTACGGTGTGTCTATTTTTGTACTGAGAAATAAAAATAAAATCCAAAGCAACCCCCACTGAATGAATGGACCTCCTCTAAGTCAAGAAGACCTCAGAGAAACCTAAAGGAAAAAAAAAAAAATGAGTTCCTGGCCGTGATGAGTAGGAAATTTCAGACAGGCATGTGTGTACCTCCCCTTTGTGAATATTCAGAGCCCTTTCTATAAACTGTTGAATATGTATATGTAGCCAACCCATTTGGTATATCTTCCTGTCTCATGCTTCCCACCCTTGAATCACTTTATTTTCCTGCCTGCAGGATGTGAGGCTCCCCTTTAGAAATAAAACTCTCCTTTTCAAATTGGTGAACCTCATGATTCTTCACTTGGCAGTACTAAAGCAAACTACCCTTTTAAAGATATTTATTTTAGAAGCATTTTTTAAAAATACAAATAATGCCACTAAAAATAACCTCAGTTGTGTGTGTGTGTGTATGTGTGTGTTTGTTTGTTTGTTTGTTTTGAGATCTGAAGCCTATATTTGAACAATCTTACTCTATGGTATTTTTAGGATAGTAGCATTTTATCCAGAAGATGTTACTAGAAATATTTTGTTAGCAAATTTCTGTTAATTTTTTTTTGTTTTTCAGCCTATAAAATAACAATCTTGTGGTTCATTTCACATATTAATCTTAGAAGATCTTAAATATAAATGAAATGTGGACACTAGAATTCAAAAAATGTAAATAAATACTACTATTCATTACACACAGAAACGTCTGACATTAACGTGTGATGCCATCATAGAAAATAATGACGACTCCAGTATTTCCTGATCCAGGTCTGAAAACAGAGTTTGTCCCACTAGCACTATTATGCCACTGTTTTTACATTTTTCCAGGCCTTATCATACTCATTCTAGAATGCCTGAGCAGCAAATTTCCTAAATTCACTCTGGTATGGGCAATGTTTCTTTTTTGAATATGTTGAGTAAATAGAAAATAAATTGAAATCCTGTAGAACTGTGCTCCCCAAACTTTTTGGCACCAGAGACTGGTTTCATGGAAGATAATTTTGCCATGGACAGGAGTTAGGTGGGGCATGGTTTTGGGATGAAACTGTTCCACCTCAGATCATCAGGCATTAGTTAGATTCCCATAAGGCATGCCCAACCTAGATCCCTCCCATGTGCAGTTCACAATACAGTTCACACTCCTGTGAGAATCTAATGCTGCTGTTGATCTGACATATACATAGTGTATGGTGTGTGTGTGTGTGTGTGTGTGTGTGTGTGTATATACATATATGGTATGCATGTGTGTATATATATATATGCCACATTTCTTTACAAATTTATACTGTATTCAATGGTATGTTTATACATATATATATACACACACTATATATATATATACACACACACATACATAGATATATACACATATATATATATAGATATATGCCACATTTTCTTTATCCACTCATTGGTTGATGGACATTTAGGCTGGCTTCATATTTTCGCAATTGCAAATTGTGCTGCTCCAAACATGCATGTGCAAGTGTTTTTCATATAATAACTTCTTTTCCTCTGAGTAGATATCAAGTAATGGGATTGCTAGATCAAATGGTACTTCTACTTTCCATTCTTTAAGGAATCTCCATACTGCTATCGCTAGTGGCTGTACTAGTTTACATTCCTACTAGCAGTGTAAAAATGATCCCTTTTTGCCACATCCACTCCAACTTCTATTTTTATTTTTTATTTTTTAATTATGGCCACTCTTGCAGGAGTAAGGTAGTATTGCATTGTGGTTTTGATTTGCATTTTCCTGATAATTAGTGGTGTTGAGCATTTTTTCATATGTTTGTTGGCCATTTATATATCTTCTTTTGAAAACTGTCTATTCATGTCCTCTGCCCACTTATTGATGGGATTATTATTTTTTCTTGCTGATTTGTTTGACTTCATTTAGATTCTGGATATTAGTCCTTTGTTGGATGCATAGTTTGCAAATATTTTCTCCCATTCTGAGGGTTGTCTGTGTACTCTGCTGATTATTTATTTTGCTGTGTAGAAGCTTTTTAGTTTAGTTAATTTCCCATTTATTTATCTCTGTTTTTGTTGCATTTGTTTGTGGGTTCTTGGTCATGAACTCTTTCCCTAAGCCAATGTCTAGAAGAGTTTTTCCCATGTTATCTTCTAGAATTTTTATGGTTTCCGGTCTTAGATTTAAGTCTTTGATCCATCTTGAGTTGATTTTTGTATAATGTTCCATTCTTCTACAGGTGGCTTGCCAATTATCCCAGCACCGTTTGTTGAACAGGGTTGCCTTTCCCCAGTTGAAGTTTCTCGTTTGCTTTGCTGAAGATCAATTGGCTCTAAGTATTTGGCCTTATTTGAACGTTCTTTATTCTGTTCCATTGGTCTACATGTCTGTTTTTATAACAGTACCATGCTGCTTGGTAACTGCAGCCTTGTAGTATAGTTTGAAATCAGGTAATGTGATGCCTCCAGATTTGTTCTTTTTACTTAGTCTTGCTTTGGCTATGCAGGCTCTTTTTTTGTTTGTTTGTTTCATATGAATCTTAGGATTGTTTTTGCTAGTTTCCTGAAGAGTGATGACGGCATTTTGATGGGAATTGCATTGAATGTGTAGATTGCTTTTGGCAGTATCGTCATTTTCACAGTATTGATTCCACTCATCTATGAGCATGAGATATGTTTCCCTTTGTTTGTGTCGTCTATAATTTCTTTCAGCTGTGTTTTATAGGTTTCCTTGTAGAGAGCTTTCACTTCTTTGGTTATATACATTCATAAGTAGTTTTCTTTTTTCCAAAAATACTTAAAATCCCTTTTGTAAAAGGGATTGAGTTCTTGATTTGATTCATGGATTTGTCCCTGTTGGTGTATAGCAGTGCTACTGATTTGTGTATATTGATGTTGTATCCTGAAACTTCACCGAGTTTATTTATCAGATCGAGGGGCTTTCTGGATGAGTCTTCAGGGTTTTCCAGGTATATGTTCATATCATGAGTGAACAGCAACAGTTTGACTTCCACTTTACTGATTTGGATGCCCTTCATTTCTTTCTCTTGTCTGATTGCACTGGCTAGGACTTTTAGTACTACATTGAATAGAAGTGGTGAAAATGGGCATCCTTGTCTTTCTTGTTCCAGTTCTCATGGGGGAAGGCTTTCAACTTTTTCCCGTTCAGTATAATGTAATAGATGGCTTTTATTACCTTAAGGTATGTCCCTTCTATGACAGTTTTACTGAGGTTTTTAATCATAAAGTGAGGCTGGATTTTGTCAAATGCTTTTTCTGCCTTTGAGATGATAATGTGATTTTTGTTTTTAATTCTGTGTATGTGGTGCATCACATTTATTGACTTGTGTATGTGAAACCAACCCTGCATCCCTAGTATAAAACCCACCTGATCATGGTGTTGGATTCAGTTAGCTAGTATTTGGTTGATGATTTTTGCATCTATGTTCATCAGGGATATTGGCTATAGTTTTCTTTTTTTGTTATGTCCTTTCCTGGTTTTGGTATTAGGTTAATACTGGATTCATAAAAAGGTTTAAGGAGAATTCCATATTTCTCTATCTTTTGGAGTAATTTCAGTAGGATTGTTACCAATTCTTCTTTGAATATTTGATGGAATTTAGTTGTGAATCCATCTGGTCCTGGACTATTTTTTGTGGGCAATTTATTTATTACTATTTCAATCTCACAACTTGTTATTGGTCTGTTCAGAGTTTCTATTTCTTCCTGGTTTAATCTGAGAAGATTGTATATTTCCAGGAGTTTATTCATCTCCTCTTGGTTTTCTAGTTTGTGTGCATGAAGGTGTTCACAGGAGCCTTGAATAATCATTTGTATTTCTATGGTGTCAGTTGTAATATTTCTCATTTCATTTTCATTTAGCTTATTTGGATCTTCTCTCTTCTTATCTTGGTTAATCTCGCTAATGGTCTCTGGATTGTGTTTATCTTTTCAAAGAACCAACTTTTTGTTTCAATTATCTTTTTTGTTGTTGTTGTTGTTTCAATTTCATTTAGCTCTGCTCTGCTCTTCATTATTTATTTTGTTCTGCTGGGTTTGGATTGTTCTTGTTTCTTCAGTTCCATAAGGTATGACCTTAGATTGTCTATTTGTGCTCTTTCAGACCTTTTGATATAGGCATTTAATGCTATGGACTTTCCTCTTAGCACCACTTTTGCTGTATTCCAGAGGTTTTGATAGTTTGTATCACTATTCTCATTTAGTTCCAAGAATTTTTTTATTTCCTTCTTGATTTCATTGTTGACCCAACCATCATTCAGGAGTAGATTATTTAATTTCCATGTATTTGCATGGTTTTGAGGGTTCCTTTTGGAGTGGATTTCCAATTTTGTTTCACTGTGCTTTGAGAGAGTACTTGATATAATTTCAATTTTCTTAAATTTATTGAGACTTGTTTTGTGGCCTGTTAAGCAGTCTATCTTGGAAAATGTTCCATATGCTGATGAAAAGAATGTATACTCTGCAGTTGTTGGGTAGAATGTTCTGTAAACATCCATTAAGTCCATTTGTTCTAGGGTATAGTTTAAGTCCATTGTTTCTTTGTTAACTTTCTGTCTTGATGACCTGTCTATTGTTGTCAGTGGGGTACTGACATCCCTGCAACTATTATTGTGTTGCCATCTATCTCATTCCTTATGTTCAGAATAATTGTTTTAGAAATTTGGGAGCCCTGGTATTTGGTGCATATATATTTATGTTTGTGATATTTTTCTGTTGGAATAATCCTTTTATCATTATGTAATGTCCCTCTTTGTTTTTTACGGTTGTTGCTTTAAAGTCTATGTTGTCTGATGTAAGAGTAGCTATTCCTGCTTGTTTTTGGTATCCATTTGCATCGAATATCTTTTCCACCTGTGTATCTTAAGTTTATGTGACTCCATATGTGTTAGGTGAGTCTCTTGAAGACAGCAGATACTTGGTTGGTGGATTTTTTTTTTTTTTTTTTTATCCATTCTACCATTATGTATATTTTAAGTGGATCATTTAGGCCATTACATTCAATGTTAATATTGAGATTTGAAGTACTGTTCTATTCATCATGCTGGTTGTTGCTGCTTGAATACTTTTTTTCATTGCGTTATTGTTTTATAGGCCCTGTGAGATTTATGTTTTAAGGTGGTCCTATTGTCATGTATTTTGAGGTTTTATTTCAAGACATAGAACTCTTTTTATCATTTCTTGCAGTGCTGGCTTTGCAGTCGTAAATTGTCTCAACATTTGTTTGTTTGAAAAAGATTTTATCTCTCCTTCATTTATAAGGCTTAGTTTCAATAAATACAAAGTTCTTGGCTGATAGTTATTTTGTTTAAGGAGGCTAAAAATAAGACCCCAATCTTTTTTGGCTTGTAGGGCATCTTTTGAAAAATCTGCTGTTAACCTGATAGGTTTTCCTTTATAGACTACCTGATACTTTTGCCTCATAGCTCTTAAGATTCTTTCCTTCATCTTGACTTTAGATAACCTGATAACTATGTGCAAAGGTGATGATCTTTTTGTGATTAATTTCCTAGGTGTTCTTTGAGCCTCTTTTATTTGGATGTCTGGATATCTAGTGAGGCCAGGAAAGTTTTCCTTAATTATTTCCTCAAATAAATTTTCCACACATTTAGATTTCTCTTCTTCCTCAGGACATCAGTTATTCTTATGTTTGGTCATTTAACATAATCCCAATTTTCTTGGAGTCTTTATTTATTAAAAAATTTTTTTGTCTTTGTCAGATTGGGTTAATTTGAAAGTCCTTGTCTTTGAGCTCTGAAGTTCTTTCTTCTGCTTGCCCAATTCTATTGTTGAAACTTTCCAGTGTATTTTGCATTTCTCTAAGTGTGTCTCTCATTTATATAAGTTGTAACTTTTTATGATATCTATTTCTCTGGAGCCTTTTACATCCATATTCTGTTTTTTTTTTTTTAAATTCTTTAAGTTGGTTTTCTCCTTTCTCTGGTACCTCTTGGAGTAGCTTAATAATCAAGCTTCTGAATTGCTTATCTGGCAATTCAGAGATTTCTTGTTTGTTTGGACCCATTGCTGGAGAGCTAGTGTGATCTTCTGGGGTTGTTATAGACCCTTGTTTTGTCATATTACGAGAATTGTTTTTCTGGTTCCTTCTCATTTAGGTAGACTCTTTCAGTGGAAAGATCTGAAATTCAAGGGCTGCTGTTCAGATTTTTTTTGTCCCACTGGTGATCCCTTGAGGTGGTACTCTCCCCTTTCCTCTAGTGATGGGGCTTACTGACAGCTGGACTGCAGTGATTGTTATTGCCCCTCTGGGTCTAGCCACCCAGTTGGGTTATCAGGCTCTGGGCTAGTGCTGAGTAATGGCTGCAAAGAATCCTGTGATGTAATCCATCTTCAGGTCTTCCAGCCATGGATATTAGCAACTGCTCCAGTGAAGGTGGGAGGGGAGTGAAGTGGATTCTGTGGGAGTCCTTGGTTGTTGTTTTGTTTAGTGTGGAGTTTTACTTGAATTCTGGTTATTTTAGCAGTGAGGTTGTCATGTGGACAGACTTAGGATCTCTGGTTAGTCAAGGTGTTGCAGGTGGTAGAATTAACTGTTGTTTTCTCCTTCTTTGGAGCAGGATTGTTCCATTTTGAGTCGTCATAATGGCTTGAGTTGGTTGGCCTGCAACCAGGAGGTAGCATTTTCAAGAGAGCACCAGCTGTAGTAGTCAAAGGGGAATATAAGCTTGTCCTAGGTTGGCTAGAATCAGTATTCGGGTTTTTCAAGTGATGGGCAGGGCCATAGAGCTCCCAAGAGTTTATGTCTTTTGTCATCGGCTACCAGGTCAGGTAGAGAAAAACCATCAGGTGCAGGCCATTAGGTGGTTCTGAGCTCAGACTCTCCTTGGGCCAGGATTGCTGTAGCCATTCTGGGTGTGGAGAGTGGTACTCAGATCAATGGAGTTATGTTCCCAGGGGGATTATGGCTGCTTCTGCTGCATCATACAAGTCACCAGGGAAGTGGGGGGAAACTGGCAGTGACAGGCCTCACCCAGCATCCATGCAACCAAGAAGGCCAGTCTTACTTTCCCCATGCCCCATCAGTAGCATCGAGTTTATATTCAGGCAGCCAGTGAGCAGGGCTGAGATTTTGCCCCAGGCTACAAGACTCCCGGATGAGAAAGCAAGCTGGGCTTTCAGGCCTCATCCCTCCCCACTTCTGGCACCACTGGCTGTGGCATCTAAACTTGTATGTGCATTTCCCATTTGCACCCCCTTGATTCTGCTCAGGAAAATTCATGCTCAGTCCAAATTATTACAAAATTCAGCTAAAAACTTCCATCATCTGATGGTACCTTCCCAGTTCTGATGGCTGCCTTCCCCAAGGACCCCTATGAGTTAAAGCTTCCCTGGGCTAGAGCTGGGGACCAGGAGTGCCTACAGAGTTCATCCCGCTGCTTCTACTTTTATATTTCACTTGGCTCCCTAAGTCTGTTTCAGCTCTAGGTAAGGTTAAATCCTTCTCCCATGATCTGAGCTGTCTTGTGGAGTTTGCAGTAGCAAACTGCTTTTTTTAGAGGGTTCGTGAATTCTTTCAGTTTTCACGGTACTTCATATGGTGGTTCTTGAAGCAAAAGTTCACAATGTGAATCTCCACACGCTGTTCTGTACGTCCAAGAGTGAGATGCACATTTGTCCTGTCTCCTATCCATCATTCTATTTTTTCCAAAACCAGAAAACACCATCAACTTGATGTGTGTGACATATGTGAAAATAAGTCATGTGATATTGGCTGATTGGGAATGGGTCCAATAGACTTTATAGATTGATGGAAATATTCTACATCTTTATAGGAGTGGTAGTTACAGTTACTTAAGTAAATATATTTATAAAATCTATCAAGTTAAATAAGATTTGTGCATTTTATTGATTTTTATATCTCATTAAAAATAAAATGACATGAAAGCATAAACTCAACAACAAAAACTGTATCTGGTTACCTTCGTACAATGTTTTTATCAGTAAACAGAGGTAGAATAAAAATAGCTTACAATAGCACAACTGTTTTCAGCAGACCTGTGTTTGAGACCTAGTTTTGCCACATGCTCCCGATATGGCTTTGAGAAAAGTAATTAACTTCTCCAATTAATTACTCTTAGCTTTGCCATCTATAAGGTAAGAATAATGAAAGTTCCTATCTCACAGAGTTGTAATACTTAAATAAAGGGGCAAAGAACATTTACCTGTGCATGGCATATAAAAAGAGGACAATAAAAGTCCCAACACTATCTTTGCTTCCAAATTTAAGACAAGAATATTAGATTTAGCTGAAAACTGTCATATCTTTAAATGTTTAAATAGTTATTAGTTAAAATTAATTGAGATATTCTGAGTACTACAGCAAAATTTTATTTAAAAAATTCAACAAAATATATTAGAATAGAATCATAATCACAAATATAATTGAAATAACATAGTACCTAGAAGCATTAATCTTCTTGAAGTCTATTTCATAATAATGAAAAGCTGCCAAGACCCATATTTTATTTCACCCTTATCAAATTCTCAATATTTTCAATGTTTTTCACGTCGCTCAAAATGATGGAGTTTGAGTTCTATTTTGTTAAGGCAGAGCACAGGGCATAGTCTCTGTCACCAAGCGAATCTAATAGTAAAAAGAATCAATGTATCCTCAACACTTTATTATTTCCCATAAAACATTGCATTTCTCAGAGAATTTAGTTTATTCAAATATGAAAAAATACTACGTAATAAAATTTAAAGAATTATTTTAAAAATAAATGCATTAAATTCTTTCACTTTTTTTTTTTTTTTATTTTTGAGACAGAGTCTCACTCTGTCGCCCGGGCCGGAGTCCAGTGGTGCGATCTCGGCAACTGCAACCTCTGCCTCCGGGGTTCAAGCAATTCTCTGCCTCAGCCTCCTGAGTAGCTGGGATTATAGGTGCCTGCCACCACACCTGACTAATTTTTGTATTTTTAGTAGAGACGGAGTTTCACCATGTTGGCCAGGCTGGTCTTGAACTCCTGACCTCATGATCCACCTGCCTCAGCCTCCCAAAGTGCTGGGATTACAGGCGTGAGCCACCATGCACCGCTTAGTTTATCTCACTACCTGGGTGATGTGATCATTCATACACCAAACCTCAGTGACCTATAATTTCCCCATGTAACAAATCTGTATATGTATCCCATGAGCCTAAAATCGAGTTAGAAAAGATAAATAAAATCTAATAAAAATCATTTTAAAAGTATACTTGACAAGCTACAAAAGTATCTTCATATTTGTTTTATGATTTCCAGGGGAAGAAAGTTAGATAATGAAGAATGAAATAATTTGAAAAAGTTTTTTGGTAAATGTTAAAAAAATAATAATTACATTTCACAGTTTCAGTATATGGAAAAATTTATTTTGACTCCATAGCATTTTCATTTAAATACTTTGAAAAACAAACTCAAAATATGTTTTAAATTGTTGATGATTTCAAATATTACAGGAATAGAAACTTTAACTTAACACAGAATGATTATCTGGCTTCCTTCTGTAAAATATCTTAAAGGTTAATGTGGATTTGAATTGCACAACATTCCAAATGCTTCTCCCCCTTTAAAAAGAATAGTCTTATCTTTTAAAAAGAATACTCATATCTTTTATTTTTCTTATGCAAGAGCAAAAATAAGGAAAAAATATATTATTCAGGAGAATCATGGCAACAATTTAAGGAAGACAAAACCAGTCTTTAGCAACCAGTATACATATATATCATCTTTTTTTCTGCTTTAGGGTAGGTTGCTTCTATCACCAACCTGTTCCAAATCCTCCTCTTACATGCACCATTAAAACATACTCTTTCAAAAACGAGGTGATAAAATCACAAATATCAATCTATCGTTCAGAAGAAGGTACCTTTATTTTACCTTAAAGGAATTTGATATATAATGGAGAAAAGAAAATTACTTTCTAATTTCCAAGACTCAAAAAGTGTCTTGGGGAATATCTCTGTCCTTGTTTGTTTATTTTAAGGCTGATGGCCTTTTCAGAATTCCCAAAATGATAATAAGTAAAAGTATCTACTATTATGACTACATTTAGATTACATGTCAATACACAATGAATCATTGTCACATTTATGGATAAGTTATAGGTCCAGTTTTGTGGTCGTATTAAAGAGAATAAAGTTAAATTAAGTAAATTTGAAAGTTTGTTAATCTTTTTTCATGGTGACAAATGTCTTAGTCCATTTGGACTGCTATAATAAAATAGCATAAACTGTGTGGCTTATGAACAACAATTTATTTTCTCACAGTTCTGGGAGCTGGAAAGTCTAAGATCAAGGTGCTTACAGATTCAGCATCCAGTGAAAGCTAATTCCTCATAAATGGAATTTTCTTGCTTCATCCTCACATGATGAAAGGGGCAAACAAGCTCTGTTGGGCCTCTTTTCTAGGGGCACTAATTCCATTCATCAGGGCTCCACCCTTATGATCTAGTCACTTCCCAAAGTTCCCACCAATTAATACTATCATATAAGATTAGATTTCAACCTAGGAATTTTGGGTGACACAAACATTTAAAAATGTAGCAATCAATATGTTTAATTAAGTTGTTCTAACGATTTCTCTCATATAAACTTCATATCTGAAGATACATACTTTGAATAGTAGTCCTTATTATACAGATTAACTAATGGTCACTGTGTCAGTTAAAACATAAGTAGTGTTGTAATAAAAAAAAGTATTTAAAATCCTTGGTTACAGAAATAAATTTATTTCTTGCTCATGTTCAGGTTAATTATAGATTGGCTGTAGGCCTTCTCTATGTCATCTGCACTCCAGAACGCAGATTGACCAGGCAGCCTCTCTCTGAATATCTTTGAAATGGGAAAAGAAAAATGGAGCATCACACATAGCTATCAAAGTTCATGCACATAACATGGAAATCCTGAGTTCAACATAGATTTAAGGATTTAAAGAGTCAAGGATTTCAGTAATCCCTCTACAGAGTCAGTCATGAAACAAAGAAAATCACAATATTTGGAAACAAAATTACATCCACTACAGTACTTTAGCAATCATGTTGTTTTATTTCACTTTGTTTATAAATGAGGAAATTAGTCTTAAAAAACAAAAGCAACTTGTCCACATAACAGTTATTTAATCATAGTGTCTGTCCCAACATGAAAATAAAATCATAGTTTTCTTTCTTTCAAGATTAGTAAACATAAACAGAAATGTTACTAGAAATTCTCCACCGTGTTTTTGCAACAGAAGGAAGAAGGGAAAGCTAGACAAAGCAGATGGCAAAACATGTGTCTTATGGTCTCATCTATTATTAAATAAATTATTGAAAGCAATATATTCACCATGAATTTATTTATATATTGAATGGATAGCCTCTACTTCTTTCCATGACTAAAATAATTATTTTCATAGAAGAATAGATTCTAAGAAGAAAGAAATAATATTTTGGGGGAAACCCTATGTTTGTATTCAAAGTGAATTTATAAATACTTTCTGAAAATCTTTCAACCTTTTAATCTATCTAAGCTCTATAACTGATCCAAGGGCAGATATATCTTTTGAGTTTCTCCATTTTTCCAACTTATAATGAATTAAAATAGTGATTCATACTGTTATTTAACTCTTTAATGTGTCACTGTCATGCATTCATAAGGAAGTAGATTTCATTACCTATAAATAAAGGACCATGATTCCATTCAGCCGTGAACATCAAATAGGCAAGTAATAGATATTCCATAAATGCCTAACGATAGACTGTGCATTAGAAAAAAAATCATTTTATACTATGAATAGCTGAAAATACTGGTTAGCCCTGTAGAGGGAATAATAAAATTTATTACCCTCAAAACTGCTCAATATTTATGACCTTTCATATGAAGCATTTGTTTAAAATTTTTAGAAAAATTGAATGAAAAAATAAAAAGATGAGTTTTTTTTTCCTTTTGTATGGAGGTTAATGAGTTAGTGAAAGCTCATTACAATAGGCTTGGTAACATGAATTTGAACTCAATGCTGCAAAAATTAATAGTATAAACCTGGTGAAGTCTTTAATTCTCTTGTTTTAGGTTCCTCATTGATATAATAAAGGAACTAAACTAAATTACAATTGACTTTTTCTTTCCATATTTCAAAAGTATAGAGTAAGAATACTAGCATGTTTTACTGTTGCTATGCAAGCAATACCACCGTAATTGGGTTTTGCAATGAAAAGTTAATGTAAAATAAGAAATAATATACCATTATCCAATATAATGATGAGCAGTGTTTTTATGAGTGCTTATCTTAATTTTGTTCTATTTTATAATGTAATATTATGAGCAGCCTATATAAACACATAGTGAAATATCCAATGATAAGGCATAGTCTCTATATTTTTGGCAAATATATATTTAAGTCAAAAAGCATTTACAGGCAAGAAATATGAAATCCATTAAAATCCATTTGATAGGAATTTTATTATGTACATGTCACACAATAAGCACTTTCTCCCATACCACCTTATTTACCCAGACCTGTTATTCAGCATACTATAGCACCACAAACAAACCTGCTGGGCTCTCTCTCCTATCTTTTGAGAAAAATATTTTAAACTTTGGCAACCTCAGCTATTCCTGTCAATGTCAATCTAATAACATGTTTGTGAGCAAGTTAATACTCCATTCATAATAAACAACCCAGTTTGCACATTCACTTGATACCTCATTATCAGATTTCATTTTCTGCCAGAACCCAGTATCACGCTAAGCTGTTTCTCCAAAGAATATTTATCTATAAAAAAAGAACATGATTTACTTCCATACCTAGGGAGTAAACTCCCTATACTGTGATTTACTGATGGAGCTCCCTAGAGCTCATTAGAGCCAACTCTTTGATACAAATCTTTTGAATGTTGTTTGTTCACCTCTTTTTTAAAGTACAAAGGGCAAAACATCTGCCTCCATCTTCTAGATATACTTCAGAGCTTCATTTGCTCTAGGCTGTACTCAAACCTGGCAGCCTTCCTGACTACCCAGTAAAAGTGCCAGAGTAGCTTACTCAAACATGGAATGTGGCCTCCAGAATCCAAAGAGGCCAGTCAAGTGCTTCCATATTAATGACACACAATGCAAAGTGCAGTAATTTTCCATTACAGAGAAAATATCCTAACAAGCTCTTGCTCACAGGATGACTGGAAACTTTCCAAGAGAGAAGATCCCTGAATGTCTTTTGTGTTTCTCTCTCAAGCTCTATCTTATATATATGTTAGCAAAGCATCTAGTTTTTTATTTCCTTCTCTCTCCAGGCTCAGTGTCAACCAAGTAGTGAAACAGTGTGATAATGGGCAGGATTTTAGGAAGATTGGGTTTTTTCACAGACTAGCCTATGCCAGACTACAGAATCGACATAGAACTGCAGTACAAAATTGAAGCTACACTGTTGTTACCAGGTAAAAGTGAACTGCGGCCGGGCACGGTGGCTCACGCCTGTAATCCCAGCACTTTTGGGACGCTGAGGCCGGTGGATCAGGAGGTCAGGAGATCGAGACCATCCTGGCTAACATGGTGAAACACCGTCTCTACTAAAAATACAAAAAATTAGCCGGGCATGGTGGTGGGCGGCTGTCCCAGCTATTCGGGAGGCTGAGGCAGGAGAATGGCTTGATCCCGGGAGGCGGAGCTTGCAGTGAGCCGAGATCGCACCACTGCACTCCAGCCTGGGCGACAGAGCGAGACTCCATCTCAAAAAAAAAAAAAAAAAGTGAACTGCTTATAATGGTTCTTCCAAATCACTATAGACATTACTAGTATTTCCTAGATCAATAACCACATGTCTGGTCATGGGGTATTCTTGACTAGCTTCTATGGTTAATCTGCTTCCAAGGTTAATCTGCTTTCTTTTTAAGTGATTTAGTTTGAGATAGGATAGAAATCATCAAACTTTGACAACAGTTTAAAATTCCTGGCACATATCTCTTGAAAATAAATATCATATTATTTTCCATTCATTTTAAGTGCTTGTTTAACAGAGACGTGATAAACTCAATAGAGGGTTTTGGTGGGCATGTTATGTTATCATTATCCAAATTTAAGGAGAATCTTCAACAATAAATTATTCACAACTGAGGCATATAAAAAAAACACGCTATTATTGTGCCAACGTGCATAAATATATATTAAATTTGTAAACCTAATTATATTTGGATTTTTAACCCCTAGTGCTAAAAATCAGTTACCATTTGAATCTGAATCTGTCCTTTTATTTCTTTTTGAAAGCCTTAAATAGTACTGAATTCCATTTCCTATTTAGTAAAGACATGCATTCTATTATTGTAATGTTTGTTTTGTTTGTTGCTTTTCCTTATAGTAATGACATGCCAGCCTCCATGTAACTTCTTGAATTCTTAAGTTGGAAACACTTGTATTTGAAATAAAATTCTTAGGTGTATAACCAAATTCCTGATATTTAAAGGATGTGCAGGCTTAGATAAGGTATTTACTATTTTTAAAACCCTCTGCATTAGTAAAAGGGTAGTAATAAGAAAAAAGTAGAGTTACTAACAAAGGAGTTATTCAGACTGACAATATAACACATAAAGTCCATAGGTTATGTGTCGTTAATACCAGATATGGATTCTGGCTTTCCTAATCATTTTCTATAGAAGCATTTATAGTCACAAAGATGGGACTCAGTGGGAATGAGCCAATTCAGGTCAAAAGGGTATTCGAATACATCTATAACCATTGATAATTTTTTATAACATGTATTTCTTAGGTATTTTTTGTAACTATAATTGCAACTATATATAATAGTATTTTATGCACAATAGTGTAGACATAACAGGATTTTGGGTTATTTCCCCAAACTTACTAGCAAAATTACCATTTTCCTACAAGTCATATGTCTTTCATTAGTGGGTAGGTCACTAGAGGCCAATGAAGAAAAAACACAGGAGTCTATTTATAAAGAGACTTAACCATATCTAGCAAGCTAATAACAAACTTTATTAATGCAGGCTTCCTAGTGTCATGTTGGATCACAGCCGATTTCTCTCCTGTGAATGTAGCACAATGGTGACTCCCAATTTATCTCATGCTAATTTAACCACGTGACATACATGTTTATTTTAATTTGTGTCCCTTTAACTGGGAGTCAGTTACTGTAAGATCAAGTTTGTCATAGTTTAGAATGGCTATAATGATTTCATAAATATTGTACTCCAGCACACCTAGCCACTGACCGTTTAAGTATATCAGATCCCCCTGCAATCAATATGCCAATGAGTTCTTTCTAACTGAATGGCTATGATCTCCTTGAGAGTTGTTGGCAAGCAGAATGCCCTGTAGCCCTGTTTAGTAATATACATACACCACTTACATATTGCTTCATAATCTTTTCAGCTGACTCCTGAGTGTTGTCAGTATTCTAGTGGAACACCCCTATGAGTGTCCCAAACTAGGTTAAAAAGTTCTTCTCATTATCAGGGGTAAGAGTTCAGAGAAACCAAGTCATAAGACCCAAAATGCCTTTTGCACACTGAAGCCATCAAATTGGAATCTGTGCAGCTTATACCATCACAAATGCTGCTGCCACTGAGTGCTTGAAGTATGCATACAATTCAAGAATACTGTAAAAGTGTCCAAAAGAGTGTGCCTTCTGGATATTTTAGATTCAGCATATTCAACTCCTATGGTCGTTCGCTCTGAATATGACAAAGGCTTCTCATAATCATTCTAAGTATGAATCATTAATTATATTAACTGATTATATCATATTAATTATCACCCCGTTGGACATTATTCTGCTTACAAAAAGTTATGATTACATATTATTCTACCCACTTTCAGGTTTGGTGCTTGACTGCTTTGAGTAACAGCAAAGTGGCCTCTGAAATACAAATGTGTCTACTTTTATCCCAACAGGCTATCTTCATACACAGCATCAGAGTAATTCAGCTACTCATTGTCAACTGACTGCCACATACATGGTCTGATGCAAAGATAGAATTTATTTCAAGGTTAAAAAAGAATAAATAGCATTTTGGGAGGCTGAGGCAGGTGGATCACGAGGTCAGGAGATCAAGACCATCCTGGCTAACACGGTGAACCTCCGTCTGTACTAAAAAAATTAGCCAGGTGTGGTGGCGGGCACCTGTAGTCCCAGCTACTGGGGAGGCTGAGGCAGGAGAATGGCGTGAACTTGGGAGGCGGAGCTTGCAGTAAGCTGAGATTGCTCCACTGCACTCCATCCTGGGAGACAGAGTGAGACTCTGTCTCAAAAAAAAAAAAAAAATAGAATAAATATTACAAATGTAACACACAAAATATGACCCAAACTGCAATTCCAATCTGCTATTTTCTAGGTAGATTGCTAGGAAACAATAATTGATATATTCTCTTGAAATTACCCAAATAGAGTCACGTGTAAATCTTACAGTTTGGTTCTTTCAACACAAACCATGACTCTGAATCACAATAATGAGAAACAGACAGGGGTTTACTTTTCCTACACTGGAAACTTTCTTGGGAAATGAGTGAGATTGCATTCTTTTTTATCATGTTTACTCATTTGATTTACTCATTATTTTTACACTCGACATTAATGATGAGACATTTATGCACACTGAAAAGTGTTTGTTGCACTAATGAACAACTTGAATATTGAATGATGTAGAAAATTTAATTTCCAATTTTATGGTTAATCAAGAACATTTTTGCTGTAAATTCTACATAAATTTGGAGGTATATGTCTGTACATCCATATACTCAAAATATAATTTTAAGTAGATAAATTGTTTCTTGAATTTGAATATGTTTTATCTTATAAACTATATTAGATCTAAATTATTGTGTCAAAGTCCCAAAGACATACTTTTTGATTAAGCATGTTATTTAGTTCTAAAGTCATATGTGTGTGTGTGTGTGTGTGTGTGTGTGTGTGTATGTGTGTGTTCTCAGTAGAAATAAGCAGAGAAACCCTTTTTGTTAGCTCAACAAAAGACCATTACCTATTGCTCCTGTAAATGGCAAACACAAAATCCTCATAAATGAATTCTATTACTATTTCAAAATATAGTTTTCAGGACAACTCATTCAGTTAGGGAAGATTCTCTCTTTTTCTATTGATTAGAATAGTTTCAGAAGGAATGGTACCAGCTCCTCTTTGTACCTCTGGTAGAATTCAGCTGTGAATCCGTCTGGTCCTGGACTTTTTTTGGTTGGTAGGCTGTTAATTATTGCCTCAATTTCAGAAACTGTTATTGGTCTATTCAGAGATTCAGCTTCTTCCTGGTTTAGTCTTGGGAGGGTGTATGTGTCCAGGAATTTATCAATTTCTTCTAGATTTTCTACTTTATTTGCGTAGAGGTGTTTATAGTATTCTCTGATGGTAGTTTGTATTTCTGCTCTGATCTTAGTTATCCTTGCCTTCTGCTAGCTTTTGAATTTGTTTGCTATGGCTTCTGTAGTTCTTTTAATTGTGATATTAGGGTGTTGGTTTTAGATCTTTCCTGCTTTCTGTTGCGGGCATTTAGTGCTATAAATTTCCCTCTACACACTGCTTTAAATGTGTCCCAGAGATCCTGGTAAGTTGTGTCTTTGTTCTCATCGGTTTCAAAGAACGTCTTTATTTCTGCCTTCATTTCGTTATTTACCCAGTAGTCATTCAGGAGCGGGTTGTTCAGTTTCCTTGTAGTTGTGTGGCTTTGAGTGTGTTTCTTAATCCTGAGTTCTAATTTGATTGCACTGTGGTCTGAGAGACAGTTTGTTGTGATTTCTGTTCTTTTACATTTGCTGAGGAGTGTTTTACTACCAATTATGTGGTCAATTTTAGAGTAAGTGTGATGTGGTGCTGAGAAGAATGTATATTCTGTTGATTTGGGGTGGAGAGTTCTATAAACGTCTGTTAGGTCCTCTTGGTCCAGAACTGAGTTCAAGTCCTGGATATCCTTGTTAACCTTGTGTCTCATTGATCTGTCTAATATTGACAGTGGGGTCTAGAAATACCATTTGACCCAGTGATCCCATCACTGGGTATATTCAAAAGATTATAAATCATGCTACTGTAAAGACACATGCACACGTATGTTTATTGTGGCACTGTTCACAATAGCAAAGACTTGGAACCAACCCAAGTGTCCATCAATGATAGACTGGATTAAGAAAATGTGGCACATATATACCATGGAATATTATACAGCCATAAGAAAGGATGAGTTCATGTTCTTTGCAGGGACATGGATGAAGTTGGAAACCATCATTCTAAGCAAACTATCACAAGGACAGAAAAACAAACACCGCACGTTATCACTCATAGATAGGAGTTGAACAACGAGAACACATGGACACAGGGTGGGGAACATCACACACCGGGGCCTGTCAGGGGCTAGGGGGCTGGAGGAGGGGTAGCATTAGGAGAAATACCTAATGTAAATGACGAGTTGATGGGTGCAGCAAACCAACATGGCACATGTATACCTATGTAACAAACCTGCACGTTGTGCACATGCACCCTAGAACTTAAAGTATAATAATAATAATAATAATAATAATAATAATAATAAAAACAGCTAATTCAGATTTCATCCTTTAGCTACCTTCTCCTAATTAAATAGTAGTTCTTTTTAAATTTTATTTTTTAATTCTATTTTTCTCTGGTCCTTTTAAAAGTAAAATAATATCATCAATTTATAGTATATTTCAAAATAGCTAGAAGGGAAGATTTGGAGTGTTCCCAACACAAAGAAATAGCAAACGTCTGAGGAAGATTTTAATTACAGTGATTTGATTATGACATTTTGTATGCATGTATCAGAAACACACATGTACCCCATAAGTATGTAGAACTATTATGTATCAATAAAAATAATACGTCTCTTAAATGTTTTAAAATGAAAATTTTAACACCTATTTTAAAAATAAAATAATAAAGCAAGTGTGTCCAACCTGTGGCCAGGATATCTTTGAATGCAGCCCAACACAAATCTGTAAATTTTTTAAAAACAATATGAATTTTTTTTGCAATTTTGTTTTAGGCCATCAGCTATCATTATTACTAGGATGTTTTATGTGTGGCCCAAGGCAATTCTTCTTCTTCCAATGTGGTGCAGGAAACCCAAAAGATGGGACACCCCTGCTATAAATACTAGATTGTATTTATATGTCTTAGGAGGAGTTAATATAAAATATGATTTATTATAAAAGGTAATTATATTAACATTATGAACTTTTTTGAAAATTTGTTTAGCTGCTAAAAATTTAAACAATACCTTGAAAATCAATGACAAACAGAAAATTGATCCAACATTTATAAGCACAAGAGTGCAAATCACTTCTAATTATACTAGTTTGGTGTCCCATTGAATACTCATTTTCTCTTTATTTAGTCCAGATTTGACATATTCATGATATAAAAATAAGATCCAGATAAATCATTATTCTGATTTTATCCACCAATGAGAGGAAAAGTTAGTATTTATTTTATTCATAATCAAGATTTTGTTCATAAATAACTCATGTTAACATTCATTAGGCACGCTTGCATTTTTTTCACATTTTTTGCTTTGTTTTGTTTTGTTTTTTTGGAGACTGAGTCTTGCTCTGTCGCCCAGGCTGAAGTGCAATGGCGCGATCTCAGCTTACTGCAATCTCCATCCCAGGGTTGAAGCAATTCTCCTATCTTAGCCTCCCAAGTAGCTGGGATTACAGGCACACACCACCATGCCTGGCTAATTGTTTTTATTTATTTATTTTTTTTTTTTGAGACAGAGTCTCACTCTGTTTCCCAGCCTGGAGTGCAGTGGCGTGATCTCGGCTCACTGCAAGCTCTGCCTCCCGGGTTCACGCCATTCTCCTGCCTCAGCCTCCCGAGTAGCTGGGACTACAGGCGCCTGCCACCACTCCTGGCTAATTTTTTGTATTTTTTTTTTAGTAGAGATGGGGTTTCACCGTGTTAGCCAGGATGGTCTCAATCTCCTGACCTTGTAATCTGTCCGCCTCAGCCTCCCAAAGTGCTGGGATTACAGGTTTGAGCCACCGCGCCCAGCCATGTTTTTCTTTAATCATATTGGTAAGTAAGCACAGTAATAAAGAGAATGAATTTAAATATTAATTAGGGGAAATGGATATCTTAGAGAAAAAATTATGTGGCCTGAAGACATGTTAATGCTACTTACCATTTTATAGTTAATGCTACATAATATTAGGGACAATTTTTCCCTAACGTTAGGGATAGTTTGAAAGATTTGAAGAGTTATGAATAAATTGCCTAAAACAGGATTTAAGTGTTAATAGGTCTAAGTCAATTGAAGTTAAAAAAAAAATCAGTAACAACTAAATTTAAGGTAAACTTATAGGATATTGTACCACGGCCAATATCCATGGTCACTTAGTCACTTAGAATATACTTTAAAAGGACATATTATTTAATATAAAATGCCAAGTTAAAGTGAAAAACAAAGTACCCTACACCTACACAGAATAAAAGATAAACAGTTATTTGATTGTATAAATTAAAATTGATTCTGATTTCCAATTAACCCACAACTTGATGAATTCACAGCCTGAGGAAATATCCAGCATATTAATTTGTTCTCATTTCCTTTTATTAATGAAACAGTGTTCATCTATAACACGAATCTCTGGAACTGATTAAAGTATTGAGTAACTGAAGACATGATATGGGTTTTTTGTTGGTTTCAGATGGAGAACAATGAACAAAATGATGGAGTTGAGCAATCTCCTTTTTTTTTTAGTATTTAACTGGAACAAAATAAAACATTATCTACTAAGGTCATTATATTGACTTGACCAAGTTTAATTTAACTTACGAGGACCATAATCAAATGTATCATTAGAAAATATTAAAATACCATGTAAGTATGAGGAGATATTTAAAAAGCTCTTCTTAAAAATATATCAGTAACTAATCAAATAAATATTATAGTATATTATTGATGTATTAAAAATTAACTCTCAAAATTTAAGTCAAATGTACATTAGATGTCTGAACCCATGAATTACTCTCAGAAAACATAATAATCATATATATGTCATATTAGAAATACTTAGAGAAAGAAAATTCTATTCAAATTGAAGTCATCTAAGCCTCTTCATTTTAATGTTTTAAATTTCTTGAAACAAAGTAGAAAATTTAAGAAAACACACATAAAGGATAAATAAAAGCCTATCAATTCATGCATATGTTTTGCATTCAAAAGACAGAATTTAGATACTAATTAACATAAAAATATTGATTTCTAAAACCTGATTTATGACTTTTTCCAAAATATTTTTTTCTTTGATATTTCCAAGTATTATTATTGTTATAACACATATTATTATTATAACCAAGTATTATTGGTTTTTTTATATTTACAATAAATGAATGGAAATTTGTCTCCTTTTAACTCCATAAGAGATGTAGTTTCTAAGAAGTAATGATAAGTATATGATTTATTTAAATCACCATTAAGGAAATTTCATAAAATTTTTGGGAAATATTTCACTTTTGTTTGTATTTTGGAACAGATTTACAGTAAGAGAGAGAATAGATATCTATACTGGGACCATAATAAGCTGAACTAATAGTGTAAATTTTTTACTGTAACTTTCATCCCAAATTTCTTTTATATTCTTCTTTCTCTTAGCCTTGTGAACCCTGAATATCTGAGACAGGTCTCAGTTAATTTAGAAAGTTTATCTTGCCAAGGTTGAGGGCATGCACAGGTGACACAGCCTGAGAAGGTCCTGATGACATGTAGCCAAGGTGGTCAGATCATAGTTTGGTGTTATACATTTTAGGGAGACATGAGACATCAATCAACACATGTAAGATGAACATTAGTTGTGCCTGGAAAGGCAAGACAACTCAAAACAAAGGCACGAAGACTTGAGGTGGGGAGTGGGCTTTCAGGTAATGGGTAGGTAAGAGACAAATGATTGCATCTTTTGAGTTTCTGATTAGCTCCTCCAAAAGATACCATCACATATGCGTTTATCTCAGTGGTCAGAAGGGTGACTTTGAATAGAATGGGAGGCAGGTTGACCCTAAACAGTTCCCAGCTTGACTTTTTCACTTTAGCTTAGTGATTTTTAGGGCCCCAGGATTTATTTTCCTTTCACAGTGTGTTTTCCTTCTTGTTGACTTACCATGTTTTCTTTTATATTATGCTATGGAGTTGGAATTTTCTTGTATTTTGGAGTCTACAAAGCTGTTGTTTTCTAAGTAAACTCTTTAATACATCATGTTCAGAAATGTGCTTCTTCAGTGAATCACAAAGTTCTTGACAATATTTTCATATTTTGCAGATTTTTGATAGGTACTCTGCTGTTTGTCTGCTTTCTCGGTTATTCTTTTATGAATGGATGACATCTCTCCATAGCTGGTCTTTACACAGAGACTTAATGGCCCCAGAATCATCACAAAGTAGTTGAATTTTAGCTGAGGTGTCCAGTGAGTTCTGTTTCCTAAAATATTTACTTGGAGTAATACCACTTTCTTTTATTTTCACTGACTAGGACTCTTATTATTTTCAAGAATGAGATTTATCATATTGAGGCAGGAAAATAGAATCTGGAGGCAGAGAGCATAAGGCCAATTCACACTTCAGCTATGACAGGAAATATCCTCTCTATAGGGCGTAGGCCCAGTAAATGACTTTGTAACTTTACTTCATCCTCTCCATTTACATAGGGCATACCCGAAGTAACTAATGGAATCCTCTAGAGGGTATTTAAACTCCCGAAAGTTCTGTAACAGTGCCCTTGAGCCCTTTGCTTGGGCCCGCTCCCACACTGTGGAGTGTATGCTTTCATTTTCAATAAATCCCTTCATTCCTTCCTTGTTTTGTTTGTGTGTTTTGTCCAATACTTTGTTCAAGATGCCAAGAACCTGGACACCCTCCACCAGTGATAATATGATTCTTCTTTCACAATATATTACTTACACAATGTTGGAGCTTGCTTTAGCATTATGAGTACAATGACTGATCCAGTGATTTTGGATCAGTCATTTCCCAAGTGTTATTATGCAAAAAACTACAAATAGAATCCGCTAACATTGAAAGGATTCTTAAAACTTTCTTCACAATACATTGTATCTCAAAGTTTAAGCCACTGTTCCTCAGTACAATGAACCCCGAAACTTTGTGTAATGTATCTTTCTTGCTTTAGTATTTTTTTCTCTTTCAACATCCCTAGTTACAGTCATTTTTGAAATTACCACTCTATATCCAACAAAATGCCCCATTCTCAATATCTCTGAATGCTCTCTCCCCTTACATATATTTTTTTTTATACACAGTCTCCCTCTGTCACCCAGGCTGGAGTGCAATGACACGATCTTGGATCACTGCAACCTCTGCCTCCCGGGTTCAAGTGATTCTCCTGCCTCGGCCTCCCAAGTAGTGGGGACTACAAGTGCATGCCACCATGCCCAGCTAATTTTTTTTTTTTTTTTTTGTATTTTTGTAGAGATGGCGTTTCACCGTATTAGCCAGGATAGTCTTGATCTCCTGACCTCATTATCCACCTGCCTCGGCCTCCCAAAGTGCTGGGATTACAGGTGTGAGCCACCGCACCCGGCCTCCCTTACATATTCTAACTGAACCTGCCCTTACCACAAAGGCACCACTTACTCTGAAGCCATTGTAAGTAGAGATTGGTTTATTTATCACAATCTCCAGGAAATTTAAAAAAATTACCTCTAGATATAGATTGATATATAGATAAAGAAAGTAGGTCTAGATATTTATGTATGTATATATTCTGTTCTCTTCTACCATTTTATTACTGATTATTTTATCACAGTCCCCAGGAATTAAAAAAATTTATATAATGGAGAGTAATATAAATATAGTTATATAGATATAAGATATAGATAGGTATGCATATATTCTAGTGTCTTATACCATTTTATCACTGAAAAATATGAAAAACTACATCTTGATTATCTTTCTTCCTTAAATACAAAAACTACTCTTCTTGATGGCTAATGCCTGTTTCTGGACACCATTCGTACCTCACAAGTACATTCAACCTGTCTTGAAACTATATCTTCCCACTTATTTTTAAAGACACAAAAATCTCAATTCAAATTACGTGGACCTCTCCAGATATATCTATTTCTTCTTCTTAACACTACATTTATCAAAAATTTTATTTAACTATTATCTTTGTTCCTCACTCCGCACTAACTCCTGTATTGCTCCACCAAAACTACTCTAATTTTGTCTTCACATAGGTCATTTTACAGAGATTTTCAGCTCCCATATTACTTGACTTCTCAGCAGATTTTGTCCTAGTGAAATCCTGTGTTCTTTTGGTAACATTCTATTCCTTTGTTGTGACCCAGTTTTCTCTTTGTTTTCCTATTATGACCCTTGCTGGCTGATGCTATACTATCTGGATAAGAAAAGTTGAAAATCCTCAATATTTATTACAAGCTATCTGCTTTGCTAAAATTATATCCTTTTCCTGGACAATCATACACGACACACACACACGCACACACACACACACACACACAGAACTATTTTTTTCAATTCTGCAAGTAGCTTACAAATTTATTTCTTAATCACCTTTCTGTTCACAAGAGTCTCATATCCAACCTCATATGTTTGGTATTTTTCTTGAATGTCTTAGAGTTGTCTCAAGCAAACCCAACATGCTTACTATACTTTGCATGTTTGTCCCCTCCAAACCTCATGTTGAATTTTGATTCGCAGTGTTGGAGGTGGGGCCTAATGGGTGGTGTTCCTTCACAATTCTCCATAAATTAACAGGTTCCTCAAACTGAAAGCCAGTCTTCTGGAAATGGCTGGACAACTAGAGATGAAATAATGTCCAATTCCTTGATTTACCATATTGTAGTACAAGTAAATTCCTATTTTGAAGCAGTTTCTCCATGATGATATTGCTTGCCATTTCAGCACATGCATTTCTACTATTTTCTCAATAGCAACTATCCTAAACTTCTGTGGGTTTTCCTAATACACTCACAGAATGTAGAATTTCTGGATTGTGGTAGCATGTGCTAAAAGTTAAGTATAATTCTAGTTCTGATTCAGAATATATCATGTAGTAAACTTATGAGAAAATATGAAAAACTTGAACCAAAACACATTAAACATGGTCATAAAAAGACATAGTCAATTATGGTTTTGCAAAAGCCCTTGTAAAGCTGAAAAGATTGTTGGTATAAAAAGCTAATCTGTTTCTATTACTGACTAAGGTGTATGATAATTATATTTATGTTATCAAGGGTGAGCAGGCAATGGATATAAAAGAGATAAGAACAGATGAACCAATCTCAGTGTTATCTATCTGCCTTCTACAGAAATGCATTAAGGGAAAGAGCAATGTTGTTATTCTACTGTGAAAAGGAAATTATGAAATTTTAAATTTGTGCCAATAGAAGCAAAGAGAAGTGGAAAGATGGGTGAAACTGATCACTGTAAGCATCTGGTTTCAGTAATTCAGTCTGCTCAAAATAAATGTTTATGATAGGAAGTCGGCAGCACTTGTAAGTTGATAATTTATAAATGTGAAAACTAACTCCCCTCCAAAATACTTGATCACAATGTATTTTTTCAAACTAGTATGCTGTGGAAGAAATGCCTTTAGCTTCTAGATGAATGTTTACTAAAAACAGGCCCCATGTTGTTAATTCTATTTTTATAATGTTGATATTCACATCAGGCTTAACTAGGCATAAAATAAAAACAAAATAAGGCACTATAATTTTTTATTCAATTTAAGAATTATAAGTAATTTTATTTACACATGAGAAATGCAAAGCTAATTTTATATGACATTTTACATTTACATAAAGTTAAATACTTAAAGGTATGTATTTTGATAACCATTGATTTATTTTTTAAATGGTCTAATTAAAATCATATTTGAATTCTCAATTATTTTCACTACTAAATAAAGCATCATGACTGAATATAATCTTAAAAAGGATATTCATTCCTACAAATATGGGGAGAATACAGTTATTAAAGTTTTAAATTATACATTTAATATTTCAAAATTTAATGAGTGACATTATACGTTGTAAAAGTACAGTATCATAGTATCTTGATATGTTAAAATCTTGGATGTCATCAACAAACTTATAAATAGTTTCCTTAAAAATTTAACTAACATGCTATAGAATTAATTTTCATGGTCTCAAATTGTACTGACTGATATTGTAACCAATAGTAGCAGTCCTAGACTAGTGTCAGTTACCATATGGTACAGCACAAACAGAGAACGTTTTTTATCATCTCAAAGTTCTACAGGACAGTACTGTTATAAAACTATTCAATTTATAAAAACAATTTCATGACTTACCCTTATTCTTTTTCTTTATTTTTTTATTATTAAATATGTGACCACTGTGGAAATTTAAAGTTAGCTCATAATTTGCTTTAAAAACATAAAATCCATAACTATTTTGAAGCAAAGTCTCACAGCAATGTCATTTGTTTTCTTTAACTGTTTTTCTAAGTCAGTTCGGAAAACAAAGAAGGTAAAATTAAATCACTATTGATTAAACATCTAGCAATGAGACTCTTATTTCACCTTGTCTCTTAAATACATTAAAATTCAGACCAAATAATCTTTACAAAGAAAAAATAACTTAAAGCCAAACAAGCGGAAGACTTAAGTGATGCAGAGTGTATTTCTTATTCATTTGTACAGAAAACTATATTTCTATATAACTTTTGCAGAATTCTATACAAGGCAATTGTTTTCTGAAATGAAGTAGATTTCTATGACATACACAGACTTCATTTTCGGACTACTTCTTTTAATGTCAAAACGAATGCAATTATCTGATATCACCATATTTATAATGCTTATTATTTTATTTGGTTAATTAATAATTAAATCATATATAACAATTATATGCTACTTCTTAAATTAAGAACTGTAAAGGCCCATATTTACCCAGGTTTCGCTGATCTCTGTTAAAAGAAAAATTTTAGACAAATTAAATTTAACAGAGTTTATGATTGATAGCAAAGAATGATTCATGAATTAGGTAGCACTCAGAAGAGATTCAGAGAGTTCTACCCAGCAGTGTGGGCAGCAAGCTTTATAGGCTTTATACTTTTGGAAGGAAAGTAGAGAAATCACCTGATTGGCTACATCTAGGCCTTTGCCCTTTTTAAACATAGCATGATGAGCCATTTGTTTTACTTGGGCATGGGGCCTGATTAGTTGGCTGCTCATGATTGTCTGAAGTTTATCTTTGATTGGCTGAAATTCAGCTGTTCGTTATGAAAATATACTCCCAAGTTAGGCTTCAGTTTGTTTACTTACTATAATAAGTTAGGTTGTGGCTTGTTGCTTAGAAACTCAAAGTCCAGAGACAGTCTCAGGCTAATGGCCTCCTGCCCACTTATTTGGCATCCCCTTTGGCAACTATTGTTTTGAAATAATAGTGAAATATCCAGTTCACAAGCAAACATTGTCCTTTTTTAACTGTAAATTGATGACATTGGAAATGCTCTAACATTGCTTCAGAGGCTATAATTCTCTTTAAGAACCTTGAGTGTAGAGTTTTTATTTAACCTATTAACAAGCATGTTATTTTTAACAGGCAAGACACCTATGTACTATCGAACATAGTACATGCACAGTAAGTATATGTTCAACTAAATTAACAAACAGTCCACTAAATTTGTCACAGGTCTGGCCTATAATGGTTGATCAATAAATATTTGTTCAATGAATTAAAATATAACTAAGGAGCCTAAAAGAGTGATGAAATAACCACTAATATGCATATACCAATATAAACATATGTATTATTTTATCAGTTGAGTCTACTTATGCTAATTAAAATTGAAAATTTCCCCAGAATTCTGTTTTTTAACTACTGAAACTATAAAAGCCTGAACACGAAAAACAATTGTGTTGTCAAATATACATCTTTGAGGTCTTTCCACTTCTTTCTATTGTAATATCCTAAATGGTAGCCTGGAAGACCGAGAGTCCACGTGAGCGTCAAATAGCTTTATCACAAAGAACATTGGATAAGTATTTAGATTTCACATTTAAGCTTATGTTTTCTACTACATATCAAACTACATAAAAATAAATCAATAGAAATGTATTGGTTTTATGACCTTAACGAAATTCACTTAAACTCTCCAAATGTCAATTTACACAGCTGAAAATGTAATCAATAATATCTGTATTTCTGAGTCCAGTACTTTTTATAAGTATTAAATCACTGTTATAAACATTTTTCAAAAGCAAGGACTCATATTTAAAGATAAAAGATCATATTTTATAAAGACAAAAACATCATATTTAAAGTACTCAGGAGGAACATCTAATAGCATTATTAGTCATTTATGAAGAATTCTATTTATAAATTATTTAGATAAAAAGTGATTATACTTTTTTAACCATATATGTATCTTAGCACTCGATGCTCTTCCAAATACTTATTGGTTATTTAGAAATACCAACTGAAGTTATGATTCATAGCTGAATTATGATACAATATTTTCTGAGGATATAATATATTTAAAAATTAAAGGCAATTGCTGGGTTGATAAGTATTTATGTCTTGGAGCCTCAAGAACACTGGCTCTCAAAACATATTTTAGAGACTTTAATTTGACATATAAGATCCCTCAGATAATCGACAATATAATCTAATCTTATACTAATGCCACTTAATAAATGTTATCAGTTTACTGGTTTCTGAATTAGTTGCTATGAAAAGAGTAACAAACATCCTTAGGTGACTGCATTAAGCCATCAGTAACTTCACAAGCCATTATTGAATGACTCATTGAATGAGTCCTATGTCCAGTAAGTGTGGGGAATTGGAAAATTTGACTCCAAAATAATGATTGTGCCAGCTAACATTTAAAGCATATAGTTTTCTGGAGATAATTTTAGAATTAAAACAGAAGTTTAAAACAATCACACATTTTTTCAAGTGTCACAATTAGTCTCCATAAATTGAATAGGGAAAAACATCCAAACAGTTCCTATTGGTCTGAAATAGTTTATGCCACTTAAGAAGGTTTGAAATTCTTAAGGTTTATGATAAAACTCTTCGTTTTCATTGGTAATATGATTAATAATGAATGTTTTATTAATAGTTCATCTTATAATTGTAAGTGCTGAGTTAAGGGAAATTTGATAGCTTTTCCTGCACTTGATCTTACAGTCAAGAGCCACATTTTAAAATCCATTGCTCTAATTATAGTCAACCACTGAAATAGTGTTTTGTCAGTTTTCCTCTGGGACATGGATTGATGTTTTTATCCTCTGTAAAAGCCAGCATGATCACTCAACAAGGATTATACCTTATTTTCTGTAAATAGAGTATGATATTAATATTGGAAGCTCTTGAAAATTATTTAAAACTTGTCAAGTTTTCTGCCCTCATTGAGTGATGATTGATGAGGCAATATTTGCAATCTGTAGTAAGTTTTATGAGTGAAAGTTGTTGAATAAGTAATAGAGTACAAGCTACTTTAATTAAATAATAATTTATTAGAAATTTCCCCATTTCTTCTCCTTCCAAAGATACTTGGAAAACCAATTAATGAAATATTTATGACATTTAAGAAACCAAAATTAAGATTTTTTTTTTGTTTCATCATAGAACACTTAATAGCTCATTGTTTCTTGTAGTTGAAATATTTCTCACCAGGCAAATATCTTACATTTCTAATGGTGCCAAAAACGGGAGCAGCAATGATATCAATAACGAAAGCAAAATTATTTTGAATGGTTAAAGACATTTTTTACTACCAGTTCTGCAAAAACTAATAACTGATAATCATGCTGTTGTTTCACATAATTTTATCCTATAGTGTCTGTTTTTCATTGTACTATGCAATGACTGTTTTTGTGGAATGTACAGAATGAGAAGGTGATTTTTATTTAACGTTCATTATACTTTAATTTCATTAGGTATTTTAGTTAAATGAGGCCAAATTGCACGGGTTCAGCTTAACTGATTTTTGTATAGACAAATAAACTGTCTTTATTGTTTTTAACAGACATGCTAGAATTTGACTTAGATCATTAAATCATATCTACTTATTTACAAAGATGTTTTGAGAATGGATTTTTAAAATTAATTAAGTTTAAATATCAGACCAACATGTCAAAACAAATACTATATAATTCCATACTCTAAAATACTTATTGTACTTTTATTTTTATAACTAATACTAAGATATGCCCAGTGTTCTCATGAGCATTACACTTACTATAGAAAGCAAACATCTCATCAAATTTAAATTCTTAGAAATGTGGAACATATCTTCAAAAATCTAAGTCATAACTAAAATAATTTTGTTAATTTAGATTATTTTATTAAATATATTTTCATTCCATTCATCTGGCTGACATTTTGAAATGAAATGCAAACAATTCTCCAATTAATAATTTAATTTTTAAAGATGAGTTTAATATTAAAAATTATTACATTGTTATTATTATTTTTAGCAAAGTCTCTCTTTTCACCCAGGAGGGAATGTAGTGGAACAATCATGGCTCATTACAGCCTTGACTCCTAGACTCAAGCAATCCATCTGGCATATTTTCTGTTTTTTTTTTTTTTTTTTTTGTAAAGACAAGATCTTCCTATATGTTGCCCAGGTTGGTCTTGAACTCTTGGGCTCAAGTGATTTTCCTGCCTCAGCCCTACAAAGTGCTGGGATTACAGGCATGAACCACCACACCTGTCCAAAAAAACTTACTACAATTTTGATAGGAATTTTTCTTCCTTCCTTCCTTTCTTCTTTCCTTCGTTCCTCCCTTTCTTCCTTCCTTTTTTTTTTTTTTTTTTTTTTTGAAGGACTCTCCTCTGTTGCCCAGGTTGGAGTGCAGTGGCACGATTTCAACTCACTGCAACCTCTGCCTCCCAGGTTCAAGTGACTCTCTTGTCTCAGCCTCCCAAGTAGCTGGGATTAGAGGTGGGTGCCACCACTCCCAGCTAATTTTTGTATTTTTAGTAGATACAGGATTTTGCTATGTTGGCCAGGCTGGTTCTTGAACTCCTAGCCTCAAGTGATCCTCCTGCCTTGGCCTCCCAAAGTGTTGGGATTACAGAAGTGAGCCACCACATCCAGCTTTGATAGGAATTTCTTTGTAACATACTTAGTAATTTGAAATGAATTCAAAATAGTTCACATAATCTCATGCACATATTATACATTCAAATGATTTTGAAAATGATCGGCATAAATATTTGCAAATCTAGCTTTATCTAAAAATTGTTAACAAGATAGGAGAATATTTTTATATTTATGCAAATTTTAAATGCCTTTTTAAGATCAGAATTTCCAAACAGATATGTTTAGTCTATGAGGAAATTGTTTTGATCTACAGTCATATAAATGAAGAACCAGTAATCTGATTCTAAACTTAGAAGTAAAGAGGAATTCCTAGTAACTTAGAAAATGTGCCCAACAAGTACAAAACTGTTAATTCAAAAATTAAGATAAACTCAATTCTGAGATAAATTATAAAAATTATTAAATAATTATTTTATGTGAAGAGGCAATAACAATAGAAAAAATATCCCCAATGCCTGTATCTCATTTATTTATTATTATTATTTTACTTAAAATAAATTGTAAAAGGTACATAGTAGTAGTTTCCTAGCCTCCTAAGCCTTTCCCATAGAAAGTATTCATTTCAGGGCCGCAGGGCAATTCAGTGATGCTTTCCAACACTCAGTGTTGTTGTCGACACTGTCATTATTATCAAAATTGACTCCTTTTAAAATAGTTCAAAAATAAATCCTGTATATTTATCTCTGAAGTCTGCATTTGTGTGTTATTTTCTTGCTATTTGTTTCCCTGTCTAAGAATGCTAGAATAAAGCTACCATGAGAAAAGAGGGTATATTTTCCCCAAATACTCATAAAATTGTGGATATTTAATCTAATGAGAGACTGAACAGAAATATTCCGCATTGTAGGAACACCTGCCACCTGAGGATCAGGGTGCCTCATAAAAACAGCTGTACTGAGTAACCTCTATCCCCTCTACCACACTGATGCACTGATCTGCGGCACCTAGGTGCTACCAATTAGGCAGGCCACTGGAAGATTCTATTCTGGGAAACATGACCTCTTACGGAAGAGAGATAAACTATACAAATGGTTGTGACTGATGTACATTTTTTTTTCTTAATTTAAGAAATTATCATTTTTTCTCAGTCTTTGCTCTACTTTGCCATATATCTGAGCAAGAAGGTACTTAACCGTCATTCAAAGTCTCCCTTGTTTTCATTTATTATTATTATTATTATTATTATTATTATTACTATTATTGAGATGGAGTCTCGCTCTGTCGCCCAGGCTGGAGTGCAGTGGCGCAATCTCGGCTCACTGCAAGCTCCGCCTCCCGGGTTCACGCCATTCTCCTGCCTCAGCCTCCCAAGTAGCTGGGACTACAGGCGCCCACCACCATGCCCACCTAATATTTGTAGTTTTTTAGTAGAGACAGGGTTTCACCATGTTGGCCAGGCTGGTCTCGAACTCCCGACCTCAGGTGATCCTCCCACAGACATGAGCCATAGTGCCCAGCCCTCCCTTGTCTTTAGTGTGTTGAATCTGATTTTCATCATTAGCCGTGTGTTCCCTAAAGATTTGCAATGTGGAGGAGAAACAAGGCATTTGCTTCTTCCTCCAGGAGTGGTAACCGAATGTTGGGGTTTAGGTGGGAATTTTTGCAGTAACCTCTGAATGCCTCTGACATTCATTCACACTGAGGCTTCAGAGGAACTGCTAAGTCAGTATCCTGACTCTAGCTGGTAGCTGCTGTTTTTTTGACTGAATATCTGTTAGATCAAGAAATCTAAGTTAGTGTGGTGCTTATTCTAACTTCTCTTCTAAGCCTTCCAATAACTGTGATATTATTAACTCACTTTGTTATTGAAAAACCTATTTATTTTTCATGAAACTCTTGGACAATAAATGCATTATATCATTAATTAAATTATTGAAAAATGTTAGACACTTGGGGAAATTTCTCAGAGAGCAGAGAGAAATAGGAAAAAAAATTTTAAAGTAGATAACAATATAAATGATAGCAGTTCTTGTTACTCAACAGAGAGGACTTGAACAACTAACTAATTCAAGGTTCTTTCTGTTAACAGACAAAGTATCTAACTTTAAAAGACACACCCAATGATAAACCCAAAGAGTAAGAAAAAACCACATGATGGGTGCATTATGCTGAAATGTGAGAGTTCTGAGGTCAAAAAGAAGTTCCTACAAGATTGCAGAAGAATTTTTAAAAGTACACACAAAAGATCAAGCATCAGAACTATATTAGTTTTCAACAACCACAATTGGAAACCACTATTGGAAAACTAAGAAGATATTAATAATTCCAATATTAAAATATCAAAGAAGATATTAAAAATTCCAAGGTAAAATTATTTCCAACTCAGAATAAAATTTCTAGCCAAACAAATTGCAAAATAAAGTTTGCCAGATATGCAAAGTATCAAAAATTTTCTTCCCATTCCCATTGTCTCAAGAAGCTACTAAAGGAGGTACCTCATAAAAATAGTTTTTAGTATTTGGAGATCCGTATTGGAACACGTAAGATAACTCTGAGATTGCTATCTTTTAGAAGGTTAAAAATGATAAGCTTGCATATTTTAAAAGCAAATTTACATGTATAGTGGATTAATTGCTAAATTATGATAAATACCCAGATACAGAGTAAATGACAACAATGTAATCATTGGGATTACATTGGGATTACTCCATGGGAAACAAGCAAAAACAAATGTATATAATAAAAAAATCATAGTAGACTCCTTGCCTCAGCCGTATAAAGGGAAAACAACATATATAATATGTGTAGGGCAATCTTATATTTGTTAACAAATCAATAAATTATCAAGAAATGTAAGCATATTTTGTAAATATATGCAGAAAAATATCAAAAACCACAGAAAAAATTCTTTCAAGTGGCTGCCCCTAGGACAGAATGCACAGGAAAATGTATGACATTCTTTTAAATTTCAGTGATACTTGAAAAACTACTTGACATTTTAACTTAGTCATATATGATTTGATAAAAGCAAAAGTTGCCTTTTAATAGACCAATTAGGCTGCATTGGCTTCGTGATTTTCAAATAAACAGTACACTAAATTTCAAGCTGTATGTATTCCTGTGGTGTTTTAATGTTTCAAGTGAGTATGCATTTTGTATAGCAGAAAACAATCATATTTTAAGGTGAAGAGGACAAAAGTGTGCTATATTTTTTAACTTTTTTTTTTAATTTGAGAATATCCACCTATGGGCACTTTACTTTCAAACACATATTTACAGAGTTGTTTTCCTTAGAACCCTGTCCATGACCTTCCATTGTCTTTTAGTTTTGAAAATTGCCTGAGAGTATTTTAAGTCTAGACTCATTTTGATGCTTTTCCTGAAAATAAGCTATATACCAGCTGGATTATAATTAAGACATACAGAAATTCCTGCAGAATGACTCTAGACTTAGTTTGGAAATGATTCTAGTTTGCATTCTATTTTGCACAAATAATTTGGAAGAAAAAAATCTCTCTCTATATATATATATATATTTGTGATTGTTCTATAGTTTTGTTTTTGTTGTGTTTTTTCTTGTTTATAAAAATTTTAGGTATAGATATCAAAGCAATGTTTTTTACATAGAATTTTCATCTTTACTATGCTTTACTAGTCTAAATTATACAAGATTTATTCAATTTGGCCACCGGAGACTTTTAGGAATGCAATTTGTTAATGCAAACTTTTGTTTCTCCAATGGTAATTAACTTTTTCAGGGAATCCTTTTTCTTCTTCATTAGCTAATATCTATAATATAATGACAATGATTATATAATATTAATAATTTAATAATTATTTTTTATTTTGAAAATTTTTCATTTACTTGACAAATATTTTAATATACTTATTTGTCTTAAATACCAATTTAATTAACAACACGATTTTGGGAAAATTCCTCTTTTCTTCTATAAAATATTCTTAATTTCAAGTGCCTTCTATTTGAAGTCATTTTATGTTTTTATGTTTTATCTGTTTGTTGGTTTATTTTGCTTTAGAATTTCCTTCTCTTAACCTGGTGTGTGAATATCAGAATGTATAGAGTTAAATTTCTTTGAATGACCTTAGTTATAGAAATATGCCAGAATAGTTTTAATTATAAGTGTCTAGAAGATAATTTTGGCTGACATGGTGCTCAAAAGCTATATTGAAAGCTACCCCTCTCAGCAAGATAAGGAAGAGAAGGTTAGATGGCCTTAGCATGTCCATGGTCACAGAAATACTATTTAAATGAAAGGAAGAAAGAGACAACTATGCAACAGAAATCTTGATATGATTAGAGCTTCTTTATTAAAATCCATAACTTTTTCGTCTCCTAGGAATACAAATAATATGTCATGCAGCTTATGCCTTTCATAAAACTTTTAATACAAGTTAACAGAAATGCTGTTGATTTACTTAGCAGGATAACATTTTCTATAAGAATCAAAACTACTGATTTAGCTATAAAAGAATTCACAACATTTGCATTAATTAATCCAGCTTCATATATAATATAATGTGTGAATTTTCTAGCTGCTCACAATTCATTTTGGCTCTTTATTTTCATGAATGATGATTATGATTATGATCATGATCATTGTGTCTGAAGATACTCAAATATAATATCACGTTTTTTTTTCTTTCAAAATTAATACCCTGGGAAAAAAGAACCTAACATCAAATGCTTATATTATTTCCTTGATGTTGTTATTTTTACAGTCATTAATCCCTACCATGGATGTCAGTAAATAAATTTAAGTTTGGAATATATTGAAGATTACCTAGGAACACGATCAGAATGTGTGTGAATGTGTGTGTGATTCTGAATTCTGATACACAACAGAGGAATGACTGGCAGATTTCACACCCAAGCCTTTAGTGTCAGTAAACTAGATAAGAATATTGTAAATATGAATGAACAACCATTAGAAAGGAAGAGAGATAAAAAGGGGAGGAAAATGTTCAGCTTCATGAAAAGAGAATGAAAGTAATCAGTGTCACTAAAATTCAAAACACTAGTGAACATTGGTTTAAAAATTAGCAACAGATATCAGTGACAGTATGAACAAAAATAATTAACAATTAAATTGAAAATTACAGCTGCATATCATTGTTTCTCAAATATATACCAGCTAATAGAGAAATAAGGATTCTCACAATTTATTTTAATTTAATCTTCTTCACACATTTCAGACATATTACAAATTCAAAAATGGTTAAACAAGTTTAACACCTCCAGAGTAGTCATTAAAAAATCGAATATAATTTATATGAAATAGTGTGAAGTGCCAAGTAAGTAGTAAACGATTTAATCTTATGACAAAATACTACATATTAATGGACCAAGTCATCAAAGTGTCTACAAGTATTAAAAATAAGACATCTATGCCAGGGACAGTGGCTCACGCCTGTAGTCCCAGCACTTTGGGAGGCAGAGGTGGGCAGATCACGAGGTCAGGAGATCGAGACCATCTTGGCCAACTGGTGAAACCCTATCTCTACTAAAATACAAAAAAAAAATTAGCCCGGCGTGGTGGAGTGTGCCTGTAGTCCCAGCTACTCTGGAGGCTGAGGCAGGACGACAATCGCTTGAACCCGGGAGGTGGAGGTTGCAGTAAGCTGAGATCATGCCACTGCACTCAAGCCTGGCAACAGAGCAAGACTCCATCTCCAATAAATAAATAAATAAATAAATAAATAAATAAATACAAAGACACCTATGAAATATCCTTGAATTTAAAGCACATGATCTTAAGATGACCTTTAAACCACTAATTCAACAGTGAAATGACTTTTTATGGAATACAGTTTGAGGGTCATAGATCAAATTGAATTATATTACAGGGTTCCCTCTATGACACACAATACATGTAATAAATAACTTGGAAACTAGTTCTGATACATAGTTTATAATCTTACTTTTAAAGAAAAGCAACTTTGTGAACAACAGGGAAGACAATTTCTTGATTTTGGCACTAGCAAAGAAATAGGTTTATGGATTTCAAATACAAATAATAAATGGAATCACTTGGAGAATGGGAAGATTAATAACATAAAAGTCCACCAAGTTTACATAGAAATCTTCAAATACTGTGGCTGATTTCTTGTGTTTATCTTACCAAACTGTAAAAATGCTTTCAGAGTATTGCAGAATACTCTACAGTTGAGATAATAAGCTACTCTTATGTTATTTATGCAATATTATTCTTTAATAAACAAAATGTATTGTATTTTAATTGTATAACTATTTGAAAATATTTTAACTGTATTTCCTAGGAGTATAGATTTTTAGAGGAAAGCACATTCAAATGGATTTAATAAAATCTAAAATATTTAGTTGATGAACTGACATTTTTATTAATTAAAGGGTAATTTAATAGTCATCTACTCCAATTTTTTTCTAAAGGAGGCTCTCTCAAAACTTGTATCTAAAATATGGAGAAAAACATTTGTTTTACTCACAACCTGACAAGGTACTTAATTTTTATTTACAAGTGCTCTATTTTAAGTCCTTCATTTGATTTTTAATCATAAAAATAATTAATGTATTCACTCAAGAGAAACTTGGGGTGCAGAGTCTGTGAAACTTTGCGTATTTCAGGAAAAGATACATAGATGGGTTAAGCAACTGCTGCAATTTGAATGTCTCCTTCAAAATTCATGCTGAAACCTAATCCCCATTGTGTGACTATTGAGAGGTGGGAATCTAAAAGTGATTGGATCATAAGAGCTCTGAGCTCATGAATAAATTAATCCATTAATAGATTAATGGATTAATGGGTTAATGGATTAATTGGTTACCATGAGAGTGGAAATGGGGGCTTTATAAGAAGAGGAAGAGATATCCGAGCTAGCATATTACCATGCTCAGCCCCTTTCCCCTTTACCACGTGATGCCTTGCTGTTTCAGGACTGTAGTCTCACCACCAGCAAGAAGGCCCCTCACCAGATGATACTTCTGTTACCTTGTACTTCTCAGCCTCCAAAACTGTAAGACATACATTTATTTTCTTTAGATATTACCTAGTTTAAGGTATTCTGTTATAAGCAACAGAATTTTGACTAATACAGCAACCCACTACATTTAAAGGGGATGGGAAGACCAAATTAAATTTTCATTTCAGTACATTGTATAGATGGTAGAGTTATAAAAGTGTAATGTGCAAATATCTTAATATTTTAAGATAAATTAAAAATTATAATTATGTAGGCTGAAATTATTAAATGATTTCTATATACATAAGTTCTATGTTAAGTACTTTGTGTCAGAGTTCTGGGCCTGAAACTTTACACACTGTTATACATATTGTCAGTTAGACAGGGACCTACTCAAAAGGCATTTTTTAATCACTTGCAAGAATCAGTAGAAAACAAATGCAGGTGAATTTGGAACAATGCAGGGGTTAGGGGTATTGGCCCCCTGCACAGTTAAAGCCAGTATATGTTTTGACTCTCTAAACAACATTACTAATAGCTTACTGTTGACCAATAACATAAACAACGCGTATTTTTGTATTCTATTTATTCTATGCTGTATCCTTGATGTAAGCCAGAGAAAAGAAAATATTATTAAGAAAATCATAAGGAAGGGAAAATATGTTTGCTCTTAAGTGAAAGTGGATCACCATAAAGGTCTCTATCTCTGTAATCTTCACAAGTTGCAGGCTAAATAGGAGGAGAAGTGGCTAGTCTTGCTGTCTGTTTCAGAGGTGGCAGAGGTGGGAGAAAATCTGTGTATAAGTGGACTCATAGAGTTCAAACCCATGTTTTCAAGAGTCAACTTTATTTTAAAATGAAGGAATTTTAAAAGAAAACTAAATATCAGAAAGAGTATTGTATCGTTATTTCCAGATCAAGCATTTTAGGTAAATTGATTCAATCATTCTAATATTACCTAGATGAAATCTGTCAGCACAATGTTGACGAAAATTAAATGGCATTTCCGACCTCATAATTTATTGTTAGGGACATAATATATCTCTAAAATGTAATGACATAATATACTTTTGACATTATAACTTTAAAAAATATAATGTTTAGGCCGGGCACGGCGGCTCATGCCTGTAATCCCAGCACTTTGGGTGGTCCAGGCAGGTGGATCACGAGGTCAGGAGATGGAAACTATCCTGACTAACACAGTGAAACCCCATCTCTAAAAAATTAGCTGGGCGTGGTGGCGGGCACCTGTAGTCCCAGCTACTCGGGAGGCTGAGGCAGGAGAATGGCGTGAACCTAGGAGGCGGAGCTTGCAGTGAGCCGAGATCGCACCACTGCACTCCAGCCTGGGCAACAGAATGAGACTCCGTCTCAAAAAAATATATATATATATGTATATATATATAAACATATATATATAATGTTTTATAATTCTAAAAGGAAGAGTTTCTAGAATAAAAGGAACACATGATGCTGGAAAAGGACGGGTTTCAGAAAAAATCTCCTCTGATAAAATATTACTGAGCAGAAATTGGAAAGATGGCTCAAATAAAGCAAGATAAAAATGGCAACAAACAAACAAACAATAACAACAACAAAAATTTAAGGCAGAGGGACCAGCATATGCAAAAATCCCATGAAGACACAAAGTGGGCACATGTGAGAGCCTCATATGTTCTTTTCAATGAGCTTGAATAGCGAAATTGGAGACAGTTCTCGGTACTTAACAGACCACAATGATGTATTGTATCTCTTGCTGAAGAGAATTTACTATCAGAGAATGCTTTAATCAAAGCATGGAGATTGTGATGGTTGTTGATGAACACTTATTTGAATGATAAATTTAAATATTTAATAACACTCTCGTACCATGTAGTTTATATTATCAAAGATATACTGAATTAGAGGTGACTCCGCTTTGTTTTTTACAAAATCCCAGATGGAAGAACGGTCATTTATGAATGAAAGAAGTCAGATGAAATATAACTTATATTTGTAAAAATATACTCACACAGGCAATGGATAAGTCATGCATATTTGTTTTCTCAAAAGACGCCTGCATTGAGTGGTAGTGAACAAAAGGGTTGATTCTGAATTTGAAGTGGTTAACCACAAAACTCTCCTCTAATATTTTAAATTAAAATTATTATAACCTGTTAGTATTTTTATCTATTAATAATTCAAAATAATAACCTTATACTACATTTTATTCTCTCTTTTACTGCAATGCCAGTTGAGTTATTGATGTGGTGGTTGTTTGATTTTCCATCAGACTGGAGGCTATTTTGTAAAGAAAATCATGTTGCAGTCAGATAGCCAAGGATAAACTCTCAACTCAGTCAGTTTCCAATTCCATCACTTTGGTAAATTGGTTATATTCTAAAGTATTACTGCTCAAGGTGTGGTTCCTGACCTAGAAGTATCAATATTACTGGGAAATTGTTGAAAATGTTAACTCTTGGATCTTTAACTTTGGGGTTGAAGTCCCAAACTCTGTTACATCAAGTGACTTCCACACATAGTATTTGAGAATCACTGCTCTGAATTTTAGTATCTTCAAATGTGAAGGTGATTTAATAATACTTCCTATTTCAAACATGGCATATTGGAGGCAGTGTTAGCATGCCTCTCCCACTAGGAAAGACAAAAGATATGTAGATATTCACACTGTGAACTTTTTTCCAATGAGCAATGCAGGAACTTAACAGGAAAACTGAAATCCACAGGTTTTTTGAAAGAAGTGGCAGGCCATAGCCTACACCATGAGCCAGGCGAAAAACTGTTAAGTCCTCAGAGTGTGAGAGGGAGAGAGACTGTCTCTAGGATATGTTCCCCCATTGGGGAACCTGGCAGTCTAGCTTATGAGGAAAGGCCTTAACCTACCTAGCACTGGAACTGATTTAGGTGGCAGTGAGGAAGATAAAAGTAGGAATAGCAGTGGGAGGAGACTTGTGTTAATTTCCAGTCTCCAGCACAGACGAAGGGAAATCGTTCCTTATTCTGCCTCACAGGGGACCTCATGAAGTCTGCCAACCCAAATGAATTTTGCGATATAACCTCAAGTGGGGAAGAACTCCCTTAGCCAGAGCCGGGGCAGGCAGGGTTGTAGGGTGCAGGCAAGTGGGAAGTGTGTTACAGCCATAAGTGCAGGAGCTGGGCACCCAGGCTGTGTGGGAGAACTGGAAGGGATGTGGCCAGAAGGCTGTAGTTCTTGTATTCATAGGAAGGTAGATGGTCCGGAGCAGTTTTGAGTTCTGAGCTTAGATGACCTGGAATGTAGCTCACTCCTGCTACCAGAAAACTATGGGTGTGAGATCTGTCCTTCCCAGCGCATAGGAGCTGGGTGGGGTTTGCTGCAGCATGTTACTCCCCACTCTCTGTATGAACTATTCTTTGCAGCAGAGGCAGTTACACTCCTCTCTGTAACATTACCCCAGTTGGCAGAAAACTACCCTCCCACCCAACAGCAGCAGGGGCCTTGGTTTGCTCCACATGCAGAGATTCAGAGAATAGACCTGCTTGACCCATCCCCCAGCTGGCTTTGCTCCTATACTGGCCATGGTAGCTTAAGGCAAGCACAAATTCCAAAGCTACTCTGACAGCTGATGCACTTTTCCAAGCACCACCTCCTGACTGGAAGCCAACCGACACAGTCCATTATAGCATCAACAGATAGAATAACACTGTACCCAGGAAGGGGAAAACTTGTGCATGACCTCAGCTATCACCATTGCCTGCAGCAACCTGGCTAACCAGGAGGTTCTGAGTCTGTCCAGGTGACCTGTTCATTACTTGCAGGTGTTCTCCATCAACAGCCCGGAATGTGGCAGCCACACTGTGTAGGTAATCCCAGAGGAACACAGCATATACAGTAGCCTGGCTTTCAGGGACTCCTACTTCTAGAAGAACAAGGAGCGTACCACATTAAGGGGACACCTCATGGGACAAAAGAACTCAAACAGCAGGCTTGAGGTCCAGATCTCTCTGCTGACAGGGTTTCTTTCAGCAAAGAAGCCATTGTAATGCTGGGCTCAGCACCGAAAATCTATGGTTCGACTCCAACAGACAGGCAGCTCTGGTGTTTGCAAAGAGTCTTGGAGAAGGGGACTTCTTTCCCCCCTTGTTTATCACTGCAGACACATCTGGGGCTCTTCTTATGGAAGCTCAGTGTATTAGTCTGTTTGCACATGGCTGTAAAAAACTATCTGAGATTGGGTAGTTTATAAAGAAAAGAGGTTTAATTTACTCACAGTTCCATATACAGGGGAGACCTCAGGAAACTTACAGTTATGGTGGAAGGTGAAGGAGAAGCAAGGCATGTCTTACAGGGTGGCAAGAGACAGCGAGAGTGAGGGGAGAATGGGAAAACACTTTTAAACCATCAGATCTCATGAAAACTCATTCACTATCATAAGAACAGCATGAGAGAAACCACCCCCATGCTCCAATCACCTCTCACCAGGTACCTCCCTCAATACATGGGAATTATAATTCTAGATGAGATTTGGGTGAAGATACAGAGTCAAACCATATCATTCCACCCCGGCCCATCAAAAATCTCATGTCATTCTCACATTTCAAAACACAATCATGCCTTCCCAAGAGTCCCCTGAAGTCTTAATGCACTCCAGCATTAACTCAAAAGCCCAAGTCCAAAATCTCATCTGCAACAAGGCAAGAGTCTATCATCTATGAACACGTAAAATCAAAAGCAAGTTAGTTACTTCCAAGATAACAACGTGGGTACAGGCATTAGGTAAATGCTCCCATTCCAAATGGGAAAAATTGGCCAAAACAAAGGGGCTACAGGCCTTATGCAAGTCTGAAACTCAGTGGGAGAGTCACTAAATCTTAAAGCTCCAAAATAATTTCCTTCGACTCCATGTCTCACATCCAGGGCACACTGATGCAAGACGTGGGCTCCCAAGGCCTTGGGCAGCCCTGCCCTTGTGGCTCTGTAGTGTACAGCCCCTGCAGCTGCTTTCATAGCCTGGTGTTAAGTGTTTGCTGCTTTTCCAGGTGCACAGTGCAAGCTATTGATGAATCTATCATTCTGGAGTCTGGAAGAAGGTGACTTTCTTCTCATGGTTCTACTAGGCAGTACCCCAGTGGGGACTCTGTGTGGGGGTGCCAACCCCACATTTCCCCTCCGCATTGTCCTAGTAGAGGTTCTCTACCAGGGCTCCACTCCTGCAGCAGACTTCTGCCTGGACATCCAGGTGTTTCCATACATCTTCTCAAACTTAGGTGGAGGTTCCCAAACTACAATTCTTGCCTTCTGCACACCCACAGGCTCCACATCACATGGAAGCTGCCAAGGCCTTGCACCCTCTGAAGCAGCGGCTCAAGCTGTACTTTGGTTTCTTTTAGCCAGTCTCTGCTCTGGCTCCCTTTTAAACATAAATTCCATTTCAGACCATTTCTTTGTGAATGCATATGACTATACACTTTCAGGAGAAGCCAGGTCACACCTTGAATGCTTTGCTGCTTAAAATTCTTTTTTTTTTGACAGATACTCTAATTATCTCTTTCAAATTCATAGTTCCACAGATCTCTGGGGCAGGAACTTCATAGTTCCGCAGATCTCTGTGCCCCAGCCCATGAAACAATTTTTCCCACCTAGGCCTCTGGGCCTGTGATGGGAGGGGATGGCAAGAAGATCTCTGAAATGCCCTGGAGACATTTACCCCATTGTCTTGGCTCTTAACATTTGGCTATTCTTTATTTATGCAAATATCTACAGCCAGAGACTTTAATTTCTTCCCAGAAAGTGGGTTTTTCTTTTCTACCACATGGTCGGGATGCAAATTTTCCAAACTTTTGTACTCTGCCTCCCTTGTAAACATAAGTTCCATTTCAGACAATCTCTTTGTGAATACATATGACTATGTGCTTTCAGAAGAAGCCAGGTCACATCTTGCATGCTTTGCTGCTTAGAAATTTTTTTGACAGTTACGCTAATTTTCTCTTTCAAGTTCATAGTTCCACAGATCTCTGGGGCAGGGACAAAATGCCACTAGTCTCTTTGCTAAGGCATAGCAAGAGTCACCTTTGCTTTAGTTCCCAATAAGTTCTTCATCTCCATCTGAGACCACTTCAGCATGGACTGAATGCTAATATCACTATCAGCATTTTGGTCACAGCCATTAAACAAGTCTCTAAAGAGCTCCAAACTTCCCTACATCTTCTTGCCTTTTTCTGAGCCCTCCAAACTGTTCCAATCTCTGCTTCCAAAGCCACTTCCACATTTCAGGCATCTTATAGCAGTGCCCCAAACTTCTGGTACCAATTTTCTGCTTCTCTTTGAAGGTCACTGCAGCCATCAGCTTCACAGAATTTACTTTTCTTCACATCGCTGTTTTTTTTTTTTTTTTTTAACACTGCAGCCCCTCCCTGCCTGGCCTGTGCTTCCCACCAACGATGACCTTTCTGCAACTTCAGTGCCAGTGGAATCCCAGATCTGCGGCTGCTTCTGAGCACTGCTGACTGCTTCTAGGTCCCAAAACCACCAATCAGAAGAGCCAAACCATGTCACTCATCAAAGGTAGACCCATAGACAGCCCTTCTGGAACTGCAGGGTGACTGCATTCCCACAGAAGGAGCACCCTCCAGGTCCAGGCCTGCATGGGAAATAGAGTCACAATTCCTCTCTATTTAGACATTCCTGAAGATGAAAAGAGGTGCTTGTCTAATCTGAATAGCTGGAACACTCGTTCAAGAGTGTGTTTGGGAAGTGAGTAACTTTCCTGGGAGCTGAGTTGGCTCCAATCCTTCTATCTGAGAAGATCTCAGTGTGTTTCACTGAGAGCTCCCCCAGCCACCTATGTCAAGGCTGGGACCTCTGCCCACCATTGGGTACTGCATTATGCACCTGCTTTAGCCACAGCAGGTTTTTACCAGGGGCACCTCCTCTTTGGGCCTGAAGCCTGAGGTATTCAACCAAGTAAATAAAATACTAGGAGAAAATAAAGAAAGAAAGAAATACACAGACTACAGAGGAATAAGATAAGCTTCAAGAGACTTCTGCCATTCCAACCCTAGAGGAGAAAGTGAACTTGTTCACACACTGAGCACACTGCTGCTACAACCAGAGCCAAGAAAGCCATCAGACAAAGACTCTCTATAACTGAGGAAATCATACAAACTCTTCACTCCTGAAAGCACCAAGACCTGAATTAGTCTAGAAGAAACAATAAACATCCTTCAGGAAGAAAAAAGAAATTGAAGAAACAGTCAAATAAAAAATAAATTCAAGTATAATTAGAAGAAATAATCTAACCAAATAAGAGAAATCAGAAAGATATTTCTGGTGCTATGACAAAATAAGGTGCTATAACTGCCCAAAATATCACACTAGCCCCCCCCCCCCCAGCAATGGATCCAAACCCAGACAAACCTTTTGAAACACCAAATTTTAAAAATTCAAAAATTTGATTATTAAGCTATTCCAGAAGGTGTCAGAGAAAGGTGAAAACCAACATAAAGAAATTTTAAAAAATTTTAGGATACAAATAAAAACTTTTCTAAAGAGATAGATATCTTAAAGAAATGCAAATCAGAATTTCTGGAAATGAAAGGTACACTTAGAGAATTACAAAATGGAGGGGAAAGTTTCAACAATGGACTACAAAGGGAAGAAGAAAAAATTTCATAGCTCACTGATATGGTTTGGCTGTGTCCACATCCAAATCTCATCTTGAATTGTAGTTTCTGTAATCCCCACAAGTATGGCAAGGACCAGTGGGAAAAAACTAAATCATGGGGGCTGTTACCCTTATGCTGTTCTCGTGATACTGAGTGAGTTTTCACAAGACGTGATGGTTTTATAAGGGGCTATTTCTCCTTTGCTTGGCATTTCTCCTTCCTGCTGCCCTGTGAAGAAGTTGCCTTTCTTCCCCTTCACCTTCCACCATGATTGTTAATTTCTTGAGGCCTTCCCAGCCATGCAAAACTGTAAGCCAATTAGATCTCTTTCCTTTATAAATTACCCAGTCTTGGGAAGTTCACAGAAGCATAAGAACAGACTAATACACTCAGAGACAAGGGTTTTGAATTAACCCAATCAGAAAAAAAGAAAGAAAGATGAATACAAAGAAATGAGCAAATTCAAAATACCGATGAAACAAAAAGTTGGTTGAGAGAATAAAAAAATTATACGTTATTAGCTAGATTAACCAAGAAGAGAAGAGAGAAGATTCAAATAAGCTCAATTAGAAATGAAACTGGAAGCACATGGTTTCTAAAGTCACCTGCTTGACCCTCTTCCAAGTTGTACTTTCCTTCTTTTCTCTCTTTTCCTTATTATTCTAAAGCTTTTTAATAAACTTGCACTCTGGCTCTGAAAAAAAAGTAATGAAACTGGGGACATTACAACTGACCCTACAGAAGTACAAAATAACATTTGAGATTATTATAAACACCTGTATGCATGCAAACTAGAAAACCTTGAGGACAACCTAGATTAGGAGGGTTATAAGTTTCCAGGAATTTATCCATTTATTCTAGGTTTTCTATTTGTGTGCATTAAACCAGGAAGAAATAGAAATCCTGAACAGACCAAAGGTAAGCAGCAAGGTTGAATCAGTAATAAGGAAAAATTGTCAACAACAAAAATGCCCAAGGCCAGGTGGCATCACGGATCATTTCTACCAGGCATTCAAAGAAGATTTGATACCAACCCTAGTGAAATTATTCCAAAAGGTAGACAAAGAGGGAATCCTCTTTAAATCTTTCTATTAAGCCAGTATCACCCTGACACCAAAACTAGGAAAGGACCTAACCAAAAAGGAAAACTATAGACTAATATTCCTGATGAACATAGATGCAAAATCCTCAACAAAGTACTAACTTACCAAATCCAATAACACATCAAGAAGATATATACAATGATCAAGTGGGTTTCATCTCAGGGATACAGGGATAGTTTAATATATGCAAGTCAATCAATGTGATATATTATATAAACAGAATGAAAAACAGAAACCGTATGATCATCTCAATAGATGCAGAAAAAACATTTGATAAGATCCAGGATCGCTTTAAGATAAAAATGCTCAACAAACTGGGCCTAGAAGGGACTTACCTCAAATTATTGAAAGACATATATGACAAACCCACAGCCAACATTATTACTGGATAGATAAAAGTTGAAAGCATTCTCCCTGAGAACTGGAAGAAGACAGGGATGCCCACTTTCACCACTTCTTTTTTTTTCTTTTTTTTTAAATTATACTTTAAGCTCTAGGGTATATATGCACAATGTGCAGGTTTGTTAAATAGGTATACATGTGCCATGTTGGTGTGCTGCACCCATTAACTCGTCATTTACATTTGGTATATCTCCTAATGCTATCCCTCCCCCATCCCCTCACCCCACAACAGACCCCGATGTGGGATGGTCCCCTTCCTGTGTCCAAGTGTCTCATTGTTCAGTTACCGCCTATGAGTGAGAACATGCGGTGTTTGGTTTTTTGTCCTTGCGATAGTTTGCTGAGAATGGTAGTTTCCAGCTTCATCCATTTCCCTACAGAGGACATGAACTCATCATTTTTTATGGCTGCATAGTTTTCCATGGTGTATATGTGCCACATTTTCTTAATCCAGTGTATCATTGATGGACATTTGGGTTGGTTCCAAGTCTTTGCTATCGTGAACAGTGCTGCAATAAACATACGTGTGCATGTGTCTTTATAGCAGCATGATTTATAATCCTTTGGGTATATACCCAGTAATGGGATGGCTGGGTCAAATGGTATTTCTAGTTCTAGACCCTTGAGGAATTGCCACACTGTCTTCCACAATGATTGAACTAGGTTATAGTCCCACCAACAGAGTAAAAGTGTTCCTATTTCTCCACATCCTCTCCAGCACCTGTTGTTTCCTGACTTTTTAATGATCGCCATTCTAACTGTGTGAGATGGTATCTCATTGTGGTTTTGATTTGCATTTCTCTGATGGCCAGTGATGATAAGCATTTTTTCATGTGTTTTTTGGCTGCATAAATGTCTTCTTTTGAGAAGTGTCTGTTCATATCCTTCACCCACTTTTTGATGGGGTCGTTTGTTTTTTTCTTGTAAATTTGTTTGAGTTCATTGTAGATTCTGGATATTAGCCCTTTGTCAGATGAGTAGATTGCAAAAATTTTCTCCCATTCTGTAGGTTGTCTGTTCACTCTGATCATAGTTTCTTTTGCTGCGCAGAAGCTCTTTAGTTTAATTAGATTCCATTTATCAATTTTGTCTTTTGTTGCCATTGCTTTTGGTGTTTTAGACATGAAGTCGTTGCCCATGCCTATGTCCTTAATGGTATTGCCTAGGTTTTCTTCTAGGGTTTTTATGGTTTTAGGTCTAACATTTAAGTCTTTAATCCATCTTGAATTAATTTTTGTATAAGGTGTAAGTAAGGGATCTAGTTTCAGCTTTCTACATATGGCTAGCCAGTTTTCCCAGCACCATTTATTAAATAAGGAATCCTTTCCACATTTCTTGTTTCTGTCAGGTTTGTCAAAGATCAGATGGTTGTAGATGTGTGGTATTATTTCTGCGGGCTCTCTTCTGTTCCATTCTCTATATCTCTGTTTTGGTACCAATACCATGCTGTTTTGGTTACTGTTGCCTTGTACTATAGTTTGAAGTCAGGTACTGGAAGTCCTATTCTGAACAATCAGGCAAGAGACAGAAAGAAAGGACACCACTTCTATTCAACATAGTACTGGAAGTCCTATTCTGAACAATCAGGCAAGAGAAAGAAAGAAAGGACATCCAAATAGGAAAAGTGGAAATCAAACTATCATGGTTCACTGCTGATATAATTGTATACCTATAAAGAACTAAGGACTCATCCAAAAGACTCCAAGATCTGATAAACAAATTCAGCAATGTCTAAGGTTCCAAGATCAATGCATACAAATCAGTAGCATTGCTGTACATCACCAACAACCAAGCTGAGAATCAAATCAATAACTGAATTTGCTTTACAACAATTGCAAAAAATATTAAATACATAGGAATATATTTAACCAAGACAGTGAAAGATCTCTACAAGGAGAACTACAAAACACTGCTGAAGTAAATTATAGATGACACAAACAAATAAAAACACATCTCATGCCCATGGATTGGAAGAATCAGTATTGTAAAAGTGACCACACTGCCCAAAGCAATCTAAAGATTCAATGCAATTCCCGTTTTAAAAACCACATTATTTTTTCAAGAATTAGAAAAGACATTCTTAAAGTTCATATGGAACCAAAAAGGAGCCTGGATAGACAAAGAAATCCTGAGCAAAAAGAACAACTCTGGAGGCATCAAGTTACTGGACTTCAAGTTTTACTTCAAGGCTATATTTAGCAAAACAGCATGGTACTGGCATAAAAGTAGGCACATAGAGAACTGGAACAGATTAGAGAACCCAGAAATAAAGCTAAATACTTAGAACCAACTGATCTTCAACAAAGAATTCAAAAACGTAAATTGAGGAAAGTACGCTTTATTTAATAAGTGATGATGGGAAAACTGGCAAGTCACATGCAGGAGAATGAAACTGGATCCCTGTCTCTCACCTCATACTAAAATCTACTCAAGATGTATCAGAGACTTAAATGTAAGACCTGAAACCATAAAATTTCTAGAAGAAAACCTAGGAAAAACTCCTCTGGACATTGGCTTCGGCAAAGAATTTATGACTAAAACCACAAAAGCAAATGCAACGAAAATAAAAAAAATATATGAGATCTGATTAAATTAAAAATCTTCTGCACAGCAAAAGAAATAATCATCAAAGTAAACAAACAACTCACAGCATGGAATAAAATATTTGAAACCTATACATCCGACAAAGGACTACTATCCAGAATATACAAGGAACTCAAACAAATCAGCAATAAAAAAAATAAATCTTTCCATCAAAAAGTGGGCAAATGACATAAATAGCCTGAAAGAAGATATACAAATGGCCAACAATCATATGAAAAAATGCTCAACATCAGTAATCATCAGGGAAATGCTAATTAAAACCATAATGAGATTCCACCTTACTCCTGCAAGAATGGTCGTTATTGAAAAGTCAAAAAACAATAGATGTTGGCATGGATGTGGTGAAAGGGGAACACTTATACACTACTGGTGGGAATATAAATTAGTACAACCTCTATGGAAAACGGTATGAAGATTCTTTGAAGAGCTAAAAGTAGATCTACCATTCAATTCAGCAATTCCAGTACTGGGCATCTACCCAAAGGAAAATAAGTGGTTATGTGAAAAAGACACATGCACATGTATGTTTACTACAGCCTAATTCACAATTACAAAAACATGGAACCAGCCGAAGTGTCCATCAGTCAATGATTGGATAAAGAAAATGTGGTATATATACACGGTGGCATATTACTCAGCCATAAATGGAATAAAATAATGTTAATTTGCAGCAACTTGGTTGGAGCTGGAGGTCATTATTCTAAGTGAAGTAACTCACGAATGGAAAATCAAACACCATATGTTCTCACTTATAAGTGGGAGCCAAGTTATGAGTATACAAAGGCATATAGAGTGATATAATGGACCTTGGAGTCTCCAAGGGAGAAGGGTGAGAGGGAGTATATGCGATAAAAAAAAGAACTACATATTGGGTGCAATGTACACTACTCAGATGATAGGTGCATTGAAATCTCAGAATTCAGCACTATATAATTGACCCATGTAACCAAATACCACTAGTACTCCCAAAACAATTGAAATCTGAAAATATATTAATTAAAAAATAATGTTACCTACTTCAACAGATTATAATTAAGATTATATTACATAATCCTGACAAACAGTACAGTGAGTATTAAAATTTCTCAGTAAATATTAGCTATAATATAATTATTAGACTATTTTTCATTAGCTTAGAGAGAAGTTTCGCCATTGATAGAAGTGAGGTTAAGAACAGAGGCTGTCAAAGTGTGACCTCCAGAGCAGTAGCATTAGCATCCTGGGAACTTGTCAGAAACAAATTTCTGGGTCCCAGGCAGCTCTTACTGAATCAAAAACTCTGCAGCAATTTGGGTTTTTAGCAAATTCTCCAAGTAATTATGATTCATGCAAAAATTTGGGAACCATTGAATCTGACAGCTGATACAAGTATTTCCAATCTGCATAAATATTTTGAATTCAATCATTTGTCTTTTCTTGAAGTGGACTGATCACATCACTTAAAAAATAATCATATTAATTGCATGCACAATATCCTTAGTATTCCAAAATTTACTTGTCTTCTAAATTTTCTTTGTTACCTGTCAGAACAATATTATCAAAATAACAATAATCTAATCATTCAAATATAGACAGATGATAGACAGATGATAGATTATAAATAAAGTGTGAAATAGGCTACATGGTTTGTAACCTCAATAATTATACAGTTTTTTATATGTGACAAAACACTCACGTGTAAATAATATTGTAGTCATTGTATATCAAAATAAGGATAATAATCAAAAAGTTAAAAAAATTTTAAAAACTGAGCATTTATAATGTATGGCTTGCCATGAAGTAATGTTTTCAGCTTTAAAAATGTTTAAGTTACGTACACACATCTATATATACACACATCTATATATATATATATATATATACACATACACATATATATGAATAATTTATTCCAATAATTAAAAAATAATGAATTTGGTCTAGCTAAATATAGGTGCATTTTAGAAATAGATAAGAAATTGTAAAAATATCAGCCAATTGTTAAACTCACAGTCTTTGATTACCTGAAAGAATTCTGTGCCTGGCCGGGCACAGTGGCTCACACCTGTAATCCCAGCACTTTGGGAGGCCAAGGTGGGCAGATCACCTGAGGTCAGGAGTTTGAGACAAGCCTGGCTAACATGGTGAAACCCTGTCTTTACTAAAAATACAAAAATTAGCTGGGCTTGCTGGCGTGCGCCTGTAGTCCCAGCTACTTAGGAGGCTGAGGCAAGAGAATCACTTGAACCCAGGAAGCGGATGTTGCAGTGAGCCGAGATTGCACCACTGCACTCCAGTCTGGGCAACAGAGCGAGACTCTATCTCAAAAAAAAAAAAAAAAAAAAAAAAGAAGAGAATTCTGTGCCTTTTATCCCTGTCTGTTTATGTGTGCATGTGCATGTGCAGATCCAGTCTCAGAAAAGTATAAGAATGCAAACACCGCATATTCTCACTCATAGGTGGGAATTGAACAATGAGAACACATGGACACAGGAAGGGGAACATCACACTCTGGGGACTGTTGTGGGGTGGGGGGAGGGGGGAGGGATAGCTTTAGGAGATATACCTAATGCTAAATGACGAGTTAATGGGTGCAGCACACCAGCATGGCACATGCATACATATATAACTAACCTACACATTGTGCACATGTACCCTAAAACTTAAAGTATAATAATAATAAAAAAAAGAATGCTTGCTTACAAATTGTGTTTCTTTAGCACTTAATGTTGTTTTGTGTTTTTCAAAAAAACAGCATCCAAATATACTGGTTGACAATTTGTTTCCAGTTTTTTTCTATAAATGACAAATAGGATATTTAATTTTTGTCTAGCGTAGAGAAGAAACATTATAATTTTGACAAAAATATGGTTTCACCTTTCATATAAAATTCTAAACCCGGTAGCACACTTACCTGAAAGGTGAGAAATATGACATTGCCCCAGTAAGTGACAACATCTGTGGTGCTATCACAAGGCTAAATTCCTTTATTGTGTCTTTTATAAGATACTGTTAAGTCTAGCAAAATACCATTTTGAGATGCTACTTAAACGTGGCTCAGAATAAATAAAAAATTGTCAAAGAAACGTTTTAAATTAACACTTCTGATTTTAAAATATAAAGCAATCAAAGACAGTGGTTTTCCAACGTGAACACACCGGGTATCAGAGGAGTATTATTGAGGCAATGTAAAGAGTATGACAGAAATCACTGACACAGCCACTAGGGATGCACGAAGCCATTCATAAGATATGTCATTGGTGTATTTTATCTGCTCCACTTACAATAAATCCTATGTTCTTGAAAGAATGTCATATTTATACTCTCAGGAACTGCCTTGTTAGTCATGTAGTTTAGTAACAGTGCCAAAAATAGTTCAGACTTTCTTGACCTTCTCTGTCTAGCATATAAACCTTAACCTGGAAGGAGCAGCTTTGAAGTCAGAGGGCAGTTATAGATCTGTCTGATTCTGATCCTTAGTTTCTCTACTGAGATTGCAAACACTCACTTGATATATTACATAAAATATTCTTTCATACTCCATCATGAACAGTACAAATAGTATTTAAACCCATCATATCTTTCCAAATATCACTTGTGCAATTATAATATGTTTTTCTTTTAGAAGGAATACATTGTCTTTCATAATTATATAAAATTAAAAATTGTGTTACACAACATGAGTTGTTTACTTCTATGAGCTGTGCAACGTTTGATGATGTCCTTTTTGAGGACACAAAAGCAGATATTGACATGCAGTATCATGCATGTGTTCTTAGAGAAGAGTTTAAATATGAAGATGATGGTATAGCCATCAGTTGGGATCTCAAATAAATTGTTTAATAAGTGTATTTCTATATTCAAAAGGCTGAAATAAACTTAAATCTTTTATGGCATTGCCCTTTTATGAATTGGCTTAGCTTATGTATTCTAAATGCCCATAAGTGATATTTTTTGGCTTCTTACTTCTTTATAACCAATCAAATTACATTTATAAAAGATTATTTAAATAACATTATCAACTAATATAAATATTTCAAATGTCTAGCAAGGCTGTAATTTATATATTCAAATATATCGTTCTAAAAATATTTGTACAAAGATAGAAATAATATTAGGTCACGCATAATGTATGTAGTGACTAAATTAAAAAGAAAGAGGAATTAGGTATAAAATTCCATTATTCTCCACCATACTTTCCTATGTGTTATAAAATTTAAGCAAATATGTCTTCAAGTCATGTTACATTATCTTCATAGTAAATTAATTTTTTCAATCACTGTGAGTAAATTGAGACATAACTGATAATTTGGAATTAGTTATATAATTAATTTTGTCAGTGCATTACAATTTTTAAGAGACCGTCTGTCTATAAAAGGATCTTAAGAAATTAGATTGGAAAATTACTATTATAACATTCTAAAAGCATAATATTAGAACTACAAGACCTTAATTATTTAGCACGAATCAAGTGACCTGACAAACTCAAAGTGCTAAATTGGCAATCTGTTTACCCGAGTATTTTCAGTAAGTTTTGTCTACTTTATAAGAAGACTGACAGGGATTGCTTTTTGCTATGAGACAGCCAAGATGACCTTTGAGTTCCCTCCTGAATTCTGAAGAAGAAACAAGTAAGATGGACAGGCTTGGTCAATTCTGATAATCAAAGGGCCACTTGACATTTTTAGTGAAGAGAAATAGAAATTCTAACGAGAATGTTTGGATAATACTAATTAAGGTGAGCTTGGTGGTATAAAAGTTATCACACCCACTCTCAAGGGCCACAGACACAAGTCACAAATAAACTTAGATATTGAATAGTGAAAAGATGGTGAATACAATTGGAACTGGAGAAGCAGAGTGAAGAATTAACTCCAAATTGACTAAATTGTCAAAGTCTAAATTCTTAACCCTGAATCTAATTAAACAACAGGTGATAATGGTTAATTTAAAAATGGATGCTTAGTTAATTAGCTATATCCGAGCATAATACCATTTTAGTAGCAAGTAAAAACCATAATTATATTAATAGCAGATTTCTAACACTTAATTTGTTGATATCCTAATTATAGGATTTGTTTTAACTTTATGAAAGAAAATGAAGCATCTAAGTCTGCTTTTAACAAAATAACTCATGTTCTTCAGGGCATATGACAAAAATCTATTTCAGTGTAAACATTAGTGAGAAAATATCCACAGAGAGTAAAGCCCATGAAGTTAGTAAAATAGTTTTATTATTTTGTGATACTATATAGCTAAATTAAATTGGCTACATTGTTTCATAAATACATCTAGTGTGGAGAGAGAGAGAGAGTGAGAGAGAGATAGAGAGAGACTATGTATATTTAAATGTGTAAAGAAGAAGCAGACCATTCTGCTCTTTTGTTCATGCAACTCTCTATCTGCTCACTTAAAGACACATTGGCATTTGAGACCTAAAATTGTTACTTTGTTGTTGAAATAAAGAATGAACGGAAAGTCAAGGACATTGATTTTGATGACAATATTGTCAAGATCTGTATTTTAGGAGGAAGTATGTAATATTTTTATTTTATAAAAAAGTAGATCTTTAGGGAGAATGCATTTAGGGCAACTTGAATCTGTCTCCTCAGTTTAAAAAAATAAAAGATCTTTGGCAATTTACTAAATAGTTCATTTATTTTGAGTAGTGATTACTAGATATTTATCATCAATAAATTCTATCAGTTTGAATTTTAAAAGTAAATAAGCCCCAAATTCTAAAAATTTAAGTTTAAATTTTATACAGTTTTACAAAACTAAGAATTATCAAATAAAAAATGCATGGTCCAAGAGCTTCTAAAGCTTTGAAAATGTTTAGTATTTATATGTCATGTAATGTGCATTGGACACTAGGTTGTTTCCTTCAGAGCGGACCCAGTTAGCATTCATTCATTTTTCCAAACATCACATAATTGACTCTTAAAATTGCTACTTAGTTCATCTAAATTTATTTTCAACATTCTTCTAGAAAATCTGGAGCTGGGGTTTCTCAAATTATTATCTGAAGTCATGTAGAAACAAACATTTCAACACTTAAAAAACTTTTACGAATTAAAATCAATTATTCACAACTAAAAGAAAATTAGCCATTACTTCATTTTACAGACAAGTCGGGGAATATATGCTGTGTTGTTGAAATGGCAAACATAATTTCTGCAGTGTAATACAATGGAAAGAAAAGACAGATATTTTTGGTTACTGTCTTGGTTTTGTCTTCTCAAAAAAACAAAAAACAAAAAAAAAAAAACAAGAAAAAACCAGTTTGCTCTATGAGGATTGCTCATAACTTTTTTGCAGCTCTCACAACATTAAAAAAAATAAAGTTGGAGTTTATTCTGTATGTAAAATATTGGCATTAATGTGGATTAATTTAAAAGATTGGTGAGGTTAAAATTTCCTAATATTATTATAATTGTTATTATAGGTATATTAATTAAATATTTATTTGGGGTGGTAGAGATTAGAGAGGTAAAGGTAGGAGGAGAGAAACAGGGAATTAGGAAAGAACTGGTATAGATAAGAACAAAGTAGGAGATAAAGCAGATTGGAACAAAAGAGACATTTATATCAAGGGGACAAAAAGGCCCCATAATGGACCGTTAACAAAAAAAAATCAAATATTCCATTATTTCTTCAGAATATGTTAATTGAGTGGATAAAATGGAATAAATATTTTTGGTGTATAGATTATACCATTGATCAAGGGAGACTTGGACTTGCCTCAAACGTATGTTCAGTTACCAGGTTTTAAATACTGATTCAGAAATAAACTCCCCTATGAATCTTTGCCATACATAAAATGTGGGAGTAGATATAACCTGCTCTGATTGAAGAAATATGAATATTAATATGCCCAAATGTAAGGACTTCAACATGGTGGAAGGATTAGTCAACAGCAGGAGAGGCTGGGAAGACAGAGGATTTAGAGACATACATGTAAGAGATCAAGAGGCTTTCCATATTACTAATTTGACTTGATTTTTAAGTCAAGGTTGGATCACTAAAAGACTTTATGCAGTAGCCTTATATTGTTTAACTGGAATTTTTTAAAAGATTACTTTGGGCACAACTTTGAAATGGATTGGAGCTGAGTGATAGGTGGAATTCTAAGATGACTCCCAAGTACCACTCACTGCTGTGAACACTCTTGTGTAATCCTTTCCACTTGAGTGCAGGTAGGAACTCATAGCTTTGAGCCGACAGACTCTGGCAATATTTTTGCAGATGTCATTAGGATCTTTAATAAACTGACTTTAACTTAATAAAGAGGAAGATTATACAGAGTAGGCCCTATTTAATCAGATGAGCCCTTTAAAAAGAGATCAGAGCTTTCCTGAAATGAGACTCCAAAGAACAGCAAGTTTGTCTGATTGATTGGCTTAGTCCACTTTTTCTTTTGTTGCTATAAAAGAATACCTGAGGCTTGGTAATTTATAAAGAAAAAAAGGCATTTACTTGGTTCATGATTCTGATGACTGGAAAGTTCAAGATTGGGCTTCTGCATCTGTTGAGGGCCTCAGAATGCTTCCACTCATGGCAGAAGGCAAACAAGAACAGAGATCACATGGTGGGAGAAGAGAAAAGAGAAGCAGGGGAAGGTGCCAGGCTCTTTTTTTAGTAACCAGTTCTCTCAGAAACTAATAGAATGAGAACTTAGTCTTAAAGGAGGACATTCATCTATTTATGAGGGATTCACTCCTGTGACTCAAATATCTCCCATTTGGCCCCTCCTCCAACATTGGAAATCAAAACTTAGTATGAGGTTTGTACAGGAAAAACAGCTGAACCATAGCACTGCCCTTGAAGAAGCAGGTTTCATGTTCTCAGGGGGACTGTGAGAGGACCAGTGAAGGGGCTTTGGAGTAAAGACCAGGGAGCAACCTGTAAAGCTGAGAGTAGGCTCTGGCTGACAGCCAGTGAGAAAATAGGAACTTCTGCCTACAATCTACAACCACAAGGAAGTGAATTCTGCCAGCAACCAGGTGAATTTGGAAGAGGTGACCCAAGCTGCAGAGAAATATGCAACAAACAGAAATTGTGATGATATCCTTGTGAGATCAGGAGCGGAGTGCACAGTTAAGCCATATCCACACTCCTGACCCACAAAACTGTGAAAAAATTTAAAGAGTGTTGTTTTAACTATACATTTGCAGTGATTTGTCAGGTAGAAATAGAAAACCAATACAATTTGCATATAATTTAAAGAGGAAAGTTAAAAGAAGATAGAGAAAATTGTGAGCTCAAAGAAATAGTTTCAGATCAGCATATCCTACTCTATACAGTAGTAGTATCTAACCCTTTAGTAATAAATAGTACCATAGTAATAAGTTAGATTATTGATCTTATGCTTTGCTATATCTTGGATCAGGTACTTCAGTGTATTTGTATCACCTGTTTTTTTGAAATCTTCAACTCCCTGACTTTGTAACGCTGCATGGAAAATCCAAGTGTAGACTGATTATTTGGACTACAGTGGCAGTGACTGGTGATTTTTATATTTGCCAAAAATGATTACTAAGTTTGGAGGTAGATATTTTCCACTTCTCAAAAATTTTTACAAAGTTACTTGTGTAATCTCTTGAGTATAAGTATTCCATACATACTTCAAGTAAATGTGTGAGTTTTCATTTCTATTCAATAAAGTAGAATGAATCGTCCTAGGTGTCTTCTGAGTCTTTACTTTCAGAATAAGAATAATATACTTCTGCTTTTCTAAAATTTTAATAATGAGTTAACACAACACTCAGAATCAAAGACCAAAAAACTACAGCTTCCTTCCTCATCTTAGGCCTTTTTCTACCTGGGTAAGAATTCTATAAAATTGCAAAATTAAAGGTTTTCCTAAAATACGTCTATTTGTTGAAGATTTTAATAGAAATAATAATGTAATGTTGTCAAGAAAATAAATTTTATATCCTATGTTTGTACTTCTAAATAATTGTATAGCCTGTGGCAATTTGCTCACCCTCCTTGTTACTTAGTTTAGTTAGCAGATAAAATGGATACAATTTTATTACCTTACTCCATGGTAATTTCAGCCTAAACTGAATTTAAAAATGAGATTAAATGTGGATATCTATGTGGCTATTTCCAGTTCTAAAATGTATAACTCCGTTAATATATGCATTAATATATAACATTATAAAGTTGCATATGAATATCTAATATTTGTAATGGGCATTTATGAAGAACACTTTTTTATTGATGTTTTTCTAGCTACTCTTCTCCTATTTAACTTGGATCCTCACTAATTACCCCTGATAAATTACAGTAGATAACTATTGTAAAAGACACTAGTTAAGGTGAACTTAGGGAGTAAAAAAAATGTCATATAATCTTCTCCCACTAAATATGGACAAAATCTCTGACTTTCTTCTAAGCAAATGAATATGGCAAAGTTGAAGTGATATTGCAGATGTAATTAAGGTTCCTAACCAGTTATTTAGGCCTAACCTTAACAAGTGAACTTTTTAAAGAGTGCGTAGGCTATCTTGGAGATTACAGACTCAAAGCAATAGACTCTCTATCAATATTGTTTGATTTAAAGCACCAAGCATCCATGAACCTACAGCTCCAAGAAAATAAATTCTGCAAAAAACCTGAGAGAGCTTGTAATGGAATCCTTCCCTATTCAAATGCAACCTAGTTGACACCTTGATTTTTATCTTGGTGAGACCTTTCAGAGAAACCAGCTAGGTCCTGCCCAGACTTCTGACCAATAAAAACTAAGTTGTAATAACTTAGTTTTTAAGGTAATAAATGGGCATTGCTTTAAGTCACTGAGTGCATTAGTCAATGTTCTCCAGAGAAATAGAATCAATAAGATACACATAGACAGACACACACACACACACACACACACAAACTATTTATACAGTAATTGACCCATGAGATTACAGAGGCTGAGAAGTCCTGCAGTATGCCATTATTAAGGTGGAGAATGGGGAAAGCCAGTGGTATAATTCAGTTCAAATCAAAAGGCTTGAGAACCAGAGAAACAAACAGTCCCAGTACAGTCCCAAAGGCCTAAGAACCAGAAGCGATAAGGTTTGGTGTCAGGAGAAGTTCCATGTTCCTGCTCAAACAGATAAACCATTTCCCTTCCTCTGCTTTTTGTTCTATTTGGCCCCTCAGTGGATTGGATGATGCCTGCACACATTGATGAGCATGGCTTCCCTTTACTCAGCCTGTTATTTCACATGCTACTCCCTTCCAGAAACACACTGACACATCCAAAAATGTTTTAACAGCTATCCGGGCATTCATTAACCCAGTTATGTTGACACACGAAATTGGCCATCACACTAAGTTTATGGTTAACTTTTTTTGTGCAGCAATAGAAAACAAATACAACCACTGCATTTACATTTTTAGAACTAACCTCCTTCCTGAACTCCTTACAGATATTTCCAAATGGCTACAGACATCCCTACCATTAATCTCCCTGTCATGTCAAACTTTCCCAACTCAATTTTGACCTGTTGTTCTTGTCCTTTGAATGTTATCTTTAGTTAACAATACCAAACCAACCAGCCAATTTAGAAATACAGACTCAATCAAACAACTAAATAAATGACCTGGATTGTATCTATCCTTATATTTTTGCTTTAATTAACATGTCCACTCTATCACTCCTGATGGTATCTGTGAGTATATACCTGGCTACTACCTCAAACATTTCTTGAGTTCTTCCTAGTTATCTCTCCTATCCTGCCACAAGTTGGCCCCTATTCCTTGTCTGAAGAGGCTTCCCTGCCAAAGAAATTGCCCTCTGAGATATTTAAAGCATGAGATCACATACACATAAAATAATGTTCTTCTAAAATATCAGACCCTCTTATAAATACGGGCAAACTTGTTCATGATTCTCTACCTACCAAGTTCCCAATTAGAATATCCAGGCAAGAAGTTACTGTTGGGGCAGAATTACCCACTCTTCCCCAGTTCTGTATTTATTTTATTGTATATGTCATGCTTATTGCAAAATATGTGTTAACATGGCTCTTTCTCCTTATGAAATATAACCCTCAAGAACAAAGGAGATATCTTTGTATTACAACATTTGCACTGTGGTAAACACATCATAAATACTTAGTAAATATTGTTTGCATGAATAAGCAAATATAAAATTACTATTACAATCACACACAGGCATTTCTTGCAATTATGTATAATGGCTATAGGTCAATTTGCAAAAGAAAAAACAATTTGCTTAATAGCTAATTTGTTAATGGTTCATTCATCAAGTTTTCTAATACATGAATTAAAAATAATGTTCCTTGTGTTTATAGAGTTTATAAAGTTTTGTATGGACTGGGATATAACAGTTTTTAGGGTGCCTAAAAATACTTTTAAAATTTTATTTGGTTTTATTTATTTTCTAAAAGCATTTTTTAAACCACTGCTGCATCAAAACTAAGAATTACAGCATGGTTTGGTTTCCTAACAATATTTACTAAATTTAATTAATACATAACAAACATCACTTCAATATTTTGTAAGTGAACATTTCAGTTTGTAATTATTTTGTACAACTTTTAAATGTTATTTTCCTAAAGAATATTTTAAACTTAATATCTTATTTCTGGCAAAAATTAGGCCATATGGGGTACACTGTTTTTATCTTCTGTTTTATTATTTTACCCAACTTTAACAATTTGGGGATTTTTAATAAATGCATCTTTAATTATTTTTTTCAAAATATCATTACAAATGTGCCCATCAGATTTGAGGTGATAATTGTAGCAATTCTTATGGTAATCTATTGCAATTAACTGACAAAACATAAAAATTTACAAAGATTAGAATGGATCATAGGGAATCATTCCATATCTTGACTATATCAATGTCAATATCTTTTTGTGAAATTATACTATAGCTATGAAACCTGTTATTATTGGGAAAAGTTGAAAGTATCTATAGAATCTTCCTTTTTTGCTTTTTAATCTTTTTGTATAAATTTATGGGGCACAAGTGTGGTTTTATTACACGAATAAATTGCATAGTCATGAAGTCACAGCTTTCAGGATATCAATCACCCAAATAACATACATTGTACCTATTTCATAATTTCTCATCACCAACCACCCCCCGCCTTCCCATCCTTCCAAATCTCCGTTGTCTATCATTCCACACTCTAAATCCACGTGTACCCAGGTTTTGGCTCCCACTTATAAGTGAGAACATGTGGATTTGTCTTTCTGTGTCAGAGTTTCACTCACAATAATGACCTCCAGTTTTATCCATGTTGCTGCAAAAGATATGATTCATTCTTTGTAATGAATGAATAGTATTCCATTATGTACATATACCATATTTTCTTTATCGAATCATCCATTAATGGACACTTAGATTGATTCCATATCTTTGCTATTGTGAATAGTACTGTGATAAACTTATGAGTACTGGTGTTCTTTTGATATATTAATTTTTTTTCTTTTAATAGATACCCAGCAGAGGGATTGCTGAATTGAATGGTAGTTCTATTTTTAGTTCATTGAGAAATCTTCATACTATAGAGATTCTAGTAATTGACGTTTTACCAACAATGTGTAAGCATTCCCTTTTTTTCTGCATCCTAGCCAACATCTATTTTTTTCTTTTTAGTAATAGCCATTCTAATGAATGTAAGATGACATCTCATTGTGGCTTTAATTTGCATGCCTCTGATAATTAGTGATATGGAGCATTTTTCTTCATTTGCTTGTTGGCCATTTGTATGTCTTTTGAAAAATGTCTGCTCATGTCTTTTGCCCGCATTTTAATGAGATTATTTCTTTCCTCATTGTTGTTGGGTTGTTAAGTTCCATGTAGATTCTGAATATTAGCTCCCTGTTGACTATATAGTTAGTAAATATTTTCTCGCTTTCTGCGGGTTGTCTGTTCACTCTGTTGATTATTTCCTTTGTTATGCAGGAGCTTTTTCAGTTTAAGTAAGTCCTATTTGTTTCATTTTTATTGCCTGTACTTTTGAGGACTTAGTCATAAATTCTTGTCTAGACTAATGTCTAGAAAATATTTCCCTAGGTTTTCTGCTGGTATATTTATAGTTTCAGGTGTTACATTTCAGTCTTTAACCCATTTTGAATTGATTTTGGTATATCGTGAGAGATACAGGTACAGTTTGACACTTCTGCATATGTCAATCCAATTTTCCCAGCACCACTTATTGAAAAACTTGTCCTGTATTTTTAAAAATTAATGTGAATCTACAATTATTTCAAAATATAATTTTTATAAAAATTCTGGAAAATTTGTGCTCATTGTCATCAGTTCCTCAAAAATCCTTTTTCTTAAACCTATCCCACATAGGCTTTTGTCCCTAACAATTTACTTACCCTTATCCTTTCCAGATAAAAAATGACCTCTACACTTAATTTTCACTCCTCATCTTACTTGAAACAGATAATTGATTCTTCCTTCTTGATAGCATTTTTTTTTTTTTTTTTGAGATGGAGTCTCACTCTGTCACCAGGCTGGAGTGCAGTAGCGTGATCTTGGCTCACTGCAACTTCCACCTCCCGGGTTCAAGCAATTCTCCTGGCCCAGCCTCCCGAGTAGCTGGGATTACAGGCACGCACCACCACATCCAGCTAATTTTTTTATTTTTAGTAGAGACGGGGTTTCACCATGTTGGCCAGGATGGTCCCAATCTCCTTGACCTCTTAATCTGCCCGTCTTGGGCGGATCCCAAAGTGCTGGGATTGCAGGCGTGAGCCACCGCGCCCAGACTTGATAGCTTTTTAAAAGGCTTGCAGGGCAGCATATTTCCTTGCTTTTACACATACTGAATTTTTTGTCCTCAGTCTCTTTTGTTGACTTTTCCCTTTTTTTAATTAGCATTGGAATTCTCTAGTTCTCCTCTATATGTAAAGATGGGAGTATCACTTTTCTCGTCATCTTAATCAGGCTCATGGCTTTTAATACTGCATAGCTTCTGGTAACTCCCCTGTACAACTCTCCATCTCAGAACTGTCTTCCAAACACCAGACTCCTACATCTAGCTGCCTCTTGTACACACGTCAGACACCTCAATCTCAGAATCCAAAACAGAACTCTGATCTTCCCCAGCAAACAGTTTTATATATAGACTTCTTTATTACATTACTTAAAAATTCTCCTTTCATTGATAAGAATTTATTTCATCTTAACCTCTCAGTCAAAAATCTATAACTTCTACACTGCTGAGGTTTTTCCCCCTCAAATCCTACTTTCAATGTATCAGTAAATTCTCACTTAACCATTTTTTTTGACCCTCTAGCTGACTTTATTGAATTGCTTTCTTATTTCCATAAGTTTTAGGCTGTACCAACAAATATCAAAAACAATAGAAAATTACATTAGAGGCAAACATTATACACACAATGGGATAAACTAGACATGAAGCTATATTTTTATTCAGAGCACAAGTACACAGACAAATATGAAGCAAAAACAGTGAGCCGACAAAAATGAGATCATCTTAGTGTAAAAAATAAGTGAGCAGCAAAATAAAGATGAAACTGAGAGTACTCTTAACAAAAAATTCTGTTATTACAAATATTGACAGGCAGCAGATTATTTGACTAAAAGAATCAGTCACATATTTGACACAGTTAACAGAAATTTCCCTCTATTTCAATTCACCTTTCTTTTCTTTCTTTCATAAACTATGACTGTAGCAGCTTTTTAAAAAGTTTTAAAATACGATTCAAGTGAAACAGGCACAGGTGTCTTTTTTCATGTAAATCAGTTAAAAGCCAAGTGGCCAGAAAAAATATATAAAAATAACAATCTATCAAGTTTTGGGAAAAGTACATGCATCCTAAAAGAATAGTACTATGTTTTTTCATATAGCAGATTTATTCTGTTTCTCCTACAATTTTAAATGTTTTCACTGCCAAAGTTAGACGTAAATTTGCTAGATTAGCCCCATGGTCAGTAATAGTTTGTACTTTTGTATTGTAGTCTGAAAATGTAACTCTAACCCCACAGGCCTGAAACCTGGTGGGAAAATGATCGATAAGTGTTTTAGATTGAACAGTCTTACTACGTATGACTTATCTATTAAAATGAAGAACTTTCATGGTTTAATAGAATGACTGCTGTATTCAACTACAACAAGGTCTTCCATCCTTCTTATAAATCTTAAGAATGTGTTTAAGGTTTCTTTCACCTTTACTCTATCCCATGGAAGTTAATTGGGAATAAAAAGATTTATCAATTCAGTCACTATAATTTAAGACCAGGCATCTGCTTAGAAATACAATAACCACAATTCATACTTAGAGAAAATTGTTTCATTTAACCATTTTTTAAAAAATATATACAGAATCCAAACACTTCTTACCACTTTAATGATTGCTTTCCTCATCTGAGCCACCAACATCTCTCACTGCCAGAGTTGTAATAACAATATTTAGTGAAATTGCAAATGAGAGTATGAAATGATTGTGATCAAAATTCTGCAATGGTTTCTCATTTTTTCAACGTGTAAGCCTATTGGTCAAAATAATCTCATTTCTAGGCTGGGTGCAGTGACTCACGCCTGTAATTCCAGAACTTTGGGAGGCCAAGGTGGGCAGATCACAAGACCAAGAGATTGAGACCATCCTGGCCAACATGGTGAAACCCCGTCTCTACTAAAAATACAAAAATTAGCTGGATGTGGTGGCATGCCACTGTAGTCCCAGCTACTCGGGAGGCTGAGGCAGGAGAATCGCTTGAATCCAGGAGGTGGAGGTTGCAGCGAGCCGAGATCGCGCCACTGCACTCGAGCCTCGCGACAGAGCAAGACTCTGCCCCCCCCCGCAAAAAAAAAGATCTCATTTCTGATTTTATATTTTACTATTTTCTTTTATAAGATGTTTCAGCCCCTCTGAATCCATTGTTTTATCTAAAAAAAAAAATACTAGGTATACTTCCTGCCGGGTGTAGTGGCTCACACCGTAATCCCAGCATTCTGGGAGGCTGAGGAAAGTGGATCACGAGGTCAGGAGTTCGAGACGAGACTGGCCACGATGGTGAAACCCGTCTCTACCAAAAATATAAAAAAATTAGCTGGGCATGGTGAGGCATGTCTGTATTCCCAGCTACTCAGGAGGGTGAGGCAGGAGAATCGCTTGAACCCAGCAGGTGGAGGTAGCAGTGAGCCGAGACCACCACTACACTCCAGCCTGGGCGACAGAGGGAGACTCCATCTCAAAAAATAAATAAATAAATACTAGGTATACTTCCACCCTATGGTTTAACCATTGGCTTATTCTTCTCTTGGAATGCTTTTATACCCAGGTAAACCTTCAAAATTCATGTTTTTAATATGGCCAGCTCTGACAGTTCTATTTGATACTGAAAATTGTCTATTCCCAATACGTCCCATTAATGCTTCATTCCTGGCAATCCTAAATGCTCTTAGATTGTTTTCTATATTTTGTAGCACATCTTCTATTAACGTGTAATTATGTTATAATGGTTTTTATTTTCTACTTTACATTGCCCCCTTTATATAAGCTGTATATAATTGAGAACTTTATTTTGTTCTTTAATATTCAATCACCTAGAAGGGCACCTAGAACATAATATGCCTCAGATATTTTTGAATACATCTATTGATTAAAGAATTAAAAATTTAACAAAATATATATTTAATTTATCAATCAGTTATGCTTTCAATTAAAAATACACTAAGTGCTTATTGTATTCTAATAGTTCTTTTGATTCAACTAAACAAAAGAGAGAATAAAGAGATTAAAAAATGAAAGGGATTTGAGCCCTATGGATGGAGAGACGCTAAAGTAGATATTAGCACCAATATTCAGAATTTGGAAAACAGGTGAGCTTTTCCTGAACTGGTGAATAAAGAAAATCGATGCTTAACATGAATGCAATCATATTTATCTCCTAAGAACTCCAGACATGTACAGGAAGTAAAAGGTCCATGTAAAACTTTAAAACATGGGCTTATAAAAGGAGGTGGAAACGGGATGACAGGTTAACAATGCAATTGAAATCCCTGTTCCCACTCAGTATAACCAAGCATATCTACACAGACTTCGGAAGATAGAAATTCAAAATTATTGTAAGCAAACACATTCTCTTAAGACAAGAAATGGAAAGATTTCTCTCAGGTGAAGCCATTCAGCCAAAAAGATAAAACTAAATCTACTAATAGTTGTAGTTGCCTACTAATAGTTGAAAATGTCCAACCTAATTCACCTCCTCAGAGACTAATTGAAAAATTTTGTGTCTATGAAGCTTGCAGTATACTAGTGATACAAAAATATGATTAGTTATGCAGGCTTCACTATCCATTTGAATAAAAGTCAGAGTTTGAAAAACACTGAAAAACAAATTTAAAAAAATAAGAAAATATTCTTCTGTGAAATTTAGGGAGAAAATTTTATCCATGAAACCAAGATAAGAAGAAACATTCAGAGAATAAAAAGAGCTTATGGAAATTAAAGTAAGAATGTAGTAAAATAATTCAATGTAAGGATTAGGTCAAGTTAAAGAAATCTATAAAACACAGGGAATTTGATACACATTATAAAACAATTAAGAATTCAATGATTTGATTCATTGATGTCCAACACTTTAATAATAAAAATTTAGATCTTCAACTCATATTGTGAAAATGAGAGTAGAAATACTATGAAACTAATAATTCAGAAGAATATCTTGAAGACAAGCCAATACGTTGTGAAATTTCAGAATAAAGTAGACAAAGAGGGATTTCATATTTTTAGAGAGAATATAAAGGCAATGGAAGATTACTTGCAAAGGACTAGAAAGTAAAACAGCATGGAGCTTCCGAACAGAGAGACCAAATTTCAAGATCATAAAACAATGCATTCAAAATTCTAAACAAATTTGCTTCTAAGGGGAAGACAAAAGGAAATTAAATTGATATCATTCTTGTGGTCTATCAAATAGAGAGCTATCTTCCAATAATGAGGGATGGATTCATGAAAAGTATATAGAACACTAATAAATTAAGTAACAAAAGTATTTACTCCAGGAAATAACAAAAGTTGTATAGGAAAGGAAAATTACCATAACCTAGCTCTAAAAACTTTTCATGCTCATAAACATGTGCTCATAACAGTGGAAAACTTGAACATTGATTGTTTTAACTAAAGCAGTACTGGAGCTATATTGGAAAGTAGGTAGAAAGACATGCATGTGAAAGGGAGAATGAGGAATCTAACAAATGCAAGTGTGCCTTTTTACTTTAGGATGTAGAGAAAATATAAATTTAAAAATGAAGAAAACAAATTATAATCAGGCCATTTCCAAATACAAAGGTATATTGAGAAAAACGGGGGCAAATCTCAAGAGGTTTCAATTGGTTGCTCTTCGAACTTCAGGTCATGGCTCATTTCACTGCAATGGCCTAGGGGCTGGTTTTTATTGTAATCTTCCAAAAATAATTAGATTGTTTATATTATACAATGTAAGACTTCAGTAAAAATAATGGTAAAAATAACTATCCTTATAATTTCACTCTATCTTTTGTTGGAAAGGAGAATGTTTATCGCCTTTTGTTTTAAGAACTATCACTTTATAGGCTTCTTTCCTATTTCCTTTTCTAACTCTAGTGCTCAGTTTCTGCCATAGACACTTGAGGTTTAATGTAAGATTGTTACTGTCATTTTGTCAGTTGCTTCCTGAAAGGCATGGTGTTCTAATTTCACAGCTGTGCAACTTATAAAATACTGTGATGTAACCTTTAATTGCCATGTGAAGTAAAAAAAGAAAAAATGTTGGAATAAACATTGGATCCATAATAACATTTTTAATTATTTTTCTCCTGGTGACCAAGGTGCTTGACTAAGCCTTCTAAATCATTTTTGACAACCACATGTATTATTTATATCATGACTCGGTATGATTCTTAGAAATGAACAGGTAAAAAGAAGGGGAATTGAACACAGGAAGAATTTAAGTTTTTTAAAGGAATCTGCGTACACCTGCAGTCACAGAAATATTAACATTGATAAAAATTTCCTACTGCTTATAGTGTGGGATATATTTTGGAGATACACAGGCATGAATAAAGTTCATTTATCTGATAAGAACAAAGACAAAATCAAGAACGACATCTCTTTTCTTACCAACCATAATGAATTGTATTGAATACACCAGTTCTTCACCCCTCGCTGTATGTAACCCCTTGGCCTTGTTTCTTTTGCTGTACTCTCTTTTCTGACTCTGGGCTTGATCATGGTACTTGATTTGTCAGCACAATGAGGTGGAAATGACTGTCTATTCAAGCTTGAGGCCTTAAGAAGATTTCAGTGGTTATGCTTGCTCTTTTATGCTTCTGTGATTGCCATGTGATTGTGGCAGGACTAGACTGTTGGAAGACTGGAAGACGAGAGACAGAGATGTGGAAGTTGAAATAAGACTGGCCTGAATCATGAAAAGCCAGCTGAGCCACAGCCACCAAGACCTACTGCTTGTGCCCTCCAGAGCTGCACCCTCTGCCATACTTAGACCGTCTTGAGTCACAACTAGGGCAGCCAAGAAGTGCAACACGGGAATGTGGGGTCAAAGAAAGACTGGAGATGGCCCTGGGCAGCAAGTCCTGAGGGCCCACAGTCACCTTGAACCCTTCTGCTCTCAAAGCCCTGGCACTCTGGGTCTGTACTGGGCATGACAGCCTTGAGTATCTCTGAAATGCCTTTGCAGTCATTCTCTCATGGTGTTGATGAATAGCTCTTGGCTTCTTTTTTTCTTTTTTTTTTTGATGGGGTCTCACGCTCTGTCGCCCAGGCTGGAGTGCAGTGGCGCGATCTCGGCTCCCTGCAAGCTCCGCCTCCCCGGTTCATACCATTCTCCTGCCTCAGCCTCCCGAGTAGCTGGAACTACAGGCACCCGCCACCACGCCCGGCTAATTTTTTTGTATTTTTAGTAGAGACGGGGTTTCACCGTGTTAGCCAGGATGGTCTCCATCTCCTGACCTCATGATCCTCCCGCCTCGGCCTCCCAAAGTGCTGAGATTACAGGCGTGAGCCACCGCGCCCGGCCAGCTCTTGGCTTTTTTATGTTCACAATAAGAGCTGCCCTAAAGTAAACTTCAATTACACTGAGGTAAGGGCAAAGATGCCAAATGTACCTGCACAAGAGAGCCTGCCAGGGGTTGTATTTCAATTCTTTCCAGGAGAATTGACAGGAGTAAAATAGCTTCAACAGAGAGAACAGTGAGTGGACAGCCAGAACACCGGGGGTGAAAGACAACTCAAAAGGGGCCGGGCAGGTCCTAGGCAAGATGAGCTTCAGACTTGCTGAGGGCAATGACCTCCGTGGGAGAACAGCAACCAGAAACACACACATCCATTGCAGTTTTGAAAAACTGTAGTTTAGTTGAGGTCACTACCTTGGGTGGGGGATGCTGGATGGCTGCCCTGGGCTCTGGGTTTCACCTGGGCAAGGGGAGTACAGAAAACATTGCATCTCACTCCTCTTTTCTGTGTATCATAAAATTTTAAGTTAAATTTTTGATGTTTAATTATCCCCTAAAATGTCTGATAAAAGATTAACGACTTTTCAAGGTTGGATAAATTTGGATGACTCCATTAACAAAGGAAGTTGCTAAAAATCTACATTGCTTTGGAGATGGCCTGGTTTTATGCAGAGGCCATATTTGATTCATCATCCTCCCTAATGTGGAATCTTTAAGGTGTTTTCATTTTTTTTCTTGTTCATCCATTATACTTTTGATAATATTTAATTACATGAGTTAGATTTCTAGGCATGAAATGAGTGGAATGGCTTAAGTCCTATTTTTGAGTTGATTTCCAGAAATGTTATGGTAATTAACATTTCTAGCAACCTATTAATGCCAATTTCCACTATCATTGTGAATTACCATATTTAACAAAGTTTTGGTGTCAGAGATATGAAGATATGCTTTTTTTTCTTTCTTCCTTTCTCTTTTAACTCTTACTTTCTCCATTCCTCCTTCCTTCTCTTCTTCCCTTTCTCCTTCCCTCTGTTCCCTCTTTTATCTCTTTTCTTTCTTCCTCTCTTCTTTTTTCCTCCTAATCCACCCTTCCAATTTGTTTTTATTAAGACTAGTAAGCCTGAATGGATTATCACAACATTTTCAGAGATTTGTATATATTATTCTGTATTTTTACTATTCATTTATTTTCTCTGTGCTCTATTTTGGTTTTATATGTTTTTTAACTTTAATGTTTTATTATTCATTTATGAGTCCTCTATATCTAAGATATATAAACTCATGTTTATTTGTTGCACCTATTTCTACAGTTGCTCTTATCTTTTAACATTTTTATGTATTACTGTGCAATGTTTCAAATTTTCATGGCATCAAATTTATCATTTGTTACCTTTAATGTTGAAAACACTTTACATATTTATGGATCAATGTAATATCATCTTAATTAAAAGAAAAATGAATATTAAAAGAAGACAAGCATTCAATAAAAAATGAAGTACCTACTTCCAAAAAAACTAAGAAGCAGTGAGTACACACAATAAAATAAGATTTATATTCCATAGCTTCAAATGGAAAAAGAATGCAAATTTAAAACAGGTGAATAATTTTGAGCAATGAGGTTAGAAGGGACCTCAAAGTGCACTAGACACGAAGCAGGATACTTAGACAGTACCATCCTGTGATCTAAGCAAGAGAGGCTCAATTCTTAGATCAGGGCTTTAGTGATCCTAACCATGAACCATCTGCCCAGCAACTGTAGCACTGAGGGGATACCCTCACATAGAGCCTGAACCTCTTTCCCAAAATATGATCTGGGACCTTGGCATTCCCCACCCAATTGGCCAAGCCTTCTCCCTGGCCCTCTGCCTTGTCTTTCTGAGAGCCTCATTGGTGTGCACATTCAGAGGCCAAAGGAATGATGGAAGGGGGTGTAGGTGGAGCCAGCTATGTGGATTTTGTTGTCTAAATGTTTGGTCACAAGGGCAAAAGACAGATGCAGTCAAGCATGAGAAGTAAAGAATGCACAGGATGTGAACTGGTGCAGGACAGTTTTCTGGATGTCTTTGAGCCAGTTCAGTTATCCTTCCTTTCTTCCTTGTAGTCTTCAGAATAACTGTGGAATTTGCTGGGAATGTAATATCTTAAAATAAAGAGTAGCTAGTCAGAATAGCTATGTTCCTGTCTCTGACAGAACAAGATATTCTACAATTCTTCAACCAGTGATTCAAATTTGCTCTCAGGGTATAAATCCAGGACAGGCTGCTTTCTGTGGCCCCTCAGCTGTGGTGCAGGAGGGGCATACTCCGAAAATACTCCAACTACCCTGCACAACTGTCCTGAACCTTGGGGGACCAGCTTGTTATGAATCCTGGTTTTCTACTGTCCCTTACTTCCTATCTGTGTGTAAGGATCCACTTCCTCATACTATCACATTGGCAACACCTGAATTTTTAAGGGGATGCATGCAAACCATAGCACCTTCCTGTTTGTGTGTCTTAAATCTCTTGTGCCTTCCACTTTACAGGACAAAGCACTTCAGTATAATATTTTTTGGAGATCCTTAACTTAATTACATCAGCAAAGATATTATTTCCAAATAAGGTCACATCCTTAGATAATGAGCATTAGAACTGGGCATATCTTTTTAGGGGGAACAGGGTCTCAATTCAAACCACTACACTATATAAAAACTAACTTTAAATATAATTTTTTAAAACATCAAACTTATATCCAAAACTTTGGGTACTACACTTTTCTATTATAAATGTGACCTTTAGTAAACCTCATAGTCACTCAATATGAAAGGTGACCTGCGAAAATACCTACTCTAACCTCTTTTACAGTTTAGGAAATAGAGAACATAATTTATGCATTTTGAAGTCAGAAATAACACAATGTAGAGGCATCATCTTAGTACAGATAGCGTAGGTCAAATCTGGTTGCCACACGTGACCTCTTTGTCACTGGGTGATATAACTTCTTGAGTATTAATTTTGTCATCTTAAAATTTTGTATTATAATTTTTTTATTATTATTATACTTTCAGTTTTAGGGTACATGGGCACAATGTGCAGGTTTGTTACATATGTATACATGTGCCATGTTGGTGTGCTGCACCTTATAGTGTAATTAAAATGATTAAATGAAATAACTCAATCTACTGCAGAACTTGCTACAGAATATTTGCTCAGGATATAATAGATATTATTCTGATAAATAAGCTATTCTGATAAAGAGTCACATACAGAAAATGGCAGACCCTCTTCTTGATGCCTCATTCTTGGTCCTATTACTCCTTTTACATTAAATGATTGAGCCGTGGATTATCCTGTGTGTGTGTGAAATTTTGGCTCTACCAGTATTCCCAAAGCATCTTAATATTGTGATGCTTTATGAAATCCTGATGTCAGTCATTCCACTTTCTTGATGTGCATATTATGAAAGGTTGGAAAAATAAATTTATAGGCACACACATTAGGAACAATAAAAATAGCAGAAAAATAGTTCTACCTAATAGAAATATAGGTAGAAAATAGAAATAGTTCTACCTAATAGAAAAATAACACGAAATATTACCAATCTTTTCAAAAGAAATAAACATTATCTTTCTTTGGTAATGTATATGTAATGTTTATTCATTCACTGGTTATTTTCAAGAAATAAATCATGAACTTCTAAATTGTGCATGGAATCAAGCTAGATTGAAAAAAAGGTTTTCCCCTCTTATTACTGTGTAGAGTTTAGAGTAGAACTGGGAGAAATATTGGAGGTAGGTTACCCTTGTCTTCCTAGGAGAAGCATTATCACCTAGTAAACTAATCCCTGCTTTGTGTACTATAAAAATATGCTCATAAATATCATTAAAATATTACACCTAACTGAAGAAAAATATGTTTTAAAGACATATTTAAATATATGTCCTTAAACATATATTTTATGAAATATGAAACAAACATATTTCATGATTACTTATAGAAAATGTATATATATAGATATCAGATTTTCCATTTAATCTTTGTAAATTTAGATTTTGATTTGTCAAGCATACAGATACGTTACAAAGGCGTCAAGAAATTTTTATATTCTTTCTACCCATATTCAACAATTACTTGTATTTCATCCCATTTTAGTCATATTCTCTATCCTTCTCCCTACTCTTTCCTTCTTCTTCTCTACCTTTATACCATCTATCTACCTATCCATCTATCATCAGTCGTTTTTCCCATGTCCTCACCATACCATTTAAGAGTGTGTTCACTTCCTGTGACTTCAATGACAAATCATCACTTAGTGGTTTAATAGATAACTTTGTGGTTTGAAAAAATAGAAATTTGTTCTCTCACAGACCTGGAGACCAGAATTCCAAAGTCAAGTTTTTGGAAATGTCATGTTTCCCATAGAAGCTATAGGAATAAAATCCATTCCATGCCTCTTCCAGCTTCTGAAAGCTGCCAGCTTTCTTTGGCTTGTGGCCACATCACTCTAATCTCTACTTCCTTAATCACGATTTCCTCTTTTTTTCTCCCCAAAATTCATTTTGATCACTTGTATGGGGATACAAGCAATTGCATTTAGGACCCACCTTGGTAATCAAAGATATTCTCTTTCTCTCTAGATCCTTAACTTAATTGCATCTTTTGCCATATAATGTAATATTGACATGTGTTGTGGATTAAGAATTTTACATCTTTAGGGGTCTTTTCTAATCCAACCACAATAAGAGATACAGTGATCCTTTAACCTTAATTTTCTTCAGTATATATTTCCTAAGAAGAAGGGTATTCTCTCAACCATGCAACAGATGACAAAAATCAGACAATTCAACATTAATAATAATTAGTGTTTCCCTAGCCATATTAAAGCCTAAGAAACAATAAAAATCAGTAATGTTGATCCTGTAAGTATTTAAAATTTTTATATCTTATTTATCTTAGTCCTTTCGAGCTGCTACAACAAAAATACTATTGACTGGGTGGCTTAAACATATACTTCTGACAGTCCTAGAGGCTGTGAAGTCTAAGATCAAGGTGCTGGCAGATTCAGTGTCTGGTGGAGTCCCACGTCCTGGTTCATAGAGACGAATTTCATGCTGTTTCCTCACAAAGCAGAAAGGGAAAGAGAGAACTCTCTGGATCCCATTTGTAAGGGCACAATCCTGTTTGTGAGGACTTCATTTTATAACCTTATTATTTCCCAAAGACTCACCTTCTAATAATACCATCACACTGGGGATTACAAGTTCACCTTTTCATTTTGGAGGGATACATGCAGTTTGTTCAGTTTATCATGAATTTTTGCATTGTTTAAAATATTACATTCAAATATTATTTATTGTGATTGCTAAGTTTTTGTGCCACCATAAGTTTTGTGCCCAAGACAAATGACACCCTCACTTCACAATATCCCAGTCTTGATCTACAGGCCATATCTAAATTTTATCAATTTTTCCAATACCCTCAATAACAATTTTCTTCTATACAGACTCCTATTAGGATCACGATAGCACTTCTTTGTTTATCTCTTATTCTGGAGCTATTTTCAACCTTTCTTTCGTTTCTTAATCTTGATGTTTTGAAGGGTACAGGCCAGTTATTTTGTAGAATGTCTGTCAATTTGGATTTATTTTCTATTTTTCGTGTTTGATTCATGTTACGGTGTGTGTGTGTTATGGCAGGAGTATCACTGAGGTGATGTGGCTTTTTCCACATATTAGAAAGGACATGATATTGCTTTGTTCCACTATTGATGACATTAGGTCAGGTTAAGTTTGGTGGCCTGATTAAAGTGGTATCTACCATGTTTATCACACTATAACATTACTATTTTTCTCTTTATAATCATGAAATAATTTGTGGAATATCCTTAGCAACTATGTCTTGTTCATAGTCCAAATTTGATTCCTGTACTAGCAACCACTGACAATTTTCTAATTCATTTGTTACTATACTTACAACTTTTTGTATTATATGTATAACTTTATTTTTTACTTAAAATTCAACTATAAGGAAGATATTTTAATTCCTTTCGTATAAATGCATGCAAGTATGTATGTATGTTATATCAATTCAGGCATTCATATTTTATTCAATGGTACATTAAATTTTTCTTAGTATGGTTAGTGAAAGATCTTCCAGCTGCCTTTTGGATCATTTTGAGGATTCCCCATAATTGTTTGAGCTTTTTCCATATTTTTGATCCAAACAAGATGTAAAAATATCATCTCGTGTTTTACATGCTCCAATCTAGGGATCGACAGTTTGTCAAAAAATCTTGGTATTTTTTTTAGTAGAGAATGGCCTCTCTTGTTTCTGATGATGTCAGCTTTTATTTCTATCATTTTCTTGTATTTAATACGAAAATTTCCCATGACTTCTTTCAATGTTTTCTATTCATTTTGGGATGTCACCATTTTCTGTCTTATGTACCTTGGTGTGGCTGTATTTCTCCTGCTTGTAGTTCACTGTTCTTGAATATTTAAGTTTAGGTTTTTCATCACATTTAAAAAAATGGTTAGTCATTATTTCTTCAACATAACTTTTCCCAATTCTCTTTCTTCTCACCCATGGGAATGTAAATACACATATAACATTTAATATTCTCCCAAAAAATACTGACTTTAAAAATTTTTCTCTCTCCTATTTGTTACTTAAATTCTATTTATTTATCTTGACATTGTCCTACAAACCATTGAGTTTCTATTATTTTTATTTTTTTATATTATTTTTATATATTATTTTATATATTGTATAAATGCTATAAAATTATCTTCAACTTAACTGACTCCTTTTGTTCTATCTATAACTTTCTGGTTTGCCCATTCAGGGAATATAAGAGCATGAATTATAAGAGCATGAGTCATACTTTTTTGATTCTTCACATATCTAGTAATTTCTTTGTATCGCATGTTAGGCAATCCAAATATATTGTAGAGATTCTGGTTCCAATAATATTTATCTGCAAATGATATTTGTCCAAGAAGTAAATTTCAATTGCCTAGACCCAAACTTCAAATTCTCTCTCCTTTATGATGGGTAGTAACTGGAAATCTGCATCCTTCCAGACTCTAGCTACTTTATTTGACAAACACCTACATGTCTCCTTTATGCTTAAACAGATCAGTGACTAGTCATGAATTTACTGTATATGTGTCAACGTTGGTCTCATTCTTTGTGAAACTCTCTTTCCAGGAATTTTTTTCCTTTAATTTCCCAGCTAATATACCAGCCCCAAAGTCTGTGTCTGACCTCATGCCTCTGCACCACAGAGATTAGAGAGTACGCTCCAACAAAACCCTGAAAGCATGCCAATCTCACCTGGAGCAATTCCTATCTTACAGGAGCCACCCTTTTCCAGATTCTTCTTATTTCAGATCCATATATAATTACAGCATTTAAAAAATACTGTATACAAGTATTATAGTTGTTATCTGTGGGAGATTTGTCTTATACAAATTTCTCTCACATTATTCCAAGCTGGAACATCAAATTTGTTTTCAATTTTGCAGATTTTCTAAAATTAAAATTTACACTAACTCTAACTACTTAAGATAGAAGTAGAATTGCTCTGGTTAAATAAAGAAATAGAGGTAGAATCCTGTCCTTTTTCCGGACAAACACATATGTCACAAAATTACCCAGATATACTCCATAATAATTCTAGGTTTTCATAGATAGTTTCAAAATAATTTATCTATATCACATAATGAGTACTTATGAGGGGAAACATATACCATTCAGAATATATTCACATACGTGACCAGAAAAATTGACCATCGGTTTATCACAATCTTCAAGCCAAACTCCAAAGGACATCTAAAAAATGCACATTACTTTAAATATATTTAAGGCTGCTTTACAATATATTAAATATATTGTATAATTAGCTAAGTGCGGCATATATAATTATTGTCATTTTAGTACTGCAACTACTTTATCATTCCACAATAAGAACTGAAAACGTATAATTTTATGACTATATGTGACAGACACTATGTTAAGAGTTCTGAAAATGTTATCTGACTTTATTTTTACTAAAAGCTTTTGACATAAGGGTTATTAGTCTGATTATACAAAAGTGAAAGCTGAGCTATAAAGATATCTTACTACTTACCCAAAGAGAGGCAAATAGTAAAAATATGATCCACAAATCAAACCTCACTTCGTATGCCTGTGAAAACACATTCTTTGAAACATATCATCTTTCATTTCCCAAACAAGGAAAGTGTTTCTCAAAGAATTAAATATTTTGACAAGATTTACATTCATTATAATATAGAGATTGGGCTTAAAACCAGTTCTTTTAATTGTTGGGCTTAGCCATTTTGTGCTATATAGCATGACAGAAAAAAAAGGAGGAGAGAGACCATATTAGGACATGTAGGGCTATTGCTGCAACTCTGAAATTTGAGTAGTTTAACCACATAAAAATGTATTTCTCGGCCAGGCGCGGTGGCTCACGCCTGTAATCCCAGCACTTTGGGAGGCCGAGGCGGTCAGATCCACGAGGTCAGGAGATGGAGACCATCCTGGCTAACACAGTGAAAACCCGTCTCTACTAAAAATAAAAAAAAATTAGCCGGGCGTGGTGGCGGGCGCCTGTAGTCCCAGCTACCAGGGAGGCTGAGGCAGGAGAATGGCGTGAACCCGGAGGCAGAGCTTGCAGTGAGCCGAGATCGCGCCACTGCACTCCAGCCTGGGCGACAGAGCAAGACGCCGTCTCAAACAAACAAACAAACAATATATATATATATATAAAATATATTGTTTTGTATTATATATATATAAATAAATATATAATATATATATTTCTCATTTACACAAAATCCAATGTGAATTAGTAGCTTTCTTTGACTTTGGGTTTTAATTTAAGCAAAAGATACCATTATGGTTTGACTGTAATGGTGACAGTAAAGCTGAGTCTTCAAGGAAGTAAGTGTAAGCTGTGCATGTCATGTGAAAGAGCATCCTGGGAAAGGTACAGGAAGTTCAGAGGTCCAGTGTGAGATGATTTTTGGCTAATTGACGAGCGTCTGGGACGCCAGTGCTCTTGGTACAGAGGGAGAAAATTGTAGAAGTTGAGGCTGGGGATGTAAAGTCTGTAGGTCTTTGAAAGCCATTGACTTTATTCTAAATAAGATGGAATTCCTCTTCTTCGGTCTTCCACGCCAGGCTCTAATACCTAATTATCAAAACTTAAATAATGTGTCTTCTAATTATGTATACATCTTTCCTCTCTGTCTTTGTCAGCAGACTCTGTGCATATTTGTTAGCATATGTACAACAAACCTCTTTTGTGTTTGGTACCTGACAGAGAAGTCATACTGGCTGCGTGTTTCTTGATCAGATTTTATGTTCCACTTCAGGTTCATGGGTGTCCCTGTGGGAATATGGTCCTCTTTACATGCTTAGAATCAAGCCATTGGGTTTTCATTGTCATATTATCTTGGAACCAAATCAATTTGGCCCTCTATAAGTAAACTCCACTACGAAGTGCATAGGTTTGTCCTTTAACCAAATCTGGAGATTTGGACACTTTATCCAAGTCAATTGGTTTTTCCACTTAGCCTTCCCCTTATATTAATCCAGCCTTCTGTTTTGACTCCTGTGCTCTACTACTCAACCTCCTGTTCAGACTCCTGGAGTCCTTGTCCCTCTAGTTCTACTCTGTCTCAACTCACAAAACTGACATCAGCCATAATTATTAAGTAAAGGTAATATGTGATCCTCTGACATCCTGGAGAATGCAAATGAATTGATATTTCTCCTAACTCTGCAATGAAGAGTCAGACTTGAAACGCTAGTACTGTCATGTGATTTATTACTATAAAAATATTCAATGAAAAATGTGCATCTTTTTCCAAACTTGTCATTTGGGATTGGCAATTCAAAAAACAATAATAATGCTTGGAGAATCAAAATTATCTACCTCATTCTCTCAAAATATGAGTTACCCAGGTAATCAAAGTGACAATGATGAAATAGATATAGGTTAAGTAAATTAGAAAGAGGACGTTATGGATAATTACTATAAAACTAACAGATTAAAAATTAACAGACTAAGATTATAACTAATCAATTTGTTTTAGTTTATAAGTAAAACATGAGTTTTGATATATACTTGAAACATTTAATACTAGTGAATAGTAATATTAGTTAATTAATGAGGCAAAAATAATACCACATTTGTTCTGTACAACTAAACTTTTAAAATCCATTTTAAAAGCATCTTCTATGAATAAGCTTTAGTAAAAAGAACAACAAATTGCTACCAAATACATTATAGAGAGTATTAATGGTGCATTTGATTTCTGCACACATAGACTGTTGAATAGCTTTCAAGTGAAAGTCCATAAAGAAATACATATCAATACAAATAAACTAACACTTATTTTATTATAGTGAGTTGCATATTTTTTCCAAGCTAGGGTCAATAGAAAGGTAACTCTATTTCAGTGAAAAGCTAGTTTTTCCTAAAATAATGTTTCATTATTTATACCTATATGTACATATTTTTTTCTAAGTCTGTGTCTCTGTAATAACTGCACTGGTTCAGGAAATGACCAAAGTTTTCCTAAGTTGAATTGTAGAAATATTTTTCAATCATGTGATGCTTTTTTCAAAGTTTGATTTTTGCTTTCCCTATATATTGGTTCCTGAAATTGATAGTTTATAGTTTATGATAGAAGAACTGAAGATATATTTTCCACTTCTCGATCTGCCTATCCAGAAATGCATCTAGGTTTTCTTCCAGGTGATTAAACTGTAATCTCTTAACAATTCACTCCTTGAATTTTTAAATACACTTCTCTCTGTTCCCTCCGTGAAAGAGCATTTGTTGCCGAGCAAAAAGGTGATCTTCAGACTTTCCAGACCAGCAGCACCCAGAGATACATGTATTCCTTTTTGTCCCTAAAAAATTTCATGGATTAGGTGGGCATTTAGAATATTAGTGGAAAAAAGCATACTCCAGAAACTTAAGTTTCATTTTTATTTTTTTCTGTATCATTATGCCTAAGAATGCACCTGCCTCAATGCATGCTGCTAGTCTTTCTTCTAATCCTTCCTTTCATAATTATCACTCTTTATTTAGAAAAGAAATCCATATCTTTTACCCACTGTGAAATAGAAACTTCACTGTTTCTTTACTCTTGAGTAAAAAGTCTGAAGTGTGCCAAGCAAAGGAACAATTCAAAACACTGATGTTTGTGAGGACTCTTTTATTCAAAACATCACAAATCCATGGTAGGACTGATTTTGCATTTTTACACACATAGGCACACACTCATATACACCCTATTAAAGTGGAAAAGTGGCATTACAAATGGTATATTCTGACCTATTCCACAATATCTGAATTAAAACTTATTATGTAAGAAATTCTGGGAGTGATATCAATTCCTCTTTCATTCCTGTGTTAATCAACGCACTCATTGTTCCTGAGAAAGAGAACCATGGGGAATTAAAATTGTCTATAGAAATTTTAGATGATGTATTATTTATGTAATGATTCTGTAGACATTAAATTAATAATGCAAACTTGACCGCATAACTCCATTCTCAGCAGTATTGATAATGACAAATAGTCTGCTCAATTCTGTTATTCATGTATACCACAGACATATGGGATCCCACATTTTTCATGACCTTAAGAAAGATGTAAATTCGTCCTTTTAATTTTTTTAATATTCATTTAGAATCAGAAGAGAATCATCTCTTTCCTAAGCTCCAGTATTATCATTTTGGCCAATCTACCAACTTCCCTTATCTGGATCCCTTATCTGCAATCACCTCTTCATTTTTTTTCTACTTGTACACCAGGTCCACTATTTTCTATTTGCAAAAAGAGCAGCCAGAATGATCTCTGTGAAACAAATTTCGTTATTCCACTTTTCTGCTTCAAACACCCATAGTAAATCTCAAGGCCGTACCATACCAAGGGGCTGGCCCCCATTACCTCCTTGACAGTCCCCTTAACTACCTTCCTTATCTGTTTATTCCCATTAAGGCACATCATGCCAGAATATGTTCACCTCAGAATGTTTGCAAGGCTTTATTTAAACCTTTTCATTATGGGTGGTGGGATGACAATATTTAGTTAAGCAAATCAAGTGCTTATGTTTTTATCTCAGAACTATAACAGCGGTGCTGGTTTAAAAAATTTGTAAACAAAAAGTAAGATAGGGCAGGGGGAGATCATTTAGGGTATTATTGCAAATATAGGAGTAAATTTATATGAACTAAAGCGAAAATAATTGTAACAGAGGATCATAGACTTTGATGCATTTAGAAAGTATCTGACCAGCTCTGTAAGGGGAATATGAAAAAAAAAATTGGCATGATTTAGAAGTTTGTTTGAGCAACTGGATGAATTATCATGACAACAAATGATATTGAGGATAAATACCAAAGAGATTAAAAGAGTAGAGCTAATCTTTCTGTATATCTCTGCACTTCAACAGACTGTCTGGCTTGAGAAATTACAGGCAGCTCATGGGGCTGAAGATAGACAAATATACATTCCTGGAGGGTCATTTTCTCTGTCTGTAAATGAGTTTGGTAGCTGGCTCAGTAGGTTCAAGGCAGCATAATTACTTTTTTTTTTTTTAGATGAAGCTTGCTTCTGGTCTCTGGAGGCTTCCCGTATCTAACAAGACCAGTAGTCTTATTGGTATGAAGCTGCATAGATGTTTCCAATACCCCCAGCCTTATAAATACTTTGATTATTATGAAGGTGAAAACCATGCTCTAACAAAATATTGGCCATGGTGAAATCAGACCACCCATAACTGGTTCAAGCTGCGGGACAATGTCACTCAAGAAGATTGTTGTCACTCTACTAGTTCCCTTAATTTAAACTAAGTTCTCCATAAACCTTCATCTTTTGTGTGTCTCTCCTACTTTTTTGCACATGTCTTCAACTTTTCTTTGCACATGGTGAATTTCAGTCTTTTTTCTGCGCCAAGGTTTCCAGTTTTTATGTGGTGTTCACTCTCCCTTATTTTGATTGCAGTGATTAAAAAGAAATCTTGAGATTTAGATAAGCTGACTTTACATTTTCAAATGGGGAAACTGAATGGTCTTTGAGATTTCATAAAGAGATTTCCAGGTAAAATATACATAAATATTATAGCTCAGAAAACTAGGGTATTCTGTGTATTATTCTGATTCTCTAGGGAGACAAATTTAAGAGAAGAAGGCCCCTAGTTACCCATTTCAGCTCTATAGATTACTAGCTTTCAACAATGAGTTCTCACCTGTAAAACAGATACACTGATGGCATCTTTGCACAGGAGGATTATTATATAGATAACTGATATAATTTATGTAATGTGCATGTATATTCCCTAGCATTCAAAAATGTTACCTTGTAGTGTTGTTATTGTCATTATTATTATTCTCTGTTCTAGACTTTGAATGTGTTGAAGTCCTAGGCTTTAAGTAATCATAGCTGTATTTCCAATGGCTAATACAATGAGTGGCAAATACTAGCTATTCAATATCTATTTCTTTAAAGAACTAACCACACAGGTTAAGGTCATAAGTTGACTTTCTCTTTATTCACTTCTAAGACTGAAGAAAACTGATAGCCAGAGAAAATTTCAATTGAATTTGAAGCAATGCTGTCTTGAATATGCAGTAATACTTACCAAAGTGTTAGGGAAATTGTGCCATGTTCCCATATTTACACCTTCTTCTCTTAACAAGACCAAGTCAAAAACTAAATGTTCTCTCTCTTTTTGTGTTTGTTTCATCATTTTCTTTCCTTGAATTATCTTCCATGCTATATTTTGGTGCATCTGATTGGAAAGTTATAAAATTTATTTTTTAGCATCTGATTTGAGAGTTAATGACCTCTTATATTTTGTGTCCTCCATAAATATTATGAGAAATCATGGTATACAGAGCTAAATACAAATACATCATTTAGAAAATATTTTGCATTTTTGTTGTTTTTAACTTTATCTTAATTCATGAGAAAATAATTTTAATATAAGTATTTTGGCCTAGTCAACATATAGTTTTTACCATTAAACAATTATATTGAAATTCTTCAATAAGAACTGTATTCTGTGTATATAACATTTATGTTAGAAATATTAATTTATTAACCATGCATAAAAATTTATATTTTCTTATATCATTAATTTTATGTAATATATGTGTGCTCATTCCCAGTCCCCCAAATTATAGAAATAATATTTACAGTGTAGCAGGATTTTAAACCTAGAATATTACATATTAAAATTTATAAATATTCAAAAATACATTTTTAATTACAGATGGCTACATAATTATGAACAATATAATACCCAGTTATTTATGAACTTTTCTTTTCTCAGGCTAATTATTTGTTCATTTCATTGTTTTTGCTACTCAGGGCCAATGACATTAGAGTAAGTTGTTGTCTGTATCTGGCGATCTCTCATTTATAAAAATGCTCTTCCAACTTTTGATTGCTCTAGATAAAATCTAAATGGTAAGTAATGAAAGTTCCTACTATATAGTTCTTACTATGTAATTCTATTCCAATTATAGAGTTAAATATACAGAAATACACATGAAATGCAAAATAAATGCACATAAAATGTAGAGGATTAAAAATAATAAAAAGTTACAATGTCCTACTCAGTCTTTTAAATTTTAATTAGGTACCTAGGATATTTCCATAATTCCATTGTGTTCACCCTTTTAAGATTCCAAAAATTTTTTATAAATCAGAATATTTTTATTGCTTACAATTTTGATAATTGCACCTATACTATTGATTTTGAAAGTTTGGGGGTGAAGGAAGAAAATATATGGAAAATATGCATATTACTTTGACTTTATGTGAATTCTAGCAGGAATCAATCCAAACTGTCAGCCAAATTAGAAGCGGTTCAAATTAACCAGGCATTTCCCACTATTTCCAGAATGAATTTAAAAAGTCCAAATACATCCATAAAGACTGATACACTGAAACCATCACACACATGGTTTTATCAGAGCATATTCTCTTTCCTAACTAAAAATAACCTCCTTCTGAGAATAAAAATCTGAAAAGAAATTCCATTCTTGATTATCTGCAAAAGCTACAAAAGCTCTTATGGGCCTATTCAACCATCAGATTGGCAGAATTTTAGGGAAGTCCATTCCTGAAATGTATCTTTATTTCCTGATGTGCTTATTGCCAATGTTATTTTAACTGTTAGAGCATCTTAAAGACATAAAAGCAGTTGGCTAGATATTCTAAAGACGATGGCAGTAGCCCGCAGCTTACATAAACCCTATAGGGTCCGTGAACATAGTTGCAATAAAGCAGAACATTGAAAACACAGCTTATATAAAACTTAATACACTCAGCCCGGAAGATACTTTTAAACATTTGCTAAAATTACTTTACAAGCAGGCATGTTCACTATAAAATCATGGTAATGGAGAAATAAAGCAGGGGTATAGAATAAAAAGCAAGAAATTTGCCCAAACAGTTCATTTAAGCAGCTAAAGAACCACTAGGGTTATCTTGATACAATTCAGAGTTTCTTTACATGAAGATCTCATTTACAGCTATGTGGTGTAGATAATTATCTTATTTAAGGTTGTTACCAAAGCTTTCATGTTTTTTTAATATCCTAAATGAGTCTCTGACCTTTCAGGTATGTGTGCTTGTGAGTGTGTGTTTTTGCTATATTTTAAGTAACATTTGTTTACAGGCTACACTTACAATTACATATGCATGTGCTCGTTAGTAGTTAACTTTATATAAGACAGAAGGCTTATTATTGACTGCCTATTATTGTTCAGAGGGGAGAATAGGTAGTATTAGGAGAGGAAATGTTTTCAAAGCTAATTAATAGGAATTTGTGGTTAGTGAATTCCTACAAGATGGCAAACCTAGATTTGCTTGGAACTAAACTGCATGGTATTCTTTCACTAAATTGCTGCTTTCCCATCATTTTTTAATAAAATAAGGACAACTGGAGGGAACAGTAGCTCAACAGAAATGTGAGCACATATGGCCTAGCCAGTGGAATGTCTTAGTCACACGATTATCTCCGGGGACAATGACAGGATGAAGGGCCAGTGAATTCTACTAAACCTGTTCTTATGTCTTCCTCAATGAAGCCTATTCTCTACTGCATTTAGTATAATATTGTAGAATTTACACTGAAGCTGTTACTTGACAATTAGTGACCATGGAAAGTCCCAGCTTGTTCAGTAAGCTGAAAATACAAAAATGAATATCTATCTATATATATAATTTTTAAACAAGAGTATGTTTTACTATCCCACATAAATGGTTAATCATATTCTTTCCTATGGAAATGCTGTTCGTTGTGTCTGAAAATACTCGTAATAAAAATCATAGCATGCATACTTGGCCTTCCACTTCCTATTAGCATGTAGGAAGTGTAACCAAGTCCCAATTCAGTCTGCTCACCGCACGACAGCCAATAAGTCAAGAGAGAATGATTTGGAGCAAAGAAAATGACTTTATTTCTGAAAGCCAGCAAACCGAAAAGATGGCAGACTAATGTCCTAAAGAACCATCTTTAGTCAGTACAAATTTCAAGCTCTTTTTTATGTTCAGGGTAGGGGGAAGAGAAAGGGATTGAGACCAAAGAGTGATTGATGACCACAGTCATCTGGGTGCCAGTGGGGGTCTGAGGAGGCTGTGAAACCTCTCTGTCCTTGGTCAGGTCACAACGCCTCTGCAAATCCTTACCACAACATTGCTACTTGTATGTTTACCTCTGTTATTTCCTCTGGGATTAGTTTTGGGAAGTGACTATTATGATTCTTGCTTTAAAGTTAAATTATAAACTAACTTCCTCCCATTGTTAGCCTGGCGTACCTGCAGAGATAAGCAAAAGCAATTAACCTAAAAGATATCACCATGGACAGGGACCATTAGGAGCAAAATGGAGTTAGTCATGCTAGGCCTCCTTTTTCACTGTTACAAAAGCAACAAGGGAACATTACATCCTCTCTAACAAAAATAAGCTCGGTTGTCTAGGCGTTTTTTAAAAAGTCTACCAGATGACTGAGATTGCAAGGCCCTCTAGTGAAATGAAATTCTTCAGAGTGAGAGTAATGAGTCTATGAAATAGGGTGGAGAGACAGGACAAATGAACTGTCTTACTTAAGGCAGTTCTGCAGGAAGAAGAGATGTTCATGGTAAAAGCAGGTTAAAAAACAGTGGAAATGTTAACCAATTCTTAAAGATGTAGGCTAGCATCATGTTTAGAATCCCAGGAAGCCTCTAAAACAAGGGAAGTCTGGAAGTATTACACAACTCATTACCATAGTCCTCTGACAAGCATTCACAAGGAAGTTTTGTGGTAGGGGAAGAAGCCTGAGAGGAAAACCCCTCCATAATGCAGGCATGCAGGGATTCCCAGGGCAGAGGAGCTGAACCTAGAGAAAACTCTCTGTCCACTGTAGAATAAGTTCATGGTCATGGCTGACTGCCACAGGGATATAATATCAAGCACTGCTCTGATACAAGGTACAGAGCACTGCTGAAGGAGGGACAGGAAACCTGTTCACATCAAAGATTCTGCACTGACTTAAGGCAGAACACCTCTGCCTTGGTGGGGGAGAGGCAGGAAACGCCTAGCCATAGGCTTTGCACTGAGTTGAGTAGGAGGAAAAGAGTGACTTCCCTACAAGGAGGCTCCAAACAGCTGAGAAAGTTCCACACACAAGTTTGGGGATGCAAGTGCTGCCTAAGATGAAGGCTAGACAAGGAGAATTGAACAACTCCCCTACCCAAATTATGAGCCTGCCACAGGAAACACAGACACACACACACACACACACACACACACACACACACACACGAAAAAACTACAGAACATTATCTCTCATGTAGACAGAAATCTATAAAATGATATTAGCAAATGTAATCCAACAATATTTAAAAGAATAATATTCCATTATCAAGTTAGCATTATCCAGGCATGCATGATTGGTTTATGTATGATAATTAATGTAATTAATCACATCAACAGATTAAGTGTAAAATAATTTGATTCTTAAAATAGGTGCAGAGAGAGGCTGGGCGCGGTGGCACATGCCTGTAATCCCAGCACTTTGGAAGGTTGAGGTGGGTGGATCACATGAGGTCAGGACTTTGAGACCAGACTGGCTAACTTGGTGAAATCCCATCTCTACTAAAAATATAAAAATTATCCGAGGATGGTGGCACATACCTGTAATCCCAGCTACTTGGGAGGCTGAGGAGGGAGAATTGCCTGAACACTGGAGGCAGAGGCTGCAGCAGAGATTGTGCCACTGTACTCCAGCCTGGGCGATAGAGCAAGACTCCATCTCAAAAAATAATAATAATAGATGCAGAGAAATCATTTGAGAAATACAGTGACCATCTTATTTTTAAAATCTCAAAATACTGGAAAATGGGGGGAGGTGAGAGAAACAAAAAATTCTTAATTTTTAATGGGTATTTACAAAAAAGCTATGAAGCATCATTTTTTTTTTCATGGATCAATATAAGGGACAAGACAAATATGACCTTTCTCACTAGTTTCTCATACACCATTGTACTGGAAATGTTGGGCAGTGTAATAAGACAAGAGCAAAATATAAACCATATTGATTTTAACTGAAAAGTCAATCTCTCTCGGCAAATATCTTAATTGTACACAGAAAATCCTAAAACAAATCTCTAAGAGAAAACATCTTGGCAGTATTTTATGAAACTTAATATGCAATTGTCATATGACCCAGTAATTACACTCAAGGATATTAATCCATGACAAATAAAACCCGTGTTCCCACAAAAACCTGTACAGAAATGATCACTTGCACGCACATGCATCTTTATTCATAATAGTCAAAAACTGGAAACCACCCAGATGTCCTTTATTTGATAAATGGCTTAACAAACTATGGTTCATCTATGCCAGGGAATATTATTCACCAATAAAAATGAGCCAACTGTTGATACAGAAAACTTGGCTTTGATCTCCAGGGAACTATACTAGGTAGAAAAACCAATCCCAAAAGGTTATATAATATGTAATTCCATATATATGTATAACATTCTTGAAATGACAAAATCATATAAGAACTGATTAGGGGGTGACAGATTAATGAGGAATGGGAAGGAAGAGTGATTTTAATGGAATTGTTCTCTATCTTGATTGCATTAGGGTCAATACCCTGACTCTGATATGGCATGAAAATTTTGCAAGATGTTACTATTAGGGAAAACTAGGTAAGGGTAAAAGATGTCTTTGGTATTTATTCTTACAAGTGCGTGAATCTACAATTATCTCGAAATACACTTACGCCTCAATTATCTGGAACTAAACATTTCAAAATAATGAATGCACATAATTTCAAAATTTTCTAGAAATTATTATCACTTTTTTCAAGCTTTTAAGTGTGCTCATTCTCTAGATGTCATGTTTTCTTTCTTTTTTTTTTTAATGTTTTTTTTTTTATTATACTCTAAGTTTTAGGGTACATGTGCACATTGTGCAGGTTAGTTACATATGTATACATGTGCCATGCTGGTGTGCTGCACCCACTAACGTGTCATCTAGCATTAGGTATATCTCCCAATGCTATCCCTCCCCCCTCCCCCGACCCCACCACAGTCCCCAGAGTGTGATATTCCCCTTCCTGTGTCCATGTGATCTCATTGTTCAATTCCCACCTATGAGTGAGAATATGCGGTGTTTGGTTTTTTGTTCTTGCGATAGTTTACTGAGAATGATGGTTTCCAATTTCATCCATGTCCCTACAAAGGACATGAACTCATCATTTTATATGGCTGCATAGTATTCCATGGTGTATATGTGCCACATTTTCTTAATCCAGTCTATCATTGTTGGACATTTGGGTTGGTTCCAAGTCTTTGCTATTGTGAATAGTGCCGCAATAAACATACGTGTGCATGTGTCTTTATAGCAGCATGATTTATAGTCCTTTGGGTATATACCTAGTAATGGGATGGCTGGATCAAATGGTATTTCTAGTTCTAGATCCCTGAGGAATCGCCACACTGACTTCCACAATGGTTGAACTAGTTTACAGTCCCACCAACAGTGTAAAAGTGTTCCTATTTCTCCACATCCTCTCCAGCACCTGTTGTTTCCTGACTTTTTAATGATTGCCATTCTAACTGGTGTGAGATGATATCTCATAGTGGTTTTGATTTGCATTTCTCTGATGGCCAGTGATGATGAGCATTTCTTCATGTGTTTTTTGGCCGCATAAATGTCTTCTTTTGAGAAGTGTCTGTTCATGTCCTTCGCCCACTTTTTGATGGGGTTGTTTGTTTTTTTCTTGTAAATTTGTTTGAGTTCATTGTAGATTCTGGATATTAGCCCTTTGTCAGATGAGTAGGTTGCGAAAATTTTCTCCCATGTTGTAGGTTGCCTGTTCACTCTGATGGTAGTTTCTTTTGCTGTGCAGAAGCTCTTTAGTTTAATTAGATCCCATTTGTTAATTTTGGCTTTTGTTGCCATTGCTTTTGGTGTTTTGGACATGAAGTCCTTGCCCACGCCTATGTCCTGAATGGTAATGCCTAGGTTTTCTTCTAGGGTTTTTATGGTTTTAGGTCTAACGTTTAAATCTTTAATCCATCTTGAATTGATTTTTGTATAAGGTGTAAGGAAGGGATCCAGTTTCAGCTTTCTACATATGGCTAGCCAGTTTTCCCAGCACCATTTGTTAAATAGGGAATCCTTTCCCCATTGCTTGTTTTTCTCAGGTTTGTCAAAGATCAGATAGTTGTAGATATGCGGCATTATTTCTGGGGGCTCTGTTCTGTTCCATTGATCTATATCTCTGTTTTGGTACCAGTACCATGCTGTTTTGGTTACTGTAGCCTTGTAGTATAGTTTGAAGTCAGGTAGTGTGATGCCTCCAGCTTTGTTCTTTTGGCTTAGGAAAAGAGGAAGTCAAATTGTCCCTGTTTGCAGACGACATGATTGTTTATCTAGAAAACCCCATCGTCTCAGCCCAAAATCTCCTTAAGCTGATAAGCAACTTCAGCAAAGTCTCAGGATACAAAATCAATGTACAAAAATCACAAGCATTCTTATACACCAACAACAGACAAACAGAGAGCCAAATCATGAGTGAACTCCCATTCACAATTGCTTCAAAGAGAATAAAATACCTAGGAATCCAACTTACAAGGGATGTGAAGGACCTCTTCAAGGAGAACTACAAACCACTGCTCAAGGAAATAAAAGAGGACACAAACAAATGGAAGAACATTCCATGCTCATGGGTAGGAAGAATCAATATCGTGAAAATGGCCATACTGCCCAAGGTAATTTACAGATTCAATGCCATCCCCATCAAGCTACCAATGACTGTCTTCACAGAATTGGAAAAAACTACTTTAAAGTTCATATGGAACCAAAAAAGAGCCCGCATCGCCAAGTCAATCCTAAGCCAAAAGAACAAAGCTGGAGGCATCACACTACCTGACGTCATGTTTTCTTTCTAAATGATGGTCACTATTGTGGTTTATCCTATCATATTTTGTACTCCTATAATATATAGATTCTGTTGCTCCTATCATTTAATTAAATGCAGAAAGTTTAGGTCAGATTGATGTGTTTATGTGATTATCCTTGTAAGATCAATTGCATTCTCATATCTATTTCAATAGTATTTCCAAATTAAATGCAATATTTTGAAAGAGATATTGCATTTTTATTTTTATTAATTTATTTAGCATATTCTCAATTTAAATTCTCAATTAAATGTGACAAGTTGACAAGTCATCAACTTCTCCAAATGTACATTTGTGTGTTATCTAGATCTGTGAGTATCCTGCTCCCAAATTTCAGATATTTCAATGTGTGCATTTCTTTAATTTTTGCTGACTTTTTATTTAACATTTGCTCACATTAAGGTTCATTCAAAGTCTTTTTGGCATAAATTTTGAATAGGGGCCTTGAGCTGTTGGGAATAAAGAACAACCACTAAAATTGGGCAGAATAACCACGTTTTCATTAAATCAGTTTGTGTAAATAATTCAGTTATCTAGAACTGAGTGTGCTTCTAGTTTACATCATCAAATAAAAAAAAAAATTCCCCTCTTCTGTCCGGGTGTTCTTGTTTAACTCCCACTTATAAGCGAAAGCATGTGGTATTTGGTTGGCTGCTCCTGGGTTAGTTTGCTTAGGTTAATGGCCTCCAGCTCTATCCATGTTGCTGCAAAGGACATGATCTCATTCTCTTTATGGCTGCATATTTCATGTATATCTGTACCACATTTTCTATATCCAGTCTACCACTGATGTACATTTAGGTTGATTCTATGTCTTTGCTATTGTGAATAGTGCTACAATGAACATTTGCATGAACGTGTCCTTATGGTAGAATGATTTATATTCCTTTGGGTACATACCCAATAATGGGATTGCAGACACCGGGGCCTACTTGATGGTAGAGGGTGGGAAGAGGGTGAGGATCAAAAAACCACCCTTTGGGTACCATGCGTATTACCTAGGTTACAAAATAACCTGCACACCAAACTCCATGACATGCAGTTGACCTATATAACAAACCTGCACATGTACCTCTGAACCTAAAATAAAAGTTAAAAAAAAGTTGGATAACCTTCTTTTGGTAATATAATGAAGAAAGTATTCCTTGTTTCAAAAATCACTTATTTGAAGACAATTTGTCTATGATTTGCAATGTTAAAACATAGTGCATCAATATATATAATAAAATTGACTCTGTTAACAGCCTACAAATTCATTAAATTTATAAAAACGGTTGAAGTTTAGTGAATGAGAGTAGGTTTTAATTTCAATAACTTTAATAACTCTCTGTATTATACATACACATATATATGCATACACATATAATTTATGTACTGAAAATATTAGTCAAACTATTTTGAAAATAGGGAAGATAATACTTTAGAGAATTCTTCCCTGACTCTTTCCTAAAGCAGTTTTTTTCTACATGTACTTGAAGCTAACTTGTAGTGGATTTGGTATGAAAAATTACATCTTAAATCTTTTCAGGATTTTCTCTAATCTCATAAACTTGGAAATATAATTGGATAATCTTCAATATTCTGTAATACCACCCTTGTTTTGAAAAAGAAAGCATATTTATTATATACCAGGTCTTCCTGTATTCCCGACTGAATGACAAAAAAAAAGATTAAAAAATCTAAGTAATACTTAATTGCTTTAGGAATATATATCCCATCATATTTTAGCACCATTGGTAGGTGCTAAAACAATAAATAAATAAATAAATAAATAAACAAATAAAAAATAAATAAAAGTAAATTTTAAAAAATGTTCCCCTCTTGTGTCCGGGTGTTCTTGTTGTTTAACTCCCACTTATAAATGAAAGCATGTGGTATTTGAAAAAGAGGATTCTGGATTCTCATTGTGTCTCCTTTTCTTAAATGCTTTGTAAATTTTGGAAAGTTGCTTAAAAGCTATAAACTAATGATAAGTTTTGTGTCACCATAGTAACAGTGATGGAAGGTCATACTGTGATGAATTACCTATCACAGTTGGTGGGAAGAGATGCTGGAGGTGAACAGACATGTTAGTTTCTTACTTTGCTTCATTTGTCACATAGATATTCAGACATTTCTGGAAATAAACTTGCCAAGTTTTCTGGTCTATATACATATCACATAGGAGAAAAAAATTTGAATAAACATTTTTTAGTCAGATATTCTACTGAAACTCTTTTCTGCTTATCTATTTCCATATGAATATACTATATATGCGTTATAGGATATGAGATAGTCTTTAAAGTTTTTCTCCTTCAGGATAATGAAATGTGAGCAGACATAAAGTGTATCACTTCTGGGAAGAAATTTTAATATTCAACATTGTGTTAATCACTTTTCATTTCTTCCAACATGGAGACTGATAGATCCCAAATCGTGGATCTCTGGCTGCCTGCGTTCCTGAATGCAGCTGGCAAGAAGCAAATAGAGTGCCAAAATTGTGAATAAAAATGTAGCACCGAAAAAAATCTTTCTTGTTCCAGCCACTGAGATTTGGAGATTATTTGCTACTGGAGCATTATCTGGGTTATCTCGGTAGCTTCTATGTAAGATTCCATGCTAGGCTACATAGAGAAGTCAAAGAATATTATGACCTTGGCCTTATTTTCAATTAGTGCTATGCTTCTCTCTTAGGGTAAAATGCTAACAAATCTTTCATTTTATATTTATAAAATAATTTTCCTTCATACTTCTTTAAACATTTATAGGCCCTAACTACTTGTACTGACTAGTTAGATATGCTCTTTAGAAATCAAAAAAAAAAAATTTTAAATCACATGACTCGTGATCTTATACTTTTGAGGATAAATGAAATATACACCAATTCTATCACTAATGAATTTCAAACAGTGAGGGGAAAAAATAAACACTGATAGTTCTAGGAAGTCCAATCTATCCCTTACATATTTATGAGTTTTCATGCACTTACTAGTATCTTGCTAGTAAGGTTTCTGTATCACTGTATTTAGAAAAAATTAGACACTTGACCCTTTGGGCTTCAGATTACCACAATTGCCATTACAGACTGTTAGCCAATATAGCAGCCATAGTAGTTAAGAGATAAATCACAACAGCTATTTCCAATTTCACTCTGTCATATAGAGAGCTTGGAGGTTCTTACTCTCATCCTTAAGACCAAAAAAAATAAAGTAGGCAAGCTAAAAACCAACAACTTTTCTTTCATTCGTCAGTGGCCTTCAGTTGTAGCATAAACCACTACTCTGCAATCTGGAGAGACAGGCAACCAAGCACTGCCTAACTGCAGGAAAAACCACTGGGGGCATGAACTGGGAGAAGTATTTAAATAGAAATGTTGATGATTTTCTGTAGCCTGAGTGTGGATTACAATGAGAGGTGAAGCTGGCTGGACTTCTGGGTAGGTAGGGACTTGGAGAACTTTTATGTCTAGCTAAAGGATTCTAAACACACCAATCAGCGCTCTGTGTCTAGCTAAAGGTTTGTAAAGGCACCAATCAGTACTCTGTAAAAATGCACCAATCAGCGCTCTGTGTCTAGCTAAAGGTTTGTAAACGCACCAATTAGCACTCTGTAAAAACGGAACACTCAGCACTCTGTAAAATGGACCAATCAGCAGGATGTGGATGGGGCCAAATAAGGGAATAAAAGCTGGCCACCCCAGTCAGCAGAGTCAACCCGCTTGGGTCCCCTTCCACACTGTGGAAGCATTGTTCTTTCGCTCTTCACAGTAAATCTTGCTACTGCTCACTCTTTGGGTGCACACTACCTTTAAGAGCCGTAACAGTGCGAATGTCTGCAGCTTCACTCTTGAAATCAGCAAGACCATGAACCCACCGGAAGGAAGAAACTCCGGACACATCTGAACATCTGAAAGAACAAACCCCAGACACACCATCTTTAAGAACTGTAACACTCACCGCGAGGGTCCACAGCTTCATTCTTGAAGTCAGCGAGACCAAGAACCCACTGGAAGGAACCAATTCCAGACACAACAAGGCTTATCAGAGTGCAAGAAAAATCATGGTATGAAGATACAAAGGAAGCACCAGAATCAGACTCGAATATGGTACAGAAGTTGGAGTTATTAGACAGAGAATTTAAAATCACTATGATTGATGTTAAGGGTGAACATGAAAAGTTGGACCACTGATAAGAAAAGATTATTAATTGAAGCAGATACCTGAAAACATTAACAAAGAATAAACAGGAAATGCTAGAAGTTTAAAAAATATACTGCAAGTCCAAAATTCCTTCAACTGTTTCATCAATAGACCTAACAAACCAAGGAAAAAATTAGTGAGCTTGAGTATAAGTCATTAGAAACTTTACAAACTGAAATGTGATGATAATAAAAGATAAAAAAGGACCATTCAAAAACTGTAAGACAATATCAAAAGATGTAAGTATATGCATAATTTAAATATCAGAAGAAGAGAGGATGGAGAAAACATATTTGAAGTAATAATGGCCAAGAACTTTGCAAAATTAATGACAGACAGTAAACCACATATTCATGAATCTCAGAAAACACCAAAACCTTGGCAGCTGTAGTGAGTAGAAAGTCCCATCTCAATGTTGCCTTAACCTTCATGACAGCGAGTACTGCTACAATTCTAGTGATCCTTTAAGGAAGAGCCATTCCACTCCCCAAGGATGTAGTAAGGGAAAGCCTCGTGCTAAACTGGTGAGAGTTTCTAAGTTTATAATTTTTTGGTTTACTCAAATATCTTCTTTCTCATGTTACAAATATGTTACCAGGTGAACTGGTTAGGGTAATTAACCAGTTTTAAATAAAATTTATGGGAGGCCATTTTTTTGAACTAGGCCCTAACAGATGAAACTAAACCAGAAGAAAGTCATTTGTGCTAGGTGCCACGTAATCAAACTGAGCTTTAAAACAGACCAGTTTTCCAAAAAACAGGAGATTCATAGCAACTGATCTAAAGGGGCCCAGTTAACTTGAGCCAGCATGAGAAAGAAGTTCCGCCTGCCTTAACTCTATAGGAAAATAACTTTAAAATGGCCAATTCACTTTTCGTTACTTATTTCTGTTTTCTTCAGCTCTTTTCTGCCTACAAAGTCAGCTCAGCTCAATGAAACTCCTTTCTATTTCATAGATGGGATGATGCCCAAATCGTGAATCACTAATAAAAGCCAATTAGATCTTTAAACACAATTTGTTGCAATTTTGGTTTTTGACACCAGTTAGGGTCACTACCTCACAAACTTGGAAAACATATTATACTTTATCTACTCAGTGATCAGGGCATGTCACTTATCCATTTATTTCTTCCTTAGTGAGCAGTGGTGTTCATCCATTCTCTCACAGAAGGTTTCTGGCTCCTGCTTAGTCAGGGGGAGGCTTCACTTAGCAGCCTCCTGCCTCATCACCACCATCACCCATCCACAGAAAACACACAAACCCGCCACACTTGCCATAGACTTTTTATTAAATTATTTTAAGGTTCAACAATAGGAAGATGAGCATTTTATGTAACCATTACTGCACAAGGGTGCTCCTCCAGATAAATTTAACTTAAGCTTTTAAAGATAAGCAGCTGGGAACTAATTTTGCATTTATGAGAAAAAAGAAATAAAAAGACATGCCTCATTAGGCCACCAAAAATCTTGACTAAGTCACAGTCCATTGATTTGGTCTCCTCAAAACAAACAAGCAAGCAAAACAAAAGCACTTGTCAATCAGTTTTAGCTCCTTTATGTAAAACGAAAGGAATTACATATTTTAAGAAATCAAAAAGCCTTTAGTGTTGCTGATGTTACTTATAAAATTATCTTTCAAGATTTACAAAAGCTTTCATCGTAAAAAATCTTTTTCAAAATAGACTTTGGCTCCCTAACCATTATAGTAATAGTAAGGAAACACTCAAGTTTTTAAACATGTCAAAACACGACATTTATGGTAGCCTTTATATAACACTGTTTGTGTGAGTCAAGATCTTGTTAAGCATTTCTCAGTTTATTCTCTAGGGTGTACTGGCCAAACTCTAATCTCATGGAAAGGTAAATATAACTGAAGTATTTGGAGAGTTGAGGGAAAATCTCTTCCCTGAAGGAGCATTTTGTGTGTTTTTAGTCATAAATGCCGAAGGATAGGGCCATAAGTTCTTGTCTCAGTTTCTTAAAAGTGTTCTGAATTTGAATTCCATTCTTTTTATTTTCTATCCAGCTCTGGAATGAGAGAGATGGCTAGTGACCTGACCTTCCAGTATTTGTTTTTTGAACGTAGCTGTAACTACTCTGATTAGTAACATGATATATAGTAAGCTATATATAGCTCTCATTATAGTGACTTGCGGGTATCTCCTAATTTTTTAAGTTCTTATCCTTTATTATGTTGGTGCCACATTTGTCCATGCTTAAGGAGTTCCTAACTGAAACGTACTTCCAGGTACGGTAGCCGTCATGTGGCAGATTCTCCTCAGATTGTTTTCTGGTATTTCCTGGTATGCCAGGTAGACTTTTACTTTCAGATCTTGGACAAAATTGGCAAATCATACTTTTCAACATCATGCCCCAAGAAATGTTATCTGCTATATGGCCAAGATATACCATTGATAGACTCCAGTATCATATTCCTAGGTTAGTTAATTCCGTATATATTTTCTAAGCATCTATAGTAGCTGTTAGCACTTTAGTCTTAGGGTTACAAAAGTAATTAATATGATCCACTAGGCTCAGGAGTTACAAACGGATACATTAATTGATAAACAGAAAGTCAGGAAATTGCTACTACAGGACACCAATATTTGGACTCCATCAAATAGTGGATACATACATCACTTTGTAAAGATACCAGAAGGAATGTGGAGAATACTCAAACACTGTCTTACTTCTCACTCATGGAAGGTGAGTTCTTAATTTTCGAGTGTCTGACATGAGTTCTTAATTTCCCATTAATTAAATGGTGATTATATTTAGGTAATGTGGTTAATGGAATACGATGGTTTCTCAGAAGCGTACTAATTCATGGCTCCATAAATAAGCACTCACATCAAAACACACCCGTATACTGTACTCATAAATTCTAAAACAGTGAAGAACTAATTTAAAAAATAACCAACCCAGATGCACAAATATTACCTTAAAAGCAGATTACCATAGATCACAGGTGACCACCCCTGCCTCCATTAGAGCAAGAGCTATCTAGAATTAATTCCATCAGAATCCCTATTAATAGATTGCTCTGCCATGCAATCTATTATATATAATTTGAGACTGCTCTGCAATCTAATATATATATTTCTGTTAAACCAGCTTATTAACTCAAGAAATGTTACATGTATTTACTTTTCCTCTCCCATATTCTCATCTTCTTGACTGCTTTGTTCTTCTGCTTCCATAAACCAGTCTTCCCTTCCTTCTAAAAGCTACGCCCTGGATACTTTTATATTTAATTAAATGTTTGCAAATTCTTGCCTTAAGTATAATGTTACTTTCTCCTGAGGTCACAGCTCCCATTACAGCTTATTAAAATGCAAACTATAAAATAACCCATATGCAGCATGAGAGAAGGCATCATTGTTATATTTGATTTTCCTTCTTTCTAAGGATTAAAAAAATCTGTCGTATCTTCTGAGGCTCATATTTCTTGCTTTACCCATGTCTATCTACTTTTCCTAATCTCTTTTAACTGTCAAGATGCTTAAAAGTGAGATCAATCTCGATTCATTCTCAATGCCCACTAAAACAGCTCTCAATTTTCCAACTATTTATGAACAAATTTGTCTGCAAAAACACTACGTGAGCACACAACATTTCATGAATCAAATCTGGACAAATATGCAAAACACCCTTTAAACACTACCAAGTACTTGAGTTTACCACCTGTCTTATGAAACATATTTTCCATGTTTGGCATATAACTTTCCATCAAATTGCATATAACCTTCCACCCACCATTTCACAGTAAATCAAAAGCTGCAACCATTTCAATGTCCACTTCTACAAGGAAACTTCAGGTCTTTTCTGAGATAATGTGACATATTTCTTGTAGTGTTGATGCCTTTCTTACCATTTGACATATGTAATCCTGTGCTACTGTCTTTATTATTATTTTTAAATATGTCCCTAACAAAGCTTTGGAGTGTTGTGCCCTTACTTCCAACTTTTTGTAAGCCCTGTGGCTTCTATTATTTGAATTTACATAATACAATTACATAGCGATTTGTAAGAAAGCATGTACTATATTATAGCAGAAATGACTATATCTCCACTGGCAAAATTTTCTAAAAAATGGAGCTACTATACTAAGATGTTTTGGAGGGAATAAGTTATATGACCACATGTTTCCAACATTCAGTCTCACATTGGAAATGTCTGTTAAATTAAAATCATCGCCTTTTCCTCTATGTCAACTACCTCTTCTGTTCTCAGAGGTTAATTTTTCAATATTTATCTGTACTTTCAAATTTCATCTAGAAAATTGAGTAAATTTGAGATAATAAGCTTTAGTGGTAGTCAAAACAAGAAAGCATACCAGGTTTTTTTTTTTTTTAGATTAGTGGCAAATATGCAAACAAACAAACAAACAAACAAAAAAACATGGAACTTGACTATGGAAGAGGATTCATAACATTAACTAGAAAAACCTTTACCATTCTGGCTTTGAGGATGGGATAAATAATTTTACCATTAATCCATATATACAACATAAAAAGGGAGGTTGCTGTTTGAAAAAAAATTTTTTTTTTTTTTGAGCCAGGTTCTCACTCTCTTGCCCAGGCTGGAGTGCAGTGGCGCGATCTCAGCTCACTCCAACCTCCACCTCCTGGGTTCAAGGGATTCTCCTGCCTCAGCCTCCTGAGTAGCTAGGATTACAGGCACCTGCCACCATGCCTGGCTAATTTTCTTTATTTTTAGTAGAGACGGGGTTTCACCACCTTGGCCAGAATGGTCTGAAACTCCTGACCTCATGATCCACCCGCCTCAACCTCCCTAAGTGCCGGGATTACAGGCGTGAGCCACAACGCCCGGCCGCTTTTTGAAAATTTTGATAAATATAGTTTTATTGAGTTTGAGGGGCATGTATATTAGCAGACAGAAAAATACGGAGATTGAAAGAAGAACTAAGAGAAAATTAGTTTGTTCACTTGATAATTGGCTTTAGTATTGGAGATGTATAAACACTGTGGGAAAGACATAAACCAATGTGGAGGAAAACTAAGGAATCAAGAAAAAAAGTCAAATCTACAAAGGAACAAATTCTTTCAACAATCATAACTGAGTTTAATCCAGATAAATGATTAGATGGGTAGGATACGAGGCACTCCCACCGACTGGAATGTGGGGCAACGAAGAAGCAGGTACAATTGCAGGTGGCAGAGAGAGTCCAAAGCTGTTCTAGGCTGATACAGTCTCTTTTTCTAAATTTAAGTAATTTCTAATTGATCACCTTCCAGAAGAAGTGTCTGCTGTTTCCTTCCACAAACAAACAAACAAACAGAACATAGAGCTCTTACTTAATCCCTAATTGCAACCTTCAGAAGTCAGTCAAGCAACACATTTGTACATGCCGGGGAGTCGGGGTGGGGTGTATGTGTGTGTATAAATTTTCATCCACAGCCTCACAATTCCTGAATTGGTGTGAGAAACAGTCATCACCTGGTTAAAGGAAAACAAACCACGAAGAGCAATTTTAAACAACTGCCAGGATGGCCAATCATTTTTTTCAATATTTTATTTTTATAACGTTAAAAAAAATTCACAAGCTTCTCAAAGAATGAAGATATGTAGTGCTACCTCATGGTCATGCCTTTATTCTTTCTCTCCTATACCCATAATCCCTATTTCTGTAATGTGAGATATCAAGTAAAATATTTAGGAAGAGTATGGGATCTCCTTACAATATCTGCTTATAAAGAAATAGCACTTTATTACCAATGTGAATCTTGGACTGGGATGTAATTTTTTTTGATGGTCAACACTTTTGTGTTCCTGACTAACATCATGTTGTGAAAATAATTGTTTCAATGATTCTAGAAAATGTCTACTTTTTTATCTCAGCTTGTGTAAAATTAAAGACAAACTCTTTAAAGCTATACAATCATTTATTTAAGCAAAATATTTTATAGCTATATATCATATGCTTATTTCTTTTGGAAGGAAATAAAAATGAATAATTAATTAACGTAACAAATGCTGCTAACACTTATGAATAGTATTACTACTTCCCGATGAGAAAGAATTGTATAAGGGTCCCTGTGTAATATTTTAGCTAGTCCAGGCCAGAATTGTCCTTCTAAGAAAACTTACATTTCCCATCTTTGACATAATTATAAAACTTACCAAATGTTTATTTCTTATGGCAAGCATTTTGGGGGAGCCAAGAAAGCAATTTGCTAGACAATGATGACAAAATAAAGAAATAGCAGGCTCCTAAGCAAGAGTGCCAATGAACAAATGATTTTATTATATTTTATTTATTATATTTTATTATATTTCTCTGGTTGAAATTCTAGATTAAGGATACACAGTGCCTATGAAAGACAAAATTATATAGCTGAGGGCATGTGATAAATACAGTTAAGGACTGGATTCTACTGACGAAAATAATGTACAAAGTAATTGTGCATTAGGTTTATTTGATTCACTAATTTTTTCCACTTTACTACCTATGTGTGCTGAAATGAAATCAGATGAGAGAAGTAAAATCTAAACTGATGAAAAATGCTTTTCATGCTTTAATACTCTACAAAATCATAAGTTTCTATCAAGCTTATGCATAGGTTGTGACACTTTTTTTAGCAAAAATTTTCCACTTGAATACAAAGTTAAGAATTACAATGCCATGATCTCACAAGAAGAAAGTAAAAATGTTGGAAAAAGGTAGATTCCAATATTAATCGAGACTTAGAGGGTATTCTCAAAAATATTTTTAAATATATATATTTAAAATAACAAAAAAGTAATAATATACACAAATACTTAAAATATGTATTTAAAATAAACAGCATATTAATTTCACTGAAGTATTATCGATTGAAAAACCTAACCAGTTACATTTTTAGTTTTTACAACGATGTTAATCATTGTATAAAAACAGATAAAGACATTCAAGTATTATATATATGGCACATTAGGTGACAATTTGAAAGGGTTAGATATAAATTAAATATTTAAATAACATATATAATTACTACTTTTCTCTAGTAATTTAAATAACAACTGGTATTTATTCAGCACCTACACATGTATTACTATTATTATGGAGTACAAAAAAAGCATAAGATGTATTTCCACCAATAAAAGTACATAAAACAGTTGAAAATAGCAGCATTATATACTGATTCAGGCATTTAGAGACAAGCTGAATATATGAAAACATACTAGATGCATATAATTCTTTATTTAAAAAAAATTCTAGAACAATATTGAAACAGCCTCATTTTCTGAGGTATTACCTGGAGTTATTTGAGAATAAGGAATGTGGACACCAAGGGTGAGGTGGGAACAAAGGCTTAATAAGCTAAAGAGAAAATCTCTCCACAGTGGACAGAAGGCCTGAAAGAGGGTTGCCAGCTGTGAAGCTGAGTCTGGGGTTTTTATGGACCGGAAGGGGAGGAATGGGCTGACCGGTCTGTAGGCTATCTTGGAGAAGGCACCACTTAGAAAGAGGTATAATAGTGTAAAGAACCAACTGGAAGTAGAAGTGAAGGCTTGGCCTGGGACCAATTGAAGGTAGAAGTGAAGGCTTGGCTGGGACCAATCAGGGGCTGAAGTGATGATTTACTCTGTTAATGAAGACTTAGCCCACAGCCAATTATAGAAAGGTAGGCATACGTAAAATAGGTGAAAAGTAAAAGACCAATAGGTGAAAAGTAAGAGACTAAGACATGCCAAGGGGAAAGAAATGTGTCCAAAAAGGGGTGGAATTTGTTCATCTGGGTTCATAGAGTAAGTGTTTCCATTCAAGGATGCAGGGTCTTTCTTATCTGGGACCTGAAGTTTGATTATCAAGCTGTTCTTGGTTTGAAGGAGTTATACCAAGGACCTGTCCTAACTACCTGCCTGACAGGTTTCTTCCTCCTCTGTCAGTATGAGTTATATTGAGTAGTGATATAATGAGAGTACTAGAGCTAGGGTCTTGCTGAAAATGATGTATAATAACAGTAGTGTGAAAATAAGATCAAGTAGAGACAATGATATTTTGTTATCCACAGACTAATTCCTATGCCATATCACCAGTTATGATTAAACAAAAGCTGATTTTTAAAAGTGAATTAAATAAAATAGAAACTTATATCTCTGAAATATATATGTGTATATATATAAGTGTGTATATATATATATATATATATATATATATATATATATATATATATATATATACCTACTGTATATATGTGTGAAATAGTAGCATTTCATGGTTGATATGAAAGGGACTATGGGAGTGTCATTAGGTCCTAAGGTCCTAGCTACTGTTCTACCATCCTCAGCTCACTGTTTGCGTTGCAAGTCACCACATCATACAACAGGTCTGCTGGCCCTCTAACTTTATCTATGTACTCTAGGCTCAATGCATGAGAACTATAAGAAAGGCTGCCCCCTCATTTTAGGAAATGCTTCTTGGAATTGTAACACAATGTTTCACTTAAATTCTATGATTAAAACTTAATAATATAACCTAGAAGAATATAATATAGAATATAATATAATATAGAAGAATATAATATAACCCAGAAGAATATAATATGACCTAGAAGAATATAATATAACCTAGAAGAATAATATAACCTAGAATACAACTTCAATAGAAGTTGGGACATGTGGTGTTTTAGCTGTGCATATTTGATAATATTTTATTAATAAATATAGAAGATTCTAATTTATTTGAACAGATAAACCCTGAATTAGCAAATATGGAACCATCACTCCCAGGGAAAATACAGGGTTATGTTCCTGTGAGCCTCTGGCCACATTTTCATCAACCTATTAATACATAACTTAGGTTTACGTGTGTTTCTGTTTTAAGACACCATATTTAATGTACATAGTTAATTCATTAACATTGAACTCACAGAGAAGCTTGCTCTTTCTTCTGTTACAGGAATGCTTCTAATGGACTAGTGTAAAAGTATGAAGAAATGTCCTCTAGTTAACAGTTTCTGTTGACACAAACATAGCAACTTTTACAATGTTAACCTAATTATGTTGAGAAAATTAAACTCACCCTCCACAGTAATGACAAATAAGAACCAAGATTGAAGAAGCAGATTATAGGAACCATCTTGGGCATTAAAAATAAATCTAGAAAACAGACAATAGACTGTGGATTTATGCCGTTTTTCTTTGGAAAGGACAGATGGGATTATGCAAGAAACCTAGATATACCAGAGGCGATTTTTCCACTGCAAGGAATGCCATATTCAGAGACTACATAACAAAATCAAAACGTTGAAATTTAGCGGCTGTCCTTGCTGACACAAACACACACACACGCACACACACACACACACAATGCTTCATTCAGTGGGTTTATACAAATCAATTTTCTGCACAAGAGGGGAAAATTAATTAATATAAAATTCCTCAACACATTATTAAAGTATATAAATCCCTTTAAGGTGACAAAGTCAATTACTGTATGTATATTTGTTCATTTTTATTTTCTGTTTTAAGAACCTTAGTTCACTAAGAGAAACCAAAAGTAAGCAAAGAATACTAGCACAAATTAAACCCCATCGGTTTTTCAGGAGAAGATACTGTGATCCAGAGGTGTAAGACTTTTCTATTCAGATTCCAGATAAAGGCATAGAAAATCTAGAAGTTAGGTGCAAGCCCACTGCTATTATTTTTAAGACTTGACAAAGTATGAGGGAAGGTTCCCAGTTGTGAAGCAAATTCAGTGTACACTGGTTACCACTTCAGCCCACTGCATCTTAGACTGCAATTTCTACTGCTTGCACAAGTCCTACGAGACAGAAGAGTCACACAAGTTACATGAAGCATACTTGTTACTTACAAATAGGGAGCAAGGGACAACAGAAAACAAGAATTCATGACAAGCTAATCTGCAAAGTTCAGGACAGCCACGCAGGGTAGATAGTTTTGTCTGCATGTGTCGTAATTGTATCGCAGCTGAGGGGCCCCAGAAAGCAGGCTGTCGTGGGTTTTTATCCCAGGGGCAAACTTGAATAACTGAGTAAAATATTGTAGGACACCTTCTTCTAGGCTGGGCAGGAACAAGGCCCAGGCTTTTCTGGCTAGTTTCACTCTATCTCAGAATGTTACATTCCCAGCACATTCTGAAGACTACAAGCAAGAAAAGAGTGACAATTGAATTTGTTCAAGTCCACCCAGAAAATGGCTTGCACCAGTTCACAATCTGCCCATTCCATGCTTCTTACACTTGATTCCTTTTGATCTTTGACTGGTGTCTGGACCATGAGTTTAGATAATAAAATCCACATAGCCAGACTTTATCTACAACCTTTAAAAGGCCTACACCCTCCATCGTCATCCTCTTTCATAATTTCTTTGCTTAAGGGTGTGCACAAATGAGGCTCTCAGGAAAAGAAGACAGAGGGCCAAGGAGAAGGTCTGGCCCGTTGGATGGGGAATTCCAAGGTCCAAGATCATATTTTGGAAGAGGATGCAGGCTGCGTGCGGGCATATCCCCTCAGTGCGAATGGCTGCTTGGCAGATGGGTCAAGGCTGGAATCTCTAAAGCCCTAATTCAAGAATGAGGTCCCTTTGCTTGGGTCACAAGATGGGGCTGTCTAACTATTTTACTTCATATTCAGTGTACATCCGGATTCCTTATAACCCCATTACCCAAAATTGTTCACTTGTTTTAAATTTGCATTCTTTCTTCATTTGGAACAAAGAGATCAAAATCCTAATTTATTATGTGGACTCACTGCTGCCTACATTTTTCTAAGTAGGTATTTTATCTTTTATTAAATATTTATCTCATCTTAATTTTTTTAGTTATGATAAGATACTACATTGCTCAATAGGTATGTAATGTGTCCAACATTAAAATGGAAAATCTATATTTTTAACTCTATGAAAATTTTAAACTTTGCAAAATCATACATAAAAGGGTTAAAAGACAAGATGAACTGTAAAAGTAAGTGTAATAAATACATCATAAACTCACGTATCTTAGATATAGAGGAATCATAAATAATAATAAAACAATAAAAATTAAAATAAATGCATACAAACTATATAGAGCACAGAAACAATGAGTAGTAAACACACAGAATAATGTAAATAAATGTCTGAAAATGTTGTGATGATCCACTCAACTTTACTAATCATAAAAAAAAGAAAGATAAATAGAAGGAAGAAAGAGGAGAGAGAAAAAGAAGAGAGAAGAAAGAGGAGAGAGAAAAAGAAGAGGGGAGAAAGGAAGAAAATATTTTCATACCTTTCAAACTGGTAAATTTCTTAAATATAATAATGCACAAGGATAGCTGAAATTGGCATTGATAGATTGACAGAAATGTTAATTAATATAATATTTCTGGAAAACAAATCACAATTAGAAATTAGTTAAGACATTCCACTCATTACATGTCTAGAAATCTAACCTAAGTAATTAAATGTAACAAAAATTATAATATATGGTCACAGAAACCCGAAAACACCCTAAAGATTCCACATTAGAAGAATGATGCATCAAATGTGACATGTATGTAAAACCAGGGAATCTCTGAAACAATGCAAATTTTGAGCAACATCATTTGTTTAAAAAATCCTCCAATTAAAAAAATATTTATGCACGGGGTACATGTTCAGGTTTGTTACATAAGTAAACTGCATGTAACAGGGATTTGTTGTAGATATTATTTCATCAAAAATTGACAAATGGGATCTAATTAAACTACAGAGCTTCTGCCCAGCAAAAGAAACTATCAACAGAGTTAACAGACAACCTATAGAATGGGAGAAAATATTCGCAAACTATGCATCCAAAAAAGGTCTAATAGCCAGAATCTATAAAGAACTTAAACAAATTAACAAGCTAAAAACAAACAACCCCATTAAAAAGTGGGCAAAGGACATGAAAAAAACATTTTCAAAAGAAAACATACATAAAGTCAACAAGAATTCTCCAGATTTATCCAATCTTGGAAGGAGGTTGATCTTGTATCAGACATTTTGGGGGAACATTAAACATCTAAATTTTAACTTAAATTTTCATAATATTTAGAAAAGAGGAGGCAAGTTCAATGCTTCCTGTACTCCCCTTGCCCAGCTTAAAACTGGAGCCCAGTGCAGGCACCCAGAACCCCCAAACCAAGGTACAGGCATAAACTAAATGACTGTTTTTCAAAAATGTGATGCATGTGTGAGTTCATGGTTGTTCTCCTGCTGAGATCATTGCTGTCAGCGCCTCTGAAGCTTGCCTTGTCTGGGACCTGCCAGGCTCCTTATGAATTTCCTTACACCCCTGGTGTTGGGTCTATCCACTCACAGCTATTCTCTTTGCTGATACCATTTTATTCCTGTTGTCAATTCACCTGAAAAGAATTGTTTTAAAATACAACCCCTGGCAGGCTCTCTTGAGTAGGTATTTCTGGCATCTTTGCCCTTGCCTAGGAATGATAGAAACTAGCTTCATGATAGCTCTTCTTATAAACATGCAGAAGACAAATGCTATTCATCAAGGCCATGAGAGAATGGCTGAAAAACATTTCAGAGATGTTCAAGGCTGTCATGCCCAACAAAGATGCAGAGTGTTAAGGCCTTGAGGTCAGAAGGGTTTCAATGGAGAGGTCCAGGTTATCAGTGGGTTGCAAGTCACCCATGGGTCCTGGAGGCTTGCTGCCCAGTGCCACCTCAAGACTCTGCTCCCCACATTCTAGTGTAGCATTCTTGGTCACTTCACCTGAGGCTCAAAGGGACCTAGGTGAAGTCTAATGGGCACTTTCCTGTGGGCACAAGTGGTAAGCATTGGTGACATCTACATGGTGCTAACTCTGCAGCTATGCTGAGTACAAGAGCTGTGGGAACAAGCTTCCTCCACCTAAACTTCAAAGGAGGCCAAGGGGACCCTTGGGGTCCAGGCAGGGATCCGCTGTAGAAGCAGGGTCACCACCAAGTCCCCATGGGATAATGCCTAGTAGAGCCATGGAGGCAGGACCACTACCGTGAGCCATAACTGTAGATCCATCAATATGCAATGGCATCCTGGAAGAGCTACAGGCACCTGACTCCAACCTGTGAGAGCTGCAGCATGGGCTGTGCCCAGCAAAGCCAGGGGAGTAGGGTCCCTTGGAACCTTGGGGATTCAACACCCATCCCAGTGTGTCTAGAAGGTGGGGCATGTAACTAAAGATTGTTCTCAAGCCTTAAAATTTAATGTTTGCCCTAATCCATTTTGGACACAGTTGGATCTGTTATCGCTTTCTTCTTGCCTGTTCTCATTTGGAATGGAAATGTTTATCTTATGCCTCTTCTAATATTACATGTTAGGAGCACATAATTGGTTTGCTTTCTCAAGCTCATGGCTAGAGAGAAATTTTTTTTCCAGATGAATCATACCTTGAGTTTCACTCATATCTAATATGTATGAGACTTTAGACTTTAGACTTTTGAGTTGTGGCTGGAATGAGTTAAGACTTCTGGGGGCTATTGAGATGGGATGAATATATTTTGCATGTGAGAATGACATAAATTTAGGAGGACCAGTGGCAGAATGTTGTGGCTTGAATGCGTCCCTTCCTAAATGTATATGCTGAAACTTAATGGCTGATGAAATAGTATTAAGAAGTGGAATTTTTAAACAATTTTAGGTCATAAGGGCTCCTCCCTTGAGAGTGGGATTAAGGCACTTAGAAAAGAGGCTTCACATAGCATTTTGTCCTCTTTTGCGCTTCTGCTTTCTGCCTTGCGAGACTGTATTAAGAAAGCCCTCACAAGATACTGCTGCCTCCATTTGGGACTTACCAACCTCCAGAACTGTAAGAAATAAATTTCTGGGTTTTATACCCTACCTAATCTGTGGTATTTTGTTACAGCAGCACAAATGAACTAAGACACACCTCTTTAAGATTTTGGGTTCTTTATCACAATATTTTATTTTTCTTGGCCTCCAGAGCCTCAACTGAAAACAAAACAAAAATTATTCTCATTTTGTCATCATTTTATATACTATATGTTTGTAATTATAGAACATCAATATAAAATTAGGCATATAGAGAGTTGTATATGTAAACATAATTATGTAGAAACTGAATAGCACAGGAGAGTGTATTTTCTGGAACTACTATTATCCAAACCAAGCAGACTGCAGACCTTCATCTTCTTTCTGGACCAGCTGTCACCCAGTAGACTCAGCCACATATTGTATCCAGAGTTGCAATATCCATTCAAATTAGTGATATTTTTAAGACAAAAATCCACTAATTCTATGTTTGTCAACTTTTATCTATCAACATACAAAATACAACTATATTACCCCAAGAACTTTCTAACACATTATTTTCCTCACCATGAGTTTTACTTTACTGTCCCTGTCTCAGCCTGTAGCCCTTTCCCTGCTCTACATCCTCTAATACAGAGCTCCACTACTGCAGAATTCTCTGCATTCACAACTTTTCTCATCTTCACTAGTAACTGCACTAATTGAACTCTGGTTCTCTCTCTGGGAAACATATATTACTGCTTATTCCCCAACTCCTTTTCCTTAAACACTTTGATACCTTGTTTGCATAATTTTCTTCATACCTAGATGTCATTGTCATCATCCTTAGTGAATATAAATGTCCACATAGACACAGTAAACAACTAAATTATCAGTTTCATAATTGAAAATGTCTGGTGAGCTTTTAGCCCCTCACTTGGCAATTCATTTTCCTAATTCCAAATTTGACCTTTTGATTATCTATAATAAAATCTCTTTAATATGTTTCTAAATATCACCAATTCAGTGATTCTACAATCTAATTTATTGCCCAGATACTTGGTCAAAAACTCTTGCTCAGAAATTGAAGCCTCTATAAATTTCTCCCTATCTACCTCTTTTTTTCACTTTTTCATTATCCAGTTTGCTCCATCATCCATGATTTCAAGGACATTCCTGCAAATATTCTAACTCTCTTGTTCTTCTGTTATTCCTATTTATCCTACCAAGCAAAACAGCAACCTTGGATGACCTGAACTATAATAACACAGCATGCCCTTACCCCAGCAGCTCACCAATACAAGATAATTTCACACATGAGGTCATATCAGCCTCCTAAAAATGCATTATCATCACTCACAAGCCTTTGCTACTGCCCATCTACCTCACTCTTCAAAAAAATATTTGATCCTCTCTCCTCTCCTCAGATTTTGATTACTACACCTTTCTCTCACTCCAACAGATGTTTTTGCCATCTACCTTTCAAAGAAAATAAAAGTCATAAGATTAGATCACAAATACATTTTAGTACTAAAATATATAGACACGCATTTGCACGCTCATCTCTTCTAAGGTTAATTCCCCCTTACCTGTACTTTGAAATTCACATATTTTTGCTAAAGCAAACTATGTTATTGATTTTCCCTTATTTATCTTGCATATTCAATCTTTAATTCTCAACTAAAAACCCTCCACTATTTTCTATTCTTACATTTTAATCAAAATGATAAAAGTATTGGACTGTAATTTAACTTTCCCTATCTATCTATAGCAAAGAGAAGACTCAGAGATGCAAATTTGTATGATGAAAAGTGCCTAAGTCTTTGAAACAACCAGTTAATCATAGTCTCTTCCTTGCCACCAATGAGATGGTGATGTGAACAAGAAATACAGTATTTTTTGTCATTTTTAAGCACTGATACTCTAATTGATCTCTTATAGTGTTATAACAACTAGCATTAGTTTCACTGATACCAAAACTGTTCCCTTGAAGTGATATTATGCTGTAAGAAAAAGTAAAATATATGGAATTGGTTAAGTAGTCAGGTGGCAGGTCAAATGATCTGATATTTATATTTGTAACCTGAAAATCTATGCCATAAAACGACAAGATACATACACTATTTTCTGCAAGAATTGGGAATTCAGGCCTCATGAAAATTGTGCCCTTAACTCTAAAAGAGAAGGATAGAAAATACATTGATATTAGTAATTTGGGGTGTTACTACTTACATACAGTGAGGCATTAGAAGAAAGAAATAGACTTAGAAAAAAATGTCTGAATATGCGACAAAAATTACAAGGAAGAAAGTTCAAACATATGGAGGCTCAAAGGTGGAAAAGTGAACGGCTTCTAGACTCCAAAGAGTAACAGATAAAATAGAGAAAAAGTTGGGGCAGCAAATGACATAAGGCTCAGCACTTAGATACTTCAGAAGTGGCCTAGAGGTTAACAGACAGTAAATATTCTTTTTTTTTTGAGACTGACGTTCACTCTTGTCGTCCAGGCTGGAGTGCAATGGCGCGATCTTGGCTCACCACAACCTCCACCTCCCGGGTTCAAGTGATTCTACTGCCTCAGCCTCCCGAGTTGCTGGGATAACAGGCATGCGCCACCACACCCGGCTAATTTTGTATTTTTAGTAGAGACGGGGTTTCTCCATGTTGGTCAGGCTGGTCTGGAACTCCCGACCTCAGGTGACCCGCCCGTCTCAGCCTCGCAAAGTGCTGGGATTACAGGTGTGAGCCACTGCGCCCGGCTAAATATTCTATCTGAGGAAAAAGTATGAGTCACAGAAAACCTGGGTAAGGAATATCCTGTAATTTGATCTAGGTTTACTTAAAGAAAGAAATTTTCCTGAGAGGGAAAGGGCCCCAACAAAACTGCCCGTTAGAAACAACAACCACACCCTCACACACAAAAAACTGTTAAGTCCTATCAAAATTTGATTTTAAGTGGGAGTTTATGTGTAGTTGTCTTGTTTCTATTCCAAAACTGTGCGCTGGGTGTATCATTACGTGGAGTGAAGATAATTTGTATCCTTTTAGAGAACAGTTTGCTAAACCACAGCTAGTCACATGTGGACCTGAAGGAGAAGGTAGAGGATCACCAGGACCTTCAGCTGTCTTAAGTAACTGAATGGGTATTGGATTTGTCGCCCTTGGAGAATGTGTGAATATGCCCAGTGTCTGAAAGAAGGTGCAGGATGAGGTATTCAATGGTCAATGGAGTAGCAAAGAAAGACAACCAACCACCATAACTGTTTGCTCTCTTTCTCTAATGTATACTAGTTGAAGTGATAGGACTAATTTTCCAGTAACTTCATTTTTCAGTTTTCAGTCTGTTTGCAGCTAAGCGGGGCTGTGTGATTTGTACTTAACAATGGAGAGTGAGTATAAATGAGGCTTAGGAAAAAAAAGGTGTGTCTTTTTCTTTTCTTTTTTTTTTTCTTTTTTTTTTTTTTTTGACAGAGTCTTGCTCTTTCACCTAGGCTGGAGTGCAGTGGTGCGATCTCAGCTCACTGCAACCTCCGCCTCCCGGGTTCAAGCCATTTGCCTGCCTCAGCCTCGCGAGTAGCTGGGACTACAGGCGTGCGCCACCACACCCAGCTAATTTTGTACTTTTTAGTAGAGACAAGATTTCTCCATATTGGTCAGGCTGGTCTTGAACTCCCAACGTCAGGTGATCCACCTGCCTCGGCCTCCCAAAGTGCTGGGATTACAGGCATGAGCCACCGCGCCTGGCCCTCCTGGTCCATTTTGAATGTTAATAACTCCTAAGTTATAAATAGACATCTGAAATGGAAGAAACTAAGTGCTTTCTTCACTCTTTCATAGAAGTGCTTCCTTTTGTATCCACTAGACATCACACCCTGTCATCACTGGACAGTAACATGAGCTACTGAAATTTTGGGATTTATCTCTTACAGCAACTGTTACCTTAAAAAATAATTCAGCTTGTATATTTTTCTATATTTGAAAGGATAAAATGGTACTATGGCAGTGGCCAATTCTTGCCTCTCCACCCCATAGCTATCTTGCCAGATGCCATCACTGAATGTTCTTTTTTATTTTATCCTAGAATTTATATGCATATTATAAAGCTGCATGCTTGCACTACCACTTAAAAATAATTTGTTAGCTTTCTACTATTGTTGTATGTTTTTTGGGTATGTCATTATGGATCTGTGTACCAAACACTTCATAGAAAGTCAATAAATAATAAATACATATACTTACGTATAATATATTTGGTGTAATCATTATATGTCATATATTAATATTATATGTAATATATTTAGTACATACATTTTAAATACAAAATTATAGATAAATAACCCTCTTATACTTCTCAGCCAAAAGTATACATTTGTTCACACACACACAATTAGTTTTTCTATGTTCTAATAGAATTACACTGGATGAATAAATAAATGTTTGATATTTGCATTCTTAAGATTATACAAACATGGTTCACAGGACCTCAAAGTGTTTCAATAATGCTTTAATGTCTCACTTACAACTAAAGAAAAAGTACACCTTTCAGAAATTAAGGTTTCCTGTAAATCTGCGGTAATTTCATTGTGGACTCCTTTGAAATGACTTCTCCATTCTGTGGGTAAAATTATAATCCTTGTCTCCCTCTATAATTTCCCTGGAAATAAAAGGTTAATAGTTCTTTAAGCTTTCCTCTAACCTCAGGGACACCCGATAATTTTTTGACTTGCTTAAGCCCTCCTTGTATTACCAACTCAAGAAATTTTTAGGAGCATAACCGTACACAGGAAAGATGAAAAGTATCCAGCTAAAGGCTGCTTTTCAGACCAACCACTGTGTAAGTCGATGTCTATAACAAAGAGTCAAGAGTCAAGAAAAAATATAAGCAGACATGAAAAGAGTGGCTGCCATCTTCTGCTATCAAGTTAATCTGTTAGATGCTTTCTTACTTTTATTACTTTGTTAATCTTTGTGTTCTTTGTAAAAGCCTTTAAAAGCTAAAAATGTTGTGGCATCATCTATAGCACCAAACACTTGCATCCATGTGGTACAGAAATTGACCAATACATCTTCACAAAAGCAGAGACATTTGTGAAAACGCAGTATTATAGGACTGACAAGATATAACCAGTGAAGAGTAATCAAGTCAGAACTAATTAAATAGTTAAAATATATTATACATAGACCAATTCAAATTTGATTAGTTTCTTTTTTATGGAATTGTACATAATGACTACACAAGCAAAATGTAAATAAAATATATCATGACTATATTTCCTTCATTCACATTTTATCCCTCTAGACTCATGATAAAGCTATCTATGAACACAGCTTGTACATGTCATGCAAAATAGAACAATAACAAGAAAGTATTGCCAGTTGTGAAAATTTTAGCATTATAATATTTTGAATGTCCTTAATGTCTTATTGCATGCATGACTTCTAAATCAGCATGTTAAAGTATTTGAAGTAAGGATAGTATATATGTGTATATGTATGTATACATGTATATTTTTTCTACTGATATGGCACTGAAATAATTTACTATATTCTCTCTTGATATTCAATCCAACTTATAAGCAGCACAAAATGTTATATTGTAAATGCATGTTTATTGAGTATTTCATTATGGATCTGTGTACCAAACACTTCATAGAAAGTCGATAAATAAAAAGTACAAGTATATTTAACATATATTTACATATGTTTGATATAATCATTAGGTTATCTTAATATATTAATATTATATGTAATATATTTAAGATTATTATAAAAACATGTTTGAGTCATTCAAGTATGCATTTTGATTATTTACAACAGTAATAAAAATTTAAATCACTTCAATGATATTAAGAATATTCACATAAAAATATGAAATGAAAACCAATTATAATAAAACAGAAAATAATAACTCTTTAACAAATACCTTATAATTTAGAGCAAATGACAGACCAAAATATTTCTCAAACATTTTGATAAAGAGATCATGAGTCTGATTGAAAAGATTTTTATGAGACCTTAATAATTACAATAATTTAGAAAAAGTAATCATGTATTAATTATTACAATAAACTTCCTTTTTTAAAGAGCTCTAACTGTGGAATATAAAAGCTTCCAAATGTGGAAAAATAAAAGTGTTTCATTGATAACTTATTATTCAAGTTTTGCAGAATGTGATATTCTTATATTAACTTTGACTTCTTCAATATAGTCCCCATCCAAATTTCCCATTCATATCTATTAACACCTTTACTGTGTGAGGTATGAGGTGAAAAAAAAATTTATTAAAGCAATAATAGAAAATTCTTGTTCAATGTAATATAGTCTGGTTTAGAAATATTTTAATTATTACAGTAAAAAATTTCTAATAGTGCAGAAAACAAGACTTAGCCTTTATAATTTAGTTTTCACATGACTTACATTGTATTATAAATTTTATGGCTACATAATGTTATATAAATGCCTTTATTATAAAGAAGACCCAAAATATATATGGTAAAAATTTTAATAGGCCAATTATAAATCAATAGATAAATTGGTATTTCTAAGCAATCTTTTGCGTACAGAGAATATTAACGAAATTTTCACTAAATCATCTAACCTAGTCTAAATTGTGATGCTCTTGAGTTCATAAATATAGTATAATCAAAGGATATTCATTAATAGCTTTTTTAAAACCCTATATCCTGTCGGGCGCGGTGGTTCACGCCTGTAATCCCAGCATTTTGGGAGGCCGAGGCAGGCGGATCACATGAGGCCAGGAGTTCGAGACCAGCCTGGCCAAAATGGCAAAACCCTGTCTCTACTAAAAGTACAAAAATTAGCCGGGTGTGGTGGTGGGCACCTGTAATCCCAGCTACTCAGAAGGCTGAGTCAGAAGAATCGCTTGAACCCGGGAGGCGGAGGTTGCAGTGAGCCAAGTTCGAGCCACTGCACTCCAGCCTGAGACACAAGAGCGAGACTCTGTCTAAAAACGAAAGAAAGAAAGAAAGAGAAAGAAAGAAAGAAAGAAAGAAAGAAAGAAAGAAAGAAAGAAAGAAAGAGAAAGAAAGAAAGAAAGAAAGAAAGAAAGAAAGAAAGAAAGAAAGAAAGAAAGAAAGAAAGAAAACCCTACATCCTAGTGAACTACATCAGATATGTGTTATTTATACCTCATTTGCCTTCATACTCATCTATATATACCTCCTTTTCCTACCGTCTCTGTGCCCTTGGAGCCTGAATCTTTGGACAGGATCAGATGGGCTTATTCTCTCACTTTTGCCTAGTTGGGCTCAGCAAATGCAAAACAGCAGTAAATGACCCTGGAGAAGTTAAATACATAAAAGCTGTAAGCATCATTTAGTTTTTGAAGAGTAAAGAGGATTTTCTCTTTTTAAATTACATGTTCATGAAATGACTTGAGGTGACTTTTCATCTAAAGTATACCTTTTCATTCAAACAATGCACGAATATGGACAGCTTGAACATCTAAGCTCAAATGGTACACATACTTTTAAAGGTAGTTTATTCAATCTTTAAACAGAATTTGGAGTCTTAAATCAGAAAGAATAAAGTTTCTATTGCAATAATTGCTTATATTGATAAAATTTGAGCATTAGTACAGTAGGGAGAATATCTGTTTATGTCTTTCTATTCAGCACAAGTATTGTGCCCAGCAGGTACATACTAAATGTACTAAATGCATATTGATTAAATCGATAAATATAGGAAAGTTGGAATCATATAGCACTTCACAATAAAGTGCTTTCACATGTACACATCCATAAGTTATTTGACTTTTTATAACTCTATACGTATTGTTGGGTACGTTTTATCATCAGCTTCTCAAATAGTCAGTGCAATTTAAAAGTTCTTTTCAAGATCACATGGCTAGTTAAGTTCTAGAATCAAGAACCCATTCACCTTCTTCTATAACCTCTTCCAGTGATATGGTACTACAATACATATCCCTTACTGTATTTTCTGATGTGATTAAGCATATATTGCTGTATACTCATATAAGCCACTATCAAATGCTTATTAACTGTGATATGCTCACTTATTTATTTGTATCATTGCTATTAATGCTTACAATGATTCTAAAAAAGAAATAGTCTACATTTTTTCATCCTTATTATTTTACATAAGAGGAAACTGAAGCAGAGAAGGCTAAACTCCAATACTATTCTCTGCAAAAGACATCTAGATGTACAGCATACCAGCCCATTTAAAAAATACATTTTATTTGCTATTAGTAATAATGAAAAATAAAACTAGTTTAAAAAAAGAAAGTAGAATTAGGGAGCAATGAAAAAATATCCAATTGGTTCATCTCCAGGAGGATAAATAATCATTGTAATCAATTTTTCAAGTGAATTGGTATTATTTTTATATAATGGAAAACAAGCAAACAATTAAATATAGGAAACTATTGTATTTAAATATTTTTATGTATTATGACATTTTCATTTATCAAAGTTTTGCCCAGATTATGACACCATAGTGATCAACTCAATAATTATTTAAATACCAGTGTTCAGAATAGTGAAAACATGTTTGCATATTTTTAGTTAATATAATTTTATTTCTTGGAATATACATTTTGGATTTTTCTCTATTAAAATAATTCTACCTCACTATATTTTTCAAAAAGAAAACATTTCATCAGGCTCGATCTTCTCTACTGCTGCTACTAGAATTACTCTTGTATGAAGCAAAATTTTCAGCTGGCAAAGTCTTACAGGAAATTTTTCCTTTGAAATTGAATTTCGCATTTATTTTCCTAAAACACACACACACACATGCATACACACACATACACACATAAAATCGTATTCAACATTTAGGCATAGCATTATGTCTCTAACAGCAGCAACACAAATAACAAGTAACTGGTTAAATGCAATGTTCAGGAAGACAACTGGTTGAATATCAACATATGAAAATGCCTCCTGAAAACAATTACATCTGCTTTTAGCATTGAGGTAGAACTCATTCTTGTGCAGGGTTTGGTTATGTCTTCCATTTTGCTGTCAATATTTGTATTAGAAATTGCTTACTGTAATATTTGAAATATTTCTAAACCAGACTATATTGAACAATTTTCTATTATTATTCTAATAAATGCTTTTTCACCTCAAGCAGTATAAGTGTTAATGGATATAAAAGGGAAATTTGGATGGGAACTAGTTTGTAGAAGCCATAGTTAATTTAAGAAAATCACATTTTGTAAAACTTGAATAATAAGTTGTCAATTAAAGGCTGTTTTATTTTTCCACCTTTGGAAAGTTTTATATTCCACAGTTAGATCTATTTAAAGGAAGTTTCTATTGTAATAATTAACACATTATTGTTTTTTAAAAAATTACTGTAATCATTAAGGTCTCATAAAAATCTCTGTGATTAGACTCATGACACTCTTTATCAAAATGAAAATACAGAGAGCCCCTTATTTAAAAGACAGGGGAGAGGTGCTGCCAGAGGCACTAAAATACATCATTTCTGTTTCACGCCATTTTTACTTTGCACTAAATAACACAAATTTCTCTCACTTGAATACCGATTCATGGTTCCTCTACCCTCAAAACTTTGGTATACGCAAAATTTTAAAGTATCTTGACCTGAATATTTCTCAAGGGAAATTTGGTTATGATCCATACCCACTGTCAACAGCTGTCTTTTCATCATGTGAAATGCAAGTACGCCCAAAAAAAGAAATTTGATTTTTTTTTCATCTCATGTTTTTAGAGCAGGACAGCAATCATTGGCCTCAGTATATTGACTTCATGTGACTCAGCTGCCCAATATTGTTCCAGCCAGCTGTGTCTATGGGTGAGAGAGGGTCACATGGTATCACACTCAGAGAAGCATTAATGGCCTTGCTGAGGCATTTCCCATCAAACCAAAGGGTGGGCAAGTCAGTGTCTGTGATTAACACATGTAAAATATGAAAGAAGCCATATTATTCAAATAGTTTAATTTGGCAAAATATCTGTTAAAAATAAAAATAGGATATAATGTATGCATTTAATTTTAACTGTAAATGTATAAGTGTGAATATATTTTAAAACTTTGGGGTTCAAGACCAAGAGCTCTGCTTAAAAGTTAGCTGATGGACAGACCTATATACTTTCTTTTCTTTTCTTTTCTTTTCTTTTCTTTTCTTTTCTTTTCTTTTCTTTTCTTTTTTACACAAACCACACTCATAATGCATCCTCTGCAATTTTCTGTTTCCATCTCTTTAAAGCACATCAAGCAATTACAAACACTTGTAAATCAATTTATGTGGAGAATCATTTTAGAAGTCTGATTTTTTCCCCAGTTTTTGTTATAGTTGTCCAGCCCACACTTACTTTTTGAAAGCATCTTTCAAGTGATTCACCTTTGTAGAGTTGTTTTCAAGGCATACAACTTAGTTTTCATAGAAACAACCCTCTTTATTTTCATACGCTTATTTTCATAAGCTTAAGTAATATTTAAATAAATTTTGTAAGTAAAAACAAAAAACAACTGGTATAAAGAGATTTAGGGATAAACACATCTGACACTTGGTGTACATACTACCGAAACATAGAGAACAGAAGTGCGGGGACAGAATAGTCTGCCAGCCAAAGGCGTTCAACAAGGATAGACTTCAGTAAATATGCTTAACAGAAGGAGTGGAAAGCATTGTTTCATCTGGTAAACTGGTAAAATGCAAGTCATTTAAAAAATAACTTTTATTGTATTCTTATCCCTTAGTTCTTTAAATTTAGCTTATTTTATTTCAGCATCCTCAAACTGGTCTCTAAATAGAAAAGGAATCTGAAAAGCCATATTATTTCACACCCACTAAATATGTAATTAAACACTTATACCTTATTTAATCTATATAAAGAGATAATATGGGCATATTTAGATGGTGACCTTGAAATCAATATACTGTTTAAATATATGACAGTGCAGATTATTAAGATGAAGCTCAGAAATGACACTTGTAATGCATGCTGAGTATTTGAAGTTTGAAAAATATGACAGCAAGGAAAGAATGGTAGAACTATTCCGGAAACTTTTCAGAAAAGACATAATCAAGAGGGTTTACACACACACACACACACACACACACACACACACACACACACACAGACATGAAACAGAAAAACTGCAAAGACTGAATTTTTTTCCCCATGGCAAAAATCAGTTTAGTGATTTTTAAATGGAGATTATACAAAGGTCACTACCTTCAAACAAACCAGCTAAGAAATGTTAACAATCACTAGGACCAGAATAGGTATAATTTTGGAGGAAGATGTGTTCTGTTAGATAATTAGATTAATATTTGTATTTTAATATCTGGAAGAAAAACATTCTGAGAATATTTCAAGCCTTTGTTTTTATTTAGCAATAATTGAGCTTATTCTCCTCACTTATCCACCCATTTCTCTGGAACAATTGCTAATTTATGTTTCAAGATTTGTAGTCTCAGATATAAATTTAGTTTTTATATTACTTAAAGCAAAAAATACAGATTTATAACATTCTTCAGTTTAAGAATATGATTCATATAATTTCCTGCTTTCAAGAAACTTTTCTCTTCTTAGTAATATACATTACTAAAATATATACTCTAAAAGGGCTAGACTTTTCATCTGTTACATTTTGTATCTATCTCTAAAACCTAGAAAAGTGGCATAAGTTTAATGATCTATCAGTTCTCACTGCATGATGAATGAATGCCTTGAACAGTAAGTTTTCCCCGATCAGTAGTGAAATCAGCAATGGCTGTGTAGCGAGCACTGGTAAAATACACGTTAGTGTCCACCTGTGAACTTTTGTATGTGTATTTTTTGAGACATGGTCTTGCTCTCTTCCCTAGGCTGGAGGTCATTAGTGTGATCATAGACCAAGTTCACCACTCGAACTCCTAGGCTGAAGCTATCCTCCTACCTCAGGAGTTGGGATTACAGGTGTGAGCCACCATGACCAACTAATTTTTAATTTTTTTGTTGTTGTTGTTGAGATGGGGTCCGCTATGTTACCCAGGCTGGTCTCAAACTCCTGGCCTCAAGTGATCCTCTCTGATCTTTAATGAGTTTCTACAAGGGAGATTCTGGCTGGGAGTGTGTGAGCAATTTCAAGGACTTTGCTACAACGTTAAATTTTCTTTTGGAAACAACGTTACTGTCCGCATTGTAAAAGAGTGCTTTAACTATAGTAGTGAGTCTCATTTTAAAAATTATATTATTTTTGCTTTTTTATGTTAATTTTAGTTGGCACACAAAAATTGTATATGTTTATGGGATACAAGTGATATTTTGATACATGTATAAAATATGTCATAATCATATCAGAGTAATTAGCATTTCCTATCACATCAAATATTTAGCATTTATTTGTGATGGGCACATTCATAATTCTCTCATGTAGCTTTTGGAAAATATGCAATAAGTTATTGTTAACTGTCTTCCCCCTAGTCCAGTGCTATATAACACTAGAACTTAGTCCTCTTATCTAGCTACAATTTTGCAGCTATTAACCTGCCTCTCCCTATTCTCTCCGTCTACCCTTTCCAGCCTCTAGTAACCACTATTCTACTCTCTACTTCTATGAGCTCATTTTTTTTACCTCCCACATATGAGTGAGAACATGTGGTATTTATCTCTCTGTGCCTGACTTATTTTGTTTAACATAATGTCCTCTAGGCCCATCCGTGTCACTGCAAATGATGGCATTTCATTATCTTTTATGGTTGAATAGTATTCCATTGTGTATGTGTACGATTTTTCTTTATTAATTCGTCTGTTGATGGACATTGAGGTTAATTCCCTACCATGTAACAGTAAATTGGTTAATTCCCTACCAATTTACTATTACAATAAATTGGTGGTTGCTGAGATCTCTTCGACATACTGATTTTCTTTCTTTTAGATATGTATCCAGCAGTGGAATAACTGGATCACATGATAGTTCTATTTTTACTCTTTTGAGAAGTCTCCATGCTGTTATCTATAATGGCTGTACTAATTAATGTTCCCACTAACACTATATAAGAGTTTCTTTTCTCTGCATCCTCTCAAGCATTTGCTATCTTTTCACTTTTCAATAATAGCCATTCTAACTAGGGTGAGATGATATCCATTGTGGTTTTGATCTGCATGTCCCTAATTATTAGTGATGTTGAGCATTTCTTCATGTACCTATTAGTCATCTGTATGTCTTCTTTCAAGAAATGTTTCTTCAGATCCTGTGCCTATTTTTAATTTGTTTTATGGCTGTTGAGTTGTTCTAGTTCCTCATACATATATCTGGATATTATTCCTTTGTTGGATGATTAGTGTGTAAATATTTGCTCCAATTCTACAGGTTGTCTCTTCACTGTTGATTTTTTTCTTTTGCTGTGTAAAAGCTTCTTGGTTTGACATAATCCCATTTTTCTATTTTTTTTTGCTCACTGTGCTGTTGAAGTCTTACCCATAAAACTTGTGCCTAGATCACTGTCATGAAGTATTTCCCCCTGTGTTTCCTTTTAATAATTCTATAGTTTTAGGACTTACATTTAAGTGTTCAATCCATTTTCAGGTGATTTTTGTACATGGTGAGAGATAGGAGTCTAGTTTCATTCCTCTGCCTATGAATATCCAGTTTTCCAAGCACCAATTATTGAAGAGACTGTCCTTTCCTCAATGTATGTTCTTGTCACTTTTGTCAAAAACTAGTTGGCTATAAGTATGTGAATTTATTTTGGGTTCTGCAGTCTGTCCCATTGATCTATGTGTTGGCTTTTATACCAAGACCATGTGGTTTGGGGTACTATAGCTCTACAGTATATTTTAGTCAGGTAGTGTGATGCATCCAGCTTTGTTCTTTTTGCTGAGTAATGCTTCGGCTTTGCAAGGTCTTTTGTGGTTCCACACCATTTTTTGGATTTTTTTTCTATTTCCATGAAGAATGTTCTTGATATTTTGATAAAGATTTCATTTAATCTGTAGTTCGCTCTGGGTAGTACAATCATTTAAACAATACTAATTCTTCCAGCCTATGAGCATGATATGTCTTTCAAATCTGTGTGTCTTTTTTAAATTATTTCATCAGTATGTGGTAGATTTTATTACAGAGATATTTTACCTCCTTAGTTAAATCATTTAAACATATTCTATTTTTTGTAATTATTGTAAATGAAATTCCTTTCTTGATTTGTTTGCAGCTAGTTTGTTACTGGGTTATAGAATGTTTACTGATTTTGTGTGTTAATTTTGTGTCCTGCAGCTTTACCGAATTTGCTTTTCCCTTCTGAGAAATTTTTGGTGGAGTCTTTAGACTTTTCTACATATAAGATAATGTTGTCTGAAAAGGGATACAATTTTAATTATTTTCTAATTTAAATTCCCTTAATTTATTTTCCTTGATTAATCACTCTGCCCAAGACTATTAGTACTATGTTGAGTAAGAGTGATGAAAATGAGAGTCTTTGTCTTGTATCAATTCTTAGAAGAAAAGTTTTCAGCTTTTCCCCATTCAGTACGATGTTAGGTATGGGTTTGTCATATATGGCCTTTATTGTTTTAAGGCATGCCCCTTCTATACCTAGTCTGATGAGTGTTTTAATCATGAAGAAATGCTGAATTTTATCAAATGCTTTTTCTATATTCATTGACATAATATTTTTCTTCATTCTGCTGATGTAGTGTATCACATTTCTTGATTTGTGTGTGTTGAACCATCTGTACAACCCTGAGATAAATCACACTTAATTATAGGGTATTATCTTTTGATGTGCTATTAGATTCTGTTTGCTAGTATTTTATTTATTTATTTATTTTTAAATGTTTTCTTCTAAGTTCACCAGTGACATTGGCCTAATAGTTTTCTTTAATTGTTGTGCCTTTGTCTGGTTTTGGTATAAGGGTAATGCTGGTGTCGTAGAATGAATTAGAATTACCTCCTCTTAAATTTTCTGGAAGAATTCAAGACTAATTCTTGTTCTTTTAAAGTGTTGTAGAATTCAGCAGTTAAACCACCTGGCCCTGGAATTTCCTTTCTGGGAGCCTTTTTATTATGATTTAATCTTGTTACTTATTACTAATATGTTCAGGTTTCCTTTTTTTTTTTCTAGTTCAATCTTGGTAGGTTATATGTGTCCAGGAATTTAGTGATTTCCTCTTGGTTTTCTAATTTGTTGGCATATAGTTGTTTGAAATAATCTTTAATTATCCTTTTTATTTCTTGCTATCAGTTGTAAAGTTTCCATTTCTGGATTTTTTTTTATTACTTGAGACATAATTTTTTCTTAGCTTGGTTAATGGTTTGTTTTATTTATCTTTTCAAAAAACCAACTTTTTGTTTTTTTAAATTGTTATTTTTTGTTTCTGTTTTATTTACTTTTGCTCTGATCTTTATTATTTCTTTCTACTAATTTTAGATTTGGTTTCTATGTGCTTTTCCAGTTCCTTATGGTGCATCATTAGGTTCTTTATTTGAAATCTTTCTACCTTTTTTGATGTAGGCATATGATGCTGTAAACTTTCCTCTGAGAATTGCTTTTGCCATATCCAATAGGTTTTATTTGTTTATTTATTTTTTTTTCTTTTTTAAAAAAAATGGGATAATGTGCAGAACATGAAGGTTTGTTACACAGGTATACATGTGCCATAGTGGTTTGCTGCACCTATTGACCCATCCTCTAAGTTCTGTCCCCTTGCCCCCCACCCCCCAACAGGCCCTGATGTGTGTTGTGCCCTCTCTGTTTCCAAGTATTCTCATTGTTCAAATTCCACTTATGAGTGAGAACATGCAGTGTTTGGTTTTCTGTTCCTGTGTGAGTTTGCTGAGGATGATGGCTTCCAGTCTCATCCTGCAAAAGACATGATCTCATTCATTTTTATGGCTGCATAGTATTTCATGGTGTATATGTACCACATTTTCTTTATCCAGTCTATCATTGATGGGCATTTGGGTTGGTTCCATGTCTTTGCTATTGTAAATAGTGCTACAATAAGCATACATGTACATGTCTCTTTATAGCAGAATGATTTATATTCCTTTGGGTATATACTCAGTAATGGGATTGAGGAGTCAAATGGTATTTCTGGTTCTAGATCCTTGAGGAATTGCCATAGTGTCTTCCTCACTGGTTGAATTAATTTATATTCCCACCAAAAGTGTAAAGGCGTTCCTCTTTCTTCACAGCCTTGCCAGCATCTGTTGTTTCTTGACTTTTTAATAATTGCCATTCTGACTAGCATGAGATGGTATCTCATTGTGGTTTTGGTTTGCATTTCTGTAATGATCAGTGAGGTTGAGCTTTTTCTCATATGTTTGTTGATCATGTAAATGTCTTCTTTTGAGAAGTGTCTGTTCATATCCTTTGCCCACTTTTTGATGTGGTTGTTTTTTCTTATAAATTTGTTTAAGTTCCTCATAAATTCTGGATATTAGACCTTTTTCAGATAGGTAGGTTGCAAAAATTTTCTCCCACTCTGTAGGTTGCTTGTTCTGATGATAGCTTCTTTTGCTGTGCAGGAGCTCTTTAGTTTAATTAGATCCCATTTGTCAGCTTTTGCTTTTGTTGCAATTGATTTTGGCATTATCATCATGAAGTCTTTGTCCATGCCTATGTCCTGAATGGTTTTGCCTAGGTTTTCTTCTAGGGTTTTTACGGTCTTGGGTTTCACATTTAAGTCTTTACTCCATCTTGAGTTAATTTTTGTATGAAGTGTAAGGAAGAGGTCCAGTTTCAGTTTTCTGCATATGGCTAACCAGTTTTCCCAACACCATTTATTAAATATAGAATCATTTATCCATTGCTTGTTTTGTCAGGTTTGTTGAAAATCAGATGGTTGTAGATGTGTGGTATTATTTCTGAGGACTCTGTCCTGTTCCACTGGTCTATATGTCTGTTTTGGTACCAGCACCATTCTGTTTCGGTTACTGTAGCCCTGTAGTATAGTTTGAAGTCAGGTAGCATGATGCCTCCAGTTTTGTTCTTTTTGCTTAAGATTGTCTTAACTATATGGGCTCTTTTTTTATTTCATATAAAATCTAACATAGTTTTCTCGAATTCTGTGAAGAATGTCAATGGTAGTTTGATGGAAATAACATTGAATCTATAAATGACTTTGGGCTATATGGCCATTTTCATAACATTAATTATTCCTATGCATGAGGATGGAATGTTTTTCCATTTATTTGTGTCCTCTCTTATTTCCCTGAACAGTGGATTGTAGTTGTCCTTGAAGAGGTTCTTCACATGCCTTGTTAGCTGTATTCCTAGGTATACCACTGTCTTTGTAGCAATTGTGAATGGAAGTTCATTCATGATTTGGCTCTCTGTTTTTCTATTGTTTGTGTAAACGAATGTTTTTGATTTTTGCACACTGGTTTTGTAACCTGAGACTTTGCTGAAGTTGCTTATCAGCTTATGGTGTTTTTGGGCTGAGACAATGGGGTTTTCTAAATATAGAATCATGTTGTCTGCAGAGACAATTTGACTTCCTCTCTTCCTAACTGAATACCCTTTATTTCTTTCTCTTGCCTGATTGCCCTGGCCAGAACTTCCAATACTATGTAGAGTAGGAGTGGTGACAGAGAGCATCCTTGTCTTGTGCTGGTTTTCAAAGGGAATGCTTCCAGCTTTTGCCCATTCAGTATGATATTGGCTGTGAGTTTGTCATAAATAGCTCTTATTATTTTGAGATATGTTCCATCAATACCTAGTTATTTGAGAGTTTTTAACATGAAGATGTTGAATTTTATCAAAGGCCTTTTCTGCGTCTATTGAGATAATCATGTGGTTTTTGTCTTTGGTTCTGTTTATGTGATAGTTTATGTTTATTGATTTGAATATGTTGAACCAGCCGTGTATCCCAGGTATAAAGCCAACTTGATCATGGTGGATAAGATTTTGATGTGCTGCTGGATTTGTTTTGCCAGCATTTTATTGAGGATTTTTTCATCAATGTTCATCAGGGATATTGGCCTGAATTTTTCTTGTTTTTGTTGTGTCTCTTCTCAGTTTTGTTATCAGGATGATGCTGGCTTCATCAAATGAGTTAGGGAGGAGTTCCTCCTTTTTCCACTGTTTTGAATAGTTTCAGAAGGAATAGTACCAGCTCCATTTTGTACTGGTAAAATTCAGCTGTGAATCCATCTGCTCCTGGGCTTTTTTTTTTGGTTGGCAGTCTATTAATTACTGCCTCAATTACAGAACTTGTTACTGGTCTATTCAGGGATTCAACTTCCTCCTGTTTTAGTCTTGGGAGGGTGTATGTGTCCAGGAATTTATCCATTTCTTCTAGATTTTCTAGTTTATTTGTGTAGAGGTGTTTATATTATTATCTGATGGTAGTTTGTATTTCTGTGGGGTCAATGGTGATATCTCCTTTATCATTTTTTATTGTGTCTATTTGACATACTTTCTTCTCAGTGCCACATGGCACTTACTCTGAAATCACCCACATAACTGGAAGTTAAACACTCCACAGCAAATGCAAAATAACTGAAATCCTGAAATCATAACAGTCTCTTAGACTACACTGTAATCAAATTACAACTCAGGATTAAGAAACTCACTCAAAACCACACAATTAAATGGAAATTGAACAACCTGCTCCTGAATGACTCCTGGGTAAATAATGAAATTAAGGCACAAATCAAAAAGTTCTTTGAAACCAATGAGAACAAAGAGACAATGTATCAGAATCTCTGGGGCACAGCTAAAGTAGTGTTAAGAGAGAAATTTATAACACCAAATGCCCACATCAGAAAGCTAGAAAGATCTCAAATCGACACCCTAACATCACAATTAAGAGCTAGAGAGGCAAGAGCAAACTAATCCAAAAACTAGCAGAAGGTAAGAAATAACTAATATCAGAGCAGAATTGAAAGTGATACGGACATGAAAAACCCTTTAAAATTCAAAGAATCCAGGAGCTGGTTTTTTGAAAAGATTAACAAAATAGATAGACCACTAGCTAGACCCATAGGTTTTAGTATGTTGTGTTTCAATTTCTATCCTCATTGAGAACTTTAAAAAAAACTTTTTTTTATTTTCTTCATTAATCTATTGGTCATTCAGGAGAATGTTTTTTAATATCTATTTGTAGAGTTTCCAAAGTTCCTCTTGGAACTTTCTATAGAACTTTCTTGGAACGTTTCTCTCTTGTTTCTATGCTAGTTTTATTCCATTGCAGTCTGAGAAGACACTTAATATAACTTCAATTTTTTAAAAAAATGTTGAAACTTGTTTCATCATCTACCGTATGGTCTATCCTGGAGAATGTTTGGTGGGCTGATGAGAAGAATGTATATTCTGCAGCTGTCAAATAAAATGTGTTCTTAATATCCGTTGGGTCTGTAGTGCAGATTAACTCCAATATTTATTTGTTGAATTTCTGTCTCATGAGCTGTCCAATGCAGAAAGTGGGGTGTTGAAGTCCTCAACTATTATTGTAGTGGGTATATCTTTTTTTTTTCTTTTTTGAGACAGTCTCACTCTGTCACCCAGGCTGGAGTGTAGTGGCATGATCTCAGCTCACTGTAACTTCTGCCTCACAGGTTCAGGCGATTCTCATGCCTTAGCCTCCCAAGCTGGAATTACAGGTGTGCACCACCATGCCCAGCTAACTTTTGTATTTTTAGTAAAGACAGGTTTTGCCATGTTGGCCAGGATGGTCTCAAACTTCTGACCTCAAGTGATCTACCTGCCTTGGCTTCCCGAAATGTTGGGGTTACAGTCTGATATAACTATTGCTACTTTTGCACAGTTATGGTTTCTATTTCTCAATTTTCAGTCTATATGTGTCTTAACAGGTGAAGTGAGTTTCTTGTTGGCAATGTGAAATTGAGTCTATTTTTAAAAAAAAATCTATTCAGCTAGCCTATATTCTAAATTGTGGAATTTAGGCAGGCATGGTGGCTCATGCCTGTAATCCAAACACTTTGGGAGGCCAAGGCGGGTGGATCACCTGAGGTCAGGAGTTCAAGATCAGGCTGGCCAACATGGTGAAACCCTGTCTCTTCTAAAAATACAACAACTAGCTAAGTGTGGTGGCGGGTACCTGTAGTTCAAACTACTCAGGAGGCTGAGGCAGGTGAACCACTTGAACCTAGGAGTGGGAGGTTGCGGTGAGCCAAGATGGCACCACTGCACTCCAGCCTAGGCGACAGTGAGACTCCATCTGAAAATAAATAAATAAATAAATAAATTGTGGAATTTAAGCCAGTTACATTTAAGTTTTTTATTGAGATGTGTGGTCTTCCTAGTGTCATTTTGTTGATGTTTTTCTGATTTTTTGTATACTCTTTGTTGTTTTCTTTCTCTTTTATTTTTTTATCTTTGTAATTTGGTGGTTTTCTGTAGTGATATTGTTTGATGCTTTTCTTTTTCCTCATTTGTGTATCTGATCTGCCAGTGAGTTTTTCACTTTTGTGTATTTTCACACCATGGCATATATTGTCATTTCACCTCCAGATATAGGACTCCTTTAGGCAATTCTTATAGTGCTGGTCTAGTGGTGATGAATTCCCTTAAGTTTCACTTGTCTTGGAAAGACCATTTTTCCATTTCTAAAGAATAGCTTTACTGAGTTTTGCATTCTTGACTGGCATGGTGTTGTTGCTTTTTTTTCCCCCAGCACTTTGAGTATAACATCACATTCTCTCTCTTGTCCCATAAGGTTTCTGTTGAGAAATCTGCTGTTTGTTACTGTGATTGGAATTTCCTTATATGTAACTTAACTCTTTTCTCTTGGTGTTTTTAGAATTCTCTCATTGTCTTTGATTGTTGACAGTTTGAATATAATAATCCTTGGAGATGACCTTTATGGGTTAAATCTATTTGGGGATTTTTGAGCTTCCTGTATCTGAATATCTACATCTCTTCCAAGACTTAGGAATTTTTCAGCTATTATTTTATTAAATACATTTTCTATGCCTTTTGAAATCTCTTCTCCTTCTGAATGTCCTAAATTGTGAAAATGTGTTTGTTTAATGTCCCATATATCACATAAATGTTCATTATTCTTTTTTTCTTTTTTATCTGACTTGGTTATTTCAAACCTGTTTTCAAGTTAAGAAATTCTTTCATCTGCTTGATCAATTCTATTGTTGAATATTTTGATTTTATTTTTAAATTTCATTCATTAATTCTTCAGTTCCAAGATTTCTGTTTTGTTCTATTTAAATGATATTTTGCATTGGTTCATTCTAACATTCCTATAAAGAAATACTTAAATTTCCCAAGAAATTTATTTAAAAAGAGGTTTAATTGGCTCATGGTTCTGCAGGCTGTACAGGAAGCATAGCAGAATCTGCTTATGGGGATGCCTCAAGAAGCTTCTAATAATGACAGAAGACAATGGAGGAGCTGGTACGCCCCATGGCAAAAGCAGGATCAAGAGAGCAAAAGGGGAGGTGCTACACACTTTTAAATGACAAGATATCATGAGAACTCACTCACTATCATGAGGACAGTACCAAGGAGAATGGTGCTAAACAATTCATGAGAAATTCACCTCCATGATCCAATCACCATCCACCAGGCCCCACCTCCAACATTGGAGATTACATTTTAATATGACATTTGTGCATGAGCATACATCCAAACTATATCATATCTATATTCTTGTTGAATTTCTCATTTAGATCATAAATTGTTTTTCTGATTTATTTTCATTACACTTGTTCTATTTTTTTTTTGCTGAGTTGTCTTTACAATTATTTTGAATTTCTTCTCAGGCATTCCATAAGTTTCTTTTTCCTTGGGGTTTGTTATTGCAGAATTATTGTGTACCTTTGGAGGTTCATGTTTTGTTTTTTCATGTTACTTGTGCCCCTACATTGATATCTGAACATCTCATGTAACAGTTGCTTCTTTCAATTTTAGGAAGTATATTTTGTGGATAAAGACTTCTTCCTGTAAATATATTTATAATGTCAGTTGGGCAAGGTGGTTTGGCTTTGGTGGGTTCAGTATCTAGTTCCTATATGATTTATTTTGCTGTAATCAATGACAGCAGTGTCTGCAAATTTCTCAGTAGCCTAGGCTGTGGCATGGTTTTTCTGAGTATGAATACAACAGGCAGGCTAGTCCTCAGGTTTCTGGCAGCATGTATGGGTGTCAGCAGTGGTCCTTAGTCAGACTGGTTTTCAGGCCCCTGGGTGGCATGTACATTCTTGTAGTGGTGGTGGTTAGCTCTACATAGGCCAGTTTTTGTGTCCCTGGGAAGTGCATATGGGTGCAAGTGACACCACTGCTGGAGGTGCAGGGTCACTGTCAATGGTGGTGGCCCCAGGCAAGTAGTTATCAGGCTCTGCAGGGCATGAGCTTCAGCTCCTTGTGTCTTGGGGGACGTCTCCTGAAGTGTCAAAGCCCCTGTTCCCTAGGATATGGGGCACTGCATGAGTTCAGTTTCAGAGTGCACAGGTGCACCACTGTGTAGAGCTAAGGTCATGATGCAGTGGCCCTCCTGGTGGATGAAGAGGAATGTTAACAGGTTTCTTGATTGTGCTTCTGCAGGAGGTATTGGGCCCCAGGGCAATACTCTGGTGTTGGCTCTTCTTTCAAAATGGTGCTGTGCTGCAGCAGACAGTGTCCTGGGGAGTGGGGAGAACCCAACATGAATTCCCTTTGTGGAATAATGCAGTTGCGTGGACTTCAAGCAACTCCCTATATACTAGGCTTAGGGCCTGTGAGGGCTGAGGGGCTCTTTTGTAGCTAGAATTGCAGGTGTTTGTCGTGAAAACATGAACCCTGGGTTTTTTCTTACCCGTTCCCTGTGCTGGGGAGTTGTATTGGCTCTAAGCCAATCCCAGCTGGATTTGCTTAGCTTTCTATGCTGTCATTTTAAGTTTTAGTGCTGAGCGAGTCTTTGTAATTCCTTGCTGAATGCTAATGTTCTTCCTTAGGCACTCTATTTGATGTGTTCTTATCTATTTGTTGTTTTGGTCCTTTTTAGTGTGGAGAAGGGAAGTGCTAGGTACCTTTAGTCCACCATCTTAATGACATCCCAGGTAAAATTTATTAATTGGATAAATATATCCATTTATGCTATTGTAACAAACATTATTTTCTTCATATTACACTCCATAAACTATCTGCATTTAATTTTGCTGTATTATGATGTAAGTTATAATATATTTTATCTAATATTTCATGTTAAAGCAAATTAAAGTAGAGACCAGGCCTGAGGAATCTCTAAGCAGACAAAGCCACCTAGACATAAGGAACCTTAACATTGTTTAATTTACAAACATAAGCAAAACTTAATTTGAGCTACTTATTGTTATTGCCTATATTAAAGAAAAAAACTTAAGGCTAACCAGGCAGACTTTGTCAACTAATATATAGCTTTATAACTAGAAACTTTGCAGCAGAATAGATCATATAAAGCAACGTATAACTGCAAACAATCAAATTTTTTTCTGCTTTACTTTCATGTTCATAAGCCCTCTGCTTATATTCCCTAGGCAAAGCCCCCAATCCACTTCTGGTATGGAGCTGCCAGATTGATAAGTCACTGTTTGTTCAAATAAAATCTTCAAAAATTTTATTATGCCTCAGTTTACCTTTTAAAATTAATAATTTTCTACATATATTAGGTAATTGATTTTTATTTTATAATTTCCAATGGTGTACTTGTCATATATCATTTTGTTGTGTATGTTTTATCATATCTAGAGATACATATTATATTTCAATCAACTATTATCCTATTATTGTTTTAATATCATATCATATCATATTATTGTGATTTACAAATAGGTTTTAATATCAGAGGAAAATATGTAAACCCTTAACTGGCAATATTTTTCCCTCAGAAGTTATAGAAATCTGAAGCAGTAATTCATCTAAATTGACTCTAAAATTATTTGTTGAAGCTATAAAACTTTTATGACATCTAACAATTGCAATCAGAATTTGTTACAACTAATAATTAATTTAGGATAAATTTGAATGTTTTAAATACTGTCTTCTTATCAAAGTACATGATACATTGTTCCATTTATTAAATTCTTTATTGCCTTTTGATATACCATATAGCTCTCCCAGTATAGATTTTTTCAAATTTGCATTTGCACCATAAATTTTAAGTTAGCATTTTTTGCTATCTAGCGATAATGAAATATATTCCCAATATACTTACAAATGCACTGTCACTGAAATATGTGACAATACTATTGAATTGTATATGTCAATTTTGTAGCTAATTAGATCTTTAAATAGGCGTTTTTTTATAATGACTTGGGATTTTCAGAAATTGTTAATATAGAATACAAATACTATTAATTTTGTCTCTCTTTTGAAAAAAGGCAAATAGTAATACATATTTACATGCTATTCTTAAATTTTAAGGAACTGTTTTGATTATGGTGATATTTGCTTTTTGTTTAAGAAAGTTTAACAGGATTGAATACTAATTTCAACCAAATTACCTCTTGCTATATATTTTGATTAAATGATTTGTTTATTTTACAACTAACTGTGTTGCTTAATATTAATTTAACTTTGAATATTGAAATGATTTTTAAAAATATTTTACAGCGCACTTTTGAAATTTAATCTGCTTGTCTTCGTGCATTACTTTTGACCTATACTATGAGATTTTATGTAATAATAAGATTTTATACATATTGGCTTTCTAAAAATTAAATTTTGGGTTTTTTTTTTTTACATTTCAACTTCATAAAACTATCTTTATCTGGCTCTCTCTTTTTTTTTTTTTTTTGAGACAGAGTCTGTCGCCCAGGCTGGAGTGCAATGGCTGGATCTTGGCTCACTGCAAGCTCTGCCTCCCGGGTTCACGCCATTCTCCTGCCTCAGCCTCCCGAGTAGCTGGGACTACAGGTGCCTGCCACCACGCCTGGCTAATTTTTTTGTATTTTTTTAGCAGAGACGGGGTTTCCCCATGTTAGCCAGGTTGGTCTTCGTCTCCTGACCTCTTGATCCGCCGTCCTCGGCCTCCCAAAGTGCTGGGATTACAAGCGTGAGCCACCGCGCCCGGCCATCTTTATCGCTCTCTCCCCTTATTTGAGTAGTTTAACTGTTGTCTTTTCTGTTAGTATTTTTCTCCTAAAATGATAGTTCTTGAGTTTGGTTAGTGCTCTATTTCTCTTCATTATTTTTTCTTCTCTCATCTGTGTTTCCCATGTTTCTTGAGGCTCACTTTAATAATAATTCTGCTAATTGATTGATTTTATTTAATTAAATTCAGTAAAATTTTATTTGGGTTCCAAGTTTTTGGCCCAATTCTTTCTCATATATAGCTTTTTAACTTTAATTAACTTATAAATTATTTTGATTCTATCATTTAGCTTGATTTTGCCATGAAGCAACTAAAGCAGAGTATGAGTTTGTTGCAGATTTTCTTTTATTTCTACAATTTTGCAACATCATTAAAAAAGGAAGCCTGTAAAATTTCTCCTTTGATGACTTTTGAAAATAATTTTTATCTCTGTGTGTGTATTTGAATACGCGTGTGTATGTGTGTGTTATTTAACCCCTAACCAATGATTATTGTTTCAGACTATTTCATAGGTCCTTAAAAATGACATATGTCTTCTCTATTGTTTATAGTTGTAATTATTTAATAATTCTACAGCATTCAGCACATTCCATTTTCTCCTATCATTCACTTTTGCCCACTCGATTGCTCAAGGGTTAAATGATTTCTAAAATAGCTGTTCCGGTGCATTTTTGTTGCATTGTAAAATATTTTTTAAAATATATTCATGTCATTTTTATGTTGCATTAAGGTCCACGAATGTTAGCTTATCTTTTTGGATAACTTCATTTATTTAATAATATTTTTTCTGATTTCTACATTTTAATGTAATCATTGTGATATGTAGTTATACTGATGTTATTGCTATTGATTAGACTGAATCATTTCACTATGAAGATAATTTGTAAAATATGTTTTAGTTTTGCTGTTTATACTCTTTAGAAAATACACAGTAAAGAGAATGCTTTCTGAATTTTCTTTGTGATTGATTTGTTTTTGTTGTTTCTTTGTAACTGCACATGAGAATTATATTTTTAGCAAAGAGGTTTTAAACTAGTTTATTTTTATATTCCAAATTAATCCTTTGCTGACTTTCGTAAGTTTTCCTGTTATATTGTGGTGGTGGTGGTTGCTGTTTTCTTGATTTACTATGCATGCTCTATACACTGCTTATCCTCTGACTTTTTCCTCCAGCATTGATTTTAGCAAAAGTATATATCACTTTAATTATTAGCTTTCTACACTTGAGATAGGTAATATTATCCATATTTCAAAATACTTTTAGTAAGAAGCAAATGTTTAAAAGCATTTTTTGTCACTAGCCAGTTAAAAGTGGTAAAAACTAGGACTTTAACATAAGTCTGATTTTAAGGCCCATATTATACACACATTGCAGAAATGAAAAAGAAAATCTACTTGTACATTTTTCCAAGGCTAATAGTTCACATACTGAGCTATAAAACAGTATTTGATACTGCAAGAGAACATGGGCTGAGATGAAATGGGATGAGCTCATTTCAGTAAAGTATATCTGTGTATTTCAGGGTCTGTGTGCGTTAATTGGTGTAATATTTTAGAAGACATGATCAGTAATTTTCATTTGATATAAGTGGCCATTTGGCAACACGGTAGTGCTGTAAGAAGCTGAGTATTGGGATCAAAAGGACACTTGCCTTAGCTGACTATTACCTCTTATTTAATATACATTAAATAGACTATAAGTCAGGAAACCTTGTAAAGAAGCTATGGCATCATTTATAGTTATTGAAAATAATTTAACTAAATTCTGATAGAATGATTAAAAGAAACTGTTATACAGAAGAAAATGTACAAACAAAGGGTTAGAAGAATTTGGTGATGCCCTAAGTGAGATTAGAAGTCACCTGAAAATGACAGAGAACCTAGTCTTTGTGATTGCCAAGGTCAACTTAATACATGACAAGAGTTTGGTTAAAAGCAAAATAGTATTATTTTTACATATGTTAGTTTGCATACAGTTGAAAACGATTAGGGCTAAAATATAAGAATTATGACTATAAACACGTCTGTATCTGAAAGTCACACACAGATAAATATCCTATTATAGGTTGTAGAAATGCCTTCCTATACTACCTTATTTACCTCAACCAGAGTAATTGGAAGCAACACATATGGAAGGTGGGATACCCATCAAAGGAGTATTTTGGTGGCATTTGTAAATTATTTCTATAACTAAGAACACATTAATAAATCTAGTACTTAAATGTGTAGGAATATTTTGAAGCTTGGTTATCCTATGAATTTCTGAGAATATCAATTAACTGGGACATCAGATTTTTTCAAATATGATGTAATATTGTATTAAAATAACATATTTCTGAAGAGAAAAACAGATCAATTTGTAACCCAAAATAAATCAAACTAGAAGCTGACTCATGTAAAGAACATAATCATGATGGATAATCTAAGAGAGAAAAAAATGTTTGGTTGTGTTTTACATGTGTTGATAGATTTCACCCCTATGAGAATACATTTTTTAACTGTTATGTCACTTACATTGTAATCAGATAAACAGGCCATTGACAGGTAGACAAATAAGTGAACAAAATGACTTCAGGAAGAAATAATTGGTCTGAAAATACAAAATACAGGGATATGATATAAGATTACCAGAATATCAAAGAGATATCTGATTCATTAATGTGATGGTACATTTAATTAATATTAAGTACAAAAAAATCAAATTTTAGATCCAAAAAGGAAGGTAACTTCTAGTGAATTCTATTGTAGGTTTATCATATTCCAACTAATAATGTGAAAAATAGGAAAGAATGATGCCAACATTTAGAGTAAAGCGCTGAGAAACGATGAATTAAGATCACCAATTTCATCACTAAATGTTAGCCCTTACAATCCTTGTAATTCATTGGTTCCACTGCTTGAGCTCTCAGAATATATACAGACTGTCAAATACAGGCAGACCAATAATTAGTGCATGATATTAAGGATTTCAAATGATAAATTCTATATATGGAACTGCTTAAATAAGATGGTATATAACTAATAAGATTTCTCCATTTTGTGCTTGAACAAGTTTCTTAGTTTCAACAAATAAACACACACACAAACACTCAGCTAAATTTAAATTTCTGATAAACAAATAATTTCATAATGTAATTACATTCTAAATATTGCGTGAAATAAATGTATACTAAAAATAATTTGTTTTTTTTCTGAAATTTAAATTTGACTAATCATCTTGTACTTTAGCAAACCTAGGCTGATAAGATGTAATTACATATGATATTAAAAAACTTGGATAAAATATTGAATTTTTTAGCTTATAATTCAATACCAAGGCTCTGGGAGAATATGGGACATTGTAGAAAAATAGGATTCTCTAAAAAATATCAAGCTATTGGTGTGTGTCAAAGACTTACATTCACTCTTCAGTAAGGTGTTAAAGGAGACAGTTGTCAATGTTACTAAAGAGAGGAACTTCAATTTAAGCTTACCTGCTTGAAAGAAGGGGAACAGATACATATATAGTTGTGAGAAAAGAAAGCCTTCCTGCTTCTTGCTAAAAATCCAACAGTGCTAAGGATCTATAATTTGCAACTGCCAAAAGTGACTTGCCTGCCCCAAGCTAAAGTTGTGGCCAGCCAAAAAATGAAGGTCAGAAATGTCACAATTTAGCTTGACATCTAAGGGGAAATTAAAACAAAACAAAAATCAAAAAGGGATCTTTTTATTTATTGCTTGCTAAAATACATCAATGGATGCTGCGTTTGGCAGAGATAATAGTATCCTTACCCATAGACACAATTTAAAAGATGGCAGATAGGGGGTGGTGTGATTTGTTTTGTCCATTATTTCTCATTAATTAGAGTCAAATATCAAGTAATGAAGTCACAAATTGAGGCCTACAAATCTATGGATAAAATACAGAAAATTCAAGCGTAGGCTCCACATTCAACTTTCATGATTTAATAGATTTCTGCTGCTGGAGATTAAGAAAGGCCTCTCCTCCCCATTAAAGCTTTGGGCAGCAGTCTAAAGTTTTAAGAAAATTAGAGCTCTGGCATCAAGCTGCATGGAGAATGTATGATTTTTCCTTCTAGGAGGCTCATATCAACAGTGAATGGGCAGACTACAGATCAGCAGCCTTGAAAACATGTCAAGGATCAAGTTACTTTAGTATTCCTGCTTTATCGGAGGTGATGTAAATCCTGTACCAGTGATCACTGTATATTTTTTCAATTTACAGCCTTTTCTAAATTAAAATTGTGGCTGGGAACTGTGGCTTATGACCACAATTCCAGCACTTTGGGAGGCCAAGGTAGGAGGATGGCTTAAATCCAGGAGTTCGAAACCAACCTGGGCAGCAAAACAAGACCCCATTTCTACAAAAACAAACAAACAAATAAATAAATAATTGAAATTAAAAATTTTTTTAAATGGAAACTTAAAAAAATAGAATTTATTTGGTTGCCTTGTTTTTCCATTCACTGTTACATTTTCTGTGTGGAGTCATGTTTAAATTATCAGATAGTTCAAAGGTTGCAAGTTTTAAAAAGAAACATCTAGATATTTTAGGTTTATATGTACCTCATGTTCATATTCTGCAATATGATAGTACCTATAAATAAAGGCATAATGGCTACCTCTGCATTCATATAATTGGTATATGAGAGTGTTGCATTGGATTAGAAATTATTGAATGTGTATATTTAAGTGAAGATAGCTATCTACATACTTTGAGCATGTGAGGCATTGGATCTTGAGTAAAAGACTACAGGATTTATTGTTTATCTGAGTTCATTATCTGATTTCTTTATGTGATTATAGTAACCAAGGAGGAGCACCCTTTTCACCAGGGATTGGGTTATAAATAGCCAATTGACTACTTGTTTCACATCAGAATCACCAAACTTCAAACAATTATCACTTTTTTTATTTTTTAGACAGGATCTCACTCTGTCACCCAGGCTGGAGTGCAGTGGTAAGATTATGACTTACTATAGCTTAGGCCTCCTGGGCTCAGGTGATCTTCCTGTCTCAGCCCCCTGACTGGCTAGGACAGCAGGCATGCACCACCACACCAGGATAATTTTTGTTTTTGTTGAGACAGGCTTCCCTCATGTTGCCCAGGCTGGTCTCAATCTCCTGGGCTCAAATGATCCTCCTGCCTTGGCCTCTCAAAGTGCTTGGAGTACAGACATGAGCCACGGTGCTTAACCAAGATAAAAGCTTATGGCTCCAGAGTTTACAGGTTTCATATTCACTGGCAGAAGGAGATATGAGAGAGAAAAAAGGATTCAGGAAGAAGAGGAGAAAGAAAAAAAAAATAAAGTACTCTAAAAGAAAATGAACCTATAGACTATTGTTTTCAATCTGGATGTTGCAAAATATTTGTGAGTTATAAAATTAATCCACTGGTTGATGGTCAATAACTTATTTTTTTAAAGAAACAATAAAGTAGAATTAAATAGGATGGAAAATAGAAGTATTAAAATCATCAATGTGCATCATATAGAGTAAAAACTATTGTTTTATTACACTTTTATTTATTTGTGCAGTATATGTGTACATGTGTGATTTTCTAGGATTGTGATGTAAAATATATTTCTTACTTTAAGTAGTTGTTCAAAAATGTTTGAAATGCAGTGAACATATTCTACTTCCAGGAGCTTATCATTTTGATGTATAAGCTACCCCAATATTCTCTCTACTATCTTCATTTCTTATTTTTATTTCACTTATATTAATGTTATAAGTACTTTATACACACTAAGTCATGTAATCCTCCCAACATCCCCATGAAGGTGTTACTATTATTATCCCAATTAGTGCAGTGATATAATTGAAATACACAGAATTTATGTAATTTGCCAAAGCTCACTCAGTTGGCAAATGGCAGGGTTAAGATTTACACTAGCACCTGGAAAACTATCGATTGAGTGGAAGCAATGAAATACAAAACAAAATCTGTATTTTGTAAAAATATATTATAAAATGTTTCATGGGAAAAAGACAATGCTCCTGAAACTGGAACAGATACTGTCATATTAACAGTGGTGCGTTAGAATGGAAGTTACATCTTCTTGTTGCTGAGAACCTTAGGCCCATCCTGGACCAGTTCCAGGTCTTATGAGAATGTGGTACACTATGATAACTGCTTAGAAATTGCTGAGAAATCCTTGAATCTCGAAATGCCGACATAAATCTTTAAAGTGGTCATTATTTACAATAACATTAGTAACCCTTTTTCTTGAAAACTAATAGTATAATACAATTAGTTGTTAAAATTTTTTGTTTCAAAATAGTACTTATAATATCTATCCAGAGACCAAAACAATATCTTTGGTAATTAAGAAAAGTGCAATTTATATTTTAAAATAAAATATTGAATTTAAAGTGGTTTTATCTTTATGTGATAATATTTAATTAGCTCATAAATACTTAAGATTATTTATTTATTTTTTGAGATCGAGTTTCACTCTTGTTTCCCAGGCTGGAGTGCAATGGTGTGATTTCGGCTCACTGCAACCTCTGCCTCCTGGGTTCAAATGATTCTCCTGCCTCAGCCGCCCAAGTAACTGGGATTACAGGTGCCCGCCACCATGCCAGGCTGATTTTTTTTTTTTTTGTATTTTTAGTAAAGACGGGGTTTCACCGGGTTGGTGAGGCTGGTCTCAAACTCCTGAACTCAGGTGATCCACCCGTCTCGGACTCCCAAAGTGCTGGGATTACAGGCATGAGCCACTGCACCCGGCCAATACTTAAAATTTTTAATAATAAAGTCAGGGAATGAACCAGGCTCCCAAATGAAGATGCAGAAAGCATAGCTAAGTATTATCTAATTTCATATATATATAAAGCTAAGCATTACCTAATTGTTTATATATATAAAGCTAAGTATTATCTAGAGAGAGAGATATATATATTTACAGCAATTTATAAATAATGTAGCCACTGCACATAGCTTTAGAAAAATAGAAAATAAAGATGCTCATAGTCATCCTTGTACCTGTCTGTGTAAGATACCCCCTTTATGCTAGGCATTTTATGTACTTCATTTCAAAACAATAATGAGACCTACTAAACTGAGGGTCAGTGAGATTAACGAAATGGCCCAAGACCTTGCAGTGCATTGGCTGAAGAATAAACATGAAATTCCAAATTTGTCTGAGTCCAAAATACGTATCTTTTCAACTACAATGATCTTGCATTTTTTAATACAAGCTGGACACCTCTACAAAAAGGAGGAATGTAGAAAACATTATTTATTTTCAGAAAAAGTAAAAACAGACCTAAGTTCAGTAGAAAAACATGTTTCTATGCCTAAATTTAGCTTGTGACAGAGACTAGTCATTAAATGAACTCATTTTCACACGGGACATCTTGGTTTATGCGTTGAGAGAGAACTAAGTTGGATGGAGTCAGCGTAGTGTAGAGTGTGTAACCGTGGTAATTGTTTCAAACTGTGGGCCTTTTTAACTTAAAATTGATTTCCTTTCTGTACTAATATGGAAAGACATGATAAAGCAACTACAAAGAATTTAGTACTAACATTTCTGAAGTCATTCACATGTCTAGGTTATCTTATTCAGATATTACAGCCAAAAGTGCTATAAAATCTTTGTGAAGAGATGAATTTTACCAAATTTCAAACAGTTTTTACTATCTTGGACTTTTATGAGCATGGTTGAAGATGCAAACTTTGCAGAGAAGAAGTTAAAATTTTTCTCAGATGTGCATATATACTACCAAGATCATTATATCAGAGTCAAGAGATAAATGTCCCTACATTAATAAATAGATAAATAATTTAACCGTCTAAAAGGTAGGCAGTCCCACCAAGATGTCTTCATCCCTTCTTTGCAACACTTTTATCTCTTTCACTGCGATCTTAATTTTTATTCACATTAGGTATATTACCCTTAATTCTCCTCTTTAAATGTCTTAGATGCTCTTAGCAACATCAAATTCTGATGACTCCCATCGTGCCTTCACAGTTTTAAGTATATTTTACTGCTCTGTGACTTGCAGGGCATAATTTAAAGCTAAAATGTAACTGTTTAATCTTTCTTAGTTCAGTAAATTTATGTCTATGAGAAATGGAAGAACTGCAGGAGGGATAATGCTCCAGTGAATTAATATTTTCGAACCACCTTACCACATTGCCACATTTTCTCAGCTGTAGGGCTCAGCCGAGCAGGAAAGGCCAAGGGAAATGTAAGGGGGCAATGGCTGTTCCAGTGATGGTGAAAACATTGGCATAGCTGTTTGTAGCAATGCTCATTGTCACTGTAATGGCATTGCAAGATCACCTCAATAATATTTAAACATAGTCATGCAAATATATTTCTAAAATTATGATTTTGAGTTTACATACCATATTCTGAAAACCATAGTACAATTCTACATTCCTGTATTCTGAAAACCATAGTACAATTCTGCATTCCCATATTCTGAAAACCAGAGTACAATTCTACATTCCTGTCCAAAATTTCAAACATAGCTCAACGACAAAGATATGTGCCAATCAGAAATCCTTCTGCCTCCACATTGGATAATGAGTCATTTTAAAATCAATGTAAATACATCAATTCTCTGCTAGAAAATAAAGTGGGTTAGACCACACATGTGAAGATACTGAATGTAAGGCTTTAGATAGGATACTCTGACAATATTTGTATTTACTCTTCAAGCCTATACGGGTAGTTGCATATCTTTTCACACACCACTGAAAAGCTAGATGAATTCTAATTATGTGAATTTAAACTGACTGTTGTGAATAAGATTCTGTCTTCTAGCATTAAATCTGGGGGGGGGCGGGAAACTAGCAGGAAGCAAGTGGCTAATGGGAAAGTAATTGACTTTCTATGGCTACACATTTCTTATTACACAAAAAATAAAAAACAAAAGGGGTATTGTTTAAGAAAAATTCAAACTGTATTTTTCTCTGCTCTCACACCACAACAATCAACAACACACAAAAGGACTTCTGTGGCCAAATTGGTGGTGTATGGTGGGGGTTGATTTCTGCATCAGACAACAATAGGGTGTCCTCCAATTCAATTCTGACTCTATCTACATGGAGATAAGTGTCAGATTCCACAGGTGGGGAGCTCAGTTTTCAAAACTACCCTCCCTCCGGACACTAGTCACGAAAGTAGGTCTCTGAAAATTCTGAACAAGCAGCTTCGAGTTGGGTTTTCCAGAACCAGTAATTTTCTACAGCAGCTCACAGTATTCAGGGAAAAACTAAATGTGCCAGTTTATTATAAAGGATATTACAAAGGATACAGATGAAGCAATGCCTAGGATCAGGTATGTGAGAAAGGGCACAGAGCTTCCGTGCCCTCTCTGAACGTGTTGCCTTCTGGGAATCGCCACTTGTTCAGGTATCTGTAAACTCTCTGAATCTTGTCCTCATGGGCCTTTTATGGAAACTTCACTGGATAGGCATGATTGACAAGTGTGTGGAAATGTGACTGGACAAAAGGAGTATAATCTTAACCCAGCAACGCTTGTCTGTTCAGATTCTTCTTGGCCTCGCATGCAGTATTCCTTTCTTCAGTGTGTGCGGCAGGACCCCCTCTGGAATGAAGGTCTTAGGACCCACAGTCAGATTAGAGTTCTGCCTTAGGCAAGTGAAAGGAAGGCAGGACAAGGTTGAAGAGAGAGATTCTGTTTTCTGAGGCCCAAAGTCCCCCAACATTATGAAAAAGGATATGGGAGTTATGAGGCAAAAACTGGATGAAAAAATACATACGTAATATGACAAACACATACCAGTATATTGCAGAATGAGAGCAAGAAAAGTTGCCCTGCCAGGCGCGGTGGCTCACACCTGTAATCCCAGCACTTTGGGAGGCGGAGGTGGGTGGATCACCTGAGGTCGGGAGTTCAAGACCAGCCTGACCAACATGGAGAAACCGTCTCTACTAAAAATACAAATTAGCCGGGCTTGGTGGCACATGCCTGTAATCCCAGCTACTCGGGAGGCTGAAGCAGGAGAATCGCTTGAACCCAGGAGGCAGAGGTTGCGGTGAACTGGGATCGCGTCATTGCACTCCAGTCTGGGCAACAAGAGTGAAACTCCGTCTCAAAAAAGAAAAAAAAGAAAGAAAGAAAAAGAAAAAAGAAAAGAAAAAAAAAAGAAAAAATTGCTCTAATAATTTGCTGATTAAAATGCATACATCTGAAAAGTTATTCAGCACAGGAAAGAGAATACTTTCTCAGAAAAATGTATGCCTTTTAACTAAATATAAGATAATAGCATGCAATACAGATATATATATATACACACATTCCAGAGGTGTCAAGAAAGTGAGAAAAAAAATTCTTTAAAAAAAGAGAAATAATACAATAACAGAGAAGATAGCACTACCAAACCCAGCAGGTAGGGTACATACAATCCTTTATGAGTTAGAACTTTGGATACAGGAGAAAAACATGTGGCCCTTTTTACTGGAAATAACATTATCCATTTGACAAGGATAGATACTGAGAAGAAAGTCCGCCTTACCAAATTTCGAGTTTCATGACTGTCCTCAAACAGGTTTGGGGTTAGAATTTATACCACACCTGCTTCCAGAAAAACACGCGTAAATAATTCAGTTTGAATACACCTAAGTTAGGTTGTTACTTTATTTCCCTGGGAAAAACAAAAGTAAAACTTAAGTAAAACAAATCTCAAAAAATCTCCCTCAAAAGTGTTCCCAGATAGTGGACTCCGTAATCACGATAAGAAAGATAATAGAAACATTAAACAAAACCCTGAGGCAGCAAATATTAAACTTAACAGAAATAGAATGTGAAGTAAATCTGTTTCATATATTCAAAGAAAAATTGTTAACTTTAAAAAATCTCTGGGATTATTAACAAAAAAAAAAAAACTCCAGACATATAAATACTAAGCCAAATAAGACAGGTATAAATTAATTGATATGAGACACACTAAACAAATTAGACATTAATTTTTAATAAATCACTGCATAATGGTAAAATATTTGATTCAGCAAGAAGATATAGCCATCTCATGTGAAATTGCCCAGTAACATAGCTTGAAAGTAGATGGAACAAAAACTTGACAAAATTCCAAGAAGAAATGAAACAGAATTCAGAATCATATTGAGGGATTTTAGCACACACTTCCTGGAAGATAAATCAGACAAAATAATCTGATAAATCAGAAAAAAATAGATAATTGAGGATTTGAACAACACAAGGAACTTGACCTAATTAGTAGATATGAAAAACTCACTCAATACCTGGAGAATGCACATTGCTTTCTAGAATTCATGGTAAATTTAAAAATTGACCTTAAAATAATTAGCAAAGTAAACTTCAGTAATTAAAAAATGATATTATATATATCTTTTACTGACCATAATGTAATTTGGAAATCAACCAAAAACATAACTAAAAGAAACAATTTAGAAAGTATAATAAGCTGCACTGAAGCCAAACACAGGTAAAAGAATCAGTCACAATAGAAATTAGAATTTATTTACATTGAATTGTTTGCCATCATAACATAGGTAAAAACTTTTGAAAATATACTTAACAGGATAATTTTATCTTTAAATGTTTATTTGAGAGGAAAGGAAATCCATGCCCAGGTTCTAACTTAGGAGTTTATAAAAGGAATAACAGAATAACGGCGGTGGATAGCTCATTTAAAACAAACACACACACACACACACACACACACACACACACACACACACACAGAGAATCAACAAATGTAAATTCTTGTAATTTCAAATCTAATAAAATTGATCAACTTGTGACAAAATTGATGAATAGATACAATTAGGAGTTGAAAAGAAGATAAAATTCAATATGTAGTAAAAATATTAAAATGTGATAGAAAATTATACTCTCAAATAAGAAAATGTTCTTTTAAATTGAAATTTAACTAGAAAAAAATTTCCATGCCTAACTAAAAATAGGTAATATGAGTAGTCTCACATTATCAAATAACAAAATCAATACTTAAATAATAACCAAACAGTTATCATCATTCCCGAATCATTTTAATTTGAATTCTTTGCAACATTTGTGGAGTAAATAATTCTAGCCTTAAAACAAGATTAAACAAGAACAACAAATCTCTTCAAATTTATGAATCTTATATAAATTTGATACAAAAACTGTAGGAGAATGAGAAACTACAAATTAATGCACTCATAACTATAAATGAAATTTAACATTAATATTAAAATACTAAATCCAACAGTGGTTTAAAAATATAATCCTCCCCCAAAATTCAAAATCGAATGAACATTTGAAAATCCACCGATGTAAGTGTCTGGATTAGAAGATTAAAGAAAATCAGCATGTTTATTTCAATGGATTTAAAATAATTATTAGATTATGTTCAATACCAGTGCATGATCCAATTGAAAAGAATCTTAAATAGAATGACACAAGTAATTTCCTTAGTTTATAAAAACTTGCAATAATAATTCCATTTAATAGTAAATTTTAAGAGCTTTTCCTTCGAAATCAAAAGCAAGTAAAATATTTTCACCATATCTCTTCAATTCAACATTCAGTGCATAAATAAACAAATAAGCCAAAATTAAGTTGACATGATTGGAAAAAAAAGAAACAAGATAGTTAGCTTTTGCAAAGTGAGGACAAGTTTATGTACATAGACAACCTGGGAGGATCTACAGTCAGATAATTAGAATTGTAAGGTTGCTGGCTGGATTAGTCAGGTTAGCAAGAATACAATATAGTAATTAAAAAATAAACACAACCTCTGGTTTGATTCACGCACACATTTATTCTTGCATATACCATGTCTGATCTTGGCACAAGAAACTCTCCATAGTGTGTCCTACATGCAGTGATTCAGTGATCCAGGCTGATCCAATCTCATAATACTGCTAACTCCACACCAGGCCTCTGCATCTCTCAAGCAGGGTAGGCAATTGCCTTCGTCCCTCTGTGCTGCTATAACAGAATAGCACAGACTGAGTAAATTATAAAAAAGAGAAATTTATTTTCTCACAGTTCTGGAGGCTGAGAAGTTCAATATCAAGGTGCAAGCATTAGTGTCTGGTAAGGGCTTGTTCCATCGATGGCATCCTCTCACAGTGACATCCTCCCATGGCAGAAGACACAAGTGCAAAAAGGGGCAAACTCTTGCTGAAGCCTCTTTTTTATTAATCCATTCATGAGGACAGAGCACCATGACTTCATCACTTCCCAGAAGGCCCTCACCTCTTAATCTCATCACAATGGAGATTAAGTTTCAACATGAATTTTGTAGAGGATGCATTCAACCCGTAACAGCAATTATGTTCACACATTAATATAAAAACAAAGATCTATCTTTATAAAATGTTAAACATTTATTTTGCATTCCAAATTCCCAGATCCTAGAGTTAAAATCATTATGAAGAAGTTTTTGAGCCTCTATTATATGGCTGTAACATTTACAAACCTCCAAATATTTCAAAGCCACTGTTTTGGTATTGATTAAATGAGAATAAAATGTGTTATGAGCTCACCTCAATTGCCCTGTCATATAGTATTTTATCCCATTTTTATCTCTCTCTCTTCCTCATGAAGCTTTTAGAGCAATAAAACAGTATAATATATGCAGGAATATTTTTTATGTTATAAAGATATACACAGATGTAACAGAAGGATATACAAGATACGTTCCTAAAAATTTCAGAAATACAAACATCTATGATTGAATCAATGATTCCCCGGTATTAGCAAAATTGTAATGGAGAAAAAATATAGACAATGTATAGGGTAAGATACATAATAATAAATTCTCCTGTTTTGAGAGCCCCCTCCTGCAACTAAATAGGGGTTCCAGTACCAAAGTAGCTGGCAACCCTGCCCTAAGAGGATATACAGGGAGTTGGATGTGAGTGTTTACAGTGTGCCTCTCACAGGACATTATTTTAGCTGGTGGGTGACCTAATACCTAGTTATTTGACCCATGACCAGGGGGCTTTTCACACGGGAAACTTGTTTGTACTGACAGTGCCCTTGTGGCTCTTGTCTGATCCATGCCCAGCTTATACCTACCTTACCATCACTCTGGTTCCAGGACCTACAGATGTCCCTAATTTTTCAGATGGAAGGTATAAATTCAGTACACCACCACTATAGAAAAAAGCGCAATGACTTTTACTTACATATCCTGAGCAGGGAGGGCACAAGGAGTCCAGAGGGTAATTCTCCATTCCCAGGTCACAGGAAGCAGGAATGGAGGGTCAGGTGGACAGAGAGAGAATATTTTGGCAGTTAGCAGTATGCATAAGGAAATAGGATGTGGGGCACTTTAAGTTCACAAACAAGTGCCTGGAGTGTCTGTTTAAAGAAAGGGGAACCAGTCAGCTAGGTGAGAAAAATGCTGCTAAGTTCTTATCTCTAGCCACCGGCTTGAGCCATTTGGATGTGGTATAGAACTGAAAACTATGTCAGGGATGACTGAGCCCTGCTTCTGGCGTTAGAAAGTTAAACCTGTGCTCAAAATAGAGGCCAAGCCAACATAAAATTATAAAAATGCACCACATCCCTCACCACCACTGCAGAAAATAAAAATTCCCAGAATGGTGTAGATGGACAAATAAGCCAATATTTATTTTAAATGTTTAAGCTAAGAAAGATTTGATACACATAGGTCATTGGAGCTAATCCTTGCAGAATGTGCAGCTTTAAACAAAGATAGATAAAAATGACAGCCGATGAATTCCAGCCATAAGGCAAGAATGGAAATGAACATGGAAATTTACGAAGGCTACATGGATCATACTGACCAGTTCAGTGTGAGTGAGAAATGAGATTCATAAGAGGAAATAGTGGGATGATAAAGAACTTGGAATGGTGGTGAGAAGACAGGCCAGGGGTGAGGTCATGGAGGTCTTTAGTTATATTCAGTAGAAAATGCGTAATCATACAAATTCTCTTCCAGCATTTTGAGGCAAAAGAAAACAGGGCAGGGGTTAGAATGTTGTCCAAGAAAAGAACAAAAGAAGAATTATTTGTGAGAGATGCAATTTGCAATTTAATTGTCCGAACTTGGTCAGGGATAATATGTGTCTGGGCAAACAGTGTCTGAGAGAATGGGAACACTATTTATCTAAATGGTGTTGTAATACCAATGAGCGGAATCGTATTGCTGATAATTTTTTATATCACACACTTTACACAAACTATGTTGAAACATTTAAAAAGAGCTTATTTTTAGTTTGAGGAGCAAGTGGACCAGCAACCTATCAACTAAACATGTGCAACTTGAACTCAATAGAGGTCAAAGTGAGGAAGGAATGCAGATTAGTGACCAAAGTTATGGACGTGATGTCTGAAATCATGGGAGTGTCTGACCATTCCAAGATAATATGCTGTAGAAAGTTGAAAAGTAGAGCTCCCAGTTGTATTTAGTTCCACCAAAATTAAAGGAAAATAATTATATACTTTAAATAGCATTTATTAATTACAGCTGTATGTAAGGTGCTACGAATGTATTAAAGATAGAGGGCTTAAAACAAAAGTTACTCTCATGTAACATAATCAAACAAAACGTAGATTAGTAAAAGGAATATAATCTATTTTTTTCAGCCTTGAATTGTGTTGGGTATTTGGGATGATTTCTCATAAATCACATGCAGCTAAATAGCCTTTCAAAACACCTTATCTAAATTCGGTGTATAAAGAGGAAAAGGACTTGTTGAAACTGACATAGGCAATGCCAAAATATGGATTCATGTATCTGTATGAGCCATTTAAGAACTTATGCTGTTTTTTTTTAACTTCATGAAACAAGACAGGTTAAGCAGTATAATGGTAAAGGAAATGTCTTTATGATTAAGAAGTCATTAGAAACCTTGGAGGACCTAGTTGTATAGACTGTTAGAAGAGGCAGACATAACTCTCAGTGATTAATGAATTAGCCTGAGGAAGAGAAAGCCAAAAATGACATAATATTCTGAGAAATATAACCGAGGAAATACAGCCAAGAATATGATCTTCAGAGAAGTAGCAGAATCATTGGAAGATCCTTTAAGAATAAGGGCAACTAACACATCTGCAGACAAAATGAAAATAGGAAGGAAATAAATGATTTGGAGAGAATTTCATAATTGATTTAATATCCCTAAGAATGAATACGGGCATCAAGTCAAGGCCCTAATGCACGGGACACATCAAATGATGAAAATAATGAGAGAAAATATACAAACACTGATTATATGGATACAACACAGTGATTAGCAAGCAGAAACGCTGGTAAAATTATAACAACAGGAAATGGTGACTCCCTTTACAAATGTCCTTGAAGCAAAGATTCTCGACTTGTGTTACTTCGCTTTCAAAAGTCAAAGAATCTTTTAAAAACATGGGCTGTTTGGATATTTATTTTCTCTTACAGCTGGAATTTAATTGTTACGGTGCTAACACTACACTCTGATCCTTACATCAACTAAATGTATACCCAGACACACATCTACACTGCCTATGTAAAATAAAATTATAAAAATATTAATAATGTAGACAAATGTATAATTGTATGTGTATGTAACTTTGTTAGGTATATGTTACTTTTGGAAAAAGCCAAAGTTAAGTATTAAAATACAGTGAGAGTTTAATAAACATATGGAATTTAATTTATACTCTTTAGCAATACAGCAATAAATCTCTCCAGTCATAGTAATTCTCACTGTTTCAAGAACATAACATCTAAGTTCAGATATATGCATGTATGATCTTTAACTTATTCTATACTCAGTGTCTAGGATTCTCTAGAAATTTGACATACCTCTCTAGAATACCTGTTTTATCCTGAAAGCTGTCTGCTTCATTAAAATTTTTCAAATATATATTCATATGTATACTACTATAAGTATGTGTAGACACACACATATAATTATGTGTATATATGTGTTTTATGCATACATGTATGTACTTTATTCTGATAAAAACATATATCTATCTTAAATCAACTGTAATTTTACTTAACTTTTTTAGTGGTTAAATTTTTTTTTGAATAATTTCCTGATCTTAGCTTCCTTGGGGAAGTGTATATGCCCTGAGTATGGAAGAGATTCAAAGTAAATAGTAGTTTCCATGGGAACGAATAAACTTCACATCCTGACATAATAAATTAGACCTGGTTTGAGTGTGGCAAATCATTTTGGCTTTCTGAATTCAGCTTCTCATATGTAAAAAAAGGGTATGAACTTTTATCTTATAACCTAATGCAGCTGACCCGTGAGTAACATGGGGGTTGGGGCGCCAACTCGCATGCAGGAAAAAATCTGCATATAACTTTTGACTCCAAAGTCTTAACTACTAATAGCTCACTGTACACTGGAAGCCTTACCGATAGCATAAAAGTCAATTAACACATATGTTGTAGGTGATATGTATTATATACTATATTCTTACAACGAAGTAAGTGAGAGAAAAGAAAATGTTATTAAGAGCATTATAAGGAAGCAAAAATATTCTTACTGTTCATTAAGTGGAAACAGATCATCATAAAGGTCTTCATCTTCGTGTCTTCACCTTGAGGAGGCTGAGGACTAGGAGGAAGAAGAAAGGTTTCTCTTGCTGTCTCACAGGTGGCAGATGCTAGAAAGGCGGACAAGGTAGAAGGGTAGACGTGTATAAGTAGACTTGTGCATTTCAAACTTGTGTTGTTCAAGGGCCAACTGTATGTAAAAAATTCTCACAGAAATGCAACATTATTAATAAAATATATTGTAATTACATCATTGCATATTGCTATGTTTATTTCTTCATAATTAGGGAGCAAGTTCTTTCTAGATCTTTCAGTATTTTTTTGCCCATGTTAATAACTGACCATATGTTAGTAAAATCAAGACATATTGATTTTTTCCAAGTCAATAACATTATAATATTAACATACCAAAACTGTAAATGATTTAGCGTTTGGATGTATACACTAATCACTCTTATATAAAGATAAAAATAATTTTATTGGTCCAGTGTGGTGACTCACACCTGTAATCCCAGCACTTTAGGAGGCCGAGGCGGGTGGATCACCTGAGGTCAAGAGTTCGAGACCAGCCTGACCAACATGGTGAAACCCCGTCTCTACTAAAAACACACAAAAAATTAGGCATAATGGCAGGCGCCTGTAATCCCAGCTACTCAGGAGGCTGAAGCAGGAGAATCGCTTGTACCCAGGAGGCAGAGGTTGCAGTTAGCCGAGATCTCGCCATTGCACTCCAGCCTGGGCAGGAAGAGCAAAACTCCATCTTAATAATAATAATAATAATAATAATAATAATAATAATAATAATAATGTACAAAGTATTTGGTGTTAAAATATGATTAAAGCTGTCTAATATTAAAATTTGACATTTGCATGCTAGTTATTGCTACATATGAATGTGTGGAGATGCCAAACTTGTGATATAAAATCTATTTCAAATTACGCAGAGATACATCTGAGAGATACGCAGAGATACATCTGAGAGATACGCGGAGATACATCTCCGAGTTTGAAATCACCACACAGTGTTGCACAAATAGTGGAATGCTGACACCAAGTGCAGAACAAACTACCTGAGCATCACCTCTTATCTTTAAAATGTGGAGCATAGGCCGGCGCTGTGGCCCAGGCCTGTAATCCCAACATTTTGGGAGGCCGAAGCAGGTGAAGCGCGAGGTTAGGAGTTTGAGACCAGCCTGGCCAACATGGTGAAACTCCTTCTCTACTCAAAATACAAAAATTAGCTGGGCGTACTAGTGCGTGTCTGTCATCCCAGCTACTTGGGAGGCTGAGGCAGGAGAATTGCTTGAACCTGGGAGGCAGAGGTTGCAGTGAGCCGAGATCGCATCCCTGCGCCACTGCACTCCAGCCCGCGCGACAGAGCAAGACTCCGTCTCGGAAAAAAAAAATGTGGAGCATAGTAATTTTCTTTCCACAAACTGAGCTTTAAGTGAAATGTTGACTGTGAATAATTTAGAATGCAACCTTATATCTAGTATTTCCTCAATAAATATAAGCTCCTTTAAATTTAAAATGTTACTTCCTTGAGATGCTAAAAACTTTGACTCTTCTCTTTAGAAGAGGGAAAACTGACTCAAAGCAAATTTTAATTTATTACTTTTCAAAGTTAAATATTATATGTTGCTTTTCCCAACCAAATTCTTCTTGGCCGGAATCGTACTATTTTTGTGAAAATGGAGGCATGAACATATCTAATGTTTAAGCAACGAATCTTTAATATCTTTTTTAAATAAAATTATTCCTTAAATCATATCCTAACAATGTCCATTAAAAGTAGAAAAGGATCTCTTTTTACTAAATAGTTAGATTGACCCATAAGAAGTTATTTCTGAAGGTCAGAATGGTTGAATGTCACACTTCATATAGCTCAACCTAATTAGTGTTCATTCTCTAAATTCCAATAACAAGTAAATATGTCAGATAAGTCAAAATGTGAGTTACTGTTTTAACTACGCTGCTTGCAGATAAAAAATAAAGCCATGCTTCTTGAAAATGTTTAGTCCCAAATAAAATTTTGTTATACAATAAATAGAAGCCTTACTTTAACTTGGGAAGGCGGAGGTTGCCGTGAGCCAAGATGGTGCCACTGCACTCCAGCCTGGGCAACAGAGCAAGACTCCGTCTAAAAAGAAAAAAAGAAAAGAAGCATACTATGGATATTCTTGCATACTTGTACTGAGGCATTTAAATAAAACTGATTGAATTTTAATTTAATTTTAAAATACACACATTTTAAGTGCAAATAATCATTTCAAGGCTTAAACTCAGGGTACTCTCGGTTCCCACCTACTCTTTCTCTAAAGGATGTTCTTAAAACATGCTAGTGTCAGAGAGAAGATAAAAGGTACCTATTTAAGGTGCCTATTTATGGTTCTTGTGCTAGTATTCAACCAGGGGTACTTCATTCACCCTGTGTGTGTGTGTTCTCTACCTTGGATGCGATGCTCGAGGTCTCTATTCTCTGTAGTCTTTTTTCATACACCAGACACCTACTCATATATCAATTCTCTGAGGACATGTTTGAACTATCGGAGTTCTGGAGCTTCTTGACTGCTTCTGCTTCCCCAGATTCGATGTGTTTTTCTCTGGACCGCTTGCCTAAATATTCTCATTATCGTCTTTCTTTTTTTGGTTGTGTTTTGTTTTTTGTTTTGTTTTGTTTTAGATAGAGTTTCGCTCTTGTCGCCCAGGCTGGAGTACAATGGCGTGATCTCGGCTCACCGCAACCTCCGCCTCCGGAGTTCAAACAATTCTCCTGCCTCAGCCTACCGAGTAGCTGGGATTACAGGCATGCGCCACCATGTCTGGCTAATTTTGTATTTTTAGTAGAGACGGGGTTTCTCCATGTTGGTCAGGCTGGTCTCGACCTCCCCACCTCAGGTGACCCACCCATCTCGGCCTCCCAAAGTGCTGGGATTACAGGCACGAGCCACCGCGCCCAGCAGTCTTTCTTTTTCCTAATCCAGAGTTTAAGCAGGACAGGAGTAGGATGCTGGATACCAAATGCCGCTAAGACACTGAACAATTTCAAAGGCTATGCTCTGGAAGACAAGGAACAAGAGCTTCTACTGTGGGATTTACCCAAAGTTTCCTGGATATTTCTGAAAACACCCCCATCACTTAAAATGAGAGTTTTGATAGAAATCTGTGTGTGATCGTGTATGTGTTTGCAGGAGGGAATGATATGGAGCAGTCAATACATTTATTCCCCCAACTTTATTCCTTTGTCCTTTTCTGATCTACCCATTACCAAAAGTCCTTTTAATTCCTATTTCTGTCTAGTGAGAATCTATTACTTTCTTCTTTATTTTAGTTTCACGACTTTATGAACTTGGCAAATGGTGGCAGCGGTAAAAGTCTATTACTTAGGAAGAAAACTATAGGCAAATCTTTTTTTAAAAATCATATCCTAACAATGTACATATTTAATAAGCACTAGTAAGTACTTATATGAGAGAAGTAAAAAATGATATAAGAATGTCTAAGATGGTTACTTATTCTGAACTTAGCAAGGTCAACAGAATACAACAAATATATGTTAAGCTAAAATCAGAAAACAGAAAAGAAATAAAGAAACAAACCTGAACACACTACTGGAAAAATAGTTTAGTTTCCTATGTAAAAAGTGCAAGAGTGATCTTTTTTTCTTATCCAATGAGTTCAGCTGCCTAAATTTCATTAATAAAATTTTTAAATAATTTAGAATTATACATGACCAAGTAAATTAGAAATATACATTTCATGTTTGTTGAACTTTGCACAAAATAGAATTTATACAATTCCACTTGAACATGTGCATAATTATCTGTTAGTTTTTTATAGAAAAACTAAATCAGATGTCTATTGATTTTTAAACTCTCATTTTTTCTCAAAGAGCAAGCAGTTGAATTTAAACATCCAATGACAGCAAATTTGATACTGTATCATTATGATAACAGCAAAAATAATCTCATTGACAGATATTACTGAAATTTCATGTATATTTAATTTCATTACCATATTTCATTGGTCAGCATATTTTAATGGAGTTTTGTTAGCTTTTTCATATTCATGTGTGAGAGCAAGAAATAGGCTAACATGCTTTAATAAGAGTGCGTGTCTTTCAAAAATTAATTTTTGAACATTGTTATTGGTTAAATTCAAAGAGGTAGATGAAAATTTAGATAAATATTTCACTTGACATCTTACTCTATCTCTGTGTAACACAGAGTTATTTTTTACTTTACAGCTTGACTGAGCAGTTCTCTGATTACTTTTCTCTTGGTAAGCCTAGACAATTGCTCTTGACGCTTGTCTATGATAAAAAGAAGTCATAATGATTTATAGTATACTGTTTAAAGTTCAAAATTACCCCTCTTGTAAACCTGGGAAAAACATACTTGCTGGTACCTTATATCTAACTTGTTGGTGATATAACTAATTAGAGATACGGTTTGACTACATGACTAGGGATATAAAAGTCGTAACTGGAAACGGGTCAATCTCTCTTAATCAGGTTTCTTTACATATGTACTGGTGGTTATTTTCCAGAGACAAAGAGAATCCTGAATAACCAAAGAAAGGATCCTGGTGAGCTGTTCCTAGAAGATTTGCTGACACCCAGGGCTTATCTGTGCTTTCTTTCTCTGGCCGTACTGTATACGTTGCCTCAACAATGTCCTTCATAAGCATGCTCTGTGAAGTCTAATGAGCCATTTCATTACCCACCTATCCAATGCTGCTACCAGATATATGCACATTGTACAGCTTCTTCTTAATTCTGTTGGTAGTCACCTGTGCAATCTTGACAATATGCTCATACCTCAGTTTCTCAAACAAACAATAGCCAGTAAAATTGCTTTATTGAACTTGCCTTACTTAATATACCTCCCCTTTACCAAATATTTTATATATTTTTGTTAGTTTCATGTTTCTCAATCCATTAATTTTAGATAATATCTCATTACCACTATGTAGGAAAAGAAAATATATTCTTCAACCCTCTCTCATCTCTTTCTAAATAGTTTCATCTTCCAACTTCCAGGAACTATAATTTGATTTTCCAATTCTATAACATGTTTAGAAACTATACGTTTCTATAAGTTTCTGTCAGTTTCAAAACTTGTGTTAGGTTTTCAAAGTCTACAACATATTTAGAAAATATAAGTTTTGATGAGTTGTGTGAGGATAATTTTTTTATTTTTCATTTTTTGTCTACTAACAGGGAGGCAGCTACTCTGTACCTCTTTAGGATGTTTGATATAATAGGGCCCATCTTTTGATTTTAAACTATAAAATCTCAGCTCTTCTCACCCTGGGAATTGTGAATACATACCTCTAAAATTAACTTGAAAATCTCTCAGGAAGTGTACAAGAAACTATCTCGAAGTAGAACTAATTGTTCTCAGGGAGATAGGAAAATTTTACATTAGTGTATAATTTTGTGTGAAATTTTATCCAGACTGTTTTATCTTTCTCAGTACTCGCATTTGTATAATCTGATTCATACTCAATAATACATTGGCTCTTTCCTTCCTTAAGAGTATGGAGGTCTCTTTGTGTGGTAGGATTTTTTATTTCTTTCATTGTTGCCTTTTTGTTGGTTCTAATAATTAAACTCCAATGTAGATTGCTTGCAAATTTATGATTGTATAATTTTGTCCACCAAGAAGATTGATAGGAAAGGATGGATGATTTATACTGAAGTCATGAAACTTGTCTTATTTGAATAAGAATGTTAGACACCAATGTAAAATGGTATCGTTTTACATAGCACAGAATTAATTTCAAAAATGTATGTCACAAATTATATCATAATTAAAACATGATTTCTTTTAATAGATTGTTTTACCTAGAGTAGGCAATAGACTTTTTGCACTTTTATACACCAAGCACCTTATGCCATATTACATGTTAAAATGAATCTTACTTATACTTGGATGCATCCATCTCAGTGCCCTGAATTTCTTTTCAAATACAAATTGGTTGCTTTTTAGGCCTGCTACATGTTGCAGAATGTTGGATTCCACAAATAACAACACAACCTGTTTCTAAGAGAAAGCTGACCAAGGTAAAGGACAGCAATGTTTCTATGAAGCTTGGGCAATGTCTTGAAGTAGGGAGGAGACATTAGAATTTATTGAGAATTGGAGATTTTGTTTAAGGCAAGAATTTCAATGTTGATGGGCTTAATATTAGGTTAAGAATAATGCACGATACAGTAGTCTTAGATTAGTGAAAAACAGGATGAAGATTTTGAAGCAGAGAATTCAATGAATCTTAAGTCACACCCTGTTAATTTTTATTGAATTGAAGAGCTGTGGGTCTTCAGGAAGTTTCATAATGAACAATTAAACAATTTGCCTGGACTACAAACACTTGGGAAAGTACAGTAATGTGAATGAAGACAGTGGAATAGCAAAATCATGTTATTGTAGTGTTATGGGCTGAAATATGTCCCTCCAAAATTTATATATTGAAATTCTAACCACCAGTATTTTAGAATGTGACTATATTTGAACATAGGTTCTTTAAAGAGGTAATTAGGGTAAAATAAAGTCATGTGTGTGGGCCTGAAAACAATCTCACTGGTGTTCTTATAAGAGGGAGAAATTTGGACATGGATATGCATATGCACAAAGGAACAACCACACTAAGGCCAAGGGAGAAGACAGTCATCTACGAATCAAGGAGAGAAGCCACAAAATGAAACTAATCATGCCAGCACCTTGATTTCAGTCTTCCAGCTTCAAGAATTTCTGAGTAAATATTGACCTTGCCTCCCCACTTTGAGTTTCTCTTGTTTAAGCCATTCAATCTACGGTATTTTTTATAGCAGCCCTAGCAAATTAGCATATGCAGTTAAATTATGGATAGGTAGTTTTGGTCCCCCCATATTCAGGCTAAATGTGGAGGTGGGCATTTTGATTCAAAACATATATTTTCTTTTTAGTGTACTCCTGATTTTAGTTCACAGTGTATGCATACCTATGTATTAGTTTAAATTTTTATGTTGGTAATATATAACCATAAATATATTTTTCAAATATTTTTATATATTTGCTTAATGTTTAGTTTTTTTCTGACCTTATATTTGATTGGCATTTTACGGAGTATCAAATCTATGTTCTATTTTACTTCCTCTTAAATATTATTCAATTGTTTTCTAGCGCTTTGTTATTGAAAAAATTGTTACTTTAATACAAACTATATATAATATATACACATTTTTTTCTGTCTTGCATTCTAAAAATCTTTAAAGAATGATTATTAATACCTAATGATTATTAGTTATCTACATAATTATAGACATTGTTTATCTTCATGTTAGTCAACTCAGGCTGCTATTTTATTTTTTTATATTTATTTATTTATTTATTTTAATTTATTTTTCTGAGATGGAGTCTCGCTCTGTCGCCCAGGCTAGAGTGCAGTGGCCTGATCTTGGCTCACTTTAACCTCTGCCTCACAGATTCAAGCAATTCTCTGCCTCAGCCTCCTGAGTAGCTGGGATTACAAGCACCTGCCAGCACGCCTAGCCAATTTTTATATTTTTAGTAGAGACAGGGTTTCACTATCTTGGGCAGGCTGATCTTGAACTCCTGACCTCTGGATCCACCCTCCTCAGCCTCCCAAAGTGCTGGGATTACAGGCATGAGCCACCACGCCCCAGCCTCAGGCTGCTATTTTAAAAACTAGCACAAACCAGGTGGCTTATGAAGAAAAGATGTTTATTTCTAACAGTCCTGGAGGCTGGGAAGACCAAGATTTGGGTATCCACAGATTCAGGGTCTGATGAGGACCTGTTTCTTGATTCATGGATGACCTTTTTTTTTTTCTCTATGTCCTTACATGAAAGGAAGGGGCAAAGGAGTTCTCTGGGGTTCCTTTTATAAGGGCTCTTATCCCATTTGTAAGAGTTGTCCTCATGACCTAATCACTTCTCAAAGGCCTTACCTCCTAGAGTCATCTCACTGGGGGTTAAGATTTCAGTATGTGAATTCCAGGGGGACACAAACATTCAGTGTATAATATTGTTCCTAATTGTGGCTACACACTAAAGTCAGGCATCAGAGCAGCTTTTAATAGATAGCAGGGCCAGATGCCAGACCAACTAGATAAGATTCTATGAAGGAGCGGCCTCTCAACCTCATTCTAAGTATTCTCTAAATGATTACAGCATTATTGGGAATATACATACATTCCTCTTCATATAGGAACGCCATGTTTACAATCTTGACTACTAGAATCAACTTAAAATTAGTAAAGTGCAGATGATAGGTTTATTTTTGCCCAGTTAAAATTATGCTAGGAATTCTTGTGTTTTCTAGGCAGATAATTCCGTTTTTTAGATCCCTATTCTAGAAGTCAGTGTTGAAGTGCCAATAATTCTACACAAGTGGGAGAAGTTATTAATAAAAGCTAATGTAGCAGGATGAGCCGCAGATGGTTAAAGAAGGAAGAGGCTTTATTCAGCCGGGAGCATCGGCCAACTTGTGTCTCAAGAACCAAGCTCTCCGAAGAAAGAGTTCCTGGCCCTTTTAAAGGCTTACAACCCTAAGAAGCCTACTTGAAAGGGTCGTGATAGATTGAGCAAGCAGGGGGTACATGACTATGTCCACATACGTTAGTGGTGGGGGTAAGCAATGCAAGTATTTCTGCATACCATTGTCTGTGATCTATAGATAGCACAAGTGATTAGGGTGGGGGTTATCTTTAACCTACAGGTCTGGCCAATGGCACCGATCAGTCTGTTGTTTTTCAGCTTTTACTTCCTTCTTCTCTTCCGAGACAGGGGACAGTAAGAGAAATAGCCTCTTTCCTCAGTAACAAAGAATAATTAGCAAAAATTTCAACAGTTGACATAACCTTCTGCTAATACTCTGCTAATGCCATCCTCTGCTATTCAACTCCACGTGTACTTCCTCTCTATTCCCAGCTTTGAGCTTCTCGAGGCTGCTACTGGGGAGAACCGTGCTTCTGCAACCGTTTCCTATGTATATATTGGACCATGACTCCCTTCACTTGAGAGAAGAGAGAGACTCTCTCATATTGTTTTATATTGTTTTATATTCAGTAAAAACAACAAGGAAGTAAAACCAAAGACAGGCAGCCCGGCGCCAGGCCCAAAACCAGGCTTGGGCCTGCCTGACCTAAACCCAGTAGTTAAAAATCAACCTATGATTTAGAAGCCAATATTATTCATCGATTCCAGACATTATATAGAAGAACACTGTGAAACTCCCTGCCCTGTTCTGTTCCTCCCTGACCACCGGTGCATGCAGCCCCTGTCAGGTACCCCTTGCTTGCTCAAATCAATCACGACCCTTTCATGTGAAATCTTTAGTGTTGTGAGCCCTTAAAAGGGACAGAAATTGTGCACTTGGGGAGCTCGGATTTTGACACAGTAGCTGGCCGATGCTCCCAGCTGAATAAAGCCCTTCCTTCTACAACTCGGTGTCTGAGAGGTTTTGTCTGCGGCTCGTCCTGCTACACACTACCTTTGATGGAGCCCTAACTTGCCATCTGCCTCTGATTTCCCAAACATGTGTTAAAATCTCTGTGCCACCAATTATTTTCTTTCTTGCTATCTCTGCATATTATGTTACATTTTTTTCCTTAAGGAGTCATCAGAGGGAAAAAAGAGAAATATATTTGATATATAACAGATATTAATGTCGTTTACATTATGCCCCTTTTCAATTGTCTCAGAGCACAAGGCTGTAGATAAAAGCTGTTAGGATAGAATAAAATAAAACCATACTTACATTGTGTTTACGGAAATATCTATAAATAGAAATAACTGTTTATATGCTTGTTTTTGAAATTTAGTATTGACTTTTTTTTAATTAAAAATGAAAAAAAAATTCAAACATTTTAATCTATTGGCCTCCAAAGTACAACTTTGGTGTTTTTCCTGTTCCATTTATTTTAATAAAAATTACCATATAACTGGGTTGAAATCACTCTAATTGTCACCATATTTTTACTGTTGAGGGATTTCTTTTCCTGCGATTTTGTCTTCTATCTGTTCATGAATAATTTTCAAAAACGGAGCTCTCATATTTAGGCAGCTTTCTTGCAGTGCAACACCTCATCGCCTGCACTGCAGGATACCCCAGATGCATGCCTCGCACATCACATTGGGTATATCAAAGACAGAATGTTTACATTTATCTCAAATGCCTCAATATTCTGTTTTAGGTCATTCTGTTTAGGGTCATTAGGAAAATCTGCAAAATTGCTGTATCTGGGATTTTATTAAATTAAGACATCTCTTTTAATCTTAGTTTTTTAAGGAGTATATAAATTTTGTTGGAACTAAACTTGGGACATAAAATTTCCATGGGAAAAATATGACTAGGAAAACCATGGGGCTTCAGAAGAAAAATAGGTTGTTACATTTTGAGGACAAAATAATACAGAACTATGTTTAATTATATATGGCTTAAATATGCTTTCAAAATGTTAACTTCTGATGTATCACAAAAAAGTTGAAATAAGCATTTGAGTTGCTGGGGACATCGTCACCTTTCCAGTGAGATCACCTTTCTGGCCTCTAAGGACAGAAGCAGAAGCTGTTATTCCAATGTTTAATCACTAGAACATATATTGAGATGACACTTGTGTGGCACTTCTATGATTTAACAGCAGTAAAGTTAGTAATGTCAGTGAAAACGGTGGAATAGCTCAAAGAAGCAGACCCCTCACAGAAATATTCCAACTTCAAAGAAAACCTGTTAGAAACAACTTTGTCAGAATTCTAGGAAACAGTGACAGGCTCATAGCAACAAAGCAAATGCTGAATTAAGAAAAAGACAATGTAAAAATGATAGAAATGCTTTGACATTTTCACTTGTCCTTGCCACACTCCCCCACTCAGCTCAGGGGTAATCTTGAAGATGGCAGCCTTCATTTCTAGTGGAATCCCTGGTTCCAGAGGAGGCAAAGAATTGCATTTGCCTGCTCTAAATTGCCTGGGGGCTTCCCAAAGTGTTGACACAAGGAACTTGTCTTTGTTTAGCATAACTGGGAACTGGGTCTGAAAATCTATAGAATTGACTAATAAACATTGTAAGGCAAGTGCAAAACCCACAGCCGCCTGGGGCAAAAGATTACAACGGAAGCAACAATAGAGTCCCAAAAGCCTAGGAGGGAAAACTGGGGAGAGAGTTTCACTGGGAAATTAGGGCATCCAAAAGTTTCTGAGTCTACTTGGAATTTAGAAAATCACATGCATGCCCAGGGTAAGACTCATGCTAAGAAAAGACCTGTGAATATGCAACATTTTCCCCTTTGGCTAAACTCCATGCAAGTGCAAACAGGATGTACAGGCTAAGGCAGAGTTTTAAATGGCCCGGCTGAGCATTGAAGGATTTCCTCATCACAAAGCCAGACTGCAAAGATTGGGGAAGGTTTTTGATTTACGCTTTCTTATCTTCTCTCTGTCTGTGTCTCTCTCCGTCTACCCCTGACATTCAAGGAAATAACTGCCAAAACTCTAGCTAGACAAAAATTAAAGGAAAAGCTACGTCAGCGACCAAATATTACAAAAATTACAGGTCTACAGTTTAACAACAAAAAGAAGACCAAATTAAGTGGGCAAAGGGTATAGACATTTCCCCAAAGAATTATACAAAGAACCAAGAAGCAGAAAGCCCTTGAAATGATGCTCAATATCATTTGTCATTAAGGAAATGCAAATCAAAACCACAATTGAGATACCACTTCTCACCAACTAGGATGGCTTTTTTAAAAATTTAACTTATATTTTAAGTTCAGCGGTACAATTGCAGGTTTGTTATATAGGTAAACTTGTGTCGTGGTAACTTGTTATATAGGTAAACTTGTGTTTGTTGTATAGATTATTTTATCACCCAGCTATCACACCTAGTGCTCATTAATTATTTTTCCTGATCTTCTTCCTCCTCCTACCCTCTGTCAGGCCTCTGAGCAGAAGCTAAGCCATCATAACCCCTGTGACCTGCATGTATACATCCAGACGGCCTGGAGCAATGGAAGAACAACAAAAGATGACATTCCATCATTTGATTTGTTCCTGCCCCACCCCAACTAATCAATCGACCTTGTGACATTCCTCCCCTGGACAATGAGTCCCATGATCTCCCCACCCTGCACCTTGTGACCCCTGCCCCTGCCCGCAAGAGATAACCAACTTTAACTGTAATTTTCCATTACCTACCCAAATCCTATAAAACTGCCCCACTCCTATCTCCCTTTGCTGAATCCTTTCTCCGACTCAGCCCACTTGCACCCAAGTGAATAAACAGCCTTGTTGCTCACACGAAGCCTGTTGGTGGACTCTCTTCACATGGATGTGCGTGACACCCTCTACCCTCCAATAGGCCCCAATGTGTGTTATTCCCCTCTATGTGTCCATGTGTTCTTATTATTTAGCTCCCACTTACAAGTGAGAGCATGCAGTATTTGGTTTTCTGTTTCTGCATCAGTTTGCTAAGGATAATGGCCTCCAGCTCCATCCATGTTCCCGAAATGATCTTGTTCTTTTTAATGCCTGTATAGTATTCCACAGTGTATATGTACAAAATTTTATTTATCCAGTCTACCACTGATGGACATTTAGGTTGATTCCATGTCTTTGCTATTGTGAATAGTGCTGCAATGAACATACATGTACATGTGTCTGGGAAGGAGGGAAGGAAGGACGGAAGGAGGGAAGGAAGGAAGGAAGGAAGGAAGGAAGGAAGGAAGGAAGGAAGGAAGGACAAGTGTTGGCAGTAAATATGTAGAGAAATGAGAATACTTATACATTGTAGGAATATAAAATAATTCAGCTGCTATGAAAAAGAGTTTGGGAGCACCTCAAAACATAAACATAGAATTATCATATGATCTTCTAATTCTATTTCTGGAGGTACACCCTCCAGTGTTGAAAAACTAGTACTCAAACAAGTCAGTGTACATAAACATTAATAGCAGGACTATTCACAATAGCCAAGGTGGAAATAACCAAATGTTCACAAACAGATAAATAGATATCAAATTATGGTGTGTATTTATATATATACACACACACACACACACACACACACACATACACAATGGAATATTACTGAGCCATATAAAAATGGAGTAAAGCTATAGTGTGAATATTGGTGTCTGAGGCCATTTTATGTTGCTTATAATACCTGAATCTGGTTAATTTATAAAGAGAAGGAATGTATTTCCTACAATTATGGAGACTGAGAAGTTCAAGGTTAAGGAGGTGCACTTGGCGAGAGCCTTCTTGCTGATGAGGACTCTCTGAAGAGTCCTGAAGCCTCACAGGGTAAGATAGGGCAAGGAGGATGCGCATGCTACTCAGATATCTCTTGCTCTTACCATAAAGCCACCAGTCCCTCCACCAATGATAGCCCATTAATTCTTTAACTCATTAATCCATGAATGGTATCTGCCCTCATGATCCAATCACCCATTAAAGGTCCCATCTTTCAACACTGCCACATTGGGGATTAAATTTCAACATGAATTTTGGAGGGGACAGATATTCAAACCATAGCAGTTGGTGCCCCCACCACTATCTAATTTACGTGTTAGAACCTAACACCCAATGTGATAAACCCAATGTGATAGCATTGAGTTGGGGCCTCTGAGAATAAGTAAGTCATAAGGACTCTGCTTAGTGCCCTTATAAAGGAAGCTTAAGTGAGCTGCCTTGCAAGTTCCATCATGCAAGAATGCAGCAAGAAGCCTTCCTCTTTGAAGCACAGGCACAAGCCTCACCAGATATTGAATTTGTTGGTGGCTTCATCTTGGACTCCCCAAACTCAACAACTATAAGCAATAAATTTCTGTTGTTTACAAATTCTCTAGTCTAAGATATTTTGTTAGAGCAGCTAGAACAAACCAAGACAAGTACTGACACAATAATAAGGATGAATCTGAAAAAAAAAAAAATTATACCTAGTCAAAGAAGCCAGACACAAAATGTCACAGATTGTATGATTTCATGTATGAAATATCCATAATAGGTAAATCCAGAGAGACAGACAGAAAGCAGATTGGTAATTGACAGAGGCTGGAGGATGAGAGAATGAGGAGTAACTGCTTGATAGGTACAAAATTTTCTTAGGGGATAATATATTTTGGAGCTTAATAGAGGTGGGCATATATAAGATTGTAAGTGTACTGAATGCCACTGATTTTTTCACTTTAAAATGGATCTTAAAATGGTTAATCTTATGTTACATGAATTTCACCTAAACTAAAACAAAAAAGTAAAAGCTACAAACTTCTTGCTGTCCTCAAAAACAATGATACCCAATTTATATATGAAAATCTCCCAATGACCAGAGGTGGTTTATGTTACTTTGAAATTGACATAAACTGAAAGATGTAAATATTATTTGTAAATTTCAGTGGCCCTGAAAACTTTCTGTAACGAGTTAAGAAATAACAGTATGTACTAATAAATTAATTAATATTTCCTTAAAATCGTAAGTTTCTTTGACTAAATCATATGACTCTTACTTGGAAAGAGTTAGAGGCATTGTTGTGAATCTTACCAGAATATGCCACCCCAACATAGACCTTTTGCCCTGTGAATTATTTTGAGCTAGGACTCCTGAGAACCAGCAGACTCAGGAAAAGCTCTAAAAACAGGGCACTAATTTTCCCTTTGTAAAGGAAATTTCCATTTGTAAAGGTCTCTCCTTCTCCAGAAAGAGGTGGAAAGTTCTCAGGACCTTTTAAGAGTGTGCCTTGGGCCTTGATCACTCACATATGACTCAGAATAAACCTCTTTAAATATTTTACAGAATTTGACTCTTTGTCAACAATATCAGAATAGGTTAAATATCCAAAATTTCTGCAAATTGAAATACCAATTTCAAACTTTTTTTCACAAAAACACAAATTGTCATTAAATTTGGTGGCTGTTCATACTCACGGGAATAATCTGAACATAACACATTTTCCTGCATTGGCCATTTACCCAGAAGGCCTACATTTTTTTCCATCTCTCTCTTCAACTTATTTTTCTTAGCAGAAATTTTGATGTCTTAGAATCTACCAGGATTCTTACAGTTAGATAGTAAATAATTTCATTCAAATTAATTAGAGATTTAAAATGAAGTTGCTGAATAAATATTTGAGAATATTTAATCAATAATATACTATTTTTAAACCATTCTTCTTTGCTTTTTCTCTCTCCCTCTCTCCTCTCTTTGAAAGTCATTTAACTATTACCTGTTGAAAGCCCTGCAGGTGACTCAGTATTACCCTCATTATTCATGGTAACAGGAGCAAGAAAACTAAAGGAGCTTTTGTTCCTAGGCAGTCAAAACAAGATAGGCCAACAATAGTTACAAAGCTATGAATTCAGTACTAATCAGAGATTTGGAGGGTTTTTGTGAACCTGCTATTCTTCAGAAACCCTTAATTCTTTCAGTTTCTCCTTTCGCATACATTCTGTGTCTTCTGTCAAATGAAATGTAGCATCTCTGTACACAGAAAGTTTCTGAGCTAAGTATATGTAACACGAGTTTCCTTTCCAAGATTCAACACCTATGCATTGCAATCAAATCTCTTTTATACTGCATTGTATAAGCACATAAAGGCATCAGTTTAATAAATTAATTTTTATTGAGCCTCTGTTAGTAAAAAATTATGCAATTCAATGGTATAGTGCATTAAAAATATATGAAGTGGTTTTATACTCTTTTCTGTGCAAAGGTGTTGAAAAAGTAACTATCCAAGGTTAATTACCGTCAGTAGTAGGAGAATATTTTGTTAAGTAAATTTAGTAGGACAATATTTTGTTAAGTAAAACTAAATTATGTTTATACCTTGCTGTGATCTTATTTTATAATGTTAAAGTTAAAGGTTACCTTACAAAACATAATTACCAACTTGCAAAAGTATTTTAAGGGTCCGTTATTACTTTGCATCATTGAATAAAGTGTTTAAAAATTGTGTGATAGTGAACAAAATGTACTTAGACTATATTAGTAGATCAATAATAATAATAATTACACTGTTTTTGCCAGGCCCAGCATTTGAGAGAAAACTATGCATAAGCAAAGGTATAGATGGTAGAAGGGAATACAGGATAGAAAAAACACATTTAAAATGCTTCTAATAATTTTCCAATTTTAAAAAGTGTCTAAAATCTCTCTCCATTTCTTTATCTTTTTGAAAAATTTTGATGACTAGGAAGTTGCTGTTTCATCTAAAATATGATAAAACCTCTGAAAACTAACTCCAGTCAATGTGAAATTTGGCAGGGCCTATTATCTCTGAGCTACTTCTTGGATTAACCTCTGTAGTGTAATGGAGACTGTTAAGACTCCTGGGAGTGACAACAACCACAGTGACAGGAGAACACCTGGTTATTGGCATTTCATCCTTTATAATAGATGCCCAAACAGGTCCCCAGACACCTGCAGAAATTACTAGGGTGTGTTAGACCATGACAGTTGATAAATTATTACCAGACACAATCTGGAAATGGGCTTCTAAGCTTTACTATCATCTCTGAAGGAAAAAATATGATTTGCCTACTGGGAGGAAAACTCAGCTAAATATTCTAAATGAAAAATCAAAATATATGCATAAGATAAGCTAGCATTCAATAGCTCTTAGCAAAATTTGACGACAAAATAATGTTTAGAAAATGTTCAAAAATAACAAGGGTATAATATAATTAATGTATATCAAAAAATGACAATTTTTTGGAGACTTACAGTTTTTATGCACAAGGACACAGTACTGCTAACAGTAACTATATAAAATTTTAAACAGAAAATAAAAACAATGGTAGAATATTAGCATCGGTGCCAATTCTACATTTTAATTATGTATAGTGCAAAATATGTTAGACTTCCATATATTCATGCTAACCTAGTTGATGCTAATCTAGATCTAACCTAGTTCATGCTAACCTAGATGATCTTCCCAATGTTGTAGAGGAAAATTTAGTGACAATAAAGCTTACTGAGTGTCCACTCTGGATACCTACTCAAATATTTCCTAATATGGGTATGTAATGCATATGCATGAAAATTCTTTCCTCCCTACTCTTGCACTCACACTTAACACAGAACTCTTCCATAACCAAATGTGTGTTGTTTGTTTTTTCCCTCACAACAATTTAATTCTCGAATTCTCTGCAGACCCCAGTTGGGTGCCCTGCAACTGAATGAATTCTGATGTTCACTGTAATTAGCACAAATCCCACAGGTTAAGGGCTCAGTCGCACAAACTGTCCACACATCCGAAGCCAACCGTAAGTCCCAGGTTTTTACTTGTACTTCTGACTTTCTGGCTATAAATTGGGATTTCCATGACCCCTTTCCTCAAGTTCAGTCATTTTCCAAAAGGGTTCACATGACTCAGGGAAACATTTTACCTATATTACTAGTTTATTATATATTAAAGGATATGATAGAGGTTACAGGTGAACAGCCAGATGAAGAGAGGGGCATCGGGTGAGGTCCAGAAGTTTCTTGAGTGCAAAAGCTTTTCTCACCACAAAGTTGAGGGGTGCCACACTCCCCATATGTGGATAAGTTCACGAAACTAGGAGATCTTCAAACCCCATAGTTTAGGGATTTTTTTAATGGAGGCTTCTTCACGTACACTCAATCTCCAGCCCCTCTTTCCTTCCCAGAGGATGAGAAATAGGGCTGAACATTCCAAACTTCTAATCATGACTTGGCCCCTCTGATGACCAGCTCCAATGCAGGAGCCCACCATGAGTTGCCCTATTAGAAGAAGAGATGCTCTTATCACCTAGAGAATTTATAAACACTAGGAGCTCTGTGCAAGGAACGGGGCTCAAAGATCAAATATTAGTAAAAATGACACATTTAGTACCCCCATTGCTCAGGACATTATAAGGTTTTTAGAAGCTTTGTGACAGAAACTAGGGGCAGAGACCAAATATTTTTAAATTATGTCTCATATCTATATCTATATCTATGTCTTACACCCAAATAGACATTGGTGTCACAAACTATCATATCTCTAATCTATTTATATTTTTAAAAATTATTTATTGTCCCACAAGCGGCCTTTCTCCCTGTCTTTTTCTCTATTAAAATGGTGTATAAGCTACTCTTTTGGGTATTCACCTCCTCTTGTCATGCTCCCATGCATACAAAATTAAAAATTATACGTTTGTATGCCTTTTCTCCTGTCAGTCTGTCTCTTGTCACTTTATTTTTCAGATCCAGCAGGAGAACAGAAGAGGTACAGAGGGAAAGTTTTTCTCTCCTACAGGGCCAATACAATATGCTATTGTTAAAATTGTAAACTGAAGCATAATAATATTTTAAAGTGCTTATTTGAACAAACAACAATTTATGAATCCAGCAGCTCCAGAACAGAAGTGGTTCAGGGATTCCCTGGAGGAAGCATAAGGTATAGGCTTTTCTAGAGTGAATATGAAAGTAGTATAAAGAAAGGGATATGGTTTGGCTGTGTCCCCACCCACATCTCATATTGAATTGTGATTTCCATAATCTCCACGTGTCATGTGAGGGACCCAGTGGGAGATCATTTAATCATGGGGGTGGGTTTTTCATGTGCTGTTCTTGTGAGAGTGAATAAGTTTCATGAGATCTGATGGTTTTGTAAAGAACAGTTCCCTTGCACATTCTCTCTTGCCTGCCACCATGTAAGACATGCCTTTGCTCTTTCTTTGACTTCTGCCATGATTTTGAGGCCTTCCCAGCCATACGGAACTGTAAGTCCATTAAACCTCTTTTTCTTTATAAATTACCCAGGCTCAGGTATTTCTTCATAGCAGTATGAAAAGGGACTAATACAGAAAGTGTATTTGATTAGTTACAGTTATAAGTTTTCTTATTTGGTCTATCCTGCTGGAAATATCTAGTCATATATTTAGAAGTTTGCTGGCTGCCTCTGATTTACTGAACTTAGGTGTTTATATATATATATATAAACCAATTAGGCCTGATAAGTGACCTTAACCTTGCTGGATTTGAAAACATAAGCAAAACTTAACTTGAGTTATTTCTTGTAAATGTCTATATATATATAGACATTTGTTTATATATATATATAAAAATGTCTATATATATATATATAGACATTTACAAGAAATAACTCAAGTTAAGTTTTGCTTATGTTTTCAAATCCAGCAAGGTTAAGGTCACTTATCAGGCCTAATTGGTTTTGTTTGCTCTCAGGGATTACTCAGGCCTGGTCTCCATTTTAATTTACTAATACTATCTCAAGCTAGATCTAGAGCAGTGGTTCTCAAAGCATAGTCCAAAGGCTTCCACAAAAAAGCCATACAATGTTTAGAATCCCAAATATTTTTGACCCCAGTTTATAGCAATAGAGAATGAAGACTTTGAATTGGCATCCTTAGGAAAATATACACATGGTTAAACAAGTTTTGGTAATGTTCCGGTAAAGATATATTAAGGATATTGCTTTTCCGCTCAAATCCATTGTTACAGATGTCCTCAAGGGACATCTATTACACTGAAAGAGAGGGACCTGGCTAGTAGACAAAGGCCATATATGTTTAGACTTAAAAATTATGTTAAGTATAGAATAAGTGTTGCTCCTTAAACTTGGAATTTATAATAAGCCAGCTGATAATTATCTGATTAGGTTGATGAAAGAGTTGGATTGCCAAAAAAGCCACAAGTCTACACTTTGAAAGTCTGTGACTGGTAAATCTGCAAATTAAGACTTGAACCTTTAAAAATATCGATTTTATTTTATGGTTTATAATCTTTTGCCAGTAATTTGGAAAGTATAATGAAATCTTCAATTTCCTAAAGAAATATAATTTATCAAAATTTACTCAGGTAGTAATAGAAAATCTAAAATCATCTAAAATAATTAAATAAAATTAATCAACATTAAATATTTACCTCCCCTCCTCAAATTCCACATGCAAACAAAACTATCTGGGCCTAGATGGGTTAGCATATTATCTAAAACAAATACTTAGATATTTTCAAACTAACATACATTCTGCCAGTGAGAAAATTTTCCTTCAATTTATTTGAGTTATAATCATAATATGAAAAATAGAAGGAGGGTGAAAAAGGAACACAGAAAATAATGTAATTTTTTTTCTTTTTTTTTGAGATGGAGTCTCGCTCTGTTGCCAAGGCTGGAGTGTAGTGGTACAATCTTGGCTCACTGCAAGCTCCGCCTCCCAGGTTCACGCCATTCTCCTGCCTCAGCCTCCCGAGTAGCTGGGACTACAGGCGCCCGCCACCACGCCTGGCTATTTTTTTTGTATTTTTAGTAGAGACAGCGTTTCACCGTGTTAGCCAGGATGATCTTGATCTCCTGACCTCATGATCCACCCACCTTGGCCTCCCAAAGTGCTGGGATTACAGGAGTGAGCCACCGCACCTGGCCAATAATACAAATATTTTAAGTAAATTTTATCACGTCAAACCTAGTGTTGTATATAAAAAAATACACAAATAAGTTTACTTCAGAATAGAAAAGCAAAGATATCATTGGAAATTTCTTAATATATTATACATAATTAGATTTAAGGTTTAGGCTTTGAGAAATATATTTGATAATATTCAATATTCTCCCATAATAAAATTTCTTGTCACTCTAGCACTAGGAAGAAATTTTATTAGCCTGCTAAATGTTGTGCACCAGAGAAAATATAGCTAGAATCATAAAGGTAAAAAGCCAGAAATTTTCATTAAAAAATCAGAAAAAAACAAGCAATTCCACTGTCAAGTTTATAAACTGCAGTTTCTATTGCACACGTACACAGAGTATGTTAAAATATTTATAGTAGAATCTCTTATAAGAGTAAACCATTGGATAAGACATGTCTGCCAAAACATTAACTGACAATAGACTCCCCTTCCCTCAAAAGTATATACATTCATTCCTTATATTACCATACAAGATTCTTATAAACATAACATTGAGTCAAACAATTTAAGCTTCAGACAGATACCTACAATTTAAACTCATAAAAAACTAGCATATGTGGTGTTAATGATGAATACATATGTAGTAAAAATACCCCAAAACTGCATAAGAATAATCAAAACTAAATACAGTAGTTACTTACCTCTGGGGAAGGAAGGGTAAAGTAAATACACCCAGGATGTGGAGGGTGGTACCTATACCCTACTCAGCAAATTTTATTTTTTAAGTTGTATTGTTGGTTCATAATTAATTATTATGCCATTCTTTACTGTTTCCTGTATTTTATAAATATTTAGTAATTCACTCTTAAAAATGAAGAGTGAACAGTTTTGATAGTTTTTAGTTCTGTGATGTTATTTCAAAAAACTACATATACATACATGTAGATTTATGGTAATAAAATGCACAAATCTACACGTATGTGTATGTTTATGGTAATAAAATGCACAAAGCTACATGTGTGTATATGTATGTGCATGTGTATGTATATGTGTGTATATAGATACAGATATTCCACAGAGGTAGTACACAGAAACTGAAAGTGGTCCACAAATGACAAAAATTGTTAAAAAGGTATAGAAGAAATACATTATATGGAAAAATGAATAAATGTTTTTGAGATTACGTATGGACAAAAAGCTAAAGAGCATATGCTATAAATATATACAAAAGTTTAACATGTAACTTGTATGCTAAGAATTCATTTGGTTATTTCCAGATCATTTACAAAACTTTGAAGAACAGAACTGTTGCTATGGAGATTTTGTTTAATAGTCATCAAACTAAAGGCTACAAAAGCTAAAAATGCATTCATAAGAACATAATGCTCATGTTTATATTTTGAAGATCTATAGCGTGAAGCACATGTTCAGGTATTGCCAAATTTTGAAGCAAAGTTTCTAATCCTACTTAACTTAAAATTATTCTGCTATTATTTTAGATTAATTTATATTTTACTCCTATTGATCTGTATTTATATTGACAAGAGATCAAACATTATATACCATCATTGTGGGTAGTAGCTGGGGAAAAAGTCCTCATGAATTATCTGCAAGTCTTAGGAAGAACACATTCTGAATCCTGCAGTTTTGTTCAGAGCTATCTCAGAGGTCCCTGCATATAAAAAGGAATTTTCAGAGCAACAATTTGGTTTTTTTCTTCCTAACAATTTGGCTTGGGTTCATAACTTGCTTATAGGGATTCACAGATTTTTTAGCATCCAAATTTGCAAAATTACCACATTTCATACATATTGCCCACCTAAGAAAGTCTGTTCCTCTTCAATCTGGCTTGCTCATCTGTGATCTGACAGATGGATTCTACCCACAGGCAAAAGAAAACCTTATTTTAAAAATAAAAATTAATTACATCAAACTTAAAATCTCACATCGAGTTAGAAAGAATTTTTATTAAATAAAATTGTAGTGGAGTACTGGCAGCATTGTTTTATATCCATTTTCATCTGTACACAAAGTATTTTTTTTTAATTGGTGAGGTCTAGCTAGTGCAGGTATTATTTATCTAAATTTGGTAGCGCAGTCAGATTGCAACAGAATGATGTGGCGACATTGTGATTTCTTATAAATGTCTATCTTTTCCCTCTTCCCGGCTAATAAGATGCAATGCTCTTGTTTGAAGAAACCAAGATCCCAGCCACAAACAAGAGATAGTTATTGAACTAATCCAAAAGTTAGAATCCTCCTCCAATTTTCCTCTTGTAGCTAATGGTAACTGTTGTAACACTGCTCTAGCCAATGGGGAAAATCTATCGGGTTGTGGGACTACAGGAAAAACTTCTGAGTTTCTAATGAAAGGGACAGATAAACCTGTCAACTCCCCTTCTAACTTTTTTCCTACTGTGATTGGAAATATCATGACTAGAACTGGGGCAACTATTTTGCTACTGTAATTTACATGCATGGAAGTTAAAATTTAACATTCTTAGGATGGTAGAAGAGAAATATAGAAGAATCTTGTACCCTCAATGGCATGACTGAGCGGTTAAGCAAATGCTAGCAACAGCCTAGTGTCAATTTACCTTGTCCCTTTGATTGATAGGGAACCACATATGTTATCTGTTTCTTCTTAAGGTAGCATCTGAGGTTGTTTTTAAAGTGTTATGCCTGCTTTATCCAAGTTATGAGGTTTATGAGCATAAAGATCTTGTGATGTTTTCTTATTATTATTTTAGTGTTTGTAGGCTCAAAATGATGCCCCTCTCTTATGTCCCATCTTGGTAATTTGTATCTATTGTTCATGTTTATTATAGCTGGATGGTCATCAATTTTACTGACATGTCAAAGCAGTTTTGATATTATTGACCTTTTCTACTGTTTTTCCCTTTTCGATCTCATTGATTTCTGCTTTTATTTCTATATTTTCTCCTAATGCTGTGTTGCTTGCTTTTAGTTTAATTTGCTCTTTTTTCTGCTTTTTTTAAAGGCAGATATTCAGATCATTGGCTTGAGACATCTATTGTCTATATTTATTTTCTATATTTCTATACTCTATTTTCTAATTTGTCTTTACTGCTTTGGCTGAATCCCACGAAATGTGAATGTAAATGTCAATTTTGTCAAATTGCTTGATAATGTTCTCCAAGTTTTCCATATATTTACTCATTTTCTGTCTACTTGTTACATCAATTGCAGAAGAGTGTTAAATTCTCCACAAATTCTCATTGTGGAACATTAATATTCTTACACAGCTCTAAAATGCTTTTTGTAACTTTTTTTTTTATTTTGTTTCAGTTTGGGTAATTTATATTTGTATGGCTTCAAGGGCATTGATTATGTCTTTAGCTCCATCAAGTCTACTGATGACACCTGCTGTGGGTTTAGTTGTGCCCTAAAAAAAGATAAGTTGAAGTTCTTAAACCTAGTACTTCAGAATGTGGCCTTCTTTGAAAATATATCTTTACAGAGGTAACTGAGTTAAAACAAGGTTATTGGGGTGGACCCTACTCCAATGTGGCTTGTTTCCTTATATAAAATGGAAATTTGAATGCAGAGGCAGACATGCAGAGAGAGAGGATGATGTGAAGACATAGAAGGCCATGTGAAGATCGGCAATTGGAGTGATACATCTATGAGCCAGGGAATGCCTGAAGCTACTAGAAGTTAGGATGCATGGGGTACATCCTTCCCTAGTGCCTTCAGAGTGAACGTAACCCTGATGACATCTTGGTTTCATACTTTTAGTATGCAGAATTTTTTTTTTTTTTTTTCTTTTTAGATGGAGAGATGGAGTCTCGCTCTGTCACCCAGGCTGGAGTGTAGTGACACAATCTCGTGTCACTGCAACCTCTGCCTCCTGGGTTCAAGCTATTCTCCTGTCTCAGCCTCATGAGTAGCTGAAATTACAGGCATGCACCACCACGTCCCGCTAATTTTTGCATTTTTAGTAGAGATGGGGTTTCACCATGTTGGCCAGACTGGTCTCAGACTCCTGACCTCAAGTAATCCACCTGCCTCAGTCTCCTAAAGTTCTGGGATTACAGGCGTGAGCCAACATACCCAGCCTAGCACAGAATTCTGAAACAATGTTTCTGTTATTTTAAGCTCCCCAGTTTCTGGTACTTTGTATGGAAGCCCTAGGAACTAGTACAACTCTAAAGGTTTTCATTTCTCTTCGTGTTTTTTATTTATATCATTTGCGTTTTATTCTTGATATATTTTTCATTTCTCTACTGAATTTTTCTATCTGGTCATGCATGTTGATTTTTTTACTAGATTATGTAACACATTAACCATAGTTATTTAAATTTCATGTTTAATGTTTCCAAAAATTGTGTAATCTTGCAATCTGGTTCTGTTAGTTACTTTGCCTCTTAGCATTAGGCTCTATTCTCTTGCTTTTTTATCTGTCTTCTATTTTACATTGAATACCAACCCTCATATGAAGAACATTAGAAATTGAAGTAGACAGTATTTACGATTAAAAATGAAACTGCCTTTTATTCTACAACGCTAATATGTGTGACAGTATGCCAATCTAGGAAGCAATTGACTGGGTTTGGATTTATTGTTATGAAAGTTGCCTTGAAGTTTACCAAGGTTACTATGCCATTGGCCTTGAGTTCCTTTAGTGCCACATCTTAACTACCTTAGATGAGCTGTCCTTGGATTTCAGGCTACTTGTCTGACCTGTGACATCAGCATTCGGATGGACTTGAGGAAGGCTATTAGTTTCCAGTTAATTGGGCTTTTTTTGGTCATTGAAGAAATAATCGTTTTATTAGATTTCTCCCTTAGGTCTTCTCAGGTCTCCAAATGGTAGAGATATTTTAGAGAAAAGTGGAACTCTTCTTGCTATGTGAGAAGAGAAAAATAATCACCTACATGATTAAGCACTTTTAGCTGTACTTTTTGTAACTTGAAATCAAACACGTTAGTAGCTAAAATATCTGTTTTTGTCCCAGGTTTTGTAACACACAAAGTCACACAACAACTCACACACATACTGTGGAAAATGCATGTGTGCGTTTGTGTGTATATTATATTATATATTATATATAAAATATATAAATATGTATTATATTACATATTATATACAAAACATATAAATATATATTACATATTATATAACATATATAAATATATATTACACATTATATATAACATATATAAATATATTACTTATTATATATATTATATATAATATAATATATATAATATATAATATATTTATATATGTTATACATAATATATATTATATATTATATAATATATAACATATTATATAATATTTTATATATAATGTATTATATAATATTTTATATAATATATTATATATAAAATATTATATAATACATTATATATTATATGTAAAATATTATATAATACATTATATATTATATGTAAAATATTATATAATACATTATATATTCTTATATATATATTATATATATATATAAAATATATAATATAAATATTTAATATAAAATATATAATGTATATTATATGTAAAATATAAAATATATAATATATATTATACATTATATGTAAAATATATAATATATGTAAAATATATAAATATATATTATATTAAATATTATATGTAAAATATATAAGTATATAATATATCATATATTATATGTAAAATATATAAATATATATTATATTATATATTATGTGTAAAATATATAAATATCTGTTATATTATATATTATATGTAAAATATATAAATATATTTTATATATTTGTATATTTATATTTATAAATAAATATATCTTTATATTTGTAATATATAAAATTATATATAATTATAATATATAAAATATATAAAATATATTTAAAAATTATATATTTATATTCATAAATAAATATAAAATATATTATATATATTACATAATATATATAAAATATATTATATATATTATATAATATATATAAAATATATTATATATTATATAATATATATAAAATATATTATATATTATATAATATATATAAAATATATTATATATATTTTATATAATATATATAAATATATAGTATATTATATATCATATATTATATAAAATATATTTATATAATATATGATATAATATAAATTTATATATCAATATATATCTTATATATTATATATTATATATTTTATATTTTATATGTATTATATAATATATAAATATTTACAGTATATATTATATTAATGTAATTATATAAAAAATATTCACATTATATATTATATTATATATTAACATATAAAAATATATACTGTATTATATATTAACATACAATAATATATACTGTATTATATATTAATATATAATAACATATACTGTGTTTATATTAATATATAATAATATATACTGTGTTTATATTAATATATAATAATATATATTGTATTATATATTAATATGTAATAATATATACTGTATTATATATTAATATGTAATAATATATTACTATATATGGTATTATATATTAATATATAATAATATATTACTATATATGATATTACATATTAATATATAATAATATACTAATATATAATATATAAATATTTATATAATACTAAAATATATTATATATTATATTTTATATGTAATATATATTTTATATATAATATATAATTTGTATGTATAATATATATTTATATATATATATATAGTGAGAGAGAGAGAAGTATACCTAGATATGCAATGCTTCAGATTTGCTTAAACTGTATGTTCTCTAGTATTTATATTAAGTCATATATTGGAAAGTGTAAAATATTCCAACATTTCAATTCAAAACTTTCAAAAAATGTACTATCTGCTGCAGGAAAGTTACCATTTAAACATTTTGTGGGGCAAAACTTTCTCATACATAACCCCTATCCTGAAAAAGTTTATAAAATGGAAGGAAAAAAAAAAACCATGTAGAGAAAGTTTAAATTGTTCAAAATTATTTTATTACTTTTCTATCATATGTTGATTAAATATAGAAAATAATATATTATATGCTATATCCAAATAAGATAATGTGGTTTGTTTATTGCAGCACTATTCACAGCGGTCAAGATTGGGAAGCAACCTAAGTGTCCATCAACAGACAAATGGATAAAGAAAATGTGATACCTATACACAGTGGAATACCATTCAGCCATAAAAAAGAATGAGATCCTGTCATTTGCAAATGTGGGTGGAACTGGAGGTCACTATATTAAACGAAATGAAACAGGCCCAGAGAAACAAACTTCACATGTTTTCTTTTATTTGTGATTGCTAAAAACTGAAACAAAGGAACCTATGAGTTTTATAGATTCCCTATCTAAAGATAAAGAGTAGAATCAACCTTCCCAGGAAACATAATCAGGCTTTGGCAGGGGAGTGGGGACTGGTTAAATGGGTATAAAAATATAGTTAGCTAGAATATATACAATCTAGTATTTGATAGTGCAACAGGGTAACTATAATCAACAATAGTTTATTATACATTGAAAAATAACTAAGAGTCTAATTGCATTGTTTGTAACACGCAGTAAGGGTAAATGCTTGAGGTGATGGAGAACCCATTTACCTTGATGTGATTATTGTTCGTGGTGTGCCTGTATCAAAATATCTCATGTACTCCATAAATAAATATACCTACTATGTACTCACAAAAATAAACATTCAAAATTTTAAAAAATTGACATTTTATTTGAGCATTTCTATATAAATGTTTAAAGTATTATAAGCATGAATAAATATTTACACAGATAAATTAAATTGTAGTGAGTTTCCTTTCGGCCTTAAACCTTACACTCCAATACCAGAGTAGAAATTTTCAAATTTATTTAATTTGAAGATGCTATTTAGCGACATAGCAAGTGGATATGTCTGTATTTTCTGAGTTCCTGCCTGTCGTAGTGTGCTCAAGCTGGCCATAACAAAATATCACCGACTGGGGTGGCTTAACAACAGAAATGTATTTCCTCTCGGTTCTGGAGTCTGGAAGTTCAAGAGCAGGATGCCAGCATAGTTGATTTCTGGTGGAGGCTCTCTTTTTGCTGTGTCCTCACATGGTAGAGAGAGGAATCTCTCTGGTATTTCTCTTTATAGGGGCATTAATCCCGTTATGATAGCTCCAGCCTTATGACCTGATCTAACCCTTATAACTTCCCAAGAGCCCCATCTTCAGATACCATCACAAAGTGTGTCACAGCTTCAACAGATAACATTTGAGGGATCACAAACATTCAGTCTCTACCACTGCCTAATAGTTTAAATAAAACTAGTTAGGATTAATGGAAATAATAGTGTAACCTTTGAAGTGCCATCTGATTCCATTTTAGTATTACTACTTAGTCATTAATGGATGCAGAACACACACATACCACACACACAAACACACATGCACACACACACACACACATATGTCTGTATATTAGCTTACAAGCATTATTCATAGAGTAGACTTTTCTATAGGTCATCAAGAAGATTGGAACTGTCCATATTTTAAACCTATCCTGGGAAATTTATTTTATCACAGTGATGTCCTGCCCAGTGTTTCCACAGAAGAATTACCAACTACACTGAGAGAAGCATCTCAAAACAAAGGTGTCTCTTTTTTTTTTATTGTTAGTGTTGCTATGCTTTTTTGTTTACTTTCTTCCATCTTTTGCTATGTTTTATAGAGCATGCTATTATTTCCACAAAGGAGAACTATATTTAGAAGTAATATTAGCAAATTGTCTTAGTGTGTTAAAAATTGAATTTTATTGATTAAATAATACTGAGAAGTATACTTTTTCTCCTTTCAGGCTAAAAAGAATATAAAATATAAAACCAACAATATTGTAGCTATCAGTTGGTTATTCCTGCTTTCAGCAAATCCATTTTACTTTTTAAGTTTTTGATAATATCAAAAATAATTGACTAAAAAAATTAAATGAGAGTGAAGAAAAGTTTTAGGAAGACAATTAAAAGAAAATTAAAAACTGAAAGAAAAGACTCAGGCTCAACTACTTCCTAAAATAATACCAGCATTTCTCATCTAAACTTCCATTTGTTTCTTTTCAAGTCACATGTGAAAGCTAGGAAAGGGGCAATTAATGTATCGTGACTGAAGACTTTGCAAGTTCAAGTATACAAAACAAACCAATTACTGTAGATTGAACTTTGTAGAATACACACAATCCCAGCACTTCGGGAGGCCAAGGTGGGAGGATAACCTGAGCTCAGGATTTCGAGACCAGCCTGGCCAACATGGTGAAACACCGTCTCTATTAAAAATACAAAAATTAGCCAGGCATGGTGGCACGTGCCTGTAATCCCAGCTGCTCAGGAGGCTGAGGCAGGAGAATTGCTTAAACCCAGGAGATGGAGGTTGCAGTGAGCCAAGATCATGCCATTGCACTCCAGCCCGGGCAACAGAGTGATACTCTGTCTCAAAAAAAAAAAAAAAAAAAAAAAAAAAAAAAAGAAAAAAAAGAATACACACACACACACAAAGGGATAAATTGAACAAACTACTGAACTGTACTTAAAAAGGAGGGATTCTATACAAGGAAGAATGTAAGTTTCGTATATAGGAAATTTTAAAAAAAATCAGGTTTAGCTGCTGATTTCTGAACTACATTTTCTTAAATGAATAATTTCTGAAATTAATGACATGTAATTTAAAGAAATGTGTGTTCTGTCATTTTGGCTTGAAGAATTGACCACTGGGTAGCATTATCAATTTTATGTAGGTACTAGTATTGTATGTCTGGAGGCTTTTATGTAAAATTTTAATTTCTGAAGAGTCATTCCAAGTATTCTCAAAAGAAAATACAAAGTTTTACATAATTCATGGAACATTTTTATTTGCATACGTCATTTTATTAAAGCATGGGTAGGTTTTTTTTAAATCTTTTTTCCTCCTTCTTTTTGCTAAATAATAAGACATGGATTTTTTCCCCCTAGATGAGACTGAAACGTTTCAGTAAGATTCTATTGGATAAATCTGTCTATTTCTGAATCTCAATTATGGACCAAGGTCAATCTGACAACGATACACTTTAGTCAGATGCAAATTGAGAAATATAGCCAAGTACTTGTTTTAAACACCTTGAAAAAAGTTAAAACATGTTTATAATATTTTAGGATGCTTGTAAAGGCAAACTTCATAGAAAAAAGAGAGGCCTTAGAGGCCAAATACCAAGAATAGAACTTACTGCTGACTCAGTAAATAAAGAATATTTTGTGTTAGTAGTAAACTCATTATAAACATACGAGTTATGGCCGTGCCAATACTGCCAACATCAATATATGCTAAGCACTTTTTATGTGCAGGCATTGTTCCAAACAAGTTGTACTCTTCATTTTTTATCTTTCTTTTACCCACTCAAGAAATAGAACCAAAAGAAGAAGGGAATAAGGAGAGGAAATTTAATAAATATACAAAAGATATTAAAAGCCAATTCTCTCTCTCTTACTGCACACATGCCGAGACCAGCTCGGTCGGGGAGACCCTAACCCAGTGGCACTAGAGGAATTAAAGACACACACACAGAAATATAGAGGTGTGAAGTGGGAAATCAGGGGTCTCACAGCCTTCAGAGCTGAGAGTCCCGAACAGAGATTTACCCACATATTTATTAACAACAAGCCAGTCATTACCACTGTTTCTATAGATATTAAATTAACTAAAAGTATCCCTTATGGGAAATGAAGGGATGGGCCGAATTAAAAGAATAGGTTGGGCTAGTTAACTGCAGCACGAGCATGTCCTTAAGGCACAGATCACTCATGTTATTGTTTGTGGCTTAAGAATGCCTATAAGTGGTTTCCTGTTCTGGGCGGGCCAGTGTTTCTTGCCCTCATTCCGGTAAACCCACAACCTTCCAGTGTGGGCGTTATGGCCATCATGAACATGTCACAATGCTGCAGAGATTTTGTTTATGGCCAGTTTTGGGGCCAGTTTATGGCCAGATTTTGGGGGGCTTGTTCCCAACACACACACACACACACACACACCCCTTTATCACTCTTTCCACATAGTGTATGTGTGCGTATGTACTTTACAGATCAAATTTCCTCTCCTTTTCCATGCACATGGTCAGTTTTCAATTCATTTGTGTAAAATCTCCCAGAGTGAGCCCATGATCTGCCATTCTAAATTCCAAATGCTGTAAGAGATGAAAAGGCTCTGGTTGTACTTGATTCATGTGGCCAGCACTAACACTGCTCTATGTAGAAAATGGGAACAGCCTCATAATTTGGAAATACAGCTACTAAGAACTCAATAATATGGTTTTGAGATTGATTTTTTTTTTAAATTAGAGTTGGTCATGATGACTTACAAATACACTTTCAATATTCTTGTCACATATAGAAAGGATTACAGATAAGCCCTAAGCCTAGTCCTGTGGCCCTTTTTCCCTTCTGAATAATATTATCTTGGTAATGCAGACTTAGTGATGGTTGAAGTATTTCAGATGGATCTGTATTTATATTAGGAGACAGCAGAGCATGGTGTGTGTAACAAGGGATTTGAAGCCAGGTATATCTGCATTTAAGTGTATGCTGTGTTTTGCAATTGTTCTGTGGTCATGGCCAAATTATTTGCTGTTAATTTTCAGTTTCCTCAGTAACAAAAATAGGGGTAATAACATTAGTTGTATTGTAGATTTCTTGAGTGGGTAACAAAAAAGATAAAGATTACAACTTGTTTGGCACAATGCCTGCACATAGAAAATGCTTATTATATATTGATGTTGGTTGAATTGGCAGAGGTAGAAATGATGGTAGAGTAGTAGTTGGTAGAAGCATTAATCTATCGGGTAAGTGAAAGGGACAAGGCAACTCTCAATAAGATTTGGCACCTGATTTGGGTATTTAACTCATAGCAGGACATGTGTCAAGTATTCTGAGCAAGATATATAACAGAGTGGAAAGAAGCATTAGATCAATAAGGAATACCAGAAAATAGGTGATATACTAGCTTTTTTTATTGTTGCTATAATGCATTACCATTAGTGTAGTGGCTTATAAAACACAGATTTATTATTTTACTGTTATAGAAGTCAGAATTCTGAAATGGTCTCACTGGTCCGCATTCATTCTTGAGGCTCTGGGGAGAATCTGTTTCCTGCCATTCACAGCTGCTATAGGCTGTGCACATACCTTGGCTCATGGCCCCCTTCCAGACTCTCCTGTCTTCCTCTTTATCTTTTAAGGCCTCCTGTAATTATGTTGTGCCCACCAGATAATCCAGAATTATCTTCACATAACAAGGTCAACTGATTAGCAACCGTAATTCCATCTAGAATCTTAATTCTGCCTTTCATGTAACATAAAATGTTCAGAAATTAGGAGAATAAAGATGTGGACATCTTTGGAGGTGGTAGAGGGCATTATTCTGCCAACCACAAGTAAGTACACTAGTTTGAAAATATTTTATAAGTAAGATTTTATAAACTTTGTATTTAGGGCAAGAAAGGGGATAGAAATACACATGAATGAGTTACTTTGACTATTAAGGCAAAATAACTGATTGGTTTTTCTTCTCAAGATATAGACTGATGGCTGGTTCATTCCTACCCATTAATAAGAAATTAACCATCTGCAACAGAGTCCTTTCAAATAATTGTGTCATTTATAATCATGTGGAATAATTGAAATATTGGGACACACTAAAAGACAGATTGAATGAATAATTAGATGATGATAAAGAAAAGCAAGGTTAAACATTACTTTAAATTTTTTAATCATTGAGGACAAATATATATCTGAACAAGAGTCCAAATAAATTATTTTATCTGGAAAAGTGGCCATCCTGTTAAGTTATTTCACTACGAATTTTCAATAACGACTTGCTTTTTTGATTCTGAATATATAAAAGCTATTTAATTTTGCCATCTGTTCTCAGAATGATTACATATAAATTAATTGTGGGTAATAATTTTTAGAATGCATTGAATGCCAAGATACTCAAAATGTTCCAAAGGGAGAATTTATTTAATTTCATTTTCCAAAGTAATAAAGCAAACTTCTTTAAAAAGTGAAATAATGATACAGTCTTTGCTACTTTAATGTAATTTTCATTTTTTCCTTTTTTCAAGATTTTGGAGGAAATCGTATCCAAAATTTTGCCCAAATTCCTCACACTGTTAGTAGGTTTTTGCTTAAGTAGGAATTCATTTATGACTTTTATCTACTCTCATGTTTGCCACCTTTTAGCACTAAAAATTAACATTGAAATAATAAATCCTAACTCTTCTAAAGTTGTCAGCATAGGTAAAAATAATGTTGCAATAGTAAGATAGAAAACAAGTCATTTGTTTATAGGTAGGTATTTTTTAAAAGATGTAAATAGCTGACAGAGAAGCCTGAAGTACCTCAAGAGAAGAAACAAAACAAAATTAAACAATGACAAAAAATTTAACTAGGAATTATTAAGCAGCTGTCACATGCTTGGAACTCTCATAAGTGGTTTAACAGAACAAACGAGGTTCTAGTTCTCATAGAACATAGGCTCTAGTGCATGAAAGCAGGTAATATAAAATAAATAAAAAACACAGTACTGTCAGGTACGTTGGCTCACGCCTGTAATCCCAGCACTTTGGGAGGCCGAGGCAGGTGGATCACCTGAGGTCAGGAGTTTGAGACCAGCCTGGCCAACATAGTGAAACTCTGTCTCTACTAAAAATACAAAAGATCAGCTGGGCGTGGTTGTGGGCGCCTGTAATCCCAGCTACTCAGGAGGCTGAGGCAGGAGTATCGCTTGATCCTGGGAGGTGGAGGTTTCACTGAGCTGAGATCATGCCATTGTCTTCCAGCCTAGGAAAAAAAGAGCAATATTCTGTCTCAAAAAAAAAAAAAAGAAAGAAAAAAACTGTACTGATAAATGGCACATGGATAATTGTAATGTGTTTTTTTAAAGAGGTCAGGGAGTTCACTTTAGATTGGATGGGTTAGGAAAGCTGCTCTAGAGTTGACAAATCAGCTGACTGATAATGACAGGAAGGATAGAAATATAAAGATTCTGAAAAACTGGTAACAGCCTCCCTACTAAGTTATATTTTTCTCTACTACAACATTTTCTATTCTTTTATTATAAAATTGATGAATTAATATATCATTTCTTCAACATTTCTCTTTACGCTTATTGTTTTATTGCTACATCATTGAACATCTAATTTTCTTATTTTTTAATTTGCGATAAATGTTTATTTCATTATAAACTATGCCTATCTTTCTGAGACTTTTCTCATAGAATAAATATATTCAGCTTTCTATTTTTTTCTGAGATTTAAAAAGTTATTGGTATACTTGTTTAAAAAAAATGCCAAATTCTTTCATATTTATTTGTTCTGTTGATGTTACCTGGTTCTTTTCTCAATTTTTTATTATCTTGTCTTAAATTTCAGAAGATATAAAATGTCTCTGAAGTATTATTTTGCTCAATGCTATAATTCATATGCATCCCTTATGTATGTGGGTATGTGCCTGTATACATGAGTCTGTGCTTTTCACATCTATATTTCGAATTGTAGGTTTTCCTCAAATGTATTCTAATCCATATATGCATACTAATGAGCCACCAAAGCTGATTTAAAGCTTTCTGTTCAAAGGAAACATTTCTTATCTGATGGGCTTCATTGCAGAATAAGTAATTACTTTTTGTTTGTTTATTTCATCTTGTTTTTGCATGGTTCCCCTATTGGTCTTTACTGTGAGTTAATTCAAGTTCTTTAAGATCCTCTTATGCCCTGTTTGGATAATCAAAGTCTAACTTTAGATATTCTGGAAATCAGCCAGTGAAGAAAGCTATGGATTTCAGTATTCACTTGTCACACTTTCAAATGATACTCGTATTTTTTATATAACCATGTGAACCACACAACCCCTTCTTTGACTATTATTTCTGAGACCAGAACCCCTATTATTCAGTTTCTAAAGGTAATGAACTGTTGATCTTATGTGAAGCTTATGAAACCGAGATGCCACATTGCAGGGTTTTGAATAGTGTCTTAGAGAACTTGGGGAACAAGATTTTTATACTAATTATTGCACTCTCCTGGCTGTGTTGAGTGTCCCACCTTGCATGTATGTTCTGCAACATCAGGTTATATGCCTTTGCTTATTTCACACTTTTACAGTCTCCCCAATATCTGCACCTCCTAATATCTGTATCATTTTTAGAGATCTCCACAGTATCTGGCTCTCCTAATATCTACATTGCTTCTACAGTAATGAATTATAAGTTACAGTACAAGAACTATTTAAATTTGCTACCATCAAATCTCCAAGTTTGGTCACATCTGTATTAATTCATGACTTTTCCTCTATTGCAATTAAGACGTTGTCCCTCTTCCTCCCTCAGGCCAACTTTGTGCTTGTACTCTAAATGTCAGTCTCTTCCACTTTTTTGGAACCTTAGTGTTACTTGATGCTGTCTCTTCTTTATTTTGAGAGTTTTTCAGCCTACTCTCTTCATTTCACATTACAATACCTCAATGTCACCATATATTAAAATAAAAAATTCCTTGATTCCACAAATTATTTTACACCTCTTTTTATCTGTCTTTCATTATTTTTTTTCCAAAGTGCAATCAACATTCAATCCTTTTGTTTTTTCACCTCCCAGATGAACATTGACCATAGGATTTCTTAATGTGAGTTTAATCTTCACTATCGGCAGAGTGCTCTCCTAGCAATGCCATTGTTTCTTTGAATTATATTTTTCATTTTACTGTAATCTTAGATCATCTTTCTTATTTTCTGAGAATTTGATACAGTTGTCAGGAGCTCAGCTAAGTTGGAGAGAGCTGAACTGCCAGGTGTCAGAATAGCCAATTAATATAACAAGCCAAAATCAAAGTAACAGCCAAGGCTTTAGTGACTTACTGCGATTGTATAAGCAAGATGCTAAACAGTCTGTCTCCTTTCTGGTTCATGATGAACCCCAAGGAATAAAACGTTGAGGATCAAGTGGATCAGCAAATATATGGAGGTCATCTCACTGTCAAGGGAGAATGGAACAAAAAAACTCCTGCAATTCTGTGAACCCAGAGGATGGGGAGAAATTAATGAGAAGGGCTGGGAGTGAAATACTGGGTCCGAGGGAAGAAAAAGCATCAAGGCCACCCTCCCTCTGATAAGGGGGTTTTAGTTTCTGTTGAAGGCCCCCTATAAAAAGGCCTCTGGACGAAAGCATCTGGGCTAGGATGCACGTGTAAGGACAAATTTCGGCACAGGGGTCCAAGTCCTTGATTGCAACTCCCTGCAGCCCACAGTGCCTTGGCTGGGCAACAACGCTGATGTGGGAAAAACAGCTTCCCCAGTGAGGTCTGTTGGGTAAAAGCCTTTCCAATTTTCTATGGTCGGGCTTAAAAAGATCACATATAGGTTTCTAACAAGAGCCACACTCCTCAGTGCTTATTCCTGAAATACTTGGTTTCTGAACTTTCCATTATAACATAAATCTCTTAAGAGATTATGCTGTGTAGTCTAATGGTAAAAAGTAAGAACTCTGAAATTTGGCTGCTTGGGTTCAAAGACCAGCTCTATCTTTTGTTAGCTTGTAACTCTGGGGAAATTGTATATTTCTCTGTACCTTGGTTTCCTCATCTGTAACCTGGGGAAAATAGCCATGTAAGAATTGAATTAATTTAGTGTAGATGTTTTACAATATGTTAGGGAACCTGTTATTATATTAACCTGAACACACTCCTCAGATTTTCAAACTCCTAAACTTATATTTTCAGGCTTTGCAAGGTATGAAAAGGGTGGTTTAAAGGCTTTTCATGTATTTCTTATTTGGTTTTAAACACATGTGCCATGTTAATTTAAGGAATATTTCAACTGATATCCTAAAAAGTAGTTTTAAATTTAATAATACAACTTTATTATTCCCTTATTTCATGTTTTACCCTGAGTTTTAAGAAATAATTTTTCCTTGGAAATTTCATGGAGGCATGATTTCCATGCCAGTAAGTTTGTAAGAGATAGGCTTAGACAGATTTAGGTAAATGATTAAAGGTCAGTTTGTGAATAGGATACTCTTATTTACATGTCTAAAGTTTAATGAGTTTTTCTCCATGAAGAATATTCAGAAATCTCTTTCCATTTTAATACTATGGTATCGGAGGAAACTTAGGAGTAAATGATATAGTAAACTATTTCCCCATTTGTAGAGTCTCCACCTCTGTCTTTTTACAGATACTATTCCCTCACTTCTGAAACAGGAAGGAAAACAAATATAAAAGTTATGGTGAAACATGGCTGTTGTAGACTGAATGTTTTAGACATCTCAAAATTCATACATTGAAACCTAATTCCCAATGTGACAGTATCAGGAGATGTGGCCCTTGGGAGATGATTAGGTCATGAATGGGATTGGTACCCTTATAAAAGGGGACCCACCCTATTATAAGCTTCCTCACCCAGTCTGCCATGTAAGGACGCAGCAAAATCTGGCCATCTACGAACCAAGAAGTAGGCCCTCCGCAGACACAAAATTTGCCAGGATCTTGAGCTTCCCAGGCTCCAGAATCGAAAGAAATAGGTTTATGTTGTTTATAAACCACTCAGTGCATGGCAATTCGCTATAGAAGCCCATTGGACTAGGACAACTGACCAACATTTCTGGAGCAAATGAAGATGGTTTCATTTAGTTTACTTATACATTACAGCATAAATTTCTCGTATTTTAGAAAACCTTAACCTTTAAAAAGATTTTTGCACAGTATGTCTAATTTGATTCTTACCTTTATGCCTCCCCATAACCAGGGCTCCACAGACTTCTTAGGACATGCAGAATGGTCTGTGCAGTATTGTTAGAAAACAAAGGAAGAAGTAAAATGCTTCTAATACCTTAGAAGCAAGCCATAGTATATTCTTACCAAATAATTTTTATGTTAATTATAAAATTTGGTTGTACATGAAAACTCGCTAAATTATATAGATATATAAAAATTTTCTTAAAGACTTTTTATGTCTATTCATAATAGCAACCTTATTACTATAAGTGCTATGTTAAGAATTATTGCGTTTTGAAAACTAGTCCAATTATTTTTCCTCTACATTATATTCCGATTTAAAAAAATTGCATTGGGAACTGAAAAGAAGAGAATAGGGGGTCTATTCAAGGAAAATATTATTCTTGGAATATGTCTGAGCAAAATCCATGGGGAAAAAAAAAAATATATATATATATATATATATATATATAAAGTTTAGAATATGTATCATTAGAAGTATCATTTCTAACCTACTTTCTGTCTGTCTTTCTGTCTGTTTTTCCTAGTTGAAGACAGACTATTTTGTTTGTTGATGTAAATATGAATTTTTAAATAAAGTGATTTGAAAAATTTACTGTATTGTCTTTTAAAGTAGATTGTCATTTGAAAGTGAGTATTTTCAACAAGCATTTTGACCGAATTATGGATAGAGATATAGATAGGCAGACAAAATTCTACAATCTTTTAACGTAATATCACCGTTTCCCTTCCATCATTGATTAATATAAATAAATTCTGACTGAACAGAACTCTTGGGTATATAACCTTTTCTTGACTTTCATTTGAGTTATGTACACATGAAAGGTGTATAGAAATGATAATAAAATACTTTATTTGCATAACACCTTTGAGCTTAAAGGACACCAAATGCTTTCATAAACACAATTTCATTACTTCTAATGGAAGCAACAAATATTATCATAGAGGAAACAGAGGGAAGATCAGAAAAGCCCCTTATCCACATTATTTCAAGATTTCTTTCATGACTTCTAAATATTATGATTTAACTTATCTCGTTAATTACCCTAATGAAAGAGGAATTCGAGTATATCCTAGAATCTAAGCACATTGTTAGAGGATAAATGGGATCTTTTTTAAAAAAACAAAATAGACCTAAATTGCTTGACTGTGTTGGAAATGAAGTTATTGAAAAAAAGTGTAAGAATTCAAATAGCATATTTTCTAGGCAAAACTCATTATAGTATGTGTTTGGTGTAGTATTCACAATTAAAATAAAAAGCGAAATACATGTTCTATGTTTATTTTTATTCTGGAAGGAAATTGAATGGTTTAAATAGATTAATATTAGCAATTAAAGATATTTTATAATATCTCAAATTTTTTTAGTGGCATTTATATACGTAGATAAAAAAATGTGAAATAATAATTGTCTGTCATGTGAATTTTTTTTAACACTGGAACCACCAGGAAGTAAAGTTGAAAAACTAAAATTTTAAAGCAGGTTGATAGCAGGTTACTAGAGAATAAATGTTACATTCTTCTTTATTACGTTTATTTGGCTATGCCATCAATCAAAGACACTTATATAAGGTTGTGATGATGTCACTTTCAATAACAAGCTTGACAGGAACAATCTTTATACATTGACATGACATCCAATTTAGGTACTCTGATTTTTCAGCCTGTCACTAGAAGAACTTCACATTTCAAAAATTATAGCATTCACCACAGTAAATGCTTTAGTTAAAAGTAAAAGACAACTACCTTCATGTATACTCTTCTGGCATAATCTTATTAAGTACTTATGTTTTGTCACATATGCTTTTGTGCACATACAATTTGGTGAGGCTGTATATAAAAGACTTTTGACCACTTGTGATGATTAATATTGAGTGTCAACTTGATTGGATTGAAAGATGCAAAATGTGTTCCTTGCGGAGCTTGCAGTGAGCCAAGATCGCCCCACTGCACTCCAGCCTGGGCGACAGAGAAAGACTCTATCTCAAAAAAAAAAAAAAAAAAAAAAGTGTGTTCCTTGGTGTGTCTGTGAGGGTGTTGCCAAAGGAGATTAACATTTGAGTCAGTGGACTGGGAGAGGCAGACCCACCCTCCACCCAGGTGGACACCATCTAATCAGCTGCCAGTGTGGCTAGAATAAAGCAGGCAGAAGAACGTGGAAGGATTAAACTTGCTGAGTCTTCTGGCTTTCGTCTTTCTTCTGTGCTAGATGCTTCCTGCCCCTGAACAACAAACTCTAAGTTCTTCAGCTTTTGGACTATTGGACTTACACCAGTGGTTTGCCAGGGCCTCTGAGGTTTTTGGCCAAGACTGAAGACTGCACTGTTGGCTTCCCTACTTTTGAGGTTTTGGGACGCGGACTGATCCACCACTGGCTTCCTTGCTCCTCAACTTGCAGAGGACCTATCGTGGGACCTCACCTTGTGATCGTGTCAGTCAATTCTCCTTAATAAACTCCCTTTCAGATATACATATAACCTATTAGTTCTGTCCTTCTAGAGAACCCTGACTGATACACCACTCAATAGACAAGCAGAACATAGCAAACAGAACAAAGTCTCAAAAACATAATCATCGTATCCTTGGTAAAATAAAAAATTAATTCAAATGGCCAGAAAAAAATGAGAAATTGGATCTGCTAAATCTATGATACTGCTAGAGAATCCATTATTAAATAATACATAGTTTGTATATTATTCCTCCTAACTGAAATTTGTTCCTCTCTTTGATTTCTTTCTTTTATTTTTCCCGTTACAATTTACATTTCTAGGTTTTGTTTTACATTTTTAGTATTTTCATTTATTTAATTTGATTTTTTTCTATATAGAATCATAAACTTTTCATGTGAAATATGCTATATGAATCCTGTAGGTATACATAAATACTAGCTTTTCAAGGTAATTTGTTAGAGTGTATTTCACACACTGGGAAATATCCAGACTTGTACATTTAATGGCAGCATTAAATGCTTCTGTATGCCACTTAATGAAACTACACTTCAATATGAATGTAAAATTAAGGGTAGAGACCTCACAACATCCTCTGCTGCAAGTCATGTACAATATCCAAAAATTAATTCCATGAATAATTATTAAAAGTTTACTTTGATTTCCATTTCTCTAATAAGCAGTAATGATGAGCTTTTTTTCATATGTTTATTGGCCGCTGTTGCTTAGGTTTTCTTCTATGGTTTTTATGATTTGGAGTTTTACATTTAAGTCTTTACTCCATCTTGAGTTAATTTTTGTATAAGGTGTGAGGAAGGGGTCCAGTCTTAGTTTTCTGCATATGACTAGCCAGTTTTCCCAGCGCCATTTATTAAATAGGGAATCATTTCCCCATTGTTTATTCTTGTCAGGCTTGTTGAAGATCAGATGGTTGTAGATGTGTGGTGGTATTTCTGAGGTCTCTGTTCTGTTCCATTTATCTACATGTCTGTTTTGGTACCAGTACCATGCTGTTTTGGTTACTGTAGCATTTTTTTAACAGTGAATTCCAGAAAAGGAGTTAGGTTTATTATTGTAGGTTAGTAGTCTTAATTGGATAGCCTCTGTATTTTTTGATAAGTTCTTATTTTAAGTGACGATGTAACAGGATCTGGGATGTAATGTGAGGTCCTTGTCAAAATAGAAAGCATGTATCATAGATTTCTAAATAGTCATGCAGAGCAGCTAAGATATGCAAGAAACTTGCCCAGCAACAACTATGTAATTTTTGCTAACCATATGGTATTCTTTCTCCAATTGCCCTTCATATTTTGTATTCCAAATGATTAGCTAATAGTTTATAATTGTTTATGTTAAGTATTCATTTCTTGGTCTAAAAATCTTAGTAACTTAGAATTTGATAATGTTACCCAGGGGAGAACAAAAAAGAAATATATATTAATTTTCTCTTTGCTTTATGTCTGTTTTAAATAATTTTTGAATGAAAAATCTGCCCTTGATGATTAGTTGCTTTGTGTTAAGAGTGCTTTAATGGTCTTTTATTAAGCTTTATTAAAAAATGGTCTTTTGGACTCTTTAATAAATTTTTTTTCTGATTTCCTAATGAGGTCTTCCCATGTAGCCAATCATTTTCCAAAAGGCCTGATTTAGTAGTCACCCACTTCTCTGAATAATTATTCAATTTAGCCAGGTGCAGTGGCTCACGCCTGTAATCCCAGCACTTTGGGAAGCCAAGGCATGTGGATCACCTGAGGTCAGCAGTTTGAGACCAGGCTGGCCAACATGGCAAAATCCTGTCTCTACTAAAATACAAAAATTAGCCAGGTGTGGTAGTGCTCGCCTGTAGTCTCAGCTTCTGAGGAGGCTGAGGCAGAAGAACCATTTGAAGCTGGGAGGCAGAGCTTGCAGTAGTGAGCCAAGATCGTACCACTGCACTCCAGACTGGGTGACAGAGCAAGACTCTGTCTGAAATAAAAAAATAAAAAAATAAAATCAGTTTACATGTGTGTGTTTTATATGAGCTTTGTAGAAAAAAATTAAATAACATTTATTTCTGACAGCCTTTTATACTCGATGATTTAAAAATAAAAGAAAAAATTATGAATTTAGTTTACATTAGTTTATAGCAAGCCATGTAGTATTACATTGTTAATATTTCACTTCTCCAGTCCCTTTACATAAGAGATGTGCTGAAATAGCTGGGTCATGACTTTAAATAATAAAGAAGATTTTGCTATTGGATGGTGCCAATTTCGGTAAGACAAATTGGTGAAATTGGAGGATTTACTTGTGGTCAGCTTTTGTTTTTTATTTATACTGATTCTGTATTCTCATTTTTGATGTTTGGTTCCTATTAAAGGTCACTAATAATTTTATCTTTTGATCTTTTGTGGAAATAATTGAAGAACAACCAAATAAGAACAGACAAAAGCTATTTTTGAAAGTTTGTCATAGCAAGAGAGTCATTACCCTCATCTGCACTTTGGCAGAGACCCAAAGATAGACAAAGGAGTGGAAAAGCTTGATAGTGGAAAAACGGAAAGCTTCAAGCGTGCCCTGATTGGAGGCTGTTAGCGTTGGGGAGCTGTAGGCAGTCTAACTAGAAGCAGGGCATCCCATGTGATTGATTAGGAGTGTATATTTGGCTTCCTCTGTCCTGTCTGATATTTGAAGTAGAGACAAAAATTAGGGAAGCTGTCAGTTATTAATCAATTCCTAGAAATTGTAGGCTTATTGTTACAGGAGTTATTGTTTCTTTTCCTAAAATATTTGCTAGAGATAGTTGTTTTACTTCCTGAAAGTTTAACTAGTGGATATTAAATAGTTCAGGTTAGTAGATAATAGTTTGCCTTTCCAGGCTGGTTATTCTAGATGACAAGTCGATTTCTTGGGCTGCAGATTTGTGAGTCAAATTTCTATGTTTTATTTACGGCCATTGTCCATTTGTTTATCTAGTCTCAGTTTTCATAGGTAAACTTTAGACATTATTGCCTAAAAGTTTATATTAATTCTGGGTTGATGAGCAAAGTAATGGGTACAGATAAGTATACCTTTTTTAATCTGCTTATTATTATTATTATTATACTTTAAGTTCAGGGATACATGTGCAGAACGTGCGGGTTTGTTACATAGGTATACACGTGCCATGGTGGTTTGCTGCACCCATCAACCCGTCATCTACATTAGGTATTTCTCCTAATGCTGTTCCTCCCATAACTCCCCACCCCCTGACAGGCCCTAGTGTGTGATGTTTTCCTCCCTGTGTCCATGTGTTCTCATTGTTCAACTCACACCTATGAGTACACCAAGGGTTAATTAAGAAAATAGCATTGATCTAAAATGCATTTGCTATCTTTTTGTGTTTGTCATATATTATAGAAATATTTGTTATCACTTGAATACCTATTGTCAAACTCCTGTTTTTCAAGACAAGACTTTTAAAAAACAGTCTAACTCATTTGGATTGGATTTGCAAGAAAAAAAATGGCCTTTTTACTTTGGGAAATTTCTAGTCACTTCAGCTGATTGTCTGTAAAGGGAAGGTAGCATTCATTGATGAATAACCATGTTTACCTTAGATTATGGTCTTTTATTCCCGAGGGTGATGTTTAAACTTCTTCAAATTCTGAGGAGAATGAAGTGCATTCATAAAAATATTTTTGCCATTTATTGAATTTCTTTTATATACTAGAAAATTTCCTACCTTTATATATATTTTTTTCAATGGCATCTCTAATGAGCAGTATAGATATACTTAAGAAAATGAGACTCAGGGAGTCCCTACATTCTGGCAGCTAGGGAGAGAGAATTCAAAGTCCTAACTTCATTATGCTTTACAGTTCCTCAATGATGTAGTTTTATTTTGTCTACAAATTATATGTCTCTTAAAGTGAAACTATAAATTACATACAACATCGAATGTGAGAGGAACAGGAATTACACTGATCTGGAATAAAGTCTGATCCTTTCTTAAGTCCCTGAACCGCTAATGCCACAACTGCTCGCTAATGTAGAATTCATTTGGGAGAATAACTTGGACTTAAAATAATGTTAGAAAAATATCATTAAAGAAACAACATAGGAAGTTAAAATAGAAAAGCATGCTTAATTTTTGCAACCCATTATCATAGTTTAATAAAATTTAAGCACTTTAAAAAAATAAGTAACAGAGAAAAATTAGAAACAGCCTAAATATACATATTAGGGGAGTAATTCAATAAGGATTATCCATCCATACATTGGATCATCAGGTGTTAATTGATCATTATGTTTTAATTTGTGATATTTAGCAGGGATTTATTAAATAAGACCTGTGAGTGTTTTTGATAAACAAGATAAATAATTTTTAACTCTACCTGCATATTTAAATATTGAATGTTTTATGGTAGCAATATGTAGAATATTGTAGCAATATATTTACCTAATTTTCAGTTGCAAATATAAATAATTTCCATTTTTTTCACTCAATACTCAAGATAAAATGAATGTTCCTCCTTTCAGCTTTGTCATGATTGAGCATTTGTAATTGTTTAGAACATAACGCCTGAATTGAACCGTTGTGTTCTGGCAGTAGGCAATGTCAGTAGCCCGAGTAAAAAATAGTGTCAGTTGGCATTTTTGTCTTTGTCATCACTCTTGTATGGCAGATGAGTGTTCAACAAGAAGCTCAGCCTACTACCCTGACAAATGACATATTCATTTCTATCTAGAAATGTTTTGCCATCATGCTTTTATATAAAATACATATAATAGCATCATCATTTAAAATGTCTTTAAGTTTTGCATGATCTATTTGCATTTGCTTTGTTTTCACTTTGAATTCAAAATACATACGGTTATTTTTCTTAGATACTCTCATATAGCACATTATACATAATTAAAATTTTCACAGAATCATTCAGATTGTATGAAAAGGTGCATTTTAACATTTAACTTTTGTCACTGAATCCTATGTATAAAGAATATTATAATTCCATTTATACTTTGCATATTCCCCTGTTATATTTTACCATTAAAAATTAAAGTTTATAAGACAAACTTCTAAACAATAACATAAAATGAAATAATTTTAAACTTCTCGTTTAATATTATATAAATAATCTACAGCAATGATTTCACAATTTGACCAACAGATTCTCCAGAGACTCCTCAAATCCTGCAGACTAGATTTAAGTTGGTCATAATTACACCATATGGACAATGGGTTGGTATTTATTTGGTTTTTGCTTTCTTCTAAAATGGGTTTAGTACTTTAAATTATAATCTACCGTTAAAGAAAAAAATGACCATGGTAATAATGTTACCACACACAATAAGGGAAAAGTTTCCAGGTTTCTGAGAATGCTTTGTGTTTTTCTTTATTTTTGAGAGAAATAGAAGCCCATTTAGGCCCTCTTGTCACCTTGTTCTCTACATTTCAGATCTTTGGGAGACATTCAGTTTCACATACTGTCTTCAGAAAATGTGTTTCAGAAAAAAATTATAACTAAAAGTATGTCACTCAACACATCATCTTGTAATATATTTACTTACGCCTTATCTCCTATTAGAACAAGTGTCTCAAAGACAATATCTATGTCCTGCACATCTTTTATTTTCTCTGGCTCAGAGCCTATAATAATTAGATAAGTTCTTTTTACTGAATATTTAGATATATCTAAGTATCTGTTCTTTTGATCTCATTGTATTATGGGAGAACTTTCCAACACTACAGTCACTTGATCTTTTTCCTACTTTAAGACCTGCTTTTCCTCCATACTCTTATAGGAACTCTTTGCCTATTTTAATTCTAAATTCTGGTGTTCCTCCAGGGTTCTGTTCTCCAAGCTGTCTGTATATGATGATTCCCTTAACTATATTCCCAGCCCCAGCATACCCAGAATACTCTGTTCAAAGTAATACACACACACACACACACACACACACACATGCGTGCACGCATGCATGCACACACAAGCACATGCACACGTACACACACAATCACACATATATACTCCAATTGGGTTCTTATAGGCACCTTATTTATTTAATTATTTATTTAATCAAGAAGAGCTGTTAAGCGCCTACCTCAAGATAGCATGAAAATCATCACTCAAAATTAACAAGAATAAGCCAAAACAAAGTTTTTTATTACTCGTACTCCTACCCACAACAATTTTTTTTCTTTTTAAAAGTCTTCCCTATTTACATAAATTATTATACCATTCATACCTTGAACACATTTTTAAATTACTTTTTTTACCATGGTTATATACATACAACATAATATTTACCATTTTAACAGTTTCAAGTGCTCAGTTCAGTGGTATCAAAGACATCCGTAATGTTGTGCAACCATCACCACTATCCGTCTCTGTAACTTTTCATCTTGTAAAACTAAAACTCTGTCTTCATTAAGCAATAACTTCTCATGCCCCTCTCCTCTTCTACCCTTGCCTTTGGCACCCATCATTCTAATTTCCGTCTCTATGATTTTGACTACGCTATCTCACACAAGTGGAATTATATAGCATTTGTCTTCTTGTGACTGGCTTATACTACTTAGCATAATGATCTCAATGTTTATCTTTGTTGTTGAATGTGTTAGAATTGCCTTCCTTTTTAAGATTGAATACTATTTCATTGTATTTATAGTTCATACTTTGTTATGCAATCATCTGTCAACAGACACGAGCTGCTTCCACATTTTAGCTATTGTAAGTAATACTGCTGTGAACATTGGTTGTACAAATAACTCCTCAAGACCCTGCTTTTAATTCTTTTGGGTATATGCACAGAAGTGAAACTACTGGATCATAGACCACACTATTTCTGATATATGCGCAGGCCTGAATTATTCTCTGTTTCTTTGGTAGTTTCATACTGTCTGGGACTATAATGCTTTTGTAATCTATGATCACTCCAATTGTAGTCTCCAAACTAATATCTCTACCTCCACTCTTGTTTTCCAGGTCTCTTTACATAGAGCAATCATAGTAAGATTTTTAAAGCATAAAATAGTAAATTAATTCCATTCTGTCAAGAAAGACAGATGGCAATTAAAACAATCCCAAATTTCTCATAATCTTCTACAATGCAGGTATGAAAATATTTGTCTTCTTAATTTTACATGACCAAATATGTGTATATATATTCCTTGCCCAACACACAATTTCCTGTATCTCCTAAAAATACAAACAATACAAATGTCTTCCAGGACATTTGCAACTTTTAAAAAAATTTATGGTATTTATTTGTTTATTTGTTTTCATATTGGAAAGTCTCTCAAATGTTCATATGCCTGACATTTCTCTTCATTTAAATGCCATCTCAAATGTCCCTTTTTCATTATGGATTTCTCTCATGATCCTAGGCAGGGGACTCATCTAGTCACTTTCATATTATGCCTAATCATATTACATTTTCTTTTTGTTCTTATCACTATATGAAGTTATCCAATTCGTTTGTTTGTTTATAGTAGATTAGAGATCGAAGGTTTGTTTATGGCAAATTTAAGTCATGAAATACCCACCACCTTCTTGTGTCTCCTGTATCACAAAGCCAAGCAGGACAGTACAGTGTCTTTACCTGTTAACTACGACCCCTGGCCTCATGCTCGGGGACTAGGGATTTTATAGTGACTTCAAGATTCAGACATAAAGCACCAAGGTGATGTAAACTTGGTATCCTGGGGTGATAGTGGACCCCACACCATAGCATTACAACAGATTTTTGTTAACCAAAGGCCTTTCAGATTTCCACATGACTGTGAATGTCGGTGTGAATAAATGCCAATGAGCATGAGATTAGATAAATGGAAGAACAGAGCCCAAAATGGAAGGAGACAGAGGCAGCATCCTAAATTGACTGAGTTACCATAAGTGACTTGGGGAGGAAAAAATATCTGGAAATGACTGAGATATATTTGAATTGATTATGTAATAGTATCAACTATAGAAACAAACTTGAATTTCCAGAACTAAGTCTAAATTCATTATAAACAAATAAACTTCCAGTTTGATAGCACAGCAAAATAATTAAAATACATGGTCACTAACTAAGAAGACATGTACCTTTAAAAGCAGCAGAGGCTATTGGTCCTTGATCCAGGTGATACTGAAGCACATGGGTCACTGTTAGGAGTTTCTAATAGAATAGAACTGAGTACAAATATTTTTACAAGAACAAAACATGTAAACAATTGACTAAGGTTTTTCATCTTATTAGAATCTTTCTTGATCATATGAGATAGTCACAAATCATGACCAACCAGGCTACACTAAGAAAAAATTGCTTCTGTTATATTAAATTATAAGTGAAAAACTCTTCCAAACAAATACTATGATATTTGTATTGAATATTTCCTTGGTTCTTTAACATTTAATTCAAATGGAAGGTTAATTTCCAATATGCAATTGGCAAAAGAAAAATATGCAGGAACCGTATCAAATTATATGTGCAACTATGAGCAGAGACAGAATACATATGTAACAAAGGTTTAAATAAGTTTAGGCTTTAGCAGGTATAATCACTGAAGAAAAAGAAAACTAAAAATATTTTGAGGGAAAGAGAGTTTATGTTAGCTTACAGTGTTCTCTCTTTTCTTCCTTTCTTTCCTATAGCATTTTAGACAAATGGAAGGCTTAGAATGAAGGTTGAGCAAGTCGATGTTTGTGTTAGCTGAAGAAGAGTACAAAGCAGAGTGAGAGGAGGAGGTAACCAGGGGGTATCTCAATATGAACCTTGCCATTAACTTAAATGAACAGTCCAGAACTTTTATCACACTCATAATTCACTTTCACATGGGATATATTTAGTTGTCTCTCCTGGAGAAATGATATTGCACCATACAAGATTAATATAGCTTGGGCCCTGGTGGCCATTATGTTGCCACAGGTTTATGGTTTTTCTACAGTATTTTGATTTATGATACCCTTCCTTTTAATAGAGGTTCATTATTTGTACATTAAGGTTGTAACTTACTCCATCATAGGGGGACTTCTATTAATCAGGGATCCTATGTAGTTCAGGTTGACATTACTGTCCTTTTTGACAGTATTGCTCAAGCTGAGTCATTTGTTAAATGTGCAGGCCCTTTGTGGCTTAAGATTCACTTCAGCAGCTGGGGAAACATTTTCATTCTGATGCAAAATGACTCTTATGTGTCATTTCATATGTCATTTAATCTAGGTGATAGATGCTTCAATTTAACTAACTCAGCATTATCTATTTATTTTGATTTTATGAGCTCTCCTTTAAATAATTCAAAAATACAAAGCTACGTTCTATCCCAGGCTTAGCATGTCACTTGTTAAGGAAGTAAATAGGCATAAACAGAATAATACTATTCTTTTGCCTTTAGCTCATAGTACTGAAAATCTCTTTTCCACAGATGTTATTTTATCAGAGAGAGAGAGAGAGAGAAAGAGAGGCGTGTTTAAGGTTAGATTCAATATTTATAAGCTTTTTAAAGTTCTGAAATTCCACACACTTTTAATTCATTGTAGGTTTGTAGATATTACATTTCTATGTAACTTTATATATTTTGTTTCAGAACTCCATATTTCAAAGAGAAAAGAACAATTCTGATGAGATTTATTTGCTAAGGAATATTAATAGTGAATTTTTGATGAAATAATACCACTGTGCAAACTCTACTTAGTGATTTGAGATTTAGGGAGACTTTATTTGAAGTTTGAATTTACATAATAAGTTCAGGGAATATAATGCTTCATGTCAATATATGAAGGGTAAAATGATAACTAATAAGATGTCTTGGTTCAAGATATATATTAGCAATACATATTTACCATGCAAAATATTTAAGTCCTCATGCTAGAATAGGTATATAGAATTTTCCAGAGGCTGGACAGGCAAATACAGATTAAAATTATTTAATATTTAACATATTAAGGGTAACCACAACCATAAGGAATTGAAAAGTTGACTTTTGGAGTCTTTTTAATTTTGTATTGTTTCCTAATTACTGCTTAAAGTCTGAGCACAGCTGCCATTCAAAAGTCTTGTTTTTACTATTTTATTTTACATTTGAAAAATAGAATATATTTTTACTTATAAGTGGAAGCTAAAAAATGTGTACACTTGAACATAGAGTATGAAATATAGACCCTGGAGACTTAGAAGGTGGGAGGTGGAGGAGAGGGGCAGATGATGATTTAATGGGTACAGTGTACCTTATTCAGATGATGGGCACACTAAAGTTCTAGAGCCTGTTGACTACATTAGAATTATGCAATAAAAGGAGGAGACACAAACATTTGGAAAGAAATATTGCCAATTTTGGTTACCTAGGTTAAAGTCAATAAATAGAGCTGATAATTAAATATTACTAAGTACTTGAAAATATCTATTACCTAAGAGGAGATATAGCAGAAACAAATATCAAAGGATTTATATGACCTAGATTTTGAAATTATTATGATCAGATTACAGAAAAATGAGATGTTAAAAATGGGCAATAAGAAAGATTATAAAAATTATGTGTGGACTTTTAACAGTTAAATACAGAGCGTATTAGAAGTAGTTTAAGAGAGAATCAGTAAGATGTAAGCTGAAGTATATAGAAACTATACTTATGGCAAAAAGGAGATATTATAAAGAGGAATATAAAATATTAATAGATTTAGAGAACGAAATAAAATTGAAAACACCTTTAATTAGAGTCTCACAGGAAAAGAAGAGATGGAGTAAAGAATAGGCAAATTCTCAAAGAAAGTGCTTGCTAATTTTCTGGAACTAGTGAAAAACATAATTCTACATATTGCGAAATCACAATATATATAAAGAGAAATGAATAAGAATAAATCTACATTCACTCCATTAATTGTATATTATAGTGTAGCAAAGATTAAAAAGACATTAAAAACAACTAGGGAGCTATTCCGTGCTCTAGGATGCTTGGGGATATAGATCAAATCAAGAGACATTTTCCAAATATACACAGTAGCATCACCAGTAGTGATCCAAAAGAACATTTTGCTATGTATATGAACTTTACAAATATAAGATTCACTTCAGCAACAAAAGAATAATTTCATCCTTATGCAGAATGACTTATGTATATTTTAATATGTCAATTCGCATGGTTAACCTATTATAAGTGACTCATCAAGTAATTTGAAAAATCAGGATAGAGAGTACTTTTGTATTTTTGTTGTATTTAAAGCAAAATCCTACATAATTTACTTTAATGGGTGATTGAATTAGGCTGAAACTCCAAAGTGAGGCATATGAAGGGAAAAAAGACTAAGAAAAGTCAAAGGAGTCTGTACATAGGAAAATATCAAACAGGTTTAATATATTTGTAATATAAGATCTAGAAGAAAGCATAAGGCAAAAAATAACTTTTTATTTCCCCTTGAAATTTTATAAAAACTATACATTTGTTTATTTTAAAAAATTGTTTTATCTTTTTTTGAGACAGAGTCTCACTCTTTCACACAGGTGGGAGTGCAGTGGCACAAACACAGCTCAGTGCAGCTGCAACCTCCTGGGCTCAAGCAATCTTCCTGCCTCAGCCTCCCAAGTAGATGGAGCCGCAGGCGTACGCCACACTCAGCTAAGTTTTAAATTTTTTGTAGACAAGAGGTCTTACCATGTTGCCCAGGCTGCTCTTGAACTCCTAGGCTCAAGCGAACCTCCTACCTCGGCCTCCCATAGTGCTAGAATTACAGGTGTCATCCACTGCACCTGGTCAAAACTAGAAATTTAGAGATACCTAAAGCTCAATTAAGCCTCCAAAAAAACCAAATGTCAGGCGTTTCTCCAATGTTTCCTTCTAGTAGTTTTCTCCAAGTTTTACATTTAAGTCTTCAGTTTTGAACTGATTTTTGGGTATGGTGAATGAATGATGGAGTCTAGTTTCATTCTTCTGCGTATGTGTATAGCAGACACACCTATCAGCAACAACTTAAGAATACCCTGAGAAAGGCCCTATGACCTAAGAAGAGCTCTGAATTAAGGACCCCAGGAATAGCCAACCTGGGGATAATCGTTATTTATGAAGGACATCCAAAGCCCTGGCCCATTCCTTGGAATGCAGGCTGTACAGGGGATTGGGGCCCTTTGTTTTGAGTTCAATGGATTGCTAGGAGGAGGGTACTAAATAAAATTTGCTAAATAAACTGCATACTTTTTACAAAAAGTAGTGGTTCTCCTGTCAAGCCCGCCAGCACTGGACTGCTCCAAAATGTAAATTTTCAATAAAACCTATGTCTCATTCCCTTGCTCTAGGTCTCTTCTTCAAATTCTCAGACTCAGTGCCATCCCTATTGGAGTCAATAGAGGTCCAGCACAACAATAACGATATCCAGGTTTCCCAGCACCATTTATTGAAGAGACTATCCATTTCCCAAGATGTTCTTGGTATGTTTGCTGAAAACAAATTGGGTATAAATGTGTGAATTTATTTCTAGGTTCTCTATTTTCTTCCGTTAATCTACATGCCTTTTTTAATGAGAGTACCATGCTGTTTTCATTACTATTGCTTTGTCGTATATTTTGAAGTTAGATAGTGTGATGTCTCCAGCTTTGTAATTTTTGCTCAGGATTGCTTTGGCTATTCGAGGTCTTTTGTAGCTCCATATAAATATTAGGATTTCTTTTTCTATTTCTGTGAAGAATGTCAATTTTTTGATAGAGTTTCCATTAAATCTGTAGATCATTTTGGGTAGTATGGACATTTTAACAATATTAATTCTTCCAATCAGTGAAAATGGACATCTTTCTCTTTTTTGTGTGTTTTCTTAAATTTCTTTCATCAGTATTTTACAGTTTTTCTTGTAGACATCTTTCGCTTCTTTGGTTAAATTGATTAGTAAGCATTTTATTTTTTGTACCTATTGAAATGGGATTGCTTTCTTGATTTCTTTATCAGATTGGTTGCTGTTGACATACTAGTGATTTTTGCATGTTAATTTGGAATCCTGCAACTGTACTGAATTTGCTTATCATTTCTAACACTTTTTTGGTGAACTCTTTAGGATTTTCTGAATAGAATCTCATGTATTCTGCAAACAAGGGCAATTTGACTTCTTGTTTAATTTGGATGTTCTTTTTTTTTTTCTTTTGTCTAATTGCTCTGGCTACGATTTCCAATAACATATTGACTAAAAGTTGGTGAAGTGAACATCTTTGTCTTGTTCCAAATATTAGAGAAGAGGCTTTCATTTTTTTTCCCATTTTGTATGATGTCAGCTATAGGTTTGTCATAGATGGCCTGTATTGCTTTGAGGTATATTTCTTCTGTACCAGTTTGTTGAGAAGTTTTATGATAAAAAATGTTAAATTTTATCAAATGCTTTTAAAATATCTATTGGAATAATTGTATGTTTTCTGTTTGGGCAAATTTTTTTTGAGTGAGACCTCAAAAGCATAGGCAAAAGAGCAAAATTTGACAAATGCTATTATATCAACCTAAAAAGCTTCTGTACAGCAACGGAAACAATAGAGTGAAGCAACTACCTACAGAGAGGGAGAAAATATTCTTAAGTTATTCATCTCTCAAGGGATTAATAAACAGAATAAATGACAGTGAAACAACTCAATAGCAATATAAATAAAAATAATCAAGTTTAAAATAAGCAAAATACTAGAATAGACATTTCTCAAAAGAAGACATACAAATGGCCAACAGGTATATGAAAATATGTTGAACATGGCTAATCATCAGGCAAATGCATATCACAACCACAAGGAGATATTTTTTTTTTTTTTTTTTTTTTTTTGAGACGGAATCTCGCTCTGTCGCCCAGGTCGGACTGCGGACTGCAGTGGCGCAATCTCGGCTCACTGCAAGCTCCGCTTCCCGGGTTCACGCCATTCTCCTGCCTCAGCCTCCCGAGTAGCTGGGACTACAGGCGCCCGCCACCGCGCCCGGCTAATTTTTTGTATTTTTAGTAGAGACGGGGTTTCACCTTGTTAGCCAGGATGGTCTCGATCTCCTGACCTCATGATCCACCCGCCTCGGCCTCCCAAAGTGCTGGGATTACAGGCGTGAGCCACCGCGCCCGGCCCACAAGGAGATATTATCTCACCCCAGTTAAAAATGAATATTGTCAAATACACAGAAAATAACAGATGCCAATAGGGATGCGGGAAAAAGAGGGAGAAAGGAATACTCATTGACTGTTGTTGGGAATGCAAATTAGTACAGCAACTATGAAAAACAGTAACAAGATTCTTCAAAAAACTAAAAATAGAATCGCCATACGATCCAGTAATTTCACTGCTGGATACATATTCAAAACAAAAGAAATTAGTATATTGAAGAGATATCTGCATTCTCATGTTTACTGCAGCATTATTCACAATAATCAAGATATGGAATCAAATTTAATGTCCTTCAATGGATGAGTGGATAAAGAAAATATGGTATGTGTACACACTGGGATATTATTCAACCATAAAAAGTGAAATTCTGTGATTTACAGCAACATGTATAGAATCGGAGGTCATGTTAAGTGAAATAAGCCAGGCTCAGAAAGACAAACACGACATGCTTTTACTTATATTTAAAGCTAAAAAGTGGATCTCACAAAATTACTGAGTGAAATGGTGGTTACCAGAGACTGGGAAGAGAGTGTAGAGGGAGAAATGAGAAGAGGTTGGTTAATGAGTATAAAAATACAAGTAGATGGAATATGTTCTAGTGTTTGATAGTACAATAGGGTGACTATAGTTAACAAGAATGTACAGTATTTCAAAATAGCTAGAGGAGAAGATTAGCAATGTTCCAAACACAAAGAAATCATTTGAGGTGATGGATATTCTGCTTACCATAATATGATCATTACATATCATTTGTGTACATAAAAATATTACCTATACCCCATTGTGTTAGTATGTTTTGCATTGCTATAAAGGAATACCTGAGGCTGGATAGTTTATACAGAAAGAGGTCATTTGGCTTATGGCTCTGCAGGTTGTACAAGAAGCATGGTGCCGGCATCTGCTCAGCTTCTGGTGAGGCCTCAGGAAGCTTTTATTCACAGAGAAAGGCAAGGGGGAGTCAGTGTGTCACATGGTGAGAGAGAGCAAGAGAGAGAGAAAGAGGGGCCAGACTTTTTAACAATCAGATCTCATGCTAAGTAATAGAGCAAGAGATCATTATTACTACAGGGACAGCACAAAGCCATTAATGAGGAATCTAACCTCATCACCCAAACACCTCCCCATCTCCAATGTTGGGAATCAATTTTCAACATGAGATTTGGAGGACAAATATCCAAACTATATCATCCATAAATAGGTATTAGTATTAATAAAAAGTAAAGTAAATAAATATAATTTGTTTTGAAAAATAGAAGAAAATAAACCTAATGCCAGGAATTTTACAATCATCTTTCTGAAAGACATGTGATAAACACAATTTTTTCAAAGATGCTTCAGAAAATAATAGAACACTGCATATGGGGGAATGAATATAATAATGACAACAGATTTATTAGAAATAGTACATGCAAAAAACATTGGAGAATATTTTTTAAATGCTGGAAAAAGAACTATCAAACTAGAATTCTATATCATGTATGTGTTTATATGTGTGTGTGTAAAAATATATGTATGCAACGTAGGTAAACAAGTGAGGTAAAGACAGTTTTAGAGAAAAGAAAAGCTAAGAGAATTTACTACCAGCATACCTACAGTACAAGAAAAAGTAAAGGAAATTCTACAGGCAGAAATTAAATAATTAGGTGGAAACTTGAAACCTTATAATGGAATGAATACTGCACTAAATTTTATATATATATATATATATATACACACACACACACATACATACATACATACATATAATTTGTATTTTTTTATTTTTAAAATAATTTTTTTCTGTCAGCATAGTAATACCATTTCATGTATTTATAATACATGATAACAATAGCAAACAGGAAAAAAATGAGAGGAAAGAATATGAAAGGATGTTGTGGAAAAGTCTTTTCATTAAGTGAGTGCTATTTTGTTTCTTGGGAATAGATTTTAAATATTAAAAATACATATTGGAAAATCAAGCACTATAGCTAATAAGAGAGTAATTATAAAACAGTACATTTTAAAAAGCTAACCTATTCCCAAATGAATTAGGAATGGCAGGGGAAATGAACAATTAATACTGGGACAAATAGAAAATAAATAGCAAGATGCTATATTAAAATCAATACTATCAATAATTACGTTAAATGTAAGTGGGCTAAATACTTCAATTTAAAGGTCAATATTATCAGAATGGGTAAAAGAAACTAGATCCAAATACATGCTATTTGCAAGGAAAAGACCATTTAAAGGCAAAATTAATATTATAGTGAAAGATTCAAAAAGATGGGTGATAGGAACACTAATTTTTAAAAAACTGGTATAGTTATATTATTATTAAAATAGGCTACCAATAAAATAATAATGTCCAGATAAAGGGAAATATTTTATTATTATAAAATGGCTACTTGATTATGAAATTATGTTTTTCAATTGTCTACATAATAATAGACTTTTGAAATATGCAGTTAAAATTTCATAGAAATTGAAGGAGAAATCACGATAGAGACTTTGGAACACTAAATTTAACAAAAACAGCGTGGTTACGAGTGAACTGGCACTCACATACATTGCTGGTGGGAAAGTAAAATGTTACAGCCACTTTGGAAAGTAATATGTTTGTCTCCTGTAAATATAATTAAACAACATTTTACTAAGCTATTTCACTTCTATAGGTATCAATCCAAGAGAAATGACAATCTTTGTCCACACAAATATTTTATGTCAAATATTTATAGCAATATTATTCATATCCCCAAATCAGTAATAATAAAGTAATTATTAACTGAAAAATTGATAAACAATTTGTGGATACGCAATGAGATACTGCTAAACAAGTAAAAAGAGGGAGAAGGAGGGAGAGGGACAAGGAGGGAGAGGGACATGGGTTGGAAAACTAACTATCGGATGCTATGCTTACTACCTGGTAACTGGATCAGTCGTATCCGAAACTTCAGCATCACACAGTATACCCATGTAAGAAGTCTGCACATGTATCCCCTGAATCTAAAATAGAGGTTGAAATTATTTAAAAAAAATAAAAATAAGCAAATTACTTATATATGCATCAACATAGATGAATGCAGAAACTTTATACTAAGTAAAATAAGACATGTACAAAACAGATAAGCACAAACAAAAACTGTTTATATGTATGATGATTCCATTTGTAAGACATTTTGCAGAAGACAAAACTAAAAATAAGAGTGACTTAGCGGTTGCAACTGGTTAAAGGTGGAGGCAAGGTTGGACTGGTTGCAAACAGCATAAGAAAATGTATTTTACTGACGGAAATTTGTTATATTTACATGGGGCGATGGTTATATGATTGCATACATTTACCAGAATATATTGACATCTCTACCTTTAAAAAGTCCATGGACGTCTGTGTAAATTATACCCCCAAAAATCTGGCCCCCAAAAATTAAACATTTTTGTAAGACTAATATTCTTTTTACTACTTCTTTTTCTGGGCTGTAATTTTGTGGGTTTTTCTTTCATTTTTTAATTTTTAATTATTATGGGTACCTAATAGTTGTATATACTTGTGGGGTATATGTGACGTTTTGAAACAAGCATACAATGGGTAATGATCAAATCAGGGTAACTGGAGTAACCATCACCTCAAGCATTTAACATTTATTTTTGTTGGCACAATTCCAAATCTCCTCTAGCTATTTTGAAATATACCATAATTCTTGTTAACTATAGTTGCCCAATTTTGCTACCAAACACTAAATCACATTTATTCTATCTAACTGTATTTTTGTACTTGTTGGTTTTGGCATGTACTTATAGTAGTCCTTGCTTTAGGCCCACCTGATAAGCTAACTATGAGAAAAATTAGAGGATAATCCTTTGTCTTTAGAGATATCATTATGTCATTCATATAATAGCAAACATCATGCATTTAATATCTTTAAATATGATTCTTGCTTAAGAGTTATAGTCTTTTCAACATTTGATTAATATGATGCAATTTGCGGTTTGTATTAATATTATATTAAATGTAGAATGCTAAAACATTAAAGTAAAATAGCATTTCTAATATTTGCTACACATACATTAACATCTTCTCAAACTAACCAAAACATAATCCTTGCTATTTAGTTGTACTGAAACAAAGCAGTTATCCAGTTCAACTTTTATGTTTTATAGATGGAGAAAATTCACACAGGGATTATCAGACTTTTTTTTTTTTTTGAGACAGAGTCTTGCTCCATTGCCCAGGCTGGAGTGCAGTGGCGCGATATTGGCGCACTGCAACATCTGCCTCCCGGGTTCAAGCAATTCTCCTGCCTCAGCCTCCGAGTAGCTGGGACTACAGGCATGCGCCACCATGCCCAGCTAATGTTTTTGTATTTCTAATAGAGATGGGGTTTCACCATGTTGGCCAGGATGGTCTCAATCTCTTGACCTCCTGATCCACCTGCCTTGGCCTCCCAAAGTTCTGGGATTACAGGCGTGAGCCACCACGCCTGGCCCAGACTATTTTTATAACACTCGGAATAGTCTTTGGAAACTAAATGATGTATATCAAAACTCAATTCATATATTGACATGGCTGTGGGCTTGATCCCTAAACATCAGTTCATATAATGTCTCTTTGCCTTAGTTTATTCATATGTTCCAGGTGCTTTTACTATATTTCTCTTCAAAATTTACCATTGATAGACATATAAAGACTAAATCCCTTAATTTACAACACTGAACAACATACAATTAGACCTCAATTCTCATTCCAAGTCTGTAAATTTCTCCAATCTCTAACAACTCTTCTATTCATAATAAACAGATATTTCTTATGATTTCCTTGAATTATTATTTTATTAGTGCCATTTTCTTTACATTTTTCTACCAATTGTTTTTCAAATTTCAAACATACTTTAAGGAACACTGAAGTCTTAGATTCTTTGGAAAGCATTGCTTTGTGTTGTTTTGTTCTTATTCAAAAAATTGGCACTATAACCAGAAGTGGATTTACCATGAGGCCAAGAATGAGTTGGAACTCTATAAGAAGTCGCAGTCATTGCACCAACCCTGGGAAGGGCTTTAGCAACATATTCACCTGATCATATGCTTTGTACACATTGCAAAAATTAAATATAATAAACAGAATTTCTTAACATTGCAGCCTTTTCCACTGGAACTTTCATCCTTTGCTTTTCCCACCTTTAGCATGGGCAATTTTGGGATTAGAAAAGGGAAACATGAATTGAGGGTATAGTTAGTATATTTAGTTCAGGTTTAGTGTAGTTGTAGTCATTTTTTTAAATTCCAATTGAATTTACTTTGTATCTCTAAATTGTCAAACAAAAATTGTGCAGACTTAAGGTGTAGCTCATGATGAGATATATAGATGATAATAACCATACTCGGCATGTTATGTAATAGATCTCTTACATTTATTTCTCCTGTTTAACTGCAAATTTATACCCTTTGACCAACATTGTCCCAATCTGCAACTCCCCAGCCCATGGAAACCACAGTTCTACTCTCTGCTTATATGAGTTTGACTTTTTTAGATTCTGTACATAAGTGAGATCATGCGGTATTTCTCTTCCTGAGTCTAGCTTTTTTCACTTAACATAATGCCTTCCAAGTTGACCCATATTATCACAAATGATATGATTTCCTTATTTTTAAGGATAGTTTATACTTTATTTTGTATATATACCCTATTTTCTTTTCCCATATAGCCATTGATGGACACTTGAATTGTATTGTGAATAGTGCTGCAATAAACATGGGAGTTTATTGAATTGTATTGTGAATAGAGCTGCGATAAACAATGGAGTGCAGACATATCTTGAACATGCTGGTTTCTTTTTCTTTGTATATATACCCAGGACTGGGATTGCTGGATCATACGGTTGTTCTATTTTGAATTTTTTGAGGAACATCCATAATGGCTGTACTAATTTACACTTCCACCAATAGTATAGAGGAGTTCTCTTTTTCCACATTCTTATCAACATTTATTTGATTTTGTTTTTTGATAATAGCCATTCTATCAGGTGTAGCGTGACATCTGATTGTAGTTTTAATTTGCATTTTCCTGATGATTAGTAATGTTGAACATTTTTTAAAATACACCTATTGGTAATTTGTATGTCATCTTTTGAGAAGTGTCTATTCAAATCCTGTCCTTTGTTTTTTTTCCTACAAATCAAGTTGTTTTCTTACTACCGAATTCAGTTGCTTTTATATTTTGCACATTAACACTTTATCAGAGGTATGGTTTGCAAATGTTTTCTCTTATATTTAGGTTGTCTCTTCCCTGTGTTAATTGTTTTCTTGGATGTGCAGAAGCTTTTTAGTTTGACGTAATGTTATTTGTTTAGTTTTGCCTTTGTTGCCTGTTCTGTTTGAGTCATATCCGAAAACATCTTTGCCCAGATTAATATTATGAAGTTTTTCTCCTGTTTTCTTCTACTAGTTTTACAAGTTTAGGTTTTACATTTAAGTCTTTAATTTATTTTGAGTTGTTTCTACAAGATGTCAGATAAAAGTCTAACTTCATTCATCTTCATGGGAATATTTAGTTTTCCTCAGACCATTTATGGAAGAGACTTTCCTTCCCCCGTTGTGTGTTTTGGCATCTTTGTCAAAAATCTACTGCTTGTAAATGTGTGGATTTATTTCTGGTCTCTCTAATCTGTTTCATTGGTCTATGCATCTGTTTTTATGTCAGTACTATGCTGTTTAAGTTACTATAGACTTCTCCTATATTTTAAAATTAGGTAGAGTGTAATGCCTCCAGCTTTTTTTTTTTCCTCAAGAGTTTCTTGGCTACTGGGTGTCCTTTGTTGTTCCATATGAATGACAGAATTATTTTTTATTTATATGGAAATGGCATTGAAATTTCGACAGAGTTCTTTCACCACTTTGGTTAAGTTTATTTCCAAGTAGTTTTCAAGCTATTATAAATGGGATTGTTTTCTTAATTTCTCTTTTGTATAGTTTGCTGTTAGTGTACAAAAATACTACTAATTGTTGTATGTTGATTTTGTGTCCTGTGACTTTACTTAATTCATTTATTAGACCTAACATTTTTTTCTCTGGAGTCTTTGGGGGGTCCTATATACAAGATCATGGGGGTCTGAAAAAAGAGAGAATTTTGCCTCTTTCTTTTCAATTTGGATGCCTTTTATTTCTTTTTCTTACTTAATTTTTCTTATTAGGACTTTCAGAACTATGCTGAGTAGACATAGCAAGTGTGGGCATCTTTTGTCTTATTTTTGATGTTACTTGAAAATCTTTCAACTTTTCGCCTTGAGGATAATTTTATCTGTTGACTTGTCATATGGCCTTTATTGTGCTGAGGTACATTTCTTCTACGTATAATTTTTTAGAGTTTTTATTATGAAAGGATGTTGAATTTTGTCAAATACTTTTTTTGCATCTATTGAGATGACAACATGGTTTTTGTCCTTCATTCTGTTAAGGTAGTGTATCATATTTATTGATTTACATATGTTCAACCATCCTTGCCTCCCAAGAATAAATCCCAGCTAGTCATGGTGAATGATCCTTCTAATATGCTGTTGAATTTGGCTTGTTAGTATTTTGTTGAAGATTTTTGCATTTATGTTCATCAGAGATATTGGCCTGTAGTTATTTTGTAACCATATCCACATTCAGCTTTGGTATATAGGTAATGCTGGCCTTGTAAAATGAGGCTGGAAGTGTTCCTTCCTCTTTACTTTTTTCTTTTTTCTTCTCTTTTTTTTTTTTTTGGAAGAGTTTAAGGATTAGTGTTAATTCTTCTTTAGAAGTTTAGTAGAATTTAGCAGTGAAGCCATGAGGTCCTGGGCTTTACTTTGATGGGAGACTTTTTATTACTGGTTCAATTTTCTTGTTCTTTATCAGTCTGTTCAGATTTTCTGTTTCTTCATAACTTATTCTTGGTAGGCTGCATGTTTCTAGGAATTTATTCATTTCTTCTAGTTTATCTAATTTGATGGCATATAATTGTTCATACTTTGTTCATAGTTTCTAAATATGAAACTGTTCACTTACATTTTTAGCTAAATTGTGACTAGTTATCCAGATGCTATTACTGCTCATGGTGTGGACTCTTCTGCCACTTTGACATGGAGCTACAAGGTCAGAAGTTTTGTGAGAATGTGTCTTATGTGAGTAGTTAAGGTGAAAAAAAATGTTTTAAGTTCACAGACACAGATGTCAATCTGTGAAAAATTATTTCAGATCATTTATTTTATATGTGATGAAGGCACAGTAGAGATCTTCTTAAAGTTGACAAAAATCCCCAACTCTTACATCGTTATCAATAATAGATGAGAAAATAAATCTGCCAATAAAAAATCTTGCCAAATCTAAGATATTTTTACTTTCTCTATAAAGATGCTATTACAAAATCTTTATCATATGAAAAAGATCAAGGGCAATATAGCCAAAAATACATATAAAGTATGTTATTACAGCTATGTGTCCAGCAGTCCTTTAATAAACATAAAAATATATGCTTCTGCTTCTGGTAATTTTTATCTTTTTTAAAAATGTGTAATTAATTACGTAATTAATCATTTTTTTCTCTCAAGATAAATATTCATGTTTTAATCTAGTTTTGCATTCTTAATTTTGTATTTTTTTAAGTGGAACGCCAAAGTGTATAAGCTTCAGGTCCTATAAATCCTGGATATGCCTATGTACCCTCTAGTAGATGACATCTTTGTATCCTTTCTTTTCTAGCTTAGAATTAAATAGACAAGGATAAATGTATATTTAGATCCAAGTAATTAACCAAGGAACTACTATGTGCTAAACATACGCTAAAGTCCTTCACAAATTGTTTGTTTAGTCCTACAACAAGCATATTATAATACTCATTTTAAAGGTAAAGAAACTGAGACTCAGTGAGTTGAATTGTGTTCCAGTATCACAGAAGAAGAGTGTCACACGGAATAGAGAATGGCAAAGCAAGTCATAATATATAACATTTTTTAAGAGTTCAGATGTACCCAATACTACACTGGATTCAGACCACATTTTTTTTAATGCACATTCTCTAGTAAAGGACACAAAAATTTAAACAAATAAACACATTGGCATCACAAGTACTTTAACAGAACTACCTACGAGGCATAGTAGTGGTATAAAGACTAAAGTATTTAACCTAGGGGCTAAAGTTAGAAAATGTGTGATAGTAGTCAATTTTTTTGCACTATTCTTATAATGTGAATAAGATTTTAATGGGTATGAAGTTGAAAATTATCAAACCTAATAAAGGAAACAGCAAAATTGTATTAGGTCATATGGTATTTTTTGGAAATATTAAGCTCCTGGCTATGAGAGCAGAGGGTAAAACTTTGAGGGTTTTTAGGAATGTAGGAGCAGAAATGAGCAGCAACTTGGAGGATAGTGGGCTGGATATGGTCAAAGAAAATGAAGAGCAAAGCGTTACAATTTTGGCCAACAAAGTCAGTGACAGAAGTGATGGACCCACACAGAAAATGATGTTTCCCTGTCCGTACTCTTAGGGAACACACGCAGGCAAGCATGAAACAAAGAAAGTGGGAAACATGGGTCCTCATTGTTATGAACTGAATTTTGTCACCTCCAGATTCCTAGGTTGAAGTCCTACCTCCAATGTATAGTAACTGTACTTGGACACAGTGCTTTTAAGGAGATAAGGTTAAATGGTATCATAAGAATGTGACCCGTATCCAATAGTACTGGTATCCTTATAGGAACAGGAAGGGTGCACCAGGCATGGTGACTCACACCTGTAATCCCAGCACTTTGGCAGCCTGAGGCAGGTGGATCAGTTGAGCTCAGGAGTTTGAGACCAGCTGGTCAACATGGTGAAAACCTGTCTCTACTAAAAATACAAACAATTAGCCAGGCATGGTGGCATGTGCCCATAGCCCCAGCTACTTGGGAGGCTGAGGTGGGAGGATAGCTTGAGCCTGGGAAGCAGAGGTTGCAGTGAGTGGGGATCGCACCACTGCATTCCAGCCTGGGTGACAGAGTGAGACCCTGTCTCAAAAAAAAAAAAAAAAAAAAGCAGGAAGAAATGCCAAGAGTGCACGAGTGTAGAGGAAAGCCAGGTAAGGACACAGAAACAGAGCAGCCATCTGCAAGCCAAGAAGAGAGGCTTCACCAGAAATCAATCCTTCCCACACCTGGATCTTGGTCTTCCCATCTCTAGAACTGTTAGTAAATACATTTCTGTTGTTTAAGTCACCCAGTCTGGGATTTTGTTATGGCAGCCTTTGACGACTAATACATTTATCATGATCATTCTTTTTTTTTCTCTATAGAAATCCTATAATACTGTTTATATAATTTCTAAGATGCACCAATCTACTCAAGCGACAATATGACTTGTACAATTCTATGGCTTTGATTGACATTCTGGATAGGAATAGGCTAGGAGGAAGGGAAAAAGAGAATGGTATATTCCCTTTGTCCATGCCAGCTGAGTCTTTCCTTATTGTCTTACACTGTTTGGGCTGCTAATCACAAAGTAGTATAGACCAGGTGGCTTGCAAACAACATCAATTTATTCCTCATAGCTCTGGAGGCGGGGACGAACTATATTAAAGTACAAGCAGATTTGGTGACTGGTGAGGGCTTACTTCATAGATCACCACTTCTTCTTGCTTAGTCCTCATGTGGCAGAAGGGTGAGGGTGTTCTCTGAGGTCTCTTTCATAAGGGCACTGATCGCATTCATGAGGGCTCCCCGTAATCACTTCCCAAAGGCCCCACTTATACATATTGTCTCATTGGGGGTTAGGATTTCAACATATGAATTACGAGGAGACACAAACTTTGAGTTTGTAGCACTTTTTAAAATAAAGACAAAAATACATGTCTTGAAGCCCAACTTTCATCTTACTAACCAAAACTCCATCTGATAACCCAAGCTGCAAAAGAGTCTGAAGAGGTCACGTGAACTCCATGAGGTCATGGCCTTTAACTTGTTTACCATGGCGTCCCAACGACTATGGTAGTTTTTGGAAGGTAGTAACTATGCCATAAACATATGCAAACAAATGAATATATGAGCTTTCTTGTCTCCTGCACAAAAAAAGGGCATCTGATTGTCAAGAACAAGGAAGAATATTTGTGTATGCCATTAGCAGCAGCAAACATGTATTTCCTTACTGCCCTTTAATTTTAAACAGCATTCTATATCATGATTCAATCATCACATATATCTAGGTATTCATGGTGGACAAGAAGACTACCTATTGAAAATCTCTGATTCATTTTATGGAAGATGAAGTCAAGGCCTAGAGAAATGAGTTGTTCACAGTCGTATGACTAGTTAATGGCAGTCCTCAGAGAGGACTCCAACTAGAGTGTGCAGACCCCCATATCATCCTGTGAAGAACAGAAAAAGTGTGTATATCACTCTAATCCAAATAGCAGTATACCTCTCATTTCTTCTCGTCTACTTAACTGGAAAATTACATTTCCTTATCTTTAGCTTGCCAAGTGTCCTTGATTCCCTCTCCAGCTTCCAAGCTGTGTCGTGGTTAGGCGAGAATGATGCTTTGCATTTGCAACCTTCTCGGGCTACATGATATATATATTCTCATATATTTTGCAGCTTCTGCTTTATTAGCTTTCAGCTGTCAGCAATGTTAAGGGAACTACAAAGATATCATTGATAATTATTTGCTGATTTTGACTTGGTTCTCCTCAGCTCTAATATTTTTAATATATCTGAGTAGAACTGTGATTTCTATATTATCCCACAGGAAATGTCACTAAATAGATTTATGATGCTGTTCATTTCCTATTACTTATGTCAAGCCTAGTATAAAGATCTGTAAGGTGACTACTAATAGAAAATTTCTAATTCCAGTTTGGATTGTACCAAAGTATCAGTTATATTTAGAAGAAAATGCACATGTTTTGAAAAATATTAAACAACCAAATAAAAGTTTATATCGCTTCTGTCACTGACGTAGGTGATTAATAAACATAAAATGTGTAAAATATTATAGTAATTTTAGTGCTGAATTATGTATTTGGCAGACATTTTGACATAGATATTTCAGATTTTCCCTCCAAAGAATATAACTTATCTTAATATGAAACTTTTGAGATACTAAACAATCTTGTGAGTGAAAGAGGAAAAACTTGAGCAAAACTTTTCAGTCTGTTTCTCTCTTTAGCACTGCCATTTGAGAATGCCAATCTGGGCAAATGTGGGCTCCCCGTCTCTGTGCATAATATCACCAATAAGTCCAGGGCTTAATGGACAAGAAATCAGAGATCAAGTAGCATATAGTTTTAAAGAACCATTCTATATTATTTCAACAGAATATGCAACCTGAGAAGTTGATACATTGCAGGACAGCCAAGGTAGACTATATTCAGCCTTTCTAATCAAATCACATAACTATCCAACCTCAGTGGAATATGGCTTTCTCCCTGTACATAGTGTTCATTAAGGTAAATGAATAGCTTTCAGAGCATCTCTCATGGAACTACATTTTATATATATGTACATATCATGTATGTGTATATATCCATTGTATGTATGTATGTATATATCCATCCATATATATGTATGCATATGGATGAATATATATTCTTCATAAATAAGAAGCCCCCAGAAATGCAGCATTCCATCCCAAGTGGCAAGGCAAAGAAAACAAAAAAGATAAACAACAGAAAATCAAGGTAAAGAAAATAAAAATAAAAAGTGATTTCTCTCTATTTTTCCTGGAAATTAACATTGGCCACTGGTTCAAAGATTAGAGAACCAGGGCTTGGTGTAGGAAGAATTCAACTTCAGTAGAGTGGGAATCAATAACTAACCTTATGCCAGGAAATAAAAGCTGGACTATTGACTTAATTAGGAAATTTCACCTTTACAAGGGTGAAAAATGGACATGGAAGAGAATATGCACCTTCCTTTTTGGAAATATAAAATTATGTTCTTTTTAATGATTTTTTCTAAGAGAGGTTCAAGGAGTCACATCATTAAAGGAGTCAGTGAATTTAATATTACTTATGACATATTGTAACTATAATAAAATACATACTTGTTCTGTGTCTGGTCCTAATTCCAAAAACTGGATGCCAATAAGTGTTTATATTACTGAGATTATTTAGACTGCATTACAGGTATACTCTCTCATCTCCTCATGACCAGTCTTCTCAAATCATATGCCCCAAATTGACTCAGTTTTTATGTCTTAAACCAACATCAGAATGTCTGTTCAAAACTCTACAGATGTAAATTCTGAAGAAATCCTAAGACTATATTTATATATATAAGCAATATGTGTTTTAAATCCACATATTCAATACTTTAAGCTGTAACAAGCCTTGAAATCCTGCGTGTGTATGTGCGTGTGCATACATGAATGTAAAATAATGTCAGTGAATACTGACGTGTTAGTGTAAAGACGAACAATACTGAAACCAAAAGTATAAAGATCGATTCAAAGTTCCCAAATAAAGCATACGGAGTAAACCTGGCTAAAAGCATTAAAAAATATATATATTCTGGAAACTATGTGAATGCACATCACTAAGAAAAAATATTCTTTTGTTTTGAGCATAATGCCAAGAATTTATTATATTTATTAAAATGTGTGCATTATTTTATGTATCTATTTTGATTGTTTATGAAACAAAAAATAGAATGTAACAGTATGTGATTTACCAATCTTTAAACAAGCAATAGCATTTCTGCATGTTTATTATAAAATACTACTAAATTGTGAAACCTCTGAAAATATCTAATGAAGTATATATCCAGAGAGAGGCATTATCGTTTTAACGTATGTAAAGTTTATTAGATGATATTTTAAAAAATGGCCGTAAGCACAAGCTACTTTGTTCTAAAATTGCGTCAGATAAATTTTAGCACATTTTTTTATAAGTTAAAAGGACATGAACATGAAATTTTCTATTAAAAATACCTTTGATTGTATTTTAAAGTGAAAGTAAAAAGTAATACAAGTACACTACGTTTTAGAAGTCACACAGTCATGTACAGATTTGCAGAACCAAAGAGAACAATTGAACAGACTTCATTATCAGTTTCACTGCTCCTATCAGTTCTGTTTCCAAGCTATGACAGAAAAATTAAAAACCGTAACAATTTATAGATCTCCAGGAAAGACAATATTCTCATCCTTCGGGTAACGTACTCACGATATTTAAGAGAAAGAAGCGGCAGCAACAGGCACTGAATGAGGCAGAGTTGCTCTACTGGATTGCTAGGGCTTTGTCCTAGTCTGTTTTCTGTTGCTTATATCAGAATACCTGAAACTGGATCATTCATAATGAAATGAAATTATTTATTACAATCATGGAGACTGAGAAGCCCAAGGCTGAGGGGGCGCATCTGGTGTGGGCCTTCTTCCTGGGGTATACTCAGAGTCCGGAGGCAGCACAGGTCATCACATGGTGAAAGGGTAGAGTGGGCTAACATGATACCTCAGGTCTCTCTTCCTCTTCTTATATAGCCTCCAGTTTCCCTCCCAAGATAACCCACTACTTCATTAATCCATAAATCCATTAACCTATGAATGGGTGAATCCATGAATTAATCTATTCATGAGGGCTGAGACCTCACGATCCAATCACCTCTAAACACCACTTCTCTCAATATTACCATACTGTGGATTAAATTTTTGTGCAAGTATTAGAAGGAACAAATGTTCCACCCATAGAAGTCTTCCATAATAAAACACCACAGACTGGTGGATTTAAAAACAGAAATTTATTTTCTCACAATACTGGAGGTTAAAAGTCCAAGATCAAGACGTCAAGAAGGGTTGGCTTCTTCTAGGAACTCTTTCTTTGGCTTGTAGATGGCAATCTTCCTGTTTTTCCACACAGTCTTCCTCTGTGCTTGTCTTTTTCCTAATTTCCTCTTCTTACAATGATACTGGCCATATTAGATTAGGGCCCATGCTAATGAACTCATTTAACCCTATCGCTTTAAATATCCTTTCTCCAAATAAAGTCATATTCTGAAGTACTGGGCATTGGGATTTCAGTATAGATGAATTTGGGGTGACACAATTCAGCTCATAATAGCAGTGGTGAAGAAGGGGTGTCAGGTGCTCTTTGGCTAAGCAACAACCTCACAGAACCGAAATGCCTTACATGGATTTATTATTGGACTATGGCAGTGAACAATCTCTTCACCCTCCAATATCTTTGGTAAAACACAAAAATACTTTGGAAAATCACAAAATACTTGGTGGGATTAGATTTTTAGCTGATGACTTATAGCATTTTATATTCAGGCTAATATGGTACTTCAAATAAGCCCATTTCTGAGTTTGCAGGAATAACTGAAATATGAATTAAAACACGATTTTGGTGAAGGGATTAAGTTTCATGGTTTACTGATATCAGGTAAGGAATTCTACCATTGCATTTATTTTCTTTATCCTTTTTCTATTTATCTGCTTTCCCATCCTAATACTGTCACCCTTACAAATGAATGCCACTTCTATATACCTTGTTGTCAATATTTAAAAAATAGAACCAATATTTTAAAATAAATGTTATTAAAGTATTAAATATTTTATAATGTTTTAATCAGGAAAATAGACACGTTTTTAAATGTGATACACTAGGGCAAATTATATAGTAGGTATTAAGTATGAGAAGTATACAGATAGAAAATTTCTCTTTCCTGCCCACCTATCTAAGCAAAGACAGAAACAAATTTATTATTTATCATAATCAACCAATTAGTGAACAGAGGTTAATATGACCATATATAATACGGAGCTTTATAAGATAATCGGGTTAATAGATATATATAAAATAGAATATCATATAGCTGAAGAACTGCAATTTTAACAAAAATGTTACAATTTATTCAGGAGTAGTCTGGAGACATTCAAGTCCACTACATTGATATATAGGGTGTAAAAAATGCTATGTTTACTTAAGCAAATAGCACTATGGTCATGTTGATGTCTCTTCTGACAACTTATATTCATTGAATCATGGTTCATTGTTTATTCAGCCTTTATTTTATATAGCAATTATGTTAAAATTTTAATTACATGAGAAGAGCAAGCATTTTAGTATATTTCATGTAATTAAAAGTTAGAATAGTAGCACTTATTTATTAATATTACCATAAAATCTTGAAATTTTTAAAAACAATTACGCCACGGAAGAATTTGATTTTTATATAAATGACTCCTCTCTGCACCATGAGGTGAGGATGAAATGTTTGAAGGCATGAAAACGATAAGAGAATATTTTCTACTCATTAAACTGCATGTTGTAAAACTGTTTTCTATGATCCTTTTTCATTAACTGATGAAGGATAAAAGAATATTACATTTTCTCATATGAGTCATAAATTTTGCACTTGTTCATTTTAAGTGGACATCAGAATATGACGTATTTTATCTTGTGTAGCTTAAAAATGCTAACTTTACCTCATCCTTGGCAATGAAATCATGAAGGAAAGTGAATGTAATCAAGGGTAAATTCATGCTAAGAATTACTATTAAATCTAGAATAGCTGAAATTGTAGCAATGAGGCCGTTTTGTGGACTGTGTATAAAAGAAACATTTATGTCAAATTTAAAAATGAATAGTGGCATCTTTCCTTTTTCATTTTTAAAAAGAGATTTTGGATAGAATAAACAAATAATTTTTAAAAAACTCAAATGAAGTATTTGGCATTAGATTTATGGTCATATTCACAGCAAAGCAGCTCTTGAACTTAATCCATAGATTGGGAATTTAATATTATAATTAGGAAATTGGCTGAGATACATTTAATTCAATTTTATAGTCACACTAATTTCTACCATTAAATATACATGATGACAGAAAATATTCATTTTTTAAAGAAGTACATACCTAATATAAACAGTTTTAGAAATTGTTCATTGAGAACTTTTTCATCCAGACATTGAAGAAAAATTATGTAGGAAAACATTGTTAAATTAGGGTGAGTGTCAAGAAATGATATCTGGTATAAAATAAAATAAGAAATTAAGTTTTAACTTGTGCAAAAGTTATAATTAAAACTAGCTTCATAAACTAAATTATTTAAAATAGAACTTTGATTAAAATTAAATTCATAAGCTTTCACTTTCCACTATGGTGAAGGAACAGGGACCAATTTACTCTCCTGAATCGAACAACTATAAAGCAGATGAGGTGGGCAGATCATGAGGTCAGGAGTTCGAGACCAGCCTGGCCAACATGGTGAAACTGTGTCTCTACTAAAAATACAAAAGTTAGATGGGTGTGGTGGTGTGTGCCTATAGTCCCAGCTACTCCAGAGGCCAAGGCAGGAGAAATGCTTGAACCCAGGAGATGGAGGTTGTAGTGAGCCAAGATTGCACCATTGCACTCCAGCCTGGTGGACAGAGCAAGACTACGTCTCAAAAAAAAAATAATAATAATAATCAGACAAAATATATGAAACAGGGATTTCTCAATGCTGGATGGTAATCAATGCAAAAAAGTAATTCCTAAGAGAAATTGATAAAACAAAGGAAATCTTATGATTACTCCAATTTACTTTCTGGAAGGAGTGTCTATCCATCTGTGCAGGGAGAGATAACATCAAGATTAGAGTTCTTGCTAAGTTGAGAAGACAGGATCACAGATAAGAGAGATCAAGGTGACCAGAAGTTTTGGGTAAAACAAAAGAATGGAGGAAGTGAATCAAGTGGAAGCCAAAAAGAGAGGAGATCCAACAATTTACAGCAGGGTCTTCTCAAAAATATGAGTATAATAAAATTAACAAATAAATATGTTAAAGCATCTGCTGTAAATATAATGGTTATGCTTCTGTAGGTAGATAAAAGCATGAACCTGATGAGAAAAAAATGAAAAGTGCTCAAAAATCTAAAATCAAATTTCTGGATGAGAAACATAAAATATCTAAAACAAAAAATTGACTGAAAGAGAATAACAGCAAATTATATACTACAGGAAAAAATAACATCAGTGAATTGAAAGATATAACTATAGTAATCATCCAAAATATGGCTGAAAAATATTGAAGAACAAAAAGAAATCACAGAATCTCGTGACTAATGGAAGACCTCATTCAGTTTAATGTATTTCAAACTGGAATCCTGAAACAAGAAGAGAAAGAAGAAAAAAATAAAAAAACATAGTGGAAATCATAACGGCTGAAAAATTTTCAAATATGATACCAATTAAAAACCCACACAAGAAGATTAAATAACACAAGCAGAATAGTGTAAGGAAAACCACACAAGGCCCATCATAATTGTTGAAAACAAGGGATTTAAAAAATGTTAAATGCTAGAAAAAGTTAAAACAATACATAATGTTTGTGCCACAATGCTAAGAATAGCAGCTGACTCCTAATCTGAAACCATGTAAACAAGAAAACAATGGAGTGAAATGGAATGATGGAGAGGCCCCATTAAAGTACTAAAGAGAAAACAACAACATTCAAACCGCCCAAATTTATTTTAAGAAAATGTTAAAAAAAAGACATTTTCAGAGGAAAAAGCTGAGACATTTCATCACTAGTATACTTGCACTAGGGACATAGTCTGAGATCAAATAATCTACCAAGAAAGAAGAATGAACATCACCATGAATGGCAAATATGTGAATGAATGTAAAATACATTTTTATTTAAAATAAATGATTTAAAAAATAATTTACTGTCCTAAGCAAAATAAACAGTGCATTATGGAGTTTAAAACATATGTAGAGTTAAATTGTAGGACAGGAGAACAAAGAACAAGGGGGATATAGAAGGATATTGAGAATACTGCATAAAGTTTAAAATATACATGAAATGGCACGATGCTATTTGTAGTAGATTGTGAAAAATTAAAGATGTATATTGTAAACCTTACAGAAACCCCTAAAACAGACCCGTAAATGATATTGCTAAAATGTCAATAACAGAGCTAAATTAGGATCATAAAAATACTGAAATTAGTCTAAAAATCAGCAAGAATAAACAAAAGAAGAGATAACAAAGAGATAGGCAACTAGAAATCAAGCAGCAAGTTAATAGGCTTATTTCTGAATAAAACAATGTTAAAGATAAGTGGTCTGTACCTGCAGTATCTAATTCATACCCAGTAGTCATATGTGGCTATTGAGCCCTTGAACATTATCAAGTTCCAACTGAGATGTTCTGTAAGCATAAAATAGACATAAGATTTTGAAGACTTAGTATTAAACATAAAATGAAAATGATCTTATTGATAATTTATTTAATATTTATCACATTTATTGCCTTTTTTCTTTTTTTATTTTTTAAAATCTAACCACTAGAAAATTGGAAAATGACACATGGAGCTGAAATTCAACTCGTATTAGGCAAACCTACCCAATGCACACCAATTCAAAGGTATCATATGTGCAAGACCTGTGCCCTGAAAACTACATTGTTTAAAAAAATTAAAGGAGCTGCAATTAACAGAGAGATATGCCCTGGTAATGGAGCAGAGGACTCCATGTAGTTAAGATCTCAAATCTCCCCAAATTGATATATATATAGAAGCAAAGCAATCCTGATAAACGTCCCAGTAGAGTTTTTTTCAGAATTTAAAAAACTCATTCTGTAGCAGGTATGAAAATACAATGAACTATAACAGTTTTTTTTAAAAAGACTATTTTTAAAAGAAAATGTTTAGAGAGCTAACCTTTACTCATCAAGGTCTAATATACCTTGCATATATGACACTTGTATTTTCTATAAAAAAAGATATATATGATATATATTTATATAAATAAAATATAAATTAATATGAATATGTAAATATAAAAACGTGAAAATGCAGAAAAAATGAAGGGTAGACAACATAGTTTTGACATGGTAAAGAATTAAATAAACCAGTAGTATAAAACTTTTTCACTAAATTAGTTTAGTTTATGGAAATATAATGTGCTGTAAATGAATTAGGTTTTTTTTGAAAATCTTTGGTTCATTCTGTTTTATGTTTTATAATATGTATTGATCTTTAACAAAAAATGATGATTAAAAGTCTTTTAAAAGTCACATAAAATGTTGCTCTTTTCAAAGTGAATGTCCTATTATGAAAGTGTGTCATTGACATATGTAACTTTTGTATTACATGAATTTTTCTAATAATAAGAGCATGTATTTTATCTGAACACTCCTTTGTTAGAAATTTTATTATTTGAGCACAATGGAGAAAGGAAATTATAGACCAGTAATACTCAAAAGAAGCATCTCTCTCTATATAGCAAATATTTGTAGATGACAGCCGATGACAGTAAAGTATGAATCTTAATAATTGGAAAACTGTTATAAATTTTACAATGTGAAGTAGGTATTTGTAAAGCTAACCTAATCCAGAGAATAGCCAGAAATGGTAGCTAAAGAACCATAAATAAAAAGTGGCAGTCAACTTATTGGAACACCTGCACACACAGCATGTGTATATACACACACACACACGTACACACACACACACACACACACACACACACACACACAATCTGGAACCACCCAAAACTGCTTCCCTTCATATTTTCTTATTCTCTAAAGTTCAAGAACACTGTCGCACTGAATTGTCAAGGAATACCTATCAACTATTTCAGAATTACCAGTTTTGTAATTGTGTTTAGAAAATTAAGAATAAATAGAGAATATAACATATTTGCACGTCTTTGTTTTTAACCCACCTATGAGGAAATTTTTGTACAAACTTGAAAATTCCTGTTTCTTCCATAGTGGGTCTTAATGTCTTTGTCTTCAATTTTATTTTCCTCTCATTCTAGAGCAATCTCTTGAAATATACACAACTTTTGTTTTTAATTTTTTGCTGCTGAATTACAAAGGTTTTAACTCCAGTCCACACCTCTTTCCTAACCTCTGAAATTAACTGCCATACCCTTGGGGCGCTTCTCTTCGTACCACACTGAGTATATTAAACGTCTTTCATCATATTCTCCTAGAACACTAGCCTTTTCCTTCATTGACCTTATCACATTTACAGTTGTATATTCTGTTTTATGGTTATTTGATTTATAGTATCTACAACAATTCTGCATGCCAAGTGAAGGCAACACTATTACGTGTGACTGTGTGTTTTCTCTCCATCATTTGTCTGACACTCTTAGCACATTACCTGAAACACAGTAAACGTTTAGATTTCTCTAAATATTTAGATATTATGAATTAATTAGTTAAGACTTTCTTTTCATCAAATTAAGTTTAAAGTTGTCAGTCAGAAACATTCTGTCTCAAGAGAAAATACCAGAGGTCTTTTGTTAAAGGGCAAGTTAATAAATAATAAAGTTAATAAAGCACAAGTTAATAAAGTTATTTTAATATTTTAATACTTGCTTTAAGACTTTACAAACAGGCCTCATTTCATTGGAAAAAAAATTGTGTCCCATTTTCAGCTACCTATAATAATGTGCTTTGAAACGTCACTTTGAAACTCCTCCCATAAATAAGTGGAGTGTTTCCTCATGTTTCATGGATGGTGTGTGGACCTGCACTGATTGTTCAATAGAGTGCGATAAAAGTGACAGCATGTCAATTTGAAGATTTGGCTTCTAGAGCATTACGTCCTTACTCTCATACCACCGGAATCTTGAAACCAGCCAGTAAAATGGTGAGGCTCCCTCCTGCAGGCAAAGCAGCTGTGTGGAACAGCAATGAGTCTTCCCAACTAACTGACAATCAGCCCCCAGTTGATCTGACAGCCGACCACTGACCCATGAAACCAGCCAAAATAGCTCTGTCCATCCCAGCTCCCATTTGTCCAGTCTACTCTGGGTTTATTTGATTTAATAAATAACAGAGTTATTGTTTGAAGTCATTGTGTTTTAGAGAACAGCACAATAAATAATACCGAGAATGGTAATACCAAGACTGATAAATTATAAATGAATATTTGTTGAATAAATATAAAAGTAAACTGAAAGATATTTTGTATTTGTATATAATCCGGTTTCAGTCAGATCTCATTTGAATGAACACCAATTCAAATGCCAAAAGCAACTGAAAGCAAGAAAATTTCGTCTATGTATGTTTGGGTAACACAGAAAGGAGGGTAGTACACTTAGTATTTAGTGGAGCATTTAAAAATTCATAGAAACTAGTAAAAATGTATCTTCTCTCTCAACACTCACTATCCCCTTCCTCCACATTTTGCTTCTCATATCTGCCTGTCAAAAAAGCCTAAAAACTTTACCTGATCAAAAACTAGATAAATTGGCAGTAAGATATTGTTGGAGATAGTAAATAACTTTGTATCTTTGGTTTTGTGTTCTCAAGAATTCCTCACAAAAGCAATACCATATCTTTTGAAATTTTTATTTGAAAAATTATTTTTTATAAAAAGACATGTAAATTGGAACATGGTTTATTTTATTTTTAGACTGTCAGTAAGTTTCACTCTTGCTACTGATATTAAATATTGCTTTAGATTAAAAAAAACAACATGCAAGATCTTACAAAACAATGAAAATTTTCTCTTTATTTTTTGTCACCTTTCCTAGGCCTTCTTTTCTTTTAATAAAAAAGAAAATAATCACCAGAATATTTTTCAGCAGTTATAGGTAAAACATAATTTTAACTTAACTACAAGTACACACAAGTATGGAATATGTCAGGATAACCTTAACTGACACTGCAGGGTTGTTACCAACTTTTCCAGTGGCTAAATAGATTAACCTAATATATTCTTAAGGCTGAGTGCAAAAATCTTGGCATAGTGATCATCAAAGCACACACATGCAAAAATGTCAGCTTCAATTCATCAGCTAGGTAAAGAATACAATCTATTCAATTTTATAGGTTGTCTTTGTTCATAAACACAGATGCAATCAAGAATCATTTCCAAAAAGTGTTCATTCAATTTTATGAACTACTATGCTTATGATCAGTTCATGAACTTTAGGAGAACACTTTTATGTTCAAAAGCATGTCTTTTGGCATCGTATTTTGATAAATGATGTATTAAAAAAGGTAGAGATCAAAACACTGGAAAGGACCAGTACCACAGTCACATGAGACCAGCTAGAGTGTTTCTTCAAAAACTCAGGCATCTAAGAGGATAAGAAACATACTTAGGATTTGTAAATACAAAATGGCCCCCTTGTCAGCATTACAGGTTTATTCAGTCTTTTTATGATTACAGTGACATGTATTTTCACTGTCTCAATAGCAGAAGAAAGATAATAAACTTAACTATTTGTGACTATTCTGCTTAAGATATCAATAATTTCATTAATAATTTACATATCTTTCTAAAATATCTTTAATACTAAGTACTCAATCTTTGCATAGTATACAATTTATATCTATACAGGTGCATATATGTATATGTATATGTGTATATGTATATATAGGTGCATATATGTACATATATGCACCTATATATACTCAGAAGAACACTTAAGTATAGCAAAATTATCTTTAATACTAAGCACTAGCACATTAAATATCTTTAATACTAAGCACTCAATTCTTTACATAGTATAAAATGTATAACTATATAGGTGCATATATGTACATATACATATGTATATATGTATGTATATATGTATATGTATATGTACATATGCATATATATATATGCACCTATATATATTCAGAAGAACACTTAAGTATAGCAAAAAATTAATATGTGTTGAGTAAAAAATAAACTGAGATTTATAAATATTTATAATTAATAATTTTATGATGATAAAATTCTGCTTCTTTGCTCAAATTTTGAGGCATTTGTTGAGGGACTATTAAAAAACAAGACTATAAACTCTGATAAAATAAGCTCTGATAATACAAATTATAATTATAATAAAGACAATAATTACTAAAATAGCATAGCTAACTATATGCCTCTCATTTATATTAAATATTTTCATTTTTATAAAATATATAGAGAAGTAGGAACTAAATTTTCCGCTTATTCAGGTGGAAACTAAGAAACAAACAAGCAAAACATAATATTAATAATAATAACCTTACACTAAAATGAGTGCTTTTATTTCATGTTTGGAAAATTATTTTTCCTCTTCTATAACTCTTTAATCTTTCTGATCCTCCATTTATCAACTGTAAAGTAGAAATAAAAAATCAGTCTACCACATGGGCTTACTGTGAAGATTAAATAAAATATAAAATAATGAGCACAGTATTTTAGCAGTCAATAAAATAGATTTTCTCATTAACATTATCAGTACTATTTGTATCATTTTTCATAGTATGCTCTTTTTAACCACAAAAATTTTTAAATTAAATAATACAATCTTTTATGATTCCTTAATTTTTACAAGTCTCAAAAGCAAAATACGTTTCAATTTTGATTGCCTTTTTAAAAAACATCCATGGTATCTTGCATAAATATCTGTGACCATCACTATGATTTCATTTTTATTATTTAACTATTATTTATTCTTATTTTTATGATTTAATGGTTTATTTTGTGTCTCATTGTAGGACAATCTCATGTTATCCATGGAAATAAGCCAATATATCAGTAAGAATCTTCTTTTGGCTAGGTTAAAAAAAAAAAAAACAGAAAAACAAAAGAGTTTGTTCTCTCTCACTTCAATGAAGCATAGAAGTAGATTTCCAGGTTAGCATAGCCACTCTATCGTGTCATGGGCTCCTTGTTTTTGTCTGTTTAATCAGTCTTAGTCTGTGCCTTCAATCCAGAAGGTTAAACAGAGGATAATGCAGCTGCTGACTTCCATCCTGAAGGTCAAGCGGTTGTGAATGAAACAGGGAGAAACATGGATGAAGGGGCAAGGGGAATTTCCTAGGAGCTGAATCAGGAGGTAACCTTTTTCAGGGATTTCCCGGAAATCACTTCAAGGTCTTTTTTTTTCCTATTTTTTTCAATAGTCACCTGTAGTGTAAAAGAAGTTTGAATAAAAAAAGACAAAAACTTGGAAGGATACATTGAATACCACATAAAAATTCAGGAGTTTGTTACTAAATACAAAACAAAAATAGTGATTAAGCCACTAGATGTTCTGTCAAAGCAGAAAATAAATGAGAGAGAAAGTGTCTTTACATAGAAGCAAAACCTGTGCAATACAGACAGCTTTTCTATAAAAAGATTCGTGAAACTGTTCTGCTCAGGAGAATTCCATAAAAAATGCAAGAGATGCTTCTCACAGTATGACTTCTTTAATTTATTTCTCTGGTGAGCTTAGCAACTTGTGGGTGGCATGCAGGAAACGAAGATGTAACACCGTGTGCTATGAATCTGTGAGTAAAGGTGGGCAAGCAAGTAGTGATGTTATTTTGAGATTAAGTAATCAGCTGAAAATTTCTTTTCTGCACTCTGCAGGTGTGGCTGTGAGTTTTTGATTTGCTCAATGATATAGGACTTCAGCATTTTAAATACAGTCATATTATAGAACCTTTGCAGACAGATCAAACGCCCTGTCCATACATTCTGATTAACTGCTGCTTATACTGATATCTTTTATCAGGTTGTGATGGAAGAATGTTCTAGCACTTTTTGAGTTCATTTCACTGTATTTTAAGTTGTTTTGTCAACTAGTGACTTGCTATTCTTAACAGATTTGGAATCAGAAAAACTCTTAGCGGCCTCTTCAAGGGCATTTTTTTGTTCACATGTTTTCATCAGTTTCAGTTAAACTACTTGGTCCTGGGATATTCTCATTTAACTTTCTGAATAAGCATTTTTGCATAGTCCGTAAACCTCTTGCCAATATCTCAATTCCACTTGTCAATCAGCAATGTTTGCCTTGCTGTTATAGCAAATGTGACAATTACTGCTATTATTTAAAACTATTATAGTTGTTACTGGAATAATGAAATTATCTTTTACTCCCTGTCTTCCAAGAAAAGAATGAGAATGTCTGTAGGTGGAACATTTTCTCTATGGCTCATTTTTTCTCTCATTCATTTAGAGAATCTAACATCCTTGAGGAAATAATACCCCAATGTAGAGATATAATATTGTACAAGAAACAAGCTCCCTACTCTTTGGGTCTGATAGTCTAGCTATGGGGAGAATACAAGATAAGTAAGCAAATATTTAGACAAAATCATTTGGATTAGTGACAAAGGCTATCAGAAAATAATACAAAATTAGTATGGCATTCTTCAGGTTAGAGAGTCAGAAAAGACCTTAAAAAAGGTTAACATTTGAGATGCTATCTGATTTACCTTTCACACATAAAGGTCAGAAGAAGGATCGTTCCAGGCAGAGAAAATAGGCAATGCAAAGGCCTTATGGCCTGGAAGGAATTCCACAGTTTTACTGGGCATAAAGTTGGCCAATCTGAGACCAGAATCATGGGTGAGCAGGAGAGAAATACAAGATGAGGACAGAAAGGTGACTTGTTAAGATGTGTGATTACTTATCTAAGTGATTAAACAGTATTAGCAAGGGCTGATAGGAACTGACATCTATTTTGGTCATTTATGATTAGTAAATTTGAAACTTTTGACCAAGCTTTAATTAGTGAAGAGGGCATGTTCCTGAGTTGGTTAACGGCTGGATTGAGGGTGGAAGGTCTGGATGAATTGCTAGAGAGAGGAGTTTGTAGCCCGGGCTGAGATTATTCTTTCTGGATGGGAATTGGATTTTCCAAAGTTGAATACACACCCACTTGATTTTAAATTAAGAAATGCTGTTTAGAAAAGCATGAATCTAAAAGGGGGAGTGAGGACAGGAACTAGAAATGGCCTTGAGAAAAACCCACACCTCATGAAGGTCTGACTTTTTTTAGTATTTTCTTTTGTACTATGTGAAAATAAATCTTATTTCACGTTATTTAACAATTTTTCCTCCTTCAGAATAATTAATTTTAATTTAATCAGAAAGTTGATAAAGCTTGATATATCTTCTTAATAATAGTTAGAAATAAGGAAAACGCTGTAAGAAAATGTGACTTACCTTATGTTTTTTAATCACCCGTGGGGAAAGAATAGCATTCTATCCTGCGAAGTTGAACTGAATGACAATGAGGGCAGTGAGAGGTGGTGCATGAAAGGTTAGACAGGAACAAGGCGATCAGTTGAAACTGAGGTAACTACTGTAAGAATAACTCAAGAAGGATATTAGATAAAATCTCCCCTTTCCCTACACTAGTTTGTAAAGAATGGAGCCAATAAGTTTACTGGAATCGTACATAATATACACTTAGTGCACATAATTGCATTCAGCAATCATTTATAAAACAAACGCCAAGTTTATTTTATTTCAGGCAGTGGAATAGATACTGGTGTGAAGAGGTATACAAGATCAAGATCCTGATCTGACTGAGCTCTCATGCTACTAAGGAAACTAAACTAACAGGTGACTTTTATAGCCTTGTGTGATAGGTAAACTAATAGAAGATGATTAGATGGAATTCTTCAATGAGATCCCAGGGAAAAAATATTTACTTTGATCAAGTTAAAACAACAACAAAGAACTTTATGAGATGTGATTTGACAAACGAGTAGAAAGATGGAGGGAAGAGCATTACAATCTTACAGAACAGAATGTACAAAGAACTGGCCACAGTGGCACACATTATCTGTAAAATAGTTAAAGGATGCCGGGTGTGGTGGCTCACTCCTGCAATCCCCGCACTTTGGGAGGCTGAGGAGGGCGGATTGCCTGAGGTCAGGAGTTTGAGACCAGTCTGGCCAACATGGTGAAACCCCGTCTCTACTAAAAACACAAAAAAATTAGCCAGACGTGGTGTCATGTGCCTATAATCCCAGCTACTCGGGAGGCTGAGGCAGGGAGGTGGAGGTTGCAGTGAGTCGAGATTGCACCACTGCACTCCAGCGTGGGAGACAGAGTGAGACTCCATCTTAAAAGAAAATAATAAAATAAATGAAAAATAAAGGAAATCAGAATGGCTGAGATACATGGTGAAAAGCAGGGAGTGTCAACATATAATGGTTGAAAGATTAGTGAGTAATACTTGAAAATCATCTGAAATTCCAAAGAGTTCAGACTTTGGTCCAAATATCTTGGGCAAAGTTAAAAGATTTTAGCAGAAAGTCAATATTCATTTTAGAAAGAAGTACTACCTAACCTATTGTTTCTTCTTGTAATTTTTGTGTACTCTCCAGCCCATTGTAAAGGAAAAATAAAATGTTACTGCCTAGCATATAATAAATGAAAAATAAAGGGTTTGTAAAGTGATCTACTCTAAATTTCTTTATCTTTTTTAAATATTTTATTTTATTTTATTTTATTTTATTTTATTTTATTTTATTTTATGTTCCAGGATACATGTACAGGACATGCAGGTTTGTTACATAGGTAAATGTGGTGTTTTACTGCACCTATCTACCCATCACCTAGGTATTAAGCCCCACGTGCATTAACTATTTGTTTGGATGCTCTCCATCCCTCCAACCCTGAAACAGGCCCCAATGCGTGTTGTTCCCCTCCCTGTGTCCATGTTGTCTCATTGTTCAGTTCCCTCTTATAAAGAGAGAACATGTAGTGTTTGGTTTTCTGTTCTTCTGTTAGTTTGCTTAGTATAATGGTTTCCAGCTCCATCCATGTCCCTGCAAAGGACATGATCTCATTCTTTTTTTATGGTCACATAGTATTCCATGGTATATATGTACCACATTTCCTTTATCCACTCTATGACTGATGGGCATTTGGGTTGACTCCATGTCTTTGCTATTGTGAATAGTGCTGCAATAAATATACAAGTGCATGTATTTTTATAATAGAATGATTTATATTCCTTTGAGTATATATCCAGTAATGGGATTGCTGGGTCAAATGGTATTTCTGGTTCTAGATCTTTGAGGAATCATCATCACACTGTCTTCCACAATGGTTGAACTAATTTGCATTCCCACCAACAGTGTAAAAGTGTTCATATTTCTCCACAGCCTCACGAGCATCTGTTATTTCTTGATCTGTTCTTTCATTTTAATAATCACTATTGTGACTGGTGTGAGATGGTATCTCATTACCTGACTTCAAACTATACTACAAGGCTACAATAACCAAAACAACATGGTACTGGCACAAAAACAGACACGTAGAACAAAGGAACGGAATAGACATCTCAGAAATAAGACTGCACATCTACAAACATCTGGTATTTGGTAAAACTGACAAAAAGAAGTAATGGGAAAGGATTCCCTATTTACTAAGTGGTGCTGAGAAAACTCACTAGTCATATGCAGAAAATTGTAACTGGACCCCTTTCCAACACCTTATACAAAAGTTAACTCAAGATGAATTAAAGACTTAAATGTAAAAATCCTAAAATATAAAAACCCTAGAAGAAAATCTAGGCAACACCCATAGGCATGGGCAAACATTTCATGACAAAAATGTCAAAAGCAATTGCAACCAAAGCCAAAATTGACAAATGGAATCTAATTAAATTAAAAAACTGCTGAACAGAAACACACACACACACACACACACACACACAAACCTACCACCAAAATGAACAGACAACCTACAGAATGGGAGAATATTTTTGCAATCTATCCATGTGGCAAAGGTCTAATATCCATAATCTACAAGGAACTTAAACAAATTTACAAGAATTAAACAAATAACCCCATTGAAAAGTGGGCAAAGGACAGACACTTCTCAAAAGAAGACATTTATATGGCAAAGAAACACAGGGAAAAAACCTGAACATTACTAATCATTAGAGCAATGCAAATTTCCTTGTCTTTAAAGAAATTTCTGTTGGGCTGTCATCCATTGCTGCAAAAGAAATATATATTTAGGAATCACTGCTTGATTTTCAGCTCCCTCAAATTATTGTTACAGTTAATTAGGTTTTCCCAGTCTTTTTGCTTATTTCACAAACAAAATAAACCCTATAATTTTTTAAAGGCATATGTCTTACTCTTCACTGCCCCTTGAATTTCTCTGTACTATAAGACTTAAAAAAAGGAAACTTGTTTCTTAAACCTCTTTAAAATTACTTTTTGGTAACATAGATTTTTGTTGTCTAACATCCATCCACATTCTGCTTTTCATTTTCCCAGCTCTATTAGTTCCTGGTAAATTTTGTGCAGATCACATCATGCAGTTCTCTTGGGTGCACAAGAATCAAATAAAGAGGCTCAGCCACCCATGTCTATTCCTCTGCCTTTTGCAAAAGACAATCTTTCCTAATTAGCAGGTGTCTGGTTGGTTTAATTCCCCTGTCACTGCCAAGTTCTGTACCTTGGCTACCAAGAAACTGTTTCTTGAAGAGATTACTTTCTTTGACTATTACTGTAAAATACATAATTACTAGCTTTCTTTAATCTGATTAATTTTCTCCATTGATGTCTAATTGTTTATGTTTCTCTACTTTTTGGCCTGAGAACACATATATAGTAAATTTGTTTTAAATCGATGTGTTCCTGAATATATACTTTGTAAGAGTAACTGGGCAATACATATATTTTTAAATATGTGTTTCCCCTGCCTCTACCTACCCTTATTTAATCATATATTTATTGTCTCTCTGGTTAGCCTAAGATAGCCATTGCGTTATAATTACATTGTACACAAGAAAGGTTCTGTTGAGAAAAAAGAGGTTGTTCACTACTCCAAAACTCAAAATTTACCCGTAGCAACAACGTCATCATTCAGGGTGATATAGCACCAATATATGTTCCTGAAGAATTAGGAGAGTAAATAAGGATGGTCAGGCAGCCAGCTTTCCCGGTTTGAACTCTTCATTTCCTTCATGGTGTGTATGCAAAGTTGAGAATTGTCAGACCTGACTTGTAATTCCCTGTGGCTGAGGCACTGTTGCTAGGGACAGGACAACCTGGACCAAGAGCCAAATTGAGTGTATGGCATAAACTCACAGGGGTCTTTAGCATGAACAGGAGGTGACAGGAACCTGAACCACCCAAAGTCAGTGTCTTTGCTCTGACTGAGCTGAGAAAGTGGAGATGGCAGGCTGACCAAGCACGGGCATTTGAAGAGCTTGCCAGCAGAGTCTCAATGGTTTCTGACAATGTCAAGCATGGCCCAGTTTCTGACAACGTTAAGCACGGCCCCAGCCCTGTGCTCCCAAAACACAGGAACAGTCAAGAATCTCCCAAGCATTTGGGGTTCTCCGACATGGCTGACTGCAAAGAACCAGCGTTTGACACATGACTTTGATAAGACTCATGAACGGCCCCTGTTTTACCTAAGACAAGTCCAGACAGGCCTCTGCAACTCCCATTTTTTGTATTATAAATGATTACTTGAACAGTTTTTCACCACTAACCAATCTAGACAAAATGCCTTCTAACGACCAAACAATAGTCAGGTTTCTCTCCTACCCTAGTCTCCTGAAACTTTATTCCATTTTAAACATTGTAATGCTAAACAACTCTTCCTTAATGGCCAACCCCCACCCTTGCCCCAGAATTGGTTGACCTACCTCAGGAAAAAATATCTCCTAATCAACGGCCCTTTCGTACTACCACGTATCCAACTCTTTGACACCAGGTTATTTCTAGCCTTATTTACCACTCCCTGAAAAAGGAAGCCCCTTTTCAACGCCATGTGATACAGTTGTAGATTATCTCCTACTGAAGGGTCTTCATATTGCAACAATCCCCTGTTCCTATTGCAGAAGTCCTTCTGCTCTATTACCATAGTCCTCAATCCTTTATTGAAACAATCATTTTGAGTAAGGTTTCTTTTTACTGACATCCAAAATGGTTTGCATTTAACAGTACGTACTCAAGGACTAGACCTGGAGATTAGGCGAGAGACATGCCTTTCCTCTAATGACTCAAAGTCATAAAAGTTCATTTCTCATATCTCTAATGACAACTGTGAGAGGAGCAAGGGAAGATGGAGACACCTTAAGCATGAATTATGATCCCAAAGACATTAACTTTAACTTCTAGATTCTATATAAATTATTGGATCAAACTAAGTTTTAAATTAATTTTTGCTAAAATTATTTTTATTTCTTCTATACCCAGGTTTATCATGAGGAGAAAGCTCATCAAAAAGAAAGTTTAGAGAATTAAATAAAATATTTACTCTGTAAATCTGAGTGCCATATGAATAAATTTGTGAGCTGACTAGTCACATAAATTTTGGAACTTGAAAGTTAGTCCTTTTTTACTTAGCTTCTGTTTCTTATTTTATGAATCTTTTCCTGAGTCCTTCAACCTAGCCTTTTATATATTTCACTTATTATCTTGCTTTGTTTTCAATTTTATTTTTTTGATGGTTTAAATACCTTGTTTTTCTGAGGCAATTTCTCGTTAACAGCAAAATAGGAAACAAAAACGGCTTCCTGTGAAAATTATTTTATTCATTTAAGAAAGATGAGATAAAGGAATCTATCACCTTTTGCCTCATTCTTGGTCCCTTTCTCTAACAATCTTGTGCCTTGCTCTTAGTATATTCTAGCCACATTATTATTTTTTTATTTGATTTTGTTGTGTTTTGTTTTTAGTTAGGGTTTTTTTTTGGTCTATTTTCATTTGGCCGTGAGGGTGCTGTCTACTTCCTAATAAAAACTTATATGTCATTTTAAATATTTTTACATAAACAAGAAGTAGAATTTTGTTTAGCTCTATGATCGGAAAGATTTTAGGACCACTATAACATTTAACCAATTTCCTGGAATTTCATTTTCAAAAAAATGGAGTATAAGCTGATTTTATAATATATTCACAACATTGTTTGCTCAGCTAAGTTCCTTCCAAGCCCTGTAAATTGTCCTTGATCTACAAAAGCACTCTTCTTGATTATTTATGAATGTTATTTATACAGTAAAATGCAATGGCAATGCCAAGCAACCTACTTTACAGTAGGTTAAACTCTACAGAGAAAATGTATTTCTAAACATTCAATCTTGACAGGCATACATTATACAGGGACAAATATCAGGCATGAGATAATTCATGCTGGTAATTATTTTAAAACAGCAGGAAATAGAACATTATCGTTACAGAAATTTGCCAGGAGAAGCTTGATTTTTAATAGATGATGTGGAAATACATAATGATTTAGGATAGAACATTTAAAATTTTCGAAGACAAAAGAAACAAAGTGGGTGGTCAAAAGGAAGGTTGGGTTGGATTGTAGAGGCTGGAGAAGGCATGCTGAGACAAGGGCGTAACGGCAGCAAAGTCCTTCAGAAGCGTGAGAACAGGTGTGTAAGGGGCTACACAAAATGACTTAATGAAGAGTAAAAGAGAAAGATAGCAGAAGGGGAAAATGTGGTCTTAATAGCAAATGAAAGCTGTTAAGGAAATTTGCACACAGTAGAATTCATACAATGTCTATGCCCACTAAATTGCAGACTTTACTCTGTCAGACATGGCTGTATTTGTTACTTAACTTGAGGCAATTGAAAGTTTGCAAAAACAAAAACATTTTCCTCTCATGTCCCATGCTCACTGAGGGGATATAGAAAACCGTAAAGCTCAAATGGCACAGCTCAAGCTCTGATCTTTTCTGAAGATGATCTTTTCTCTACCTATTAATCTTTCTTGGAAATATTCACCTAGAGAGGAAAAATGCTTTTTCTTCCATCACAAAAGAGGCAAGCCTTTGAAAACCAGTCTTTGTTCTTCACAATGTGAACTTGTATAATGTACAAAGAAGTCTCTCAGAAGCCCATAAACAAAAGAACACCTTGCTGTACACAAGTTATCTGTTTAACTAAGAGCCCTTTCTTCTCCTCTGTCCTGATTTAAAGTATTTCAATGTGCCACAAAACTAAGATCTAATCATTGCAACACTTGGCAAAGGATTCCCACTGAGATTTTAGAAAAAAGCAACATACAATTTTATGTTAAGATGGGCTCCAAAAGCACATTGGAAATTGGTTAGAGATTGTTTACTTTTTTCATTAAAAATATTTAAGAAAATTAGATTTTCAGTGAAAGATATGCACTGCTTTTAGAAATAATGTTTATAAGTTATTTGCCAACATAAATATTTTCAAATGAAGTTGTGGAATGTACATGTTAATCCATATAGTTGACTTGTACTATTATACCTGAACCAGAAGCACTGATCAAAAACAATTGTTTATATCAAAAGTATACTTTTTTTGTTTTCTTTTCAACTGTGGGAAGAAATTTTGACTTGTGGAACAGATAGACTTTTGCTATCATCCTAAGTTGAAAGTTCTAGCCTGCCAAAAATGTAAAGCATTTTGCCCTATGTGAACTTTACCCATCCTTGTTTTTGTGTATCTGTAATATTCATATAATATATACAATATATGTAATTTTAGAATAAAAAGGAATGAATTACTGATATGTGCTATAAGATGGATAAAACTTGAAAATATTATAAGAGAAAGAGAAGTCAATCACAAAAAGACCACATATTGTATAATTTCCTTTGTACATAATGCCCAGAATAGCCAAATCAATAAAGACAGAAACTAGATTTGCTGTTGCCTAGGGATAGAGGGGAGGGGAGGAAGTGATTACTAATGGGTATGTGATTTATTTGCTGGCTGATGAAAATTTTCTAAATTTAAAATGTGACAATCGTTATACAACTCAGTGAACATACTAGAAATCACTGAACTGTACACTACACATGGGTGAATTTTATATGTGAAGTATCTCTCAGTAAGAATGTTTAAAAATTATGAGTACAGGAAGTCATTTTGGCCAGATGCAGAGGCTCATGCCTGTAATCTTAACATTCTGGGAAGCTGACCCAGGAGGGTTGCTTGAGGCCAGGAGTTTGAGATCAGCCTGGGCAACATAGTGAGATCCCATCTTCATAAATACATAAAAGATAAAATAAATTAGCTGGGCGTGTTGGTACGTACCTGTAGACCTAGCTACTCGGGAGGCTGAGATGGAAGGATCTCTTGAGCCCAGGAGGTTGAGGCTGTGGAAAGCTGTGCTCAGGCCAGTGCACTCCAACCTAGGTTATCGAGCAAGACCTTGTCTAAAATAAATATAAACAAATATAAAGAAGATAAAAGTAATTTGAAGTGAATAACCCAAGAAAAAATTACGCAACATTTATCAAAATGAGATATCTCATTAAGCTCTCATCTAAGAAACTGAAATAATTAAAATTGCTTTTGATATTCATATAAAAATGAACTTGTACTCACACATAATGAAAATAATACTAAAAATAAATATGTCACAAAGGAGAAATCCTTTTAGATGATGACCTAGATGATAGAAGCAGAATGAAAAATAGTAATGAAAGAGTAGATAAGACATAAACAAAATCTCTCCTTTCCTCTGCCCTGCTGTATGTGTGGAACCACAAAATACAGCTGTGGATTCTTCTCCCACACGTGAAGAGAGAATGAAGCTGCTCATGAGTGACCTTTAGAATCAAAGCACTCTGAGTATGAGAGACGCCCTTGAATGATGTGACCCTTCCCTTAAATACCTGTAAAGAAGATAACTGGTCAGTCAAATCAGTAAACTGCACTAAGAAAAAGCATGTATTTACAAACACACACTCAAATACACACACAGAGAGACACACACAGATGGACACACTTTTTTTTTTTTTTGAGACTGAGTTTTGCTCGTTGCCCAGGCTGGAGTGCAATGGTGCAATCTCGGCTCACCACAACCTCCGTCTCCCAGGTTCAAGCAATTCTCCTGCCTCAGCCTCCCAAGTAGTTGGGATTACAGGCAGGCGCCACCATGCCCAGCTAATTTTGTATTTTTAGTAGAGATGGGGTTTAACCATGTTGGTCAGGCTGGTCTCAAACTGATTACCTCAGGTGATCCACCCACCTTGGCCTCCCAAAGTGCTGGGATTACAGGCGTGAGCCACTGTGCCCAGCCCATTGCTTTGTTTTTGTTTTTGTTTTACATAGTGTTATGGGTATAATAGAATTCCCTAAAACCAACTATTGGACCCAGAGGGATGCATGGAACCCACCTTTAAAACCCCTGCTCTGCACACTGGAAAAGTAGGAATAGCTAACAATCCAGAGACATAGAAGAATTATTCTTACAAGGTTTCAGTTTGGCCAAAAACAAGGCTTTTGGGGGTGTTATTGGCTACAAGTAACTGACCACATGAAGTAAATGGAGTTAGGAACTAGGTGTGCAATGTAGACCAACACACTGGAACATAGGGCATAGACTGAGAGCAACAGAGGACTACAATAGGAAGAACAGAGTCAATTTAACCTGAGTTCCTATTGAATGTTTGCTATTTAAGAGTTGTTAATCACAGGTTTTAATTGGTTTACTTCTCCAGCAAAAGTAGAAAAATATCTATACCATATTTTTGCTATCAGTACCAAATAAAATTATGTATGTATAGCAGGTACTACAGTACCTAGTGCTAAGTGGGTACACAGAATAAGATTATTTGTTTTGTGAAAAAGCCTCGATATTTCAGAATAGAAGCATAAATAGTAGGACTTGAGCTCTACCTATAAAATTACAGGGAGTGTTAAAGCCTAAATCCTGAGATTAAAGAGAGCCATTCATCACCCAAAGAGACTAGCAAGTGGAATTTAGTTGCAGAAACACAGAAAGTTAGAGTAATAGGTTGTGTGGTACTGACAACAAGGCTGTCTTCATTCAGAGTTATCTTCTGAGACAGTGGTTCCTTTCATATGCCATAGAGGGTGAGGTCTTGGATTTTCCTGAAGATAGAGTTGAGCTTACATTAGAGGGCACTTTACACACCCAAACCTACCAAGAGCTGAGCTGTGCAGAGTCGAAAACCTAGTAGCTTGTGGCTGGACGTGGTGGCTCATGCCTGTAATCCCAGCACTTCGGGAGGCTCAGGCGGGCTGATCACGAGGTCAGGAGTTGGAGACCAGCCTGACCAACATGGTGAAACCCTGTCTCTACTAAAAATACAAAAATTAGCCAGGCATGGCGGCACACAACTGTAATCCCAGCTACTCGGGACGCTGAGGCAGGATAATTTCTTGAACCCGGGAGGCGGAGGTTGCAGCAAGATGAGATCATGCCATTGCACTCCAGCCTGGGCGACAGAGTAAGACTCTGTCTCAAAAAAAAAAAAAAAAGGAAAAAGAAAAAGAAAACCTATTAGCTTCTGATCATCACTGGTGGGCTGGTGATGGCTTCTTGAGTCAAGAATAAGAATTAATCTGTTACCTGTAGCTTGTGACACTGGAAACACTATATTCGTTTCACTCTCATTTATTTACCTTAATACTGGATGTACACAGGGATTTGGAAGGCGTTCTGAGAAGATCAGAATGATTAATGGAAGCAACTCACTGAGTTATGAAGAAAGATTGCAGGAAGTAAAAATGTATTGTTTACTTAAGGATTAGTTGTCTAAAGATATGTTAATAGTCTCCCAGTTCTTGAAAGGTAAAAATAACATGCTGTCCTTCATAAGCAAATTTAAAATTACTAGCCCATCAACAGTAAAAACATGTACTTAAAGTTATTTTTCTCAGGGATGAGAATAGCTTCTAGCAAATTAAAAAAAAAATCCTACCTTCAATTCCTCTGATAAACAATAGAATTCATGTAATGAGGCAGCACGGATGATGCTGCTTGTAAAAGAAAAAAAGATAAACACTCTAACTTTAATAGAGACTGTCTTTGATCTTTTACTGTTGAAAGTTTTTTGTCCCCCTCACACCAACTAATTCACCAATTCTCTGATTCTCCAACACCAACTAGGTTTCAACAATTCAATTCAATTTCATTCTGACACTATCTGACACTAGAGTGTCAGATCATACGAGTTAAAGGGTCAAGACTGCCTCCACTTCGGACACTAGTTACAGTTACTACCTGTGCTTCTGACTAAATGACTGTAAATTGAGAGTTCCCATGACCCCATCTTCACATGTGATTATTTGCTAAATGGCAACACAGAATTTAAAAAAATCTTTACTTACATTGACCGATTTATTATAAATACTACAACTCAGAACAGCCAAAAGAAAGAGACACACAAGGCAAGATGAGGGAGGAAGGAAACGCGGAGCTTCCACGCTCTTTCTGGGTGCACACTTCCATTATTTCCATATATTCACCAACCCAGAAACTCTAAACCCTGTCATTTAGGTTTTCTTCAGCCATTGGTGAATAGCCCAATCTACAGATCCTTTCCCATTCCTGGAGGTTGGGGAAAGTAGGGCTTATAGTTAACCAATTCTTGGTCTTTTTGGTAATCAGCTTCCGCCCTGAAGGTATGTGCCCACTAAGAGTTTCCTCATCAGGGCATAAAAGACTCCATCATCCTTTTCACTGAGAAAATTCCAAGGGTTTTACAAATTCTGTGCCAGGTAGCAGGGACAAAGACTACATGTTTTTTTTCTTTCTTTTTTTTGAGATGGAGTCTTGCCCTGTCACCCAGGCTGGAGTGCAGTGGCATGATATTGGCTCACTGCAACCTCCGCCTCCTGGGTTCAAGTGATTCTCCTGCTCCAGGCCCCCGAGTAGCTGGGATTACAGGCGCGTGCCACCACGCCCAGCTAATTTTTTGTATCTTTGGTAGAGACGGGGTTTCTCCATGTTGGCCAGGCTGGTCTCAAACTCCTGAACTTGTGATCCGCCCACTTCAGCATCCCAAAGTGCTGGGATTACAGAAGGGTCAAGTGTTTTCCTATGATACCACAACTATATACCAACCCACGGAATTAGATTATCACAAACAAGGTGAAATACTAGGCCACCAATTAATATACGTCCCGCGCACACACACACGTATCTTGTTGTAGCTCCCCATCAAATGTTCACGTTTGCCCATTTCTTACAGTTTGTTTTGACCATATAGCCAGATTTCTCTGTTCCCCACAGACACTTGAACTTTGGCTTATCCCCATACCTGAGGAAGCGCTAAGATGCAGAATATACCCTGTTCATTAGGTCATCCCAAGTATCAGCTGACTACCCCAGGTACATTTCCTGTCGTGGTGCCTGTCATGCGATGTACTCACTCCTCATTGCTTGCCTAATTTCCCCTTAGACATTTCTGCAAAGTTCTGCCTACTTCTATAAAAGAAAGACTTTTTTTTCTGTTTGATTTTGCATTTCTTTTCATTGGACACTTCTTAAAACAAGTGTTAATAATGCTAAAATCACTTCAAATGTCAATACCAGCATCAAGTCTATCCAGACAAAATGAAACTAATAATTAAACAATTATATCATAGACTTAGGCAATGGAAAATTGGCAATCTGAAGTCTTTTGAATTTATAAAGGTGCTTTTTACAAACTGGGTTCTACAGTGAAGGAAAGGTAAAAATACATCATTTTAAAAATAACATTTGACTACATACCAGGGAAAATTTTCTTAAAATTTCATTACTTCATTTTTATGAGTTCTCACTTACATAGAATTACATTATTTTTATCTCATCTATAGCTCACTTATATAAGCCAAATCAGACATCATCCTGCCCAATCTTTTCTAAAAAATATACATAATTTTTATTAGAAAATAAAAATATGAAATGCTTCACAAATTTGCATGCCATTTTTTGCAGGTATATGCTAGCCTTTTCTGTATTATTCCAGTTTTAGTAGATATGCTATCTACTTGAACACAGAATCTCTTTTTATTATTATTACAAGGATAGTTGAGATTCAGGGGCTACATTGAGAGGATGGCCAGTTAATCACCTCTTTAAAATAAAAATAAATCTTTGCATTACCCCCCAAAAGCCATCTGGATAGGGAAAGAATGAATTATGTCATGAAGTTGACATTTTTTACCATTGGAGGTTTACATGATAAAACAATATGGTGAAAGAGAATGTTGACTTTCATGTGGATTTTAGTTGTGTAAATGGATTTAGCAACTTTATTTGAGGAACCAGTTCCATTTACTAAACTAATATCAATAAGCTGATTACTTGAAAGTTAAATATATTAATGAAACAAATATATTTTCTGATAATGTTTATTTAATGACCACAATTTTACATGTCTTACAAATACAAAAACAATGAAAAAATACCTCCATTTCTTTTTGTGCTTTCTTGTTCTTATTATAGTCTTTTCTTTAAAACAACTTTGTCCAGGCAAAAAAGTTAAACTAGATGAAAAATCCACAGTGTTACTTTTGGACTTAGTAAAGCCACTGTGCATTGTTTGCACCAAAAGAGCATTGTATATTGATAGCAGAAAACCTAGAATCCTCATTGTAAATGGAAACATAAGTAGAAAAACAATATCATACTAATACATGTGCCTTTGATTCTACTGCAGAATTAAATAGAAAGCATGAACAAGATTCCATTGCATAGCTAAATAGTTAGCATGAACAAGATTCTACTGTATAGCTACATAAGATGCATGAACAATGAACAGCAAAAAATGTTTGTAAACTTTATAAATTATTGATCAGATGTGAGGTGGATCTGGCTGCCACCTGGGTCACCCCATTGATTGCCAGGTTGACCTGGTTGATCCAGCTGGCTAGGCCAGTGTCCCCTGCCTCCTTCATGGCTCTGCGTTGCAAGCTCATGGAGGATGAGGATGATGTGTTCATTAAAAGACTGTTCTTCTGTTTAGGGTATAAATGATTCATTACTAAAATGTATGAATAAAACAAATACACAAAAAGTCAATTGAATTGCATAAATATTTCTCATACAACATGGCTAAAAATGTCCTCTCTTCCTAAATGGACTTTATGTCCTGTGAAACTCTTCCAGCTCATTTACATGCATAACTTCACCACTGGTTGTAATTCACGTATTATTGCTAAATCAAACAGTCATTAAAAACATATGGTCAGAAACTAATTTAAGAAAGAATATTTGTCTTTTTTATATTTTTCAAAAGAATATTAGGTACAAAGTAAAAACTCACTGAAGCTTCTTAAATGAGTGTTATTTTGAAAGTTAAACTATTCAGATTTATTAGTGATTCTGTCAGTTGTTTATAAAATCACACATTCTGGTTTCACCTTCATTCTAAATTTTTAACTTAAACAAAAGGAGCAGCTCTTCTGAATGTAAAAAATGTGCTATTATAAACCATCTGTATTTTTGTTAATGGTGAAAAATATAAGGAAAAGTAAAATAATTTGCATATAGATACAGACACATTTCATTCTCACTTTTAAATAAATGGGCTTATTTTGGTCAGTTAATTCACTGGGAGATATTCTGAGTTGTGTATATCAATCAACTCTAATGCAAGGTATCTTGCAGAAAAAAAATGGACCCATCTACCTTTCACTTTGCAGGAAGAACTGGAGCTTAGATGGACTCTTTGATCAGAAGATCAAAATATTTAACAAACATAAATGCATGTTCTGGACATTGCAGTACCTCACATTGCTATAATATCAGGATCAGCAATGAACTCTTTATAACCAGTTGTTTTCAAATATAAGTTAAATATTTGGCACTCAAAGATAGTCCACAAGCAAGAATATCAGCAACAGTTGAAAACTTATCAAAAATGTAAAATCCTTTATTAAACTTCTTAAAAATGCCTCTCCTGCAAACTACTAAATTGGAATCTGCATTTTAACAGGCCTTTGTATACATATGAAATTTGAGAAACACCAGGTTATGTGCTTTAACAGCACAGAGGGATGCTTTAAAAGGGACCTTCTTGTGTATGGAATTGAACTAGACGTTCAATTGGTTCTTCTAATCCTGAGATTATATGGGATCTCTGACGGGATAAAAGAAATGAATCTTAAATTTTTACGTAATCTGCCACTTTCTTGTCCCATAACTTCTCTAATTTGAAGGAAAATATTATTTCATTCATTTGCTCTTCTTTATTAGTATTTTCTCTCAGGAAACCAAATAAAAAAAGTACAAAAGGAATTTCTCATTTTCTGTCATTTTCAAAGTATAAGTCAAACCTTGATCCAGGCAGCAAAAGACAATTTAATAATTGACAGCCAGTTTAACCAGAGAGATTTTGCCTTTAATATCAAAAATACAAAGCCACCAATTTCTTCAATTGTCAAGAAATTTTTATTAACATTGGCCCACAGTGAATTCTTTCATACTTCTTCCTGTTTTCCATTCCCAATACTATTCCGCTGGGGTACACGATAATGATTATCATCTCAATTCCCACAATACTACCTAACTAGTTTCTGAATTTTCACACTATTCTCTCTGATCCATTTTGTATAATGTAGCCATAGTAAAATTTCTGAAATAGGAAACTGATCATGTTATCCCCTGCTTGAAACTCTGCAAACGTTTTCATTTTTAGGAAAGAGCTCAAACTCTGCAATAGCCTTCAGTAAATATCCCTGGTGATCATAACTTCGCTCTCCTTTGGCCTAGTCTCTTTGCTTCCCTCTCTTGTACTCTGCACTCCGCACTCCATGCATATCAAATTCCTGCCACTTTCACAAGCTCACCTTTTCAGATTTGGTATCCTGCTACTTCAATTTCACTCTTTCCTTATATTACATATAAAATAATATATACTGTATATGGGATGTCCAATATAACACATAGTTTCTTTTCTCATCCTAAGTGCCACTTCAACTAGGAAGCCCATCATAATAGAATACATCTTATGTAGATTTCATAGCACCCTGCAATTCTCTACCTTCACACATACTGCACTATATTAAATCACCCAATTACTTGTAGAACTTTGTGAAAATATTATTTACCTAATCTTAGCAGATTACCTCTTAAAAACTGTCCATTTTAATAAAAACCTGTCTGATTTAGGTGATTATAGAACAACGAATAAAAATCAGGTAAACTGCAATGATAAAAAGTGAACAGGAATTTGTGGCAGGACTAAACACCAAAAGAGAGGAGAATATCAAAATAAAATAGAGGCCTAGTACTGATTATCTGGAGATAGACTTTATGGAGACAGTTGACTATCTTTTGAGACTTAATGAAATTTCTTTGAGTTTCCTGAGCTATGTCTTATGAAAAACTCAATACCTTTCTCCAAATGCTGTATGAATTGCCTCTCCCTGCAATTTTTGTTCCCGTGTCTGTTTCCTAGTTCCTTCTTCTGCTGAAAGTTATAACTCTTTTCACAACTCTTTTCTCTTAGCTTTCTGTCAACCCATTTGTAAAATGTGGCTCTTATCAGTAGATACAGTATATTTTAGAAATTTGGAAACAACCAATGTCTTTTTCACTGCACAACTTAAACAAATATTAAATATCTTATTACTATGATAATTATTATTATTTTGCAAGAACTTTGTTCTTGATGAAGAATTGTTCTAGGTTGGGCATGTTCGCTCATGCTTGTAATCTTAACACTTTGGGAGGCCAAGGAGAAAGGATCATTTGAGTCCAGGAGTTCAAGACCAGTGTGGATAACATAGGGAGATACCATCTTTACAAAAATAAAAAATTAAAAAGTTGTATCCTGGTGGGGTGGTGCGTGCCCATGGTCCAGGCTACTTAAGAGGCTGAGGTGGAAGGATCACTTGAGGCTGAGAGGTCAAGGCTGTATAAGCTGTAATCACACCACTGAACTCCAGACTGAGCCACAGAGAGAGACCCTGTCTCAAAACAAACAAACAAAAAAAGGATTTCTATACCAATTATTTGGTCACCATGCCAATCTCATGGACTGGAAGATTCACCATTGTTAAAATGTTCATATTACCCAAAGCATCTATAGATTCGATGCAATCCCTATCCAAATACCAATGACATTATTCACAGATGTAGGAAAAAAAATTATAAAATGTATATGGAACCACAAAGACCTGACTAGCCAAAGCTATGCTAAGTGAAAAGAACAAAACTAGAAGAATCACATTACCTGACTTCAAATTATACTACAGAGCTATATAACTGAAATAGCATGGCCCCGGCATAAAAACAAACACATAAACCAAGGGAGCAGAATAGAGAACCCAGAAACAAATCTGCCCACCTACAGTGAATTCATTCTTGACAAAGATGTCAAGAACATACATTGGAGCAAGAACAATCTCTTCAATAAATGGTGCTGGGAAAAATTCATATGCAGAAGAATGAAACTAGACCCTTATCTCTCATCATATACAAAAAATGAAATCAAAACGAATTAAAGACTTAAATCTAAGACGTCAAACTATGAAGCTACTAGAAAAAAAAAAAAAAAAAAACTTTGGAGACACTCTCCAGGCCATTGATCTGGGCAAAAATTTCTTGAGCAATGCCCCATAAGCACAGGCAAACGTGGACGAAGGGGATGACATCATGTTAAAAAAGCTTCTGCACAGCAAAAGATACAATCAACAAAGTGAAGAAACAACCCACAAAAATGGGAGAAAAGATTTGCAAACTACTCCTCTTACAAGAGATTAATAACCAGAATATATATATAAAGAACTCAAAGAGCTCCATAGGAAAATAATCTAATAATCCAGTCAAAAATTGAAAAAAGATTGGAATAGACATTTCCCCAAAAAAGACATACAGATGACAACCAGACATATGAAAATGTACTCAACATCATTGATCATCAGAGAAATGCAAATTGAAACTGCAATGAGATATCATGTCTCCCTTGTTAAAATGGCTTTTATCCAAAAGACAGGTAATAACAAATGTTTGTGAGGATGTGAAAAAAAGGAAACCTTTGTACGCTCTTGGTGGAAATGTAAATTAGTAAAACCACTTTGGAGAACAGTTTGGAGGTTCCTCACAAAACTAAAAATTGAGTTACCTTGTGATCCAACAATTCCTCTGCTGGGTATATACCCAAAAGAAAATAAATCAGTATATCAAAGAGGTATCTGCACTCCTGTGTTTGTTGCAGCACTGTTCACAATAGCTAAGATTTAGAAGCCAACCAAGTGTCCATCAACAGATGACTGGATAAAGGAAATGTGGTACATATACACAATGGAGTACCATTCAGCCATAAAAAATGAGATTCAGTCATTTGCAACAACATGGATGGAACTGGAGATCAATATGTTAAGGAAAATAAGTGAGGCACAGAAACACAAACATTGCATGTCCTCGCTTACTTGTGGGATCTAAAAATCAAAACAATTGAACTCATGGACATGAGTTCAAGAGTAAAAGGATAGTTACCAGAGACTGGGAAGGGTAGTGGTATAGGTGGCTGAGGGAGAGGTAAGGATGGTTAATGCGTACAAAAAAACAGAAAAAATGAAAAACGCCTACTATTTGATAACACAATAGGGTGGCTATAGTCAATTATATGCTTAAAAATAACTTAAGGAGTGTAATTGGATGGTTTGTAACTCAAAGGATAAATGCTTGAGGGGATGAATACCCCCATTCTAGATGATGTGCTTATTTCAAACTGCATGCCTATATCAAAACATCTCATGTACTCTATAAATATATACGTCTACTATGTACCCACAAAATAAAAAATAAAAATAAAAATGAATAAATACTTGAATGGATTCACCTAAAAAGAGCATTTCCTTTTAGGGAACACCTATCCCAAAACCCTATCCTAAACTTGGTGGCATCAAAATTTTCAAATTTTCTTCCAGCTCAGAAAAACTATCCTCTAGTTTTTCCCCATGGAAATGAAAACATTCATTTGATAAAGCAAATATCTATACTACTGGTGGTCTTATTTTTGTTCTTGTTATGATGTCATATATGTCAGAGTTACCTAAAAGATTTAGAAATAATAATCAGAATGTAAGCCCCCACGGGAAAGAATTTTGTGTCTTCAATACTGCATCCCCATTATCTATAATAAGACTAGGCAAAGTATAGTGATATAACAAAAATTATAAAATGAATGAGTGAAAGAATTAACCTTCCTAATCTAACAAATTGTTGGGGTTCTTCATTTGATAACCACTAGGGAGAGTGCAAACAAAATTAACAACACCACCACCACCAACACCAACAACAAACCATAGAAGAGCTGGGAAGGGTTCAAATAGGAGAAAAAAAAACAACAATATAGGGAAACAATGGAAAGTATTACCCATTTTTCCCTTCTCTAAAAGACAGCAACTGTCTTTGAGGTATTTGGGAAAGCATAATAAACAGAGGAGAGACTTAGAATATGAGTCCCGAGACTGCCAAGGGTAAAATTTTTAGTTGAAAAGCATATAGGTCTCCAAGCCTAGATCTTTGGAGAAAAGGTCAGGATTTTGGGACACAAATCAATTTTTAAAAATCTGTCAAATGTACATAATATTAATAAATATTTACAAGGTTGCAATATTCTGGATGTTTCTGCAAAAAGTTGATTTTGATTTTTTAATGCTAATTAATGCTGAAAGAGTAAATAGGAGGATACCGGATATTTATATTTTGATAGCTGGGAGCAGGACCAGCTACCTAATTTGTGAGGACCAGTTAAAAAATAGAAATGTAGGCTTCTTGTTAAAAAATTATTGGGAATTTTACAACACCAACAGTAGCACATTAAACCACGTATAAGACCCTTTTGCATACCCATAAAGCTGATTGTGGTTGGGAATAATACTAAGTGCAATGAAATATGCTGAAATGGTGGTCATCTATGTCTTTGTGACAAAACATTTTTGACACAAAATTATTTACCTAAACATCTACTTGAATAATAGTTTATGTTATATTATTTTGCCTCAGCATTAACTTCCTTTATTACTGAATTTAACTGTATCTTTCCTCTTTGGAAATGGGAAAATTAGAGACACTATTAGATGATAACATCTTCTGATTAAAAGTTCCTTGATGATCAAAGTAATGAAAAAAAAGATAATTAACATTTATGAACCAATTAGTATGTGCTAGATGCTACAACTACATAGGCTCATTAATCCTGAAGTAAAAATTTTCCAGTTATCAGCATACGTTCATGTGTAATTAATGAAGTAATTAACAAATGTAAGTAACTTGTCAAAGCATCACACAACCAATAGATGACTAATTACGAATCAATACCGAGATTTGTTTAGTATGAAAAAAGAGAAACTTCTCTAATTCCTTCTTAGAGCATTCTAGTTGTCTCTTCTTTTTCTCCTATTCCCCAGGGAAAATGAAGTTATGAATATGATTGATTATATCCCAAGGCATTAACTGTGTATTAAAAAGCATACATTTCTTATTTTCTCTGTTTTTTCCCCTTGTGATACACAATTTTTTGATACTTCCTCTCTCTCTCTTTCTATTTTTCTCTAAATTGCATAAATTCAGATGCTCAGATTTAGATCTACATAAGTGGGAAACTTCCTTTATGTACTAAACTTAAACGTCCTTTTACTGAGCTCTTTATTGCTGTACTGAGTTCTTGCAAAGCGGTTGTCAAAAACCTGTTCTGTTATTGCATCTTGTGTTCTCAGGTAGAAAAATGGAATGATGTGTAAGGTGATGTTTATATAGTTTTGCATCTTTATTCATAGCATCCAACCTCATACTTAACTTCCCTTTACATCCATACGGTGTGTGATACTTACAGTTTTGTTTTTAGGATTAAATAATGTAATGAATGCATAGTGCCTGACACATCCATTCTACTTGACAAAATCAACTATAATAATAATGATATATCTATTTCAGGGTGGAGGACAGGCCTATGAAAATACATATTTGGAGCAATTGAATTAGAAAAAAATCATTGATTTGCAAATTGAATAGGATAAGATTATCAAAGTTAGCTTTGAGAATCTGATAAGAAAGAGAATAAGAGATACACATGACATTTCAAAGTTTGAACTGTCTGATGATAGTCAATTACATAAGGAAAGCTAGGCCTTTTCAACTAGAAATGATTCCTGGAAGAATTTTATCAACTTGACATTTATAAAAGCTATATTTGATAATATATGACAAAATATGGCAAATATTCTAGTTTCTTGTGTCTCTATAAAAGCTCAAAATGTGACTTTCACTCAATGAATATGTTTCTATGGAAACTAACATAAATAATGTATTATATTATTTTCTAATGATCTAGCTTAGTACAGGACTAGAATTTCAAAGGCTGAAACAAATAAAATTTATTTAATATCTTAACTTTGTCAAGCAAGAGCTGAAGACATGGGTCACATTGAAATTCTTCTTAAGATCTCAATATGTCAGTATTCTATTTGTTGAATAAATGGTGACCTATATGTTTTAAAGAAAATATATGTAAGAATTAATTGACATGCTATTGTAAAAATGTATGAGTTTTACTTGAATTCTCCTTCAGACAGATGGCTATTTCATTTTAAAAAGACAGAGGACACAGGAGTGCATGGGGTGAGACAAAGTATTTTATTATTTTTCCTCCAAAAAAGTTTGGATTTTAGCTAGGTACTTAGACATGTGCAGTTCGAGATCCAAAGTTCAGCACCATAAATCTTAGAGCAGACCATCTGGAGCTAAAAATATTTAAGAACAGGTGTTATAAATTGCCCATTTATGTTCATATAGGAGCAAGATGGTAGTAGAAAATCTGCTTTCAAGTAGAAGTACATCTTGATGGACATTTCAGAATAAATTATCTGCCAAATATACTCTTAAGTGTGTAAATAGATTTTGTCATATAGGTGAGGTTGCTTGGGAGCATCTGTTTACATTTTGGAAATTTCAAGTTAAGTTTCCATTTTAGAATATTTGTTGCTTGATAGATCTTTTTACAGGAAATATTTAACAGGAGATTTTTCTTAAGGTTTCTTTTCTTTGTAACATAAAGCTATTTTGTCAGAGAATAATTAATATGTCTTCTTACTTATTATGGCAGGTATACCCAACAATCCCTTATTTGCAAATATCTTTATTTTATATACAATCACCTCTTTGCATTCATAGGGGATTGGTTCTAGAACTCCCTGAGGATACACAAATCCGTGGATACTCAAGTCCATTATATAAATGGTGTAGTGTCTGCATGTAGCCTTAGGTGTACTATGTGTATAGTCTTTAAATCATCCCCACATTACTTATAATACCTAACACGATGTAAATATTATCCTTGAACAATGTGGCAGGTCAGGAATGCTGACTCCCCATGTAGTCAAAAATCTGCATACAGTTTTTGACTCCCCAAAAACTTAACTATTAATAGCCTACTGTTGACTAGGAGCCTTACCAATACCATAAACAATTACACATATTTTATATGTTATATGTATTATATGCTGTGTTCTCCTCATAAAGTAAGCTAGGAAAAAATAAAATGTTATTAAGAAAATCATGAGAAGATAAAATATATTTACTATTCATTAAGTGGAAGTGAATCATTATAAAGGTTTTCATCTTCATGTTTTCACTTTGGACAGACTGAGGGGGAGGAGGGAAAGGAGGAGTTGGTCTTGCTGTCTCAGGCATGGCAGAGTAGAAGGGGTGGAGGAGGCAGGAGAGGCTGGCAAACTCAGTGTAACTTTACAGAACTCATTGTAATTTCTGTCTAACTTTTGTGCATACAGTACTAATCCTTTCCCCACTGTTTGCTTTACTTTCAGCGTCTGTGTCATGTAAGGGACCATGTCATAAAAGAAGTAAAAAGCAGTCTTGAAGAATCGGAACAATTCTGCTAGATTCTCTAATGTCAGTTTGTTTCCTGGTACTGCTGCTTCTAATTCTTCTTCTCATCATCTGGCACTGGCTCAAAAGCACGCCACCCATCTCCATCAAGTCATCTTCTGTTAATTCCTCTGGAGTGGTGTCTATTAGCTCTTAAATTTTTTCAAGATCCAAATCTTGAGTCCCTTCCCCCTCTACCTTTTTTTTTTTTTTTTTGCCATATCCACAATTTCTTTCATGATTTCCTTGATTGACTTTATTGTAAATTAGATGTTTTAGAATGCAAAACATCTGGACACAGTTTTCCCTAGGAGGAATTTATTATTTTGGGCTTAATGACTTTCATGGCTTTTTCTATAACAGCAATGGCATTTTTAATGGTGTAATTCTCCCAGACTTTTATTATGTTTTCTCTGTGAGTGTTCCTTTTTATAGCATTGAGAATCTTTTCCATAGAGTATCATGCATAATGAGCTAAAAAGTCCTTACTACTTCCTGATCTCAAGGCTGAACTAGAGACTTTGGGAAAAGTAGACCCCTTCGAAGTCTTCAGAGATGATCTCACGGGGTTCTGGGTGACCAGGGACATTGTCTAATATCAAAAGAACTTTAAAAGGTAGTCCTTTGCTGGCAAAGTACTTCCAGACTTCAGAGACAAAGCATCAATAAAACCAATCCAGACTAAAAATTTCTTGTTGTCCAAGTCTTCTTGTACAACCAAAAGGCTAGCAGCTCGTATTTATCTTTTCTCTTCAAGGCTGGGGAATTAGTAGCTTTTTAGATGAGGGCAGTTCTGACCATAAACCCAACTGCATTTGCACAAAACAGTAGAGTTAGCCTATCCTTTCCTTTGCTTTAAGTTGTCATATAATGACTTTGCTTTTTCTCAAATTATGTTAAAATATAGAGGTGTGTCTTTTTGTGTGTGTGTGTGAGATGGAGTCTCCCTCTGTCACCCATGCTGGAGTGCAGTGGCGCCATCTCTGTTCACTGCAACCTCTGCCTCCCGATTCAAGCGATTCCTCTGCCTCAGTCTCCCGACTAGCTGGGACTACAGGCATGTGTCACCACACCTGGCTAATTTTTTGTATTTTTAGTAGAGATGAGGTTTCACCGTGTTAGCCAGAATGGTCTCGGTCTCCTGACCTCCTGATCCACCCACCTCCGCCTCCCAAAGTGCTGGGATTACAGGTGTGAGCCACCATGCCCAGCCAGGTATGCTATAGCAATTTTGGCCTCGTATAAAAACTACATTTTCAAAAGAAGATGAGATAAAAGGGTACTTTGCAAAAAGTGCAAGGTTTTCACATCTGTTGGCATAAATGCAGCAATGGCTTAATAAATTTTCTTTTCTTTTTTTTTTTTCAATGGTTCTTACACTAGATTAATTTATCTTGAAATACTGGGCAACCGCAGCTGCAGACTTCAACATACATCACATATCAAACAAGGTAATGTTTTCTTGTAATGTCATGACTTTTCTATGATTCTCAGGACCACTTCAAGCATCACTAACGGCATTTTGTATGAGTCTCACGCTGTTAATCAAGGTTCACAGTCTTGCACTAAACATGAAAATATGTGAGAACCATAGGAGATCACTTTTTACTATAGTACACAATTTACTGGAGAGATGAACTGCTCACATGGAGATTATTAACATTGCATGGCTTTTCTTTTTTCTTTTTTTTTGAGATGCAGTCTTGCTCTGTCACCAGGCTGGAGTGCAGTGATGCAATCTCGGCTCACGGCAACCTCTGCCTCCCGGGTTCAAGCGATTCTCCTGCCTCAGCCTCCTGAGTAGCTGGGACTACATGCAGGTACCACCATGCCCAGCTAATTTTTGTATTTTTAGCACAGATGAGGTTTTACCATGTTGGCCAGGATGGTCTCGATCTCTTGACCTCGTGATCTGCCTGCCTTGGCCTTCCAAAGTGCTGGGATTACAGGCATGAGCCACCGCGCCTGGCCTCATTGCATGACTTTTAAGCTGATATTGGCAACACTTGAGCTCACCACAACAGAAACAGGATGTGGCTACCAAATTATTACAGTAGTACAATATGTACTACAGTTAATTTTATGCAGTTGTAATTTAATAGTGCATCTTAACATTGGTTTACATTTATCTCAACTGTGAATGGCACCATGTAGATCTGTGTTTATATGTGTAATATTTTATAAACTTTAACTTCTTATCATAAAACTGTGTCTATTTTATGGTAGTAAATGATAAAACAAGTAAGTATCTACATTGATTTTATGCACTTATAACATACCTAACTTTTTCTTATTTTTCTCTATATTTCTAGGCTATGCAGTTCATCTGAGTTTTTTCTTCAAACTGTGGCAAATCTCAAAAAAAATTCCAGTATACTTATTGAAAAAAGTTTTCACAGAAGCAAACTTATGCAGTTCAAACGTGATTATTCAAGGATCAACTGTCATTGCTATATTGTATGGTTTAGGAAATAATAATTTTAAAAGACTTTAAAATATTCTGTACAGACACAACAATTTTTTGAGTATTTTTGATTCATGGTTGGTTGAATTTACAGATGTGGAATCCATTGATATGGATGGATGAGCGTACTTCCTTTTCCTTTCTACCTCAAGGAAGAATATGTATATTTATTGTTGGGAAACTTTTTATCATCTTAATATATAGAAAGACTTTGGAGTTGGGTGCGGTGGCTCACACCTGTAATCCCAGCACTTTGGGAGGCTGAGGCAGGCAGATCACAAGGTCAAGAGATCAAGACCATGCTGGCCAACATGGTGAAACCCCGTCTCTACTAAAAATACAAAAATTGGCTGGGCATGGTGGTGCGTGCCTATAGTCCCAGCTACTTGGGAGGCTGAGGCAGGAGAATTGCTTGAACCTGGGAGGCGGAGGTTGCCGTGAGCTGAGATCGCGCCATTGCACTGCACTCCAGCCTGGCAACAGAGCAAGACTCCATCACAAAAAAGAAAGGACTTTGGTTGGCAGAACTGTTTTATTTCCTCAACAACACCATTCTCCACATAAGGTAGAAAAGCCAATCTATATTATATGCTCATCAGCTAATATCCAGTGAATGCAGAGCTTGGGAAAAAGAAACGCTGCTCTTGTTTTATCCCGCAATCTTATTGCTCCAAAATTCTGCTGAATTATTCTACTGCCCAAAGTCTAATTATAAAAATTATTAAATTTTATTTATTTCTACGCACAAATTGGAGTTTTGTCATTTGAAATCAAAGACTTCACACTAATTTTCTATTTAAATAGGTACTGTGCCCTGCTATATGGAAAGCACCATGCTAGGAGTTGAGGTTTGAATTTACAAAGACAAATAAAACTTAGAATTATCCATGAAGAATTTGAAGCTAGGTATAAAAAGAAGAAAGCTCTAAATTAAAATTGAGTATGAAAACATCCAAAGTTCAGGAATATAAGAATTGCTATTGAAACACAGAAAAATTATATAAATACGATTTTCTGAGGGTTTTCTGAGCCAGGGAATTATGTGTCATTCTTCTTGTTCTTCACTTTATAAACCCAATCTTTTTAACAGGTTTTGTCCATTCTATGTCTTGAGCCCTTTGGAATTTTCTTTATTTCATTTTCTTTCCTTTTTTAGGATGTATATTGTGTATATTTTGCATATAAGTAATTGTAATTGTGTTGTATTATTCTTAAATAGTATTTAAGAGCATGACCTCGAGAGTCAGATCACTAGTGCACAAATCACATGTCTACCACTTAGATATTTTATTTGGGGTGAGTCTTTTAAACTTTCTGCTTTTTTGTTTCCATGTTGGCTAAATATGGCTGAAAACAATACTTATTTCAAAAAGTTAGATCTAAAGAAGGTGCATTATTTCAGCATCCAGCAAAATAGCTGGTATATAGTAAGAGCTCAATTAATGTTACTTATTTTGTGTTATTACCACAGTTTGTTACTTGTTTCATATTCTCGGATTCCACCCTCATTCATCCTTCACCCATCATCTGGACTTACTTTAATAAAATATACATATGATCATTTCATTTATCTACCTATAGCTCATCAGAAACTCCCATTTGCCTTCAAGATGAACTCATAGATTTTTTGAGAGCATGATAGGCCTTTTATCATCAGTACCTTGTTGTATCACTAGTTTTATGACTGTCCGTTCATGTTCCCATCTTCCAAGCATGGTCCTTCTTGTCTACCTTTCAAAACCACCCTTGGTACTCCAGATTCTGGGCAGAAAACGCTACATGCCTTCAGTTACTTGAATTGGCAATGCTCTATTTCCCTCTTCTGAGACTTAGAACTCATTGAATTCACATTGCTTTCTTTATTCTTTCTCCACTCACCCCCATTCTTTCACAGGGCAAACTTTGTGTTATTTCCTCCATTAAAGTGCCCCAATTCTACCCCACAACAGAGCTATTTCCTTTTCTGTGTGTGCCTCCTGTGTGAAGCCTAGACAACCCCAAATTGTGGCATATAATCACAGTGTATTGGAATTTCCAGTTTCCTTATCGGATGCTTCAATTCATTGTGTATTGTTCAAAGTCAGAGCCAGACTCATTTAATTATTATATGTTTAAGCCTAGAGGAATATACATACATACGTATAAATTAGGTCCTGAAAATAATTTGGTGTATATTTAACATAAAGAAGTACAGTTTTCCTTGAGTCTTGAAAAAAATGTTTCCAGTAATGAAACTCAGGAGAGCAGATAAATCAGAAGTTTAAACCTGTGCAATTATATGGATACCAAAAAAGTATTATAAATTCAGAAACCACAATATATAGCATACTGTTCTTTTATGTGCTTATTTTGCAAAATCAATCCCTATTATTGAAATTTGGTAATATATGTATTAAAATTATATAACTCTGTGTGGAAGGAGAATATGGCATATTGGAAAATTAAAGTCTGCGCTGAAAATGTGGTGTCTTGGATTGGTATTCTTGGCATACAACTGGCTGCCTAGGGCACTTTAAGCTACTTAATTTATCTGATTACTGTTTTCCTCAATTGACCTTCAAGTGAAAATGGCTTAAGTTCCTTCCTCCTTTAGAATCCCAAAATCCTAATATTACTGGATGTTAGGGATTTTATTGTATCACTTCCAAAATGTATATGTTGAAGTCCTAACCTCCAGTACCTCAGAATGTGACTATATTTGAAGGTAGGGCCATTAAAGAGGTGATTAAGGCCAGGCTCTGTGGCTCATACCTGTAAAACCAGCACTTCAGGAGGCTGAGGCGGGTGGATCACTTGAGTCCAGGAGTTCCAGATCAGCCTGGCCAAGATGGTGAAACTCTGTCTCTACTTAAAACACCAAAATTTGCCAGGTGTGGTGGCAGGTGCCTGTAATCCCAGCTATTTGGGAGGCTGAGGCAGAAGAATTGCTTGAATCCATGAGGTGGAAGTTGCAGTGAGCTGGGATGGCACCACTGCATTCCAGCCTGGGCAATGAGTGAGACTCCATCTTTAAAAAAAAAAAAAAAAAAGAGGTGATTAAGTTAAAATGAGACCATTAAGATGCATCCTAATCCAATTTTACTGGTATCCTTCTGAGAAAAGAACATTTGGACACACAGGACACCAGTGATATATGCACACACACAAAAATACCATGTAAGGACACAGCAGTAATGCAATCATCTGGAAACCAAGGGGAGAGTCCTCAGAACAAATCAAACTCGCTGACACTTTGATCTTGCATGTCTAGCCTGTAGAACTGGGAAGATTATTCTGGTTGGCTCAATCTAATTCAAGGCATACCTTGGAAGTATTGGATACCTCGGAAGTATTGGGGGTTGGGTTCCAGACCACTGTAATAAAATGAACAAAGTAAGTAACACATACATTTTGGTTTTCCAGTGCATAAAATGTACGTTTACACTATACTGAAGCCTATTAAGCGTGCAATAGTATTATGTTTCAAAAATGTGCATACCTGAACTTAAAAATATTTTATTTCTAAAATATGCTAACAATCGTCTGACACAGAGACACAAAGTGAGCCCATGCTGTTGGAGAAATAGCACTGATAGACTTGTTCCATGCAGAGTTGCCACAAACTTTCAATCTTAAAAAAAATACAGTATCTGTGAAGTTCAATAAAGCAAAGAGCAATAAAACCAGATACACCTGTACATGAGACCCTAAAGCAGAGAATCTGTCCTGGTCAGGTCAGAGAGATGATACAAGAAGGAGGAAGAGAAGAAAGGAGACTGAGAAGGGAAGGAGAAGGAGAAAGAGAAGAAGAGATTTGAAGGATGAGAGGGTCTTAACGAATTGTTACTGGCTTTGAAGATGAAGGAAAGTAGCCATGAATCAAGGGACACAAGGAGCCTCTAGAAGCCAGAAACAGTCCTCAGCTGAGAGTCAGCAAGGACAAACTGATCTCAGACCTGCGACCGCAAGAAACTCAATTTTGTCAACAACCCACATAAAGAGAAATGAATTTTCCCCTAGAGACCCCAGAAAGGGATGCGGCCTTACCTACACCTTGATTTTAGTCTGATGAGACCTATGTCAAACTTCTGACCTACAGAACTGTAAGGAAATAAACTTGCATTGACTTAAGTTGCTGAATTTGTGGTAAATTTGTTACAGCAGCAATAGAAAACCAATCAAATGTTCTACTTAATCCAAAATCTTCAGAACAGGGATGCGGTGTGTAGTGTATTTATTGCATGGGCATGTCCTGAAAGCTATGAGCTTCCTTTAGTTTTTCCGGTTTCAAATACAAACCTCAATCGGCATCTTTTACAAACTACTCCATGTGCTTGTCATATAGCCTCCACGAGTAGGCTATAATTCACCATTATCTTGTTGACAAGGCTATGATTCGTTTCACACATCATTGTTCATTAAAATAATGTAGACCTGCACCTTAGTTCCATCCCACTTCAAAGCCCGACTGCTAACTAATTTATGGTCAATTAATTTTAGTGGATGAAGAGCCACTAAATTTAGTGGTTTTCCACCGTTGTAATTATTTTATTTTATGAAATTTACTGCCTTAAACAAATTACAATATAATGTTTTTAAGACTGTCTTTTCTAAAATTTTCTTATAACAGTATTTAGCCATATGTGAAGAAAGAAAGGCATTTAATTATGTTTAAAGATTAAAATTACGTTTCTTTAAAAGTTACTTATTTTAAAACCATGATTACTTTCTTTTCTCTGTAGTATTCAATTTTAAATACAAAGTACCCATGTTATATGTTGAATTGAATTCTTTCTGCTTTCCATTCTTTTCCAAGTATATTTCAATATTGAAGAGGAAAAACTTTCTGGAAGTTATGTAAAAAATATTGTTTTTTATTGAAAAAATCTCTGTGATGCTTATTTACTATTATCCAGAAATATTGACCATAATTTTATTTGATAAAAGATTATATATTGATCCACGTTAGCAGGTGGTCACTGTGAACCCACATATTTCCATGCTGTAAAATTTTGCAGTTGAAATGCAATTTTTACAACACTGTTTAACAGTGTTCTCCAAAGGAATTTTAACTATCTAGACAGCTGGAGGGTGACAAATGTAGTTAAAAATAGACCAGAAAGATTTCTTGGTTGCAGAGGGGTCAATTACATTGTCTAAATCGGAGAATTCAAAAAGAAGAAATTATTCTAAATGTACGTTTCACAACCATACAGGAACTGCTTGAAAGTGGGAACAAATCAAATAAATGAGATCTAGGTACAAAGGACTTTACATTCCATGCGTTTATGAAGGAGTATAAAAGCAATGTATTACATTTCAAGGAAATGCCTTTGGGGGAAAGAAAAAAAAGAATGGGCAAAAAAAGACTAGAAAGAAAGTATTCACTATAGTTTCAATAAAAGGTATGATATCCTAAGATATCAGCATATCAAAAAAGTAGGAAGAATTTTCATTTAAAAGTAAAATCACCAAGTTTTAAAACCTTACTTGAAATGAACAGCAGAAATTTGCAGCTAAAAGGAAAAGTGCCTCAGAATAAACCATTACATCTAGCAGGTGCTCATCTGTCCTCAGAAAGTTTCTACTTATAAAGTACACTAAACTTTTAGAATAAAGAAAAAACGGCTTTTTATTTGGAATTTCTTCATGCTTATGAATCCCTTAAAAAATACAATATGTCCAATAAAAACTCAACCTTTTTTTTTTCGTAGACAGTAGTGCCTATTTCTTCGGTTTTTTTTTTTTTCTTGTTGTTTTTTGTGGGGGATAGAAACACAATGTTGATCCACAGAGATCTCAATAGCTTTTTAGATGTAAAATATTTCTCCAAAATACATAAGTGTGAAAAATATGATGTTTATGGACATGTACATATCAAATCATATTATATCAACAATACAACAGTGTCTGATGTGTGTGTGTGTGTGTGTGTGTACTTGTGCTAGACAGAACAAATTACTATTTACTATTTACTACTATCACAAGACAGTAATTACTGTTAAATACTCAGTTACTCTGATCTGAGGCAATGGCATAAAGACTTTTGAACAAGAGCCTGTTTTAACTCTGTGGAACATGCAGAATTTTTTTTCTCCTTACATTTATTCTACAAATCATCAGATAAACTTCAAAAAAGTTGACTAAAATATTAACTCATTCCATAAAAGAATGTATTTTTCTACTTTACTTTTTCACTAAAATTGCATCTTTTAATGACAGAAATATTGTACATTTCTTTAGACTCTAAAGCCCCACTGCCTGAAGTAGCATACCAGTTCCACTGGTATGGTTATTTTATTAATTATAATATATATTTTATTAGGTTATTTTATTATAATTAATGTTTAAAAGTACTGTTATTTCATGTTATAATTGCCACATAACAAAACTATTAATTCTCAAATGTTATAAGTTTCTTGGCCGGGCTCGGTGGCTCACACCTGTAATCCCAGCACTTTCGAAGGCCGAGGCGGGCAGATCACGAGGTCAGAAGATCGAGACCATCCTGGCTAACACGGTGAAACCCCGTCTCTACTAAAAATACAAAAAATTAGCCGGGTGTGGTGGCGGGTGCCTGTAGTCCCAGCCACTCGGGAGGCTGAGGCAGGAGAATGGCGTGAACCCGGGAGGCGGAGCTTGCAGTGAGCCGAGATCGCGCCACTGCACTCCAGCGTGGGCGACAGAGCGAGACTCCGCCTTAAAAAAAAAAAAAGAAAAAAAAAAGTTATATGTTTCTCATTACAATGAGATGTAGAACAAAACTTCAAATAGCTGACTGTTTTGTCGCACTCCAGTTGAACTTTCAACACCTTAATAAAATATCTGAAATGTCTGAAAATAGGTCAGTGACAGAAATATTAAAGCGCCAAGTGTGGAGTTATGAGGGTCAGTCAATTCTGAGTGTTGTCTATGGTGAAGCAGGGGAACTTCATCCTAGAAGCACCAAAGCAGATTTTTAAAAAATAGGCAGAATTTTAAGGTTAGTTTTGAAAGATATAAACAGTATTTTCAAAATTAGTTATCTTAAAAACTAAACTCTTATTTTGCATTTAATGAACAATGATAAAGAAAGGAAATTTATGTAAAAATAATTAATGTGCCTAACAGAATGCTCACAGATTGTAGGGATATCAAAATTAAACATAATAAATATAGTTAACTTTTACTGAGCTCTTACTCTATTTCAGATCTTTTTAAAGCTGTCTCACAGATATTAACATACTTAAACTTCATACAAAAATGCTAAAAGATACATACTAACAATAACCCCGATTTTCAGAAGACAAAATAAGGTACACATTGTTCAAACAAATTGCCTATAATTAGAAGATTGGTAAATTAGACATGCAGTTTTCAAACCCGGAGCCTTCACTCTTAATTAAGAAACAATATAAGAAGTATTAATTGCATATTGTACTATCAATGATGATAAGAGGTTATTGACATTAGAATTAGTGAATACCTTTTCTCTTTACCCTTTCCTAGGCATTTCTCATTTACTGTGATAAAGAGGACAGTTACTCTTGCCTAGATTTTCCTTGCCCTTCTTTTCTATAGGAATACAATACCCCTGAAGATGCCTATCCTCTCTGAAAATGTATAGTGTTAAAGTAAAAATATTTGCTATTAGCTTTCTGATAGACATGTGGAAAATATCTTCAGAGATCTCTAAGTATAATGAAAAAACAATTTATTAGTATATTTGTACTTCATGGAAAAACATTAACAAAGATTACTTATTTATGCATTGATGACTTACTGAACTGAGAATCTACCATATCCAAGGAAATAATTTGTTCAACATTAAAGTGCTGATTCACACTGTATTCAAAATTTCTCTGATAAAGTAAATCTAAACAGAGAGTGAAACTGTCCTTCCTAATGGCCATGAACATCTTGCAATGGAGCTTAGTACAAAAGGGCAACACCCTGCAAGTACCCCCATTTAATAAGACATCTTATTAATAAGTATGGAATATTCATGTGCCTGCAATATATTTTAAAATAAGCTAGAGTTAACAGTAAATTATTTAAAATTGCCACTTTGGGATGTCCATTCTATTGAAATTTATAGGCCCTCTTCACCATTTTATTGCACCCTATACCATTACCCTTTTTGAATATGAATCTATTCACATTTGAGAAGAGTGAGCTTAGAATAAAAGATTGAAGACATGTCTTTCAGATTTGGAGAACAGAACAGCAACAACAACAAATGGAAGAGATAAGTAATGACTTACCAGCAAAATCAGCACTCAAGGTTATTGAACTTTGCTTTAGTTTGAATGTCCCCTCCAAAACTCATATCAAAATTTAACAGCCATTGTGACAATATTTAGATGTGGGACCTTTAAGAGGTGATTAGATCATGAGAGGTCAGCCCTCACGAATGGATGAATGACATTATCACAGATTAGTCATTATGGAAGTGAGTTTCTGATAAAAAGCATGAGTTCAGCCCTTCTCTGTCTTGTTCTCTGTCTCACACACTTGCTTTCTCACCATGTAACACTTTCCAAAATATTATGATGTAGCAGCAAGGCCCTCATCAGATGTGGCTCCTTCATCTTGAACTTTCCAGCCTTGAGAACTACATGCCAAGTAAATCTCTTTTCTTTATAAATTACCCAGTCTGTGGTATTCTGTTACTGCAGTAGAAAATAAACGGAGACAAGCATCTACACAGGTGGCTCCAAATAAGGAATATTGAGTTTTATATACTATTTTACATAACCTTTGAGGTATAATCTACTTACAGTAATGTTAAGCCATTTAAAATGCACAGGTGGTGAGTTCAAAAGATGTACACATTTATGCAATCACGGTTACGTTTACAACATAAAATATTTCAGTCATTCTTATCTTTTCTCTGCATTCTTCTGTTTGAATTTTTCCACTCTGCAAAATGATTTTGACATTCATCTGTTATATTGCTTGTCTCATTAGTATATTTCTTTTTATTGTTGAGTCCTTTCTATCAAATGGATATGCCATAATTTGCTTATCTACGTATCATTTGATGAACATGTGAGCTATACAGATATATATTTCAAATCTCCAGCTTAGTTTGCCAAATTACCCACACCACATATATATATATATATATATATATATATATATCATATATAGATATGGTATATATAAGAATATCTCTATCTATCTATCCATCTATCTATCTATCTATCTATCACCTGTCTATTCTTAAAGCTAAAATATAAAGTAGTGCAGATAGTATAATGAGGAAGTCATGTGTTGCTTAACAATGGGTACATGTTCTGAGAAATGCACTATTAGGCAATTTTATCATTGTGCAAACATCATAAAGTATACTTACACAAACGTGGATTGAACAGCCCAGTAAACAGCCAGGCTGTATGGTATAGCCTACTGCTCTTATGCTACAAACTTGTACAGCATGTTATGATACTAAGTACTGTAGGCAACTGTAATACAATGGTATTTGTTTATGTAAACATACCTAAACATGGAAAAGGTAATGTGTTGTGCTACAACATTATAACAACTACGACATCACTGGTTGATAAGTGCATGACTGTATTCCAGGTCCCCACATACACATAATCACATCTCACTATCAACTTCCTGCGCCACAGTGATACATTCCTTACAATCAATGAACATAACACATAATATTGCCCTGAATCCATAGTTTACATTAGTGTTCACTCTTGGTGGTGTACATTCTGTAGGTTTCAACAATGTGTAATGACATATATCCACCATTATAGTATCATGCAGAATAGTTTTACTGCCCTAAAAATCCTCTGTGTTTTGCCCATTCATACTCACCCATCTCAAGCCCTGACAGTCACTAATCTTTTCACTGTCTCCACAGGTTTAACTTTTCCAAAACGGAAAATGGTTGAAATTATACAGTATGGAGCCTTTATAGATTGGCTTTGTTATCTTAGTATTAACATTTAATTTTTCTCCATGTCTTTTTATGGCTTCATAGATCATTTTGGCATCGAATAGTATTTCATTGTCTGGATATTCCACAATTATTTATGCATTCACTTATTGAAGGACATTTTTCTTGCTTCAAAGTTTTGGCAATTATTAATGTAAAGAAAGCTGCTATAAACATCCATGTGTAGGTTTGGTGTAGATGTACATTTTTAATTCATGTTGGTAAATTCCAAGGCATGTGATTGCTGAATCTTATGGTAAGAGTATTTTTGCTAGGTAAATAACTTTTTTTTCAAAAGTAACTGTAAAATTTTATATTCCCACCACCAATGAATGGGAGTTCCTGTTCTTCCTCAACATTGCTACCATTTAGTGTTGTCCATGTTGTGGATTTTGGCCATTCTAACAGGTGTGTGGTGGTTTAACACAGTAGTTTTAATTTGCAATTCTCTAAGGATATATGATGTTGAACATTTCCATAGGCCTATTTGCCATCTGTATATCTTCTTTGTTGATGTGTTTGTTCAGATGTTTTGCTCATTTTTTAAATTGGGTATTTACCTATTGTTGAGTTTTAAAAGTTGTGTGTACTTTTTTGATAACAGTTCTTTGTCACATGTGTCTTTTACAAATATTTTTTCCTAGTCTGTGGTTTGTCTTCTCATTCTATTGAATTAGCACAAAAGATTTTAGTTTTAATGAAGTCCAGGTTTTCAGTTATTTCTTTTATAAATTGTACATTTTGCATTATATCTAAAAAGTCACCACTATACTCAAGTTCATGTAGGGTTTCTTCCTGTAATATAGGAGTTTTATAATTTTGCATTTTGTGTTAATTTTTGTGAAGAGTGTGATTACTGTGTCTAGATTTATTTATTTTTTGCATGTGGATGTCCATTTGTTCCAACACCATTAGTTGAAAAGTTTATATATGTTCCATTTTACTGCCTTTGATTCTTCATCAAAGGTGAGCTGACTAGATTTATATGGGCTTATTTCTGCACTATATATTCTGTTCCATTGATCTATTTGCCTATTCTTTTACCAATATCACACTCTCTTGTTTACTGTAGCTTTATAGTATGTTATGACGCAGGATAGTGACTTGGGTCTTTTTAAATACTAAGTGGGCTATTCTGGCCCTTTTTTTTCTCTGTATATAAATTTTAGAATTAGTTTGCTCATACCTACAAAATAACTTGCTTAGATTTTGACTGGGATTGCATGGAACCTATAGATCAGATTGGGAAGAACTAACATCTTGACAATAGTGAGTCTTCCTACCCATGAACATGGAATATATCTCCATCTGTTTATTCTAAAGAATAATGCCTTAACATCAGAGTTTTGTGGTTTTTTCTTATCTAAATCTTGTGCATATTTTGGTATATTTATAACTAGATATTTAATTTTGGGAGATTTGAGTAGAAATGGTGTTTTTTTTTCAATTTCATATCCTATTTGTTCACTGCTGGTATATGAGACAAAAAATGATTTTTGTATATTAACATCGTATCTTGCCACCTTTCTATAATCAGTTATTAATTGCAGGAGCTTTTTTATTGATTATTTCAAATTTTCTACATAAATGTTTATGTTATCTGAAAACAAATTTTGTTCTATTTTTTCTTCCCTGTATAAGCTTATTCTTTTCATAATTATTGCATTATCTAGAACTTCCAGTATAATGTTGAAAAGCAGTGGTGAGAGAAATCATCTTTGTCTTGCTCCTGACCTTCACAGGAAAGCTTCTAGTTCCTTGCCAATAAAAATGACATTAATGGTAAGATTTTTGTAGATGTTCTTTATCAAACTGAGAAAATTTTTCTCTATTTTTAGTTTGCTGAGAATTTTAATCAGTTGTATTTTGTTAAAAACATTTTTGGCATCCATTGAAATAATCTATAATTTGTATTGTTTATCCTGATGATGTGATAGATTATATTAATTGATTTCCGAATGTTGAATAAATCTTGTATACTTGAAATAAATCCCACTTGTTGATAGTGCATAATTCTTTTTACACATTATTGGATTCAATTTGCTAATGATTTGTTGAGAATTTTTGTATCTATGTTCATGAGAGATAACCATCTGTAGTTTAGGTGTAATCTTTGTCTAGTTTTAGTATCAGGGTAATTCTGATTACCCCAAAATTAATTTAGGGAGTATTCCCTCTGCTCATATATTCTGAAAGTAACTGTAGGGAACTGATATAATTTCCTCCTTACATGTTTGGTAGAATTTACCAGTAAACTCGTCTGGACCTGATGCTGTCTGTTTTGGAAGGATATTAATTTTTGATTCAATTTCTTTAATAAGTATAGATAGGCCTATTCAGATTGTTTATTTCTTCTTGTGGGACTTTTGGCAGACTGTGTCTTTCACATAATTCATCCACTTTATCTAGGTTATCTAATATGTGGCCATAGAACTGTTTGTAATATTCATTTATTTTCCTTTTAATGTCCATAGGGTCTGTAGTGATATACCCTTTTTCATTTCTTGGTATTAGTAACTTTTATTCTTTTTTTCTCCTTCCTTATTTATTCCAACTAGTGACATCATTTTAAAATATCAACTTTTGGCCTTGCGAGTGTATTCCCTATTGATGTCCTAATTCCAATTTTCTCTATTTCTACTCTAATTTTCATTATTTCTTTTCTACTGCTAAGGATTTTATTTGCTCTTCTTTTTCTAGTTTTCTAAGGTACAGTTTATATTATTAGTTTTATATATTCTTTGTTTCTTATATATGCTTTCGATGCTAAAAATATTGCTGTAGGCCAAGTGCGATGGCTCATGCCTCTAATCCCAGCACATTGGGAGGCTGAGGCAAGCAGATCACTTGAGCCCAGGAGTTTGAGACCAGCCTGGGCAATATAGTGAGACCTCATCTCCAGAAAAAAAAAAAAATTAGCTGAATGTGGCAGCACGTGCGTGTAGTCCTAGCTACTTGGGAGGCTGAAGTGGGAGGCTCGTGTAAGCCTGGGGAGTCAAGGCTGCAGTGAGCCGTGATAACACCATTGCACTCCAGTCTAAGAAGCAGAGCAAGGCCCTGCCTCAAAAATAAATAAATAAATAAATAAATAAATAAATAAATAAACAAATACAATTTCTAAGCACTGTTTTTGCTGTATTCTACACATTACTGATAGTTGTATTTTGAAAAGTTGTATTTTCATTTTCATTCAGTTCAATTAAAACCTTTATTGAGACTTCTTCTATGACCCATGTGTTATTTAGTAGTGTGTTATCTCTAAATTTGGGGGGATTTTCAATTTATCTTTCAGCTATTTATTTTTAGTTTAATCCATTGTGGTGTGAAAACAAACATCATATATTTTCTATTCTTTTAAATTTGTTAATATGTGTTTTACTTCTCAAAAGGTGGTTTGCTTTAGTGAATGTGCCATATGAGCTTGAGAATAAAGTGTAATCTACTGCTTTTTTTTTTTAGGCAAGGTCTCATGATCATGGTTCACTGCAGCCTTGACTTCCCTGGTTTAAGTGATCCTCCCTTCTCAGCATCCCAAGTGGATGGGACTAAAGGTGCACGTGACCACACCTGGCTATTTTTTTTTTTTTTTTGTAAAGATGAAGTCTCTCTGTGTTGCCCAGGCTAGTCTCAAATTTCTGGGCTCAAGTGATCCTCCTGCCTTGGCCTCCTAAAGTGCTAGGATTACAGGTGTGAGCCACCGTGCCTGGCCTAATGATTTTTTAATTGTCTGTAGATTTCAATTATATTCAGTTTATTGATCATTTTCATTATTTCAATTATGTATTTACTGATTTTCTCTCATCTGAGTCTCTCTACTTCTGATAGAGGGATGTTAAAATTTCTGACTATAATAGTGGATTCATCTATTTGTCCTTGTAGTTTTATCAGGTTTTGCCTCGTAATTTGATGCTCTGTTGTTAAGCAGATACATAGTAAGGACTGTTAAGTCTTCTTGGAATATTGACCACGTTGTTGTGATTTAATGCCCCTCTTTATCCTTGATAAATTTTCTTGCTGCAAAGTGTGCTCTGTATGAAATTAATATACTTGTTTTTACTTTATTTTCATTAGTGTTAGCATGGTATATTATTTTCTGTCCCTTTACTTTGAATCTATACTTGTCTTTATATTTAAGGAGAGTTTCTTCTAGACCCCTTCATTTCACCATATACAAAAATCAACTCAAGATGGATTAAAGACTTAAATGTAAGACTTAAAACTATAAAAATCTAGAAAAAAACCTAGGAAATACCATTTTAGATATAGGCCTTTGCAAATAATTCATGATGAAGTTTCCAAAAGCAATTGCAACAACAACAGCAACAAAACAGGCAAGTGGAAACTAAAGCTGAAGAGCGAAAGAAACTATCAACAGATTAAACAGATAACCTACAGAATGGGAGAAAACATTCTCAAACTATGCATCTGACAAAGGTGTAATATCTAGGATCTATAAGGAACTTAAGTCTATGAGTAAAAACAACCACATGAGTAAATGGGCCAAGGAAATGGACATCTCTCAAAAGAAGACACACAGTTAACAAGAATATGAAAAAATATTTAACATCATTAATCATTAGAGAAATGCAAATCAAACTACAATGAGATATCATCTCATACCAATCAGAATGGCTATTAATTACCAGTCAAAAAATAACAGATTTTGGCGACATTTTGGAGAAAAGGGAACACGTATACACTGCTGGTGGGAATGTAAACTAGTTTAGCGACTATGGAAAGCAGTCTGGAGGTTTCTCAAAGAACTACCATTCAACCCAGAAATCCAATTACTGGGTATATACCCAAAGGAATATAAATCATTCTACCAAAAATACACAGGCACGTGTATGTTCATTGCAGCACTATTCCTAATAGCAAACACGTAGAACCAACCTAGATATCCATCACAGTAGACTGGACAAAGATAATGTAGTACATATACATCATGGAATACTATGAAGCCATACAAAAGAAAAAAATAATTTTCTTTGCAGCACTATGGATGCAGCTGGAGGCCATTATCCTAAATGAATTAATGCAGAAACAGAAAACCAAATGCCACATATTCTCACTTGTAAGTGGGAGCTAAACATTGAGTAAACATGGACACAAATCGCAACCTAATAGATACCAGGGCCTACTTGAAGGTGAAGAAGGGAGAAGGGCGAGGGTCAAAAGACTATGCTCACTACCTGGGCGACAAAATGATTCGTACACCAAACCCTGACACTCAATTTACCCATATAACAAACCTGCACATGTAACCCCTGAATCTAAAATAAAAGTTGCAAAAGAAAAATATAAATAAATAAAGTGGGTTTCTTGTAGGTGGTACATAGTTGGGTATCTTCTTTTATTCACTGTGACAGTATTGATCTTTAGTTGGTGTATTTAGACCATTGACATTTAAAGTGATGATTGTTATTATTACATTGATATCTACCATATTTGCTACAGATTTCTATTTGTTGCCCATGCTCTTTGTTTCTGTTTTCGTCTTCTACATTATTTATGTCTTTTGGGTTTTAATTCAGCATTATTTAAGATTCTATTTTTTCTCATTTCTTTAACACATCAATTATACACAAACTCACGTACATACACAAATATATATATACCTTACTTAGTGATTGCCCTAAAATTTACACTGCATATATTTACAACTAATTCATATTAACTTCTAAGTAACAGTATACTGCTTTGCAGATAATGCAAGCACCTCATGGTAACAATATATTTCTAATTCCTTCACCTTTTGTATCATCATTGGTCATTTAATTTATACATAGGTATACATGATCATATATAAATATAGATATGCATTCGAGTACACATAATTGAAAACATTTTTCTACTATTTTGAACAAATTGTTATTGGTTGGATCAATTAAATATGAAAAAAGTTTTATCTTACCTTCACTTATTCATTATTTGACCCTCTTCCTTTCTGTATGTAGATAAAAGTGTCTAATCTGTATCGTTATCTTCTCCCTCTGAAGAACCTTTTTTTCAACTTTATTGAGATATAATTGACAAAATAAAAATTGTATACATTTAAGGTATACAACCTGATGTTTTGACATACAGATACACTGTGAAATGATCACCACAATCAAGCTAATTAACATAACCATTATCTCACATTTGTCATTTGTATGTGTGTATATGTGTGTGGTATAAGATCCACTCTATTAAAAATTTTCTAATATGCAATAGAGTGCATTCACTGTGGTCAGCATATTGTATATTAGGTCAACAGAATTCGCTCATCTTACAACTGAAAGTTTCTACCCTTTGACAAACACCTACCCATTTCTTCACTGCTACCCCTGCAGTCCTTGGTAACCACTATTCTATTCTCTGCTTTGATGAGTTTGACTATTTTAGAGTCCACATGTAATTGATATCATGCAATATTTGTCTTTCTGTGTATGGCTTATTTTATTTAGCATAATGTCTTCCTCCACGTTATTCTATGTTGTCATACATGTCAGGATTTCCTTCTTTATTAAGGGTGAATTTCCCTGCCCACACTTTTCGTCTTTTTTATAATTGTCATTGTAAGAGTTGTAAGCTGATAACCCCTTATGGTTTTGATTTCCATTTATCTGATGATGAGTGATGCTAAGCACCTTTTCATATATCTGTTGGCCATTTGTATGTCATCTTTTGAGAAATTCAAGAGTGCCAAGAATATACAAATAGAAAAACAATAGTCTTTTCAATAAACAGTGTTGAAAAAACTGAATATCCATGAGCAGAAAAATAATTATCAGACCTTTATTTCACAACATATACAAAAGTCAATTCAAAATGTTTTCACAGACTATGTGTATGATAAGGAGTTAATATCCAAAGTGTATAAAAAACCCATGTAACACAATAGCAAATAAATAAATAAATAACTCAAACAAAAAGGGGGCAAGAAACCTTAAGAACCTCCTTTACTATATCTTGCAAGGCAGAGCTTACTTGCAACAAATTTCCTTAATTTTTGCTTGTCTGAGAATATCTTTATTTTTCCTTCACTTTTGAAAGATGCTTTTACAGGATACAAGATTGGTGATAATTTTTTCTCTGAATGCTTTAAAGATTTCATGCCATTCTCTGCTTCTGTGGTTTCTGAGGAGAAAATGAATGTAATTTTTATTTTTCCTCCACTATAGATGAAGTGCTGTTTCCCTTTGTCTGCTTTCAAAATTTTCTTCATCTTCTAAAGTTTGAATACGATATGCCTAAGTGTCGATTTCTTAGAACTTATTCTGCTTGGTGTTCTCAGAATTTCCTGGAACTGTGCTTTGGTGGCTGATGCTAATTTGAAAACATTCACAGTCATTACTGCTTCAAATATTGGCTTAGTTTCTTTCTCTCTTATCTTCCTCTGGTATTCTCAGTATGTATATATTACATAATCTGTAACAGTTGCTCCATAGTTCATGGATATTCTGCTCTGCTTTTTATTTTTTTCTTTTTATTCAGTCTGTTTTTCCTTCTTGCTTTTCAGTTTTGGAAGTTTCTATTGTCATGTTCTCAAGATCTGAGATTCTTTCTTCAGCTGTGTCCAGTTTATTAATGGACACAACTGAAGAAAGCATTGTTCATTTCTATTATGGTGTTTATTTTCTCTAATATTTCTTCTTCATCCATTCTTAAAATTTTATCTTTCTGCTTAAATTACCTATCTGTCCTTGAATGTTGTCTACTTTTTCCATTGGCACCCTCATCATTATTTTAAATTCCTAGTGTGATAATTCCAACATCCCTGCCATATATGACTCCAATTCTTATACTTTTTCAGTCTCTTTAAACTGGTTTTTAAATGGTTGGTTTTTGCCTTTTAGTATGCCTTGTAATTCGTTGCTGAAATCTGGACATGATATACTGGGTGAATGAAACTCCAGCAAATAGGCCTTTAGTGGTGTGATGGTAAGGTTAGGAGTTAGAGAGGGCAAGAGTTATATAGTTCTATGGTTAGGTCTCAGTATTGGTGAGCCTGTGTTCCTAGACTACAAACTATATTAGTGACTCTCAGTGTTATTCCCCCTCTCCCTTAGGTGGGACTGGATGGCTAGAGAAGACTACGATTGGGTATTTCCCTTCATAGAAAGAAAGAGCTAAAACTAACTGGAGTTTGGTATTCCCCTTTTCCAGGTAGGGTAAACTCTGATAAAATCCCATCAGGTTAGGCTATAGTAAAATAGATTCTACTGAGGACAGCCATTGTTAAAAAGAACAGAATGCTCTGCCATATGTTAAAATTATTTCTTTTCCTGTTCCCCTACTAAAAGCATGAAGATATTATTTTTTCCTAATATTTATTGTGAGGAGCTGGAATAGCTACTAAAAGTAAAACTCACAAAAGGATGGGGCCTCCCATGACCCTGTCCTGTGCTTTTTACTGTCAGACTTTTCCAACCTTAGCCTCCAGCAATCCATTCATTACAGTTTAGGTTTTCTTACCTGGACTCCTGCAGAGATTTCTGCAGTTTTGAGGATAGTAGTTTGTCTTGTGATGTCAATTTCTCTGACAGTCTAAGAAGAAATTTTTATTTTTGAGTTTTGTTCATCTTTTTACTTGTTGTTAAGACAGAGTGGTTGACTTCTAAGGCGCTTATATGACAGATTGTTTGGCATGCTTTTTAAGGTAATAGGGAGTTGATCATTAGCATATGAAATAAATAGAATCAATTTTAAACAGATATTAATAATTTTATCTGAATATTTGCCCCAAAATTTATATTATCAGATAAAACATATCACATATAATCAATAAGAACGTTATTATAAAAACTTTTAAAAATAAAAAGTTATCTAATTTATGCATTTTTCATTTACATATTTTATATATATATACACATCCATATATACACATGTTATATATAATAAATATAATATATAAGTATATAAACAGTATATATTGTGTATATATACTATAAATGCTACAAAAAATATATATATAATTAGTTTTTGGTATTGTATATGACATTAAATCTCATATTAAAATAAATAGAAAACAATATTTCTATTTTTATTTAAAAATCTTATTTGCAGTTTGCCAAATTGCAATTTAACATTATAAAATATTAATGATGGCTAAAAGTTGGAGGAGTAATTATACCAAATATTTTGTTTTTTAATATATATATAAATACACACACACACACACACATGCATATACTGAGGGTTCAAATATTATTCAGAGTTAGCTTCAACAATGCAGATTTTCCTCTGAGAGTTTCATATCTTAATCTGCAAAAAAGAAAAGAAAGTGTGGTTACATTATCATAAAGGATATAGCTTCTAGCTTCAGAGTGCTATACCTTGATAGGTATATGAATAAAACCTTGGGCATATTTCTTAATTATCAAAAATTCAATCTCTTCGATTGTAAAATGAGAATAAGTACCTACATCCTACATTTCTAGATGATGGGGGCGTGTACAAATGTGCATAAAGCACTTAACAACAGTGCCTAGCGCACGACAAGCAGGCATTAAATGACAGCTATTACTAGATATTAACTGGACATGTGTTCTCATAAATTCATATGGCCTGCTTCCTATGTTGACACTGGTAGGGATAAGGGAAAGGAAAAGCAAAGTATACGGGTAATTAAACTGCCCCTAAAAACCAAGAAATTCTATGAAGCAAAAAATAATAGGTAAACATCTCCAAGTATCAATTTTTTATGTATTATTTTTCCTTGCTTTTTTTTCCACAGGGTTCTTTAAGTTTTTCAGTATTTGAGAAAAAAATGTATAAAAGATGTCTTTCTGAAGCAAAAAAAGTAGTCTATTAAAAAAAAGGCCCCATCCACTTTATTTTTTTTCTCCAGAAATGCTGGGATTGCTGGCATTCTTTTTAGTCTTCCTTTTTCTTCTATTTGTTGATGTAAACACGCTCTCCATATTTCCATGAGCCATGTCTCACATATTATAAAAGGGCATGCTAAATATAATTAAAAGTAGAGGCAGAAGCATTACCAGCAAAAGAGTGGGTAGCACTAAAGCACAATATTAATATCCACAGTGAAATGTCATTGAGTCATCAAGGTTTGTGCCATATGGGTCTGTGGCTTAACTCATCCCCAAAGACTGAATTGATTTGCAATTACAGCATATTTTGGGGTTAAAGAAAAAAATGTAAAAATGGTAGTTAATCATCAATTAGGATCGCATTTTACCGTGCTGAAAGTTATTTAATAAAAGATGATAAGAGCAGGAACCCGCATCCAGGAACAGAGCCCTTTGCTCCTCCCTCAGAATGGAGACCAGAAATCAGATATTTATGCCCAAGAAAAGCAGGATTTCATTCGGCACTTCTCCCAGATCTTTAGAGTGCTGACTGAGGATGAGATGGGGCACCCACAGACAGGAGATGCTATTGCCCAGCTCAAGGAGGTCCTGGAGTACAACGCCAGTGGAGGCAAGTATCAGCAGGCTTTGAGAGTGCTAGTAGCATTCAGGAAGCTGATAGAGCCAAGGGAACAGGATGCTGATGGTCTCTAGCGGGCCCTGCTGTGGGATGGTGTGTGGAACTGCTGCAAACTTTCTTCCTGGTGGCAGGTGACATCACAGATTCATCTCTCACCCAATGGGGACAGATCTGCTGGTATCAGAAGCCAGGCGTAGGTTTGGATGCCATCAGTGATGCTATCCTTCTGGAAGCATATATCTACCGCCTGCTGAAGCGCTATTGCCGGGAGCAGCCCTGTTACCTGAACCTGATGAAGCTCTTCCTGCAGAGTTCCTATCAGACTGAGACTGGGCGGACCTCATTTCCTGCATCAGGACTTACTTTGGTCCTGGATGAATAATATTGAAGATATATGCTTAAAATACTTCTAACATCAGAATTTGTGCACGTGTTTTCTTCCCCAAGAAAGCTATAAATAGCAAAAATTTTGCTGTAAGCTTCCCTATGTTCTCTCTCCTTCTCCCCTCCCCTAAAACTCAAAGGAATGTTAAAAGCACGTTTCTCTGTGAGCGTTGGACCTTATCTATGCTCCCAGTTCCAATTCCTTGTAATCATACTTTGTAAAGTCCTGTAAAATCCTGTCTCCTTTGCCATGACACTGCAAGGTCATAAAGTAGATGAAACCTAAGTTACAATTCTGGTTTTCCTTAAAATCTAAGATATGTCACAAAATAATTTACTGCCTTTGTTTCTCGCTCTGGTAACATCTTCCCTCTGCACCTATTTCCCGCCTATTTAAAAGGTGATCGAAAAATCTAACACTGTCTACCCACTTGGGACCCCTTCCATGCTATGGAAGCTTTGTACTGTCACTCTGCTCAAAAAAGCCTACAGTTTTGTTTTGTTTTTTTTTCTCTCAGTCGTGTCCCTCTCACTTGCCGCAGGCTGCCGCCACACCAGTACTTTGGCGTTGCTAAGGCAAGAACCTTTGGCGTTACATAATGAGTATGGGTTTAGACAAAGCCATAGGTAGCAAATGATAATGAAGAGAGAAATGTGAGTTTAGCAGAAAATGACATGATTAAAAAGTCCATATTTGGTTTAACAAGATTGGTCCCTTCTGTGACCATGAATATTTTCACACCATTGTAATTTCTGCTTAATGCCAGAGAAATGCTACAGAAACTTAAAAAAAAAGGCAGTGGAGATTAAGGAAAGGATTGAGGGCAGGGGTGAGAGAATGTCTTCTTGGAGAAGTTTGTATTTTAGGCATACATTTAGAAATACGTAGGTTAAAAGGTAGGTTGGTGGGGCTTTGACAAGAGCTTCCCAGAATGAAATACATGGAAGGAAGTTTCTAGTTGTATGTTCAGGAAAGTAGACTTAATTTGATGCAAATAAAATGTGGGACATAGGGAAGAAAGTAATTTCCTTATAAATATTTTAAATAGTTTTGCATATATAGAAATGACACGGCTCATCAAAGCATTTAAAAATACTTATTAGATACTTTGAAGGGCAATTTCTTCACGTGTTTGGCAAGGCAAGATATTTTCCATTGTCATTAACTTTCATGTGATAGAAAAACTAATCTGGCCCCAATTTAGAGGTTTTTTTTTGTTTGTTAGCAATTATAAAGTCATTAAGAAAGTGTTCAGAATGTATTGAATAAGTGAATTTTAAGAAAGTATTTGAAACCAAAAAGAGTAGGCCTGCAGGGGAAAAAAAAAAAGGAGATTGCTACTTGCCACAGATAAAATGGAGAATACATCAATAAGTATGTTGTAGAATGCCATAAAAATTATGACATCTTCAGGGCAAGGCAATAGAAGAACATAACATTTTTTTTATAAAGAACATCAAGAAGGAATTTTACCCTTAAATTAATAGACAAGTGATTACCTGGTGAAAATGATATTTAAAGTGAAGAGAAAGTGACTTTTTCAGAAATGTCAAAAGCTCTGGAAAAATTAATAAATTGACTCTTATTTGAGAAGTCAGCGAATCTCTCAACAAGAGGTTTAAAATCAAGAGACCATTCAGAATGAAGCTGTGACTTAAATGGCAAATGTCTAAGAGAGAAAGAAGCGGGAAGTGATTACAGTAATTGACACAGCATTGTCCTTAAAGGCTATCTTGGCAGTTCTGGGAATGACTCAACATATAAAGGGTAAGTTATAAAATATTACGCAGCTCTTGTGTTGAGAATGGTATTCCAGCATTAGGAAAAAAAATATCTGGCAAAAAATGATAGGTGATAAAAATTCTCACATTCACAGGGAAATTAACCTGTTTGGCATTTTTCCTATATGGTGAGTTAGCAGCATTGAAGTTAAAATAAATTAGATATGTAAGCCCAGGAGAAGTTTTAGATGAAATGTTAATTGAAGTTAATCATGGCATTCACATATATGATGTATACTCTTTAGGTTTAATGACTTTTTTTTCCAGGCAATTCTCCTGCCTAAGCATCCCAAGAAGCTGGGATTACAGGTGCCTGCCACAGTGTGTTCCTAATTTCTTTTTTTTTTTTTTATACTTCTGGGATACATTTATCTGGGATACATGTATCTGGGATACATTCTGGGATACAGAACGTGCAGGCTTGTTACATAGGTATACACGTGCCGTGGTGGTTTGCTGCACCTGTCAACCCATCATCTTCATTAGGTATTTCTCCTAATGCAATCTCTCCCCTAGCCCCCCACCCCCCAACAGGCCCCAGTCAGTGATGTTCCCCTCCCTGTGTCCATGTGTTCTCATTGTTCAACTCCTAAGTATGAGTGAGAACATGCAGAGTTTGCTTTTCTGTTCCTGTGTTAGTTTGCTGAGAATGATGGTTTCCAGCTTCATCCATGTCCCTGCAAAGGACATGAACTCATCCTTTTTTATGGGTGCTTAGTATTCCATGGTGTATATGTGCCACATTTTCTTTATCTAGTCTAACATTGATGGGCATTTGGGTTGGTTCCAAGTTTTTGCTATTGTGAATAGTGCTGCAATAAACATTCGTGTCTTTACAGCATGTGTCTTTATAGTAGAATGATATCTAATCTTTTGGTTATATACCCAGTAATGGGATTGCTGGGTCAAATGGTATTTCTGGTTGTAGATCCTTGAGGAATCGCCACACTCTTCCACAATGGTTGATCTAATTTACACTCCCACCAACAGTGTAAAAGCATTCCTATTTCTCCACATCCTCTCCAGCATCTGTTGTTTCCTGATTTTTTGATGATTGCCATTCTAACAAGTGTGAGATGGTATCTCATTGTGGATTTGATTGGCATTTCTCTAATGACCAGTGATGATGAGCTTTTTTTCATATGTTTGTTGGCCACATAAATGTCTTCTTTTGAGAAGTGTCTGTTCATATCCTTTGCCCACTTTTTGATGGCGTTGTTTTTCTTCTTGTAAATTTGTTTAAGTTCCTTGTAGATTCTGGATATTAGCCCTTTGTCAGATGGATAGATTGCAAAAATTTTCTCCTATTCTGTAGGTTGCCTGTTCACTCTGATGATAGTTTCTTTTGCTATGCAGAAGCTCTTTAGTTTAATCAGATCCCATTTGTCAATTTTTGCTTTTGTTGCAATTGCTATTGGTGTTTTAGTCATGAAGACTTTGCTCATGCCTATGTCCTGAATGGTATTGCCTAGATTTTCTTCTAGGGTTTTTATGGTTTTAGGTCTTACATTTAACTCTTTAGTCCATCTTGAGTTAATTTTTGTTTAAGGGGTAAGGAAGGGGTCCAGTTTCAGTTTTTTGTGTATGGCTAGCCAGTTTTCCCAGCACCATTTGTTAAATAGGGAATGCTTTCCCCATTGCTTGTTTTTGTCAGGTTTTTCAAAGATCAGATATTTGTAGATGTTGTGTGTTATTTCTGAGGTCTCTGTTCTGTTCCATTGGTCTATATATGTTTTGGTACCAGTACCATGCTGTTGTGGTTACTGTAGCCTTGTAGTATAGTTTGAAGTCAGGTAGCGTGATGCCTCCAGCTTTGTTCTTTTTGCTTAGGATTGTCTTGACTATACGGGCTCTTTTTTGGTTCCATATGAAATTTAAAGTAATCACTTCCTCTTTAACACCCCAACTACAGAATACTTAAACATGTTTAACAGCATTTAGCACATTCTGCTTTCTATTAAAGCAATCTAGGTGGTAAAGTCTAGTCAATAAAAGGCCACAGGGACGAACCTGTAATCTCACAAACCAGGAGTATCTTTGTAGGATTTGGCTTTCCATGGGATGATTTTGAGAAAGGTTTAAGAAAATATCAGTTTTGGATGATTCACTTTTTCTCAGACAGGATTAGAATTGGGGATTAATTTGGCATTGGGTGCCTGCATAAAGTGAGGATGGTGTAGTAATTGGGTATCTCCAGTTATAAACACAAGAAGCATGATAGAGCTGGGAATGTGATTGCAGGAAAGCAATAGTCACTCCAAAAGGAGATCCTCATGATATGAATACGGAAGAAACAATATTTCCTGCTAATGTAGTAGCCACTGTGTTCTTTTATTATTATTATTCTATATTTATTTTTAAATTTTCATTGTTAGTGTTTTTTTAATAATTAGAGTCTTATTTCTCTCTCTTTTTTTTTTTTTTACTTTAAGTTCCGGGATACATGTACAGAATGTGTAGGTTTTTTACATAGGTATACACGTACCATGGTGGTTTGCTGCATCTATAAACCCATTATCTAGGTTTTAAGCCCTGCATGCGTTAGGTATTGGTACTAATGCTCTCCCTCCCCTGGCCCCTCACCCCCCGACAGGCCCGCAGTGTGTGTTGTTTCCCTCCCTGTGTCCATGCGTTTTCATTGTTCAACTCCAATCATGAGTGCAAACATGTAGTGTTTGGTTGTCTGTCCCTGTGTTAGTTTGGTGAGAATCGTGGCTTCTAGCTTCATCCATATCCCTGCAAAGGACATAAACTCATTCTTTTTTATGTTTGTATAGTATTCCATGGTGTATATATGCCACATTTTTTTAATCCAGTCTATCATTGATGGGCATTTGGTTTGGTTTGAAGTCTTTGCTATTGTAAATAGTGCTGCAATAAACATATGTGTGCATGTGTCTTTATAGTAGAATGATTTATAATCCTTTGGTTATATACCTGGTGATGGGATTGCTGAATCAAATGGTATTTCTGGTTCTAGATCCTTGAGGAATCGCTACACTGTCTTCCGCAATGGTTGAACTAATTTACACTCCCACCAACAGCGTAAAAGCATTCCTATTTCTCCACAGCCTCATCAGAATCTATTGTTTCCTGACTTTATAATAATCACCATTCTGAGTGGCATGAGATGGCTTCTTATTGTAGCTGTTGTTTTCTATGCCTGTCCACCCCATCTCCCCTCTAGCCTGATTAATGAGAGAGCTTTTTGTCTTTTTCAGTCCAAGCTTATTTTTATTTTCATTTTCAAACACTGTTTAGCAATGTTCCATGTGCGTACTATTGGCCCTATTACTTGTGTATAGGAATACTGTTTGTTCAACTTTTTCAGGGGAAATGATATAACCAATTGGTCAAAAGGCAGTTCTATAATTACATGGGTTCCAGTCCAGGTTCCTCTAATTTGCAATTTTTTGAATAATTTACTTCCCTGCGCTATCCACTCAGAAAGAAAATGAGAATAATAATACAATAGCTCATAATCTTGTATTGAATAATGGAAGTAATAATTTATAAATTGTGTTGCATAGCGATTAGCCCTTACAAGCCTTCAAAAAACATCACATGATATTTCATTATTCCTATATAGTTCCTACTACAAAGACCTATACATAACACTTATAATCACAGGAAAATAAAAGAGAAAAATATACCCTGTTATCAAAACTCTAAGACTATTACTATTTTATTGTGATATACTTACTTTCAGGTATATAATCAGGGATCATTTCCCATTTATTGCTTATAAAATCCAGTTACAAACATATATTTTAAAAATATTTTTAAATGTTTTACTATTTGTCATAATTTCTTTAGGGGTGATTTTCTGAAGGAGAATGGTTATTTGAAATAATGTGTCTATATGATTAAATTACATAAAAATGTATTATTGGAAATTAAGTGTTTCTTGTTTGTTTTTGATGAACACAGTCGAAATTTGTGAGGGAAAGTAAAAACACTAAGAAAAAAATGTAATAGAAATTGATCCTTTTCTTCAACGTGATTACCTAAATAATTTATCCTTTAGGATACCCCCAGTATATATAAATGTACTTCTTGCACTTGAACTGTGCCAGAAATACTTATTGCTATATAGGAAGTGCTCAAGATCCTTGAATTAAGCAATTGAAAAAATTTGTACCACCCTGTTTGTTCAAAAGCAGTGAAATTTAACAGACTCACGAGACCAAGGGCTGTGGCACAGAGAGACATTTAAGTCATAGATGATCTTCAAGAAGTTCAGAATCTTGTAAATAAACTAAAATTTATCATGTAGTTTTATCATCCAGGAATATTTCCAAACCGTTCAAATGGCTGAAATTGTATCTTCAAAGAAAGGCAGAGAGTGAGAAGGTTGGCGGGGGTGGGGGCGGCGAGAGAGAGAGATAAAGAGAGAGAGAGAGACAGAGAGAAATAAGGAGGAAGAAAGAAGGGAAAAGTGCATGATCACCCTGGCAGAAACTTAGTAGGGGTGTACTCATTTGTGAAAATTGACATTTTCAAACATGTCCTACTTGTGAATCATACATTTTACCTGATTCATTAACTCCATGTTACAGCAGCAGATATCCTGAGAGATGGAGATTTAGCCCTCTCTTACATTCTTGCATCACAAGGAACTATTAGGTTGGTACAAAAGTAACTGTGGTTTTTGCCATTATAATATAAAGAAAAAGCTGGAACATCCTTGCCACCTATCACTATTGTTCGGATATTTCAAAGGGGCAGTTTTTTATTCTTGAAGGTAAAAGTTATTTATCAAGTAATTTGATAAATTATCTAGAAGAGATATGGAAAACAAAAATAAATAGAATCAAATATACTTGGAAAACACACAACACTGTCTTGTTTTTACATACATTAAATACATTATTTTTATACACATTAAAATAATTTTGTTTTTTAAGTGAAGGAATACTTCAGTTCAAGAGTTCTGAAGCAAGGCTGCCTGGGTTTGAATGCCTACAACCATGTCTACTATGTTTTATCAAATTGAATACATTAGTTTTTAATGGGCATCATTACTCTACATACTATTGCCCACCCACCTGCAAATGACTTGTAGGATTACAATTATTTCAAGATGTATATTGAGTTCAGAGATGTAGTGATTTGGAAAAAAAATGTGCATATTACAGTTAATGAAATATGGCAGTAGCAGAATGGGCAAATCACGTCATCTACATAAATCTGAGCTTTTTTATTTTCAAAAAAGGGTGACAATAAAAGTACCCACCTATTTAAACTGTTTTGATGATTAAATAATAAAGTTCACGTAAAGCACTTAGAAAATTGCAAGGCACACATTAAATTTATTAGCTGGAATAAAAGCCTAAACCATTATGACTTTTTTTTTTTTTAAAAAAAGCAATATTTTAACTAAAAAAAAAGAAACAAAGAAGCATATCTTTTTCATATAATGGTTTTCCTGGGAGGCAGTAGCAAACATCTGGGATAATATGCGTTCTGCACAGTGGTGACTGGAGTCCAGTTCCATCAAGTGAGGAACCAGAAAGACAGTATATGGAAGAGGTCACAGTCTTACAGAGTCAGACCTCAAAGTAGCTCATTGCCATTCACTTTCCCAAGGGATAATTTAATTTTATTTGTCTATGTCTACTTCTAAGGTGGGCTGAGAAATGAATTCTCTAGCCAGAAAGCCACATGCCTAGGAGCAACCCTATTCCTAGGTAAAAACAGGAGAATGGATTTAGTGGAGAGCTAAAAAATTCTGCCACAGTACAAGTATATAGTCAATAAATATCAGCTATTGTTATTACTTCTAGCTACAATCAAAAAGATTGATGAAATGAGAAAATGCTGCATTCATTTAATAAAATTATAACGTATGAAAGGATTGTTCCTACCTAAAACATAAGATATCAAAATTTCATGTGTGACATTTTAAGTATATTGTGTTTTTAGTATTTTATCGACACATCATCTTTTAATGAAGACACAAGTGTAACTAGATCTCATTTTTTACCACTTGGTGATAAGAACAAGGCATATTTCCACTGCATTATTTGGTCATTTTCATAGTCATCTAGAAACGGGCAGCTATGCCTCTTAGATTTTCTATACATTATTTGGAAATACATTAGAAAATGTTCAATGATACTGGTGCAGGATTTTTCTCGACCTCTTTGCCGTATTCCCAACAGGGGCTCTCCGTCTACTTGACCCACTGCGCTCAGCCCCTTGTGGGAAGGAGCAGGTGAACGAGTGAGTGGGGGATCTGGCCAGCTGCTCTAGGCACTGACACAGGAGCATGCTCCATGAGGGGCCCATGGCCAGACCAGGTGTGTCATCTGAAGGGGAATGTGACGGAATCCAGGTGAGGGTGCCCACGACCCCAAAACCCCACAGTGGGTGTTACAGTACTCTTTTAGTTCTGCCACCGCAGTCTGATGGACGGTGGTGTGTTAGCAGCTCAGCTGGCCCTTTGCCTCGTTGCATGGGGCAGCTGCCTTCCACTGGCAAGGGCAAAGGGCCAATGTGACAGCCTTTTTGGATACCCATACTCAGTGAGTCCCAAGCTCTTGACCAACATACAAGAAGAATGAGCTCACAGGGGCAATTTAAGGATGGTGAAGGTGTTTAATTTCATTGAGTGATGAAAAGGGCTTTCAGTGCAGAGGGGAGTTGGAGAGGGAGTGGGAAGGGCAGGTTATCTTCTCCAAAGTCAGGGTGTCTCTTCCATGAAGTCAGGCTTTCTCCCTCTCTACTGACTGAGTCTGGGGTCTTTATAGGCACAGGGAGGGGAGTGCGTGCTGATTGGTTTGTGAGTATGCAAAAAATGTTAACTTGATGACACCACTCAAAGGTGGGCACAACACTGTAGAAAAAACAATTAGGAAATGGTGGGGATATGTAAAACAGGTGGAAGGTGGGGATCAATCCGAGGAAAGCATGCCACACGGGAGTACACGTTTTCAATCCAGTCTGAGGAGGTCTGAGGATTTAACTTGTAGTTTGGGTGTCAGGCTTTAAACTGTCTTCAGCTTGGAGGTGGGATTTCACTGGGTACCCGCCCCTATCTGCCTAGGCATTTGGCTGCCTTCTGTTGTTATCAGTATTTTCTTGTAGTTAAAGCTTATTTTACCTATGCATTTTATATAAATAGTATGGTCACAGTAATTCTGTAATAATGGAATCAAAATCTATTTATTTCAACAACAACAAAAAAACATCACCATGCTGCATATAGAGGACAGTTTCTGTCTTTTATACCTCATGGGAAACATGGAGTAGTTGCTTCACCATGTTTCTGTAAAATAATCTTTAAAATGCTTGAAGAATTCATTCCTTTGAATGCAGGAGCTTAGCAAGAAAGCCTTTTTTTCTAATCCTCTCTGTTTCTCTGCATTTGGTTTACACTTTTATTAATCTGTGGTACCTGACACTTAATTGAATCTCTACCTTTCCATTTGGCTGAGCTTTAGACCCACTGCCAATCTTGAGTAATTATTTTTCTATACATCAGCTGTTCCGATTCACAAGCAGGCTCTTCTTATGAAGTCTGTCAACCTTGAGAAATTGTTTTGAATAAAGCAATTCTTTATTCCTACCAATATTCCTTATTTCTATCCAATATTATACTGATCTGTAGAAAAATGTGCCTTCAACTTATATTCTGCTGGTGCTTTAATTCAGTTCAAACAATATTGTTGTTAAACAATATTTTCACATGAACAATTGTTTTTACTATTCCTCTTTTTGAAGTCAATCCATCATTAAACATTGTTTATGCTTAAGTGAATAATTTACTAGATTAAACTCATCTACCTAAGTTGAAATACTATGAACAAAAGATACATATTAAATATTAACTTTTAAACAATTTTTGATTCAAATCTATTTGGCTTTGAAATTGCTGAAATACTCTGCCTATTGTTGGAACACTATGTAATCTTCATCCAATGAATGTTTTATTTCTTAAGATTTTAATGAAAATCTCCACATATATATATATATATATAAACCTAAAATTTTAAAAGTCAGTTTTCTGAATAAACTAGAATGATTTTGTAATTGAGCTTATTCTGCAACTGGCAGTTCAATCCAGAATCTGTGCAGGAATTAAGGTCAATGTGAATCTTTCAATTTCTTTAGTTACTTTGTGTATTAAACCAGATACACAAAACGTAAAATACTATTGGCCATAAAGAGGGATGTTAAATAACGTATATTTCTTAAAAAAGAAAAACAACACTGGCACTGGTGTCTTGATAATTCTCCCTCTTTTTCTGACTCTTTCTAAAAATACAAGACATGTTAAGCATATTCTGAATTCCTCAACACAGTGTATGAGACCACAACCCTCAAATGGTAGGATCAAGCCTGATAAAGCATTCTCTGCACTAAGTACTAAACAATTTGTTTAAGATGTAGCTCATTTCTCACAGCTCATTAGCTCACTGAATGATTTTGTCCAAATTATGAAGGCAAAGTGGGTTTATATTCCTAGGGTGCATCTATTCTTCTTCTAGTCATGTAATTTCCACCTTTATCACTTGGTCTCAGAGCAAAGAGCCTTTTCACTAATGAAAGTATTTTGAAGCATTGCTAAAGAAAGACATAATGAGGATATATACTGAGTCAGTTAAAGAAATAGAGGAGACTTAAGAACCTGCATACTGAGAAAAAGACTTACACAAACACTTAACCCAAGAGCTCTCTCTGGGCTTCACGGTTTTGCTACTTTATTTAGAAAAGATAATGTGAATAGACAAAGAATTACGCCAGGGTTTAAGTTCATCTTGTAGCAAAGGAGCATCCACGTGTTTCTGTGGTTCGAAATTACAAAGCTATTTTTATATGGTTTCGTTAGACTGCTGTGTGTAGAATCAATTTACAGCAGGGACCTAAAAGCAAGGCATTTAAATGATTCTTTGAGAATGATTCCTGTACCATGTAGTTTGGGGAGGTGGCTATTAATGATAAAGAGAAATGGAGAGAAGTAACAAAACAAGTATATAAAGATATAGATTTTTATAAATAGAATTATTCAAGCTAAGTCTTATGAAACTTTTCACCCTCTTGAAAAGCACATGTATATGTGAAAATATAAAATTATTCCAGTTTGTGTTGTGTACATTTACAAAATAAATTCCGCATAACTTCATTTATATATATGCATATAAGTTAAATATGTACTTGGAAGAAAATGTAAAAAAAAGAAAATATGTAAGTAGAATTTACTGAAGGTCAAATCAAAATAAAATCAACATATTACCCAACTGTAATGTGAAGGGTAGAAATTGAAGGACTACTTTAAAATGAAACATCTAATAGATCAAAAAACAAAGGCAATTTGCTGAAAGTTCCAAAATACATCAAAAATAGTGAAAACATTTGTTGTATATATAGGAAAACTACTGACTATGGGTATTTTTTAATGGTAATTCCTAATTCTTCAAGGATATGACAAACCTAATTTGGAACATCAATGTGTAATATGATTGTACATGAAGTGAAAACACAGCTAAAAAATGAACAAATTAAACATCAGAAAATTGCCCCCAAAGAATAAGTCACATAAGTTATTTAATTTGTGTTGCATGAACTTATATTTTTACATAATAATATGAATGGAATAAAACATATAGTATATATTTTTTTTCTAAATGGGATCGAATAACTGCCTTGGTAGGAACACTCTACATTCGAATATTAATTACAATATTAAATTGATCTGTTGAAAAATGTGCCCTCAACTTATATTCTGCTGGGTCTTTAATTCAGTTCAAACAATATCGTTGCCAAACAATATTTTCTCATGAACAATTGTTTTTACTATTCCTCCTTTTGAAGTCAATCCATCATTAAACATTGTTTATGGTTAAGTGAATAATTTACTAGATTAAACTCATCCACCTAAGTTGAAATACTATGTTCTCAAAGAGAACAAAAGGTACATATTAAATACTATTTAAAAAAAATTTTTGATTAAAATCTATTTGGCTTTGAAATTGCTGAAGCACTCTTGCTTATTGTAGGAACACTACTTATAATCTTCATGCAAGGAATTTTTTATTTCTTTAGATTTAAAACCAAATCGCCACCCATACATATGAAATTAATCTAAAATTTTGAAAGCCATTTTTCTGAATAAACTAGAATGATTTTGTAATTGAGCTTACTCTGCAAATGGCAATTCAGTCCGGAATTTGTGCAGGAATTAAGGTCAATATTTCTTTGACACTTTAATTTCTGTACATTTTTGTTTTTACGACGTTTTTATTTCCTCTGGTAAAATTAATAAAATTCATGCGTGGTTGAACACTTGTACTCTGTTGGACCAATTAATTTTGAACTTTAAAATATGAAATGAGCACCTTTTGTTGTACTGTGACTATATTTCTATAAAAATTCACTTACTTTTAATTATAAAATTTTAGGCTATGTAATTAATGCATAAGAAGTAGATTGTCAGTCAAGTTAGAAGTCAACTGTTCTCAAATATTCAAAAGAGAAATTTTGAAGAACTTTAATACTTTGCATTTATCTATACATCTACATCCTATGGTATATTGTATAAATATTATTGGCTTGCAAATATAAAAAATATCTCTTTTGTTAAAAGAATAGTAAATAAATTAATTATGTCTAAAATACACATAGCCTGGTTTGAAATTCATCATAAGTTTTGAAATGCATGATAGACTGTAATGCTTCCAAGGATACTGTAATCATTAATCATGTTCTCTACTTGCAGTGTTTATCTGAAAATATTTCTTAAATCAATAGCTTGAAGAGACTATTTGATAGTGATTATTAGTCATATTTTATTTTATCAGACAAGCACTGTTTCAATTTAAAAGCATTTAGATAGCTCTTACATGCCTAAATCATTATGTACAGTCTTTACAATTTACATTATAAAGTCTCCTAAACTAGGTAATCATTATCATGATAGCAATATATAAGATTACAAGGAGCAGATGGCCTAACATCTTTCAGCTTTCATTGGAAATATTTTAGCAAAAATATATAGTTAAAATTTCTCAGTTATAAGAGATTGGTTTTCCGAAAATTTATGTTAATATTGATAAAATTCAATATAAAATTTACTAATTTTATCATGAATAGTTTTCAGTAAATCACTTCATGATTTTCAGAAAACACAGAGTACCATTGTCTAAATTATTTTATATGACTTGAAGGTTTTTGTTTTGGTTTAATATAAACATTTAGAAGGTTTTCTCTCAGAAAAAAAAAATCAATATATTCAGGGATATTTAGGCATCCCAAATGCTACATATCAAAATCCAAGTAATAAAGTGGTGGAAAATTGTAAAAGGTTATTTTAACATTTTCTTATTTTGTGTAACACTCTTTTGACTAAGGACAGCTATAGAATGCAAAGTTAAGTGAAAGTAAAGATCAAATAACTAGCTCATTTTACTCAAGGGAAAAACAAATATATTATCTCACTATTGTGATCACGCAAGGATAGTTTCAGTCCCCAAGGATACCCTCCCAAGAGCTCATGTATTAGATAGCAATGTATTAAGATGACTATAAATGATAAACTTGACATTCTTTTAATGCTACTCCTACTGTAAAATTTTTTTAAAAAGTGTTTGACTAGATCCTTCCCTGCTGTCCCATTTTTTTATTGTTTTGGTTTTGTGTTTTGGATTTTTTTCTTCTACACTGCCAAGGTTGCAGTGAGACTGAAATAATTAATGGGGATGGTGAAAGTAGGTGGATACTTACGTGATAATGGAATACCCTTTTAATTGTTTCTGAAACAATAACTTCCTGTCTTAATGAACATAATTTTTAACTCAATAACAGTACAAAGACAACAAAATCTTAAGCTTCAGAATTCATGTAATATATTGAATATACAAATGTTGCAATGTCATTTTTGTAGTAGTACTTTCTACTACTCCATTCCCAATATTCAGATATCATGATGTTGAGATAACATGTAATGTATGTATGGGTGTCAGAAGCAGAGGTAGTGGTGACCTCATTGTGACCAAATTGTAGGCAATGTGTTCTCTCCTACATCTCTTTGCCGTGTCACAAATATGCTAAGGTAACAGTATCAGGGAAGACGAGCATATTAAAAATCTTACATCTATTATTGGATTTCTAATATTATTAATTGACTCACAGCAAGTTGTGATTCGTTTCCATTCATCCATATATTCTTTCACTTATCCATACATAATATTTATTATGCACTTTTTCTTTGTCTGCCATTGCACCCTGGGAGTAAAAAGGTGAACAAAAAAAAAAACAGTACTTGCCTTCATAGAGCTGACAATTTAGGGAGGAGACAAAAATACGCTCAATAATGCTCAAAATAAATATGTAACCAAAAAATGGAAAAGTAAAAATGAGCAATGCTAAGAAATGGTGGAAGAACAGTATTTAACCTAGTATGAGGAAGAAAAGAAAGTTCTCTCCAATGAAACCTATAAAACGATCATGAAGAATGAATAGATTAAAAAAGTGAAAGCACATTTAGATAAAGACAATGCCAGACAGAGGTAAGATGGAGTGTGCTATGTTCGTGGAAATAAATGCAAGCCAGGGAGGATGAAACAAAAAGAATAAAGAAAGAGTGGAGGGAGAGGAGGTTGGAGACAGTAGCTAAGTGCAGATCATCCTGGGCCATTCTAATGGCAAGGACTGTGTCCGGAATTTATTCCTTCTGGTGGGTTCTTGGTCTCACTGACTTTAAGAATGAAGCCCCAGACCCTCGCGGTGAGTGAGTGTTATAGCTCTTAGGGACCCAAAGAGTAAGCAGCAATAAGATTTATTGTCAAGAGCGAAAGTACAAACGTACCACAATCTGGAAGGTAACCCAAGCGGATTGGCAGTGCTAGCTCCGGTGGCCAGCGTTTATTCCCTTATTTGGCCCCACCCACATCCTGCTGATTGGTCCATTTTACAGAGTGCTGATTGGTCCATTTTACAGAGTGCTGATTGGTGTGTTTTTACAGAGTGCTGATTGGTGCATTTACAACCCTTTAGCTAGACACAGAAGTTCTCCAAGTCCCCACCCTACCCAGAAGCCCAGCTGGCTTCACCTCTCAGGACTTTGGTACCATATACTCATTTACAGTTTCCATGCGAGGGAATTATATTAAGCTTTCTTAATGACATTCTGATTACTTGTCCAGGTGTGTTGCGGCTTCTTATTTCATTCACCCAGAAACTATTGAGTGATTACTCGGGATCCAGTGCTTTTTCAGCAAACCCAAATTAGTCACCCCAAAAAAGCAAATAATATAGACCAGAGGAACTAGTGTTGCTTACTCTCCTAGGGTATCAAGTGTTTCACAGTATAATGCATCCAAAAGGTAATGATTCATAAAATATCAATACTAATTAAGAAATACGGCAAAGTGAAGATTTATTCTACCTCAATTTCAAGTATTTGAAGGGACTGAGAGTCAAGATCATTTATAGTGCTTCTCTATGGTGACATTATTTTAATGGTGTCATTTAAATCCATTTTTGGTGCAATACAGTAATTCCTAAATGATAAATTACACTATTTAATATTTCAACAGAGACATTTGTTAGATATAGAGGTCCAATTTTTTAAATGAAGAGTTTAAAGATTTGCTTGCATCTTAAACTGAAATCCTGCATTAAATTAGTAATTTGTAAACTTACCATTTGATTTGTAAGAAATATCATATATTGATTGTAAAACAAATGTTATATGTTGTTTTTTAGATCCACTTAACTTTCAGTGTTCAGCAACTCCACGAAGAATCCACAACTTGAAAACAAAAGATGAAAAATGATGAGTTCACGTACATAGCTGTACTCTTAGTCCCAAACCAATAAATCTTTTGCCCTCTTTCTAATTTATCACATGTTTGTAAAAGAGATTTGCTTCTGGGGAGAACGTGTTAAATAGGGAAGTTCATATTTGAAACATTTACATCATTTTCTTGCCCTCTTTCTGTTTACCAACAAAACAAAATGATATTTGGAAATGAATGATTTTGAGGAAATATTATGAGTATATATTAAAAGTTTTGACCTTTTTCTTATTTATATGGTTCAAATGAGTGCATTGTGAGCCAAAAATGCAAGATGGATCGAGAATGTTCTTGTTCAACTAGAATTTGTTAAGAGGCTCCAAACTGCCGTTAGGAATCAGAGTTGGAGAGACAGTGATTTCTATGTGTATCTGAATGTTACTGTGTTCTGGCTGTTATGCAAAAAAGAAAAGGGCATAAATAGTCAAGCAGCAATAGGAAGCTTACTGGAGCAACAGTTAATGTTACAACTTGGTGACAGGTATGCGATTCCCATTATCCCATCACCACCAGAGGCAGCTGATAGACATCCAAAGTAAGCTCCTAGGAACCCAAATGAGACTGAGGAAAACACAGGGCCGCCCGTGCACTGTGGGGCTTTAAGAAAGAACCAGAGAACTTCTCCTCTAGTGTCAGTAGGGGCCAGCATACATAAGCAATGCCATAGTTCAGATGTTTGAATCGCGGCAGCCCTCTATAGCCAGCTCAGTGTAGGGGCTGAGGTTTGGAGGGGAAACTCTTTCCCCTGATATGTTTGGGGGCAGGGATACAAGAATTGCAGTTGCAGTTGTATTATGTAGTAAGATCTTTGCCACACCATTGGTGATGAATGAACTGAGACACGGGTCTAAGCTTTGAGACAGAATGAATTAAGCACTGGATTTGAAAGTGACCAGGACCCTCTCTAGGATTTTCTCCTTCAGGAGCTCAGCTATGGACAAGTTACCTCTTACTTGTCACTGGCATGTATCAGGGGTACTTTTACACCATTTGAAGGCTCAATAGGACAGGTATTAAAGACTTACAATTATCATTATAGTTATTTACCCCCTTTAGCCTCTATTTGTGTGTCTCTGTGGGAACTCATTCACATTCCTCAGGAAGCTGCTCACTTCTGTTTCCTCAGAATTATTTACATTTTGGAACATTTCCATACAGGTGTAGTAGGAGACATGAGCTATGATAAAATGGAGTCGGTTTACTAATATCTTCTGATCTTGTAATTGAATTAATGAAACTAATTTTTTACTCTTTTTGTAAACACTTTTTTTTTTTCCTCAAAAGCCTATTACTGTGGTTTGGTCAGTTTCAAGTATTATTAATATATATTGAGACGGAGTCTTGCTCTGTCGCCAGCCTGGAATGCAATGACGGCATCTCGGCTCATTGCAACCTCCAACTCCCTGATTCAAGTGATTCTCCTGCCTCAGCCTCCCGAGTAGCTGGAATTACAGGCATGTGCCTCCACACCCAGCTAATTTTTGTATTTTTAGTAGAGATGGGGTTTCACCATGTTGGCCAGGTTGGTCTCGATCTCCTGACCTCGTGCTCTGCCCACCTCAGCCTCCCAAAGTGCTGGGATTACAGGCTTGAGCCACCGCACCCAGCCTATTTATTTTTTTCTATTTTATGTAAGGAAAAATAATTGTGTGCATGAATACACTCACCCACATAGATGTATAATTATGTCAACTTATACGTAAACACAAATACTTTTATAAGGAAGATTAAGTCACACCATATTGTGTTAGTTGTAGCTGAGAATTTTTGTAAAGGTTTTAAGCATGCAGACTTTATTTTCCCTTGCATCCAACTGCTATCCCAACATTTTACAACAGAAAAAATAAAATCGTTGCTCTTTCTGACCCACTTTTTTCGCCTCAGGATATCTTTGTCTGTTCATAATTGGTTTACTATATTCACATTGTCAACAGAACTCTGTGCTTTTCAACATTTAACACCTGTGAAGAACTGTGACTTTACTGCAAGCAAAAGGCATGATTGGTTGCAAAAGACCTTTAGCTCACTAGCAGGTATGTTGGAGCGACAACAAATATCTTTCAGTTCAAAGAAATCTGAATCTGTAATTTACAGTTTTCTTTCTCTCACAATTACTGGCTTACTTTGTTTACTTTCAAATTCCTTGTAATATCTGGTGAACTTGGAAGATATATCTTTAGCTGTTTCCAGTATTCTCTCTAATTTTATTTTCATGTTTATTAGCAATTTTGGTATATATTTTTTCTTAGCAAAGATACTATATGTTTATTCAGTCTTCATCTTTCTTTCTAAATAATATCTCTCAGGCTTCTTATTTATGTGTACAAGTTCTATATTATATCAGCAAACAAAACAAAAACAATAATAACAAATGTTCATGAGTTTTTAGATACATTTCTCAAATGTAATGCTCCCAACATAAAAAATAGCCCAGTATCATGAAATCCTTGGTGGTGGAATGAAAGCGTAGGTCATTTTGCATGAGGGCAGTGGGGACTCCAGTAGGGGCCCTAGTGTGGGGTTAAGAACGTGTGGGCAACATGACCCTTTCAGAAGATTAGGAGGTGAGTGCATACAGGAAAGTCAATGAAATTTGTTGGTTAGCCTACCTAGGACAAAGGATTGAATTTTTTTTTCCTTACTCTTTTCTTTTGTCTCTTAACCATATGGTCTTTTCCTATAGACCTTCAGAGTTAGCAGGAGATGACTTGTAGTGGTGTAACACCTGTCAGCCTTAAATAACAAGATTCAGAAAATACAATTCAGCATAGAGTTTTTTCAACCCCAAAGCTTGAGGATGGCCACCCAGGAGCATAGATTCAAGTTGCTATGAATATGCACTCCAATTAGCAGCAGTTACAAGTGAGTTTTTAAGGGGGAAAAAAAGAGAGGCAATTTCTAGGTTGCTTACCAAGAATTTGCATCAAAATAATATAAGCTGTTAATTGATTCTACATTGTTCTTTGTATCGCAAATTCCAGGAACATGAAGATAATGGGTGAGGCAACTAGTCAGGGAAAAAAATCCTTGAAAAACTATTGTCCCTGGGCATAGGGGTTGGATGGGGGTGGAGTGGGTGTGACTGAAGTCCTATCTTCATACTCTTGTCTCTGGCATACCTCACATAGCTCACACTGGTCTCAGCTATTTTTTTCCTCACACCATAGCACTGGCCTGCTATGTATGCAGTGGGTAGACTGGCAGGGGAGGAGGTTAGATTCCAAAATTGTGTAGGGCTTTTATTCCCGACTCAAATATTTTACCATGATATTTTATATTAAAATTATTTTTAGTACCAACATGTCAAATCTGAAAATAATGTTTTGAGTTATAAAGTACCCAAATGACAGTGTAAGTGTTAAGGTATTTGAGACCAGTCATATCCAACCACAGTCTTCATCACTGCCATCTTCTTTCACCGTACCTCTTTGTTTTTTTCTCTTCTGTCAGCGATGTGAGTTTAACTCCAAGTGCTTTCTTTCCCTTTGCAGAAGGACTGAGCCTTCCAAAAGAAGGTCCCCCAAAGAATAGAGTTTTGCTTCACTCAATTCAAGTGGACAGTTTGGAAGGTGTTGAAGGTTTTTGTTTTGTTTTGTTTTTATGAGTTGGAGTCTTGATCTGTTGCCCAGGCTGGAGTACAATGGTGCTATCATAGCTCTCTGCAGCCTTAAACTCCTGGGGTCAAGTGATCCTTCCACCTCAGCCTCCCAAGTAGCTGGTGCATGACACTACACTTGTATAATTTTAAAAATTGCTTTAAAGTTGGAATCTCACTATGTTTTTCTTTCTTTTGCACCATTTCATGGATGCCAAGGAGCTTAGCTGATGTATCCAAATATGTATGTATGTGTATGTGTATGTGTGTGTGTAACTGTCCCACATATTTTTGAAGGTTGGTCAGCAGAGTATATAAACACTTGTGAGGATGGAGAATATAAACCAAAAATAAAATTATAAGCACCCCAACTTACTGAATGAACCCCTCCTCTTAGCCAAGGGCCTTCCAAAGTTAACCTGAAAAACTAGTTCAAACCATGATGGGAAGGGGGGTTGAGGAAGCCTCATTATACTCTCTTCTCTTTGGAATTCAGGCACAACTGACCAGCCTGAACATTAAAACAGAGATCTTAACACTCACAAAACATACTCTGTAGCAATAAGGTACCAAATTCGAACCTGACTCTCTAGTATAGCATCACATGATAGATAACAAACCCTGAAATTAAACAAAGTACGTTACCTCAAAATGTATTTCTTTGACATATCTTAAAATGACCCTGCAAAGCTGTCTATTGTGGGGGGAAATTTACATTTTGTAGAGAATCTCCTTCACTTACTAGGTCTTTTCAGGAGAGTCTATCACCTTTTAAGGTCTGATAAGAAGACCTAAACCATCTACTGTCTCTGAAGTAAGCTTCCTGGAGGCTTCATCTGCATGGGAAGAATCTTGGTTTTCACAGCCTAACCTTACCTTAACCCCAAGTATTTCTTTCTGTTGACTTGAACTCTTTAGGCAAAACTTAACTCTTTCAGCAAATTGCCAGTCAGGAATCTTTGAATCTCTCTAACACCTAGAAACCTCCTTACCTCCCTGAAAGCCCTTCTTAGAGATGTCCTGCCTTTCCACCCTGAACCAATATACACCTTACATGTATTCATTGATGTCTGCCTGTAACTTCTGCCTCCCTAAAATGTACAAAATAAAATTGTGACCAAGCCGCCTTGTGCAAATGTTCTCAGGACCTCCTGAGGCTGTCTCATGGGCATGTCCTTAACCTTGGCAAAATAAACTTCCAAACTGATTGAGACTTGTCTCAGATACGTTTTGGTTAACACAGTAAAGATTTTTATGACTGGCCAAATCTTTATTTCCTGAAGGTGATATGACCCACTTTTTTAGGAATCCATGAAAAATTTTGGAGATCCGCAAATGCATTTACTATCTGTAAACATAGAATATTATCTTCTATTGTGCATAAACATTTCTCAAAATGTTCACACCCTATTTCTTTAAAGAAAATATATATCCTCTACACCTGTTTGTGTTCCTTAATAACATATAATTGTCTCCTTGTGAAATCATGCACTTCTAGACTTTCCAGATATTCCTCACCTTCTGAACTTTTATATTGTGTTTTCTTGAATTAATTATTAATAAAGTCTACAATATTCTTAATTTTTCACAAATTTATTATTTATTGTTTATTCCCTTAAGTGTGACCTGTCTCTGCCTGTGTTAGTTACATATTGCTGCAAATTATCTCAAATGTAGTGGTTTATGAGAACAAACATTTATTATCATCCAATTTCTGTGGTCAGAAATTTGAAGCTGGCTTAGCTAGGCAACTCAATGTCTTTCATTTGGTTGCAATTAGGATGTCAGCTGGGGCTGCTGTCCTCAGAAGGCGTGACTAGGGCTGGCACCAAAGAGTCTCACTCACATGGCCATTGGCATAGAGCTCAGTCCCTTGCCACCCAGATCTGTCCACAGGCTGCTTGAATGATGTATTAGTTCATTTTCACACTGCTAATAAAGACATACCAGAAGCTGGGTAATTTGTAAAGAAAAAGAAGTTTAATGGAATCACAGTTCTACATAGCTGGGGAGGCCTCACAGTCTCAGCAGAAGGCGAAAGAGACATCTTACATCATAGCAGGCAAGAGAGAGAATGACAGCCGAGTAAAAGAGAAAACCCCTTGTAAAACCATTGGATCTCTTTAGACTTATTCACTACCACATGAACAGTGTGGAGGAAGCTGCCCCAATGATTCAATTATCTCCCACTGGGTCCCTCTGACAACATGTGAGAATTATGGGAACTACAATTCAAGATGAGATTTGTGTGGGGACACAGCCAAACAGTATCAAATGGCCTCTCAACATAGCAGAAAGAGCATGGCAGAAAGAACAATGCAATGGATCGTGGTGGAATTTGCAGTAATGCAATGCTAATAATAATGAAGTCTCTAAAGTCGCACACGCCATCAATTCTACTTTGTCCTACTCATTAGTAGTGAGTTACTAAGTCCAGCCCACTTTCTAGGGGAGGGACTTAGGTTCTACCTCTTGAAGGGAGAAGCATCAGAGTTTTGGGGGCATATTTTAAAACCACCACACTGCCTATAGTCCAGTGTGGGATCCTCATATTTATAAATCTAGGGCATCTCAAACTCTGTGATAGAAAGTTGTGGGGAAGGTGATACAAGAGAAGATGGACTCTCCTGGCTTCCTATCATGTATTCCATAATGAATTTCTTTCAATTACATGAAACCCTTCTTTTGGGTCCATATGATTATACTCAGTACTTTTCTAATCTTTGGATCCATATTTTCTAGAAATGTCCCTTCCACTTACAGATTTTAAGTAGCTCCCTACTACGGGCGCATTCCAACTTCTACAATAATCTTAGGAGAGTTTAATGTCTCAGAAAACTCCTTAAAAGGAATGACTTTTCTTAATTTTAGTGGCCTAGATTTCTGTTCCATTTGATTCACAAAGTACACATTCTCATGTAAATGATTCCGCCTCAGAAATTATCAAGTGTGGTATTCCTCTCTCAGGACACAACCTCTCTGCTGCTTCAGATATCTCCTTCCTTCACTTCCTCCACACCTGATCTTTAGCCTGGCTCTTACATATTCTCCACGATGCTGCCAAGAAAAGAGAGCAGAAGCATTTAGAACAGGAGTTACTTTTAAAAAGAAAGTTACTTTTGTCAAATGATGCTCCAACCTATAGACAAAATGAACTCTTTGTGGATAACTGAGATGCTTAAGTTAAAGCAAAACCAGGAGGCCCTAGCAGGATGGGGTGGGGAGGGTTGGGGGGTTGGGCAGTTACACTCCATGTGTGCTCACAAAATGTTGCAAAAGTATCACAAGACTTCCGTTCGTTTCTGCCATCAAGTTAAACCAAAATAGGCTACAGTGGGGAATCTCCCAACTGACAAAGGACTGACCACCTAGAGTCAGCCAATAAAGAGAGACTTGTGGTTTTAGGCTTAAGGGTTGTCCAATCAAGGCTCTGATCCCACTCCTCAGCCTTGCAGTTTTTGTCTTTATAATCTCTAACTCTCCAACGTCCCCTTGAAGAGCTTTTAACTTTGTCCTGAAAGCTACATCTCCCCAACCTGTAGATTGCTTTCCGAAAATAAGGTCCGTGCCCTCTCTCTCTCTTTTTGTCTCTGCAGATTTCATGGCCTTTTTTTTAACACTTTTAGAGAATGAAAGGCAATCAAACAAGAAAGTCTGGTTCACCAAATAAAAGAATACAACAACATTTAAAGAAAAAATATCTGGAAAAATATGACTAAGGTTATGAAATTTATGGTATATTCATGGTAGACAGTGGTAATATTTTATTCGCAAAGATCATGCTATAAATTCAGATATTGTCAAAGCAAATAAGGAAATTGAGGAGAAATGTCTTTGTTAAGAAGTTCAGGTTTATTGTTTTGTGTGCAAAATTTCTCCCTTCCACCTGCAACTTGGCTATGTAAGTTGTGCTTAATGATGTTGGAAGTAGAAAAAGCTACCAGTTGTTGTTTCTTCAGTGCTAAAACCACTTTCTTTGGAGTCCTCTTGACCTACCTCATGATTCATGGTATGAATAGTTGAGTCACGAGGTCTCTTAATCTTCTTAAAAAGAATCTATCACTCCAGTGTCAGTCACCAGCAACCTCAAAGCAATAAACATATGTAATATACTGAAGTGATCAGATACACCTGCTGCTGCCCTGTTCCACCTGAGACCTGAACAGATAAAAGTGAAACATCACAGAGATAAAATAAAAACAGACCCACCTGGGAGAATCATGAAAGCAGCCAGGTCCTGACCTTGTTCAAGAGGCCTTGGGAGGCTCTGCCTGAGAGAACACTGAGGACTTCTTTCAATTTTGGCAGCTGCTGCTAGAAGCTCTGGCTGAGAGAGGTAGCGATCGCCCAGCTGATTGATGTCTGAAGGACTTCCAGAACCTTTCAACTCTTCTGTTAGCATGTTGACCTCCCAAACCATGCTGTGTTTCGCCACCCTAGTCTTATTACTGCCTGTGTACTGAATACTAGTTGTTCAACTGGTAGTGTGTGAAGGTCTTGCAGCAAACAATGAATTTGAGCATATATAATTGGCTTTGAGTCACTGGGAAATCCTACAACTTAGTTAGGTCAGAGTTAGCACACCTAGAAAGTGGTGAACCTAATTAACATATCAATTGGTGTGGCTAATAACAGACATCATCCTAGATTTAGATCATCTTAAATCCAACAAGTATCTTTATAAGAGAAGAGAAGACAGACACAAATGGAAAAAAGCCAAGTGAAGATGAAGGCAGATTAGAGTGATCCTGCCACAAGCCTGGAGCCATTAGGAGATGAAAGAAGCAAGAAAGCCTTCTCCTCTAAAGCCTTCAGAAACAGTGTGGTCCTGTCAACACATTCATTACAGACTTTGGCCTCCAGAATTGTGAAAGGGTACACTTCTGTTGTTTTAACCCACAAAATTTGTAGTAATTTTTTATAGCATCCCCAGGATACTAATGTAGAGTGCAAAGTGGGGGTATGGCACGTGACTATAAGGTGAAAAGTGGTTGGGTGGGGAGGATTCTAGCTGAATCCTCTAAGGCTAAATCCTCTAAGGTTATTTAAAAGTAAATAGGCTTTTCTAATGGGTGGATATTTCATGATATTTCATCTGTGGCTGACTGTTTTTATTTTTTTTTCTGAAAATATTTTCCAAACCCAGAGGTGAGACAGAGTTTATATGCATGTCAGAGAGAATTCTAGGAGCAGACCCCAGGAACATTCTGGAAGTGCCTGGGAGCCCACAAGAGCCAATGTAAAGATATTTACATACGCCCCTATTTTCTGTCCATTGCCTCATTTTTGTCTGCTTCTGTGCCATATACCCTGGAGTCAGGATCACTGTGGTTCAATATTCCCAGAGACTAAAATTCTGGTCCTCTTAGAAGCCTGGGAGAAGAAATGATTCAGCCATTCATCCAGTTCTTCTAACTTCAGCCCCAAATTTTTCACCTGACCTCCACAGTCCCTCCAAACTCAAAACACCTCAAGGAGTCAAGTGAATGCGACTAGTTTTATCTCTATCATTACCCCTCTTCATCCTTAGGTTCCAGCTTTCTCTGCTCTGCTAGAGTCCATTTCCTCCCTTTCTTTTAAAATACATAGTGACATTGTTTCTTCAAGGTGTTTTCTTTTCTATTTTTTTTCTCATGGACCTGTATGCCTCTTGCCATTTTAGTTGATGTTCTAAAATGCAACAAAAATAAACAAACTTGTTCACTCTGATGGTCATACCATCATTCTCCTCTTTATATTTTATCTAATTTACTGATACTACTGTCCATCAACTTACCACAGCTACAAAGCTGAAATTCAAATGTATTTCTTCTCCCTTGTCTCCCATACAACTTAATCACAAAGACAGACATATCTTGCCTCATTAAAAAAAAATCAGTACACTAATCTCTAATGCTAATGATACTGCTTTAAAGGCTTCTCATCATCTGTCAATCAACTACTGGGACCCATTGTCCCTCCTTTTAGAATGCATCCTCAAACCCATCATCCACTAATCTGCAGGGTCATCTCTCTCATATGCACTGCTGATGGTGTACCTTCTCTTTTCAAATCCTTCAAAAGCTGATCTCATGGGTCTAGATCAATGTGCAGCTTAGCATGGAACACAGGGCCTTCCTGGGAGGATCTCTTGACATTATCTCATCCATAAATTTTCACTGCTCCCAGGCTTATACTCAATGTTCTAGAATTATCTACAATCTCCATAACTTTGCCATTTCCTCAGATTAAAATGACTTTCTTACTTCATCTTTTCAGTCTCTGATTTTCCAAAATAAATCAGGCCCTTTGTTTTCTCCACCATGAAACCTTCTTTGTTCCCTGCCTCCCCTACCCAGCCTATCTTGCTCAACCTTGCTGACTTAGTCATTGATTATTTTCTTTGATCCTGGAAGCTACCTCCATTATTATCTTTATCATAATTATTTTTAAATTTTTTTCCTCCCTTTGAGAAGTAGCTGTTTTACAGTAGGTACTGGTTCTTTATTTAAAGTTTAATTATTGCTTTTAACATAGTGATAAATACATAATTGAATTTAAAGAAAAATTAACAGATCTCTTTGTTCTGAATAAGGAAGCAGCCAGAGAGGTGAGAGTACGCTCTGACATTAAAGTAGGTGGTAATGTGTATTCCAATTCATTTTTGTCTTTTTCTAGTACTAACAAACTTCATTGCTCAATGCTATTACTTATTACTTCTTGAAATGTTGTCTCCTACCTTCTCCTACTAAATACTCCAACTCAGGTCAGATACAGTGCATTTTCAAAGCTCCCCATACAAAAAAAGTCTTATATTAATATGATCCATCAGAAATAATGACATTCAGAACTTATTCCTTTTCTGTGCTGCAAGGTCAATTTTCCTACCTCTATTGAAGCATTCATCACTCTAAGCAGCAAAGCAAAATCCTCCCAGAACTTAAGAATAGAATTATGGTAATATCAACTTGCAGTGGTTGACCTAGCCTTGCATAAAGTAGAATTATTCCAAGCAATAACAGACAAATGGGTGATTAAGCATTTTTTTTCAAAAAAGAGGTCAGGATCTTGCTTTAGAAAAAGACTACCTGTATGGACAGGCTTAAGTCTGTTGTAAAATTAATGTCTAAAATGAAGAATGTTTCAGTCAGGAACAAATGAATGTTCAGTGGAGAAAAAAGGGAAACAGTGGAATTCTAATATGCATCTAGCATTGATTGGGGAGATGACCGTGCTGAAGAGTACAGACTTTCTATCAAATTTGGAGGAGACACACACATCATACACACAGACATGCACACACACAGGTGCATTCTCAGATAGGTTGATGATATCACTGATGAATTTTGGTTCTGTTTACATAGCTCTTTCTTTCATTATCCTGAGAAGATAAAGTTGTTCTTTCCATTTATATATCCAAGCATACATTTACTGCTCAAGAACTTTTATTAAGTGGGTGTGTATATGTACAATATTTTAAACACAAACATATGTTGGTATATTGATTATAAATCTCAGTTACAAACTATGATTACATCAGTTCAATTCTTGGGTTGTGATTTTATAAGCCTTATGAAAAACTATGTTGATAGTGAGATTGCTCGACAGTTTCTTTTATACTGTTTTTCTTTCTCACTTTGATTGTTATTGTGCATTCCAAGGTAACCCTTTTATAGAAGCAGAGCCAAGAATAACAACATTATCAATCTTCTCTACTTTCAAGTTGAAATGTGATGTATCAGTCACTAATATTCCAAACACTATGAAATAAATTGTCTGGAGCTTTGTGGCTCCTTCTTTTTCCTACCTCCTTTGTTTTATTTGCTTTGTGGTGTATAATAACCCTTGACATGTTATATTTAATTATTTTAAAACATGGTGCATCACGTATGTCATGTCCCAGGAGGTCATGATTTAACATGGAGGAGAGGAATATTCTTCAGAAACAAAAGCAGATGCTAGAGAATTGAAGATGTCCACACAATTACCCAGTGTAACAAAAATAAGCTATATACATATTCTTCCTGACTTTTCTTTCTTCATTGTGTGAAGGACAGTTTTATGTCTAATTTTCTCTTTGGGTTCATCATTTTCATGAGCATGTAATGTGCCAAATGTGAATACATCTAGTAGATGCAGTAGAAGATGCTAACATTCTGGATATATTCCCCGAACAGCCTTAAGAATTCAATCCTTTATTACTATATCTCACTATACTTGCAATGTTGTAAATAGAGAAAAAATAAAATGGACAAGATTAAAACTGTAAATTATTGCAACTACCTCCCCCCAAAATAAGTGCTTAAACATGATAAGAATATTTCCTTTGTGTTTTAGAAACAAATGTTGCACTATAATTCATACAATTTGTTCTAAGTCTAAAAGAGTCCCAAAATACTAATATTTAGATATTTAAAACTGAAAATAGATAGACCTATATCACTGTAAAAATATAGACACTGGACTTTGCAAATCATGAATCAACATTGGGAAACAGTCATTGTACACATCAGTGAACATATGAAATTCAAGGAGGACAAAAGAACAAACCCAATAGTAGGGATCATAATTCAAATCAACAAGTCAACAAAGTCTCACATCGCCTTTTAAATTTTTATTTACAAAAATTTTCTCACTTACTACCTTCAGTTTGCTCCGGCCTCTTGTTTTCCTTTCCCGTTTATCTTTATTCTTTTTGTATACCCTTTAAACTCATATCCTTCATCATTTTCCACAAAATTACTTTGTCTTTCATATTTAGAATAAACTTTAAATTGAAAGCAATAGGATTATTAAAAAAATTTTAAGGTGCACGGAAGGACACAGACACCTGATCGTTAGGAAAACATAAACAAGAGGTCTTGAATTGGAAGGAGTCATGGAAGATCTGCAAACCCAACAGTCTTCTGTGTGTTTCTCTCTTGCTTTCTCCATTTCTAATCCCCCATTCTTTGTCCCTTCTCCCCCTTCTCTGTCTCTCTCTCTCTCTCTCTTTGCTTTGTGGTGTGTAATAGCCTTTGACATGATATATTTAATTATTTTAAAACATGGTGCATTACATATGTCATGTTCCAGGAGGTCATGATTTAACATGGAGGAGAGGAATTTTCTTAGGAGAGGAATTTTCTTCTACCCCTCCTTCTCTCTTTCTTTCTCTCCCCCTACCTCCTTCCCTTTCTGTTTCTTTCTTCTTTCTCTTTCCCTCACTCCAGTCTCTCCCTGCAAGCGTGTCTCCATCTGGAGTATCTGCCTTTGATTTCTCTGCCTTGCTCAAGGTCCAGTGTGTGATCATGCCATAAAGCACATGCCTTTCCAGCTTTAACGCTGTCATCAGGTGACTTAATTTCTTAGCTTTTCAAGTCCATTGAGTACCATGTGATTTGTCTAGCTTCTCTATTTAACAGAAGCCACAAATCAAAGGTAGTTAACCGGGTTATTGAATGGTTGTCATTGAGTAGGATTTATACTGCTTTATCAATTGTCAACAGCTGCGGAGGACAGAAACACAATGAACAAAAAAATGCAGCTTTCTCTTCAGGTGGTGATAACAAGTTCTAGTACACATAGAAATCCTCCACTGCTTTATTTTCTCTGTACATTTGATTTCCAGTCACAACTTGCCTTTATATCAATTCAATCAACACAGAGACTATTGACTTTATACAAAGCAATTATTAATTTCCTCATCCTCACATTTATTTCACACTGTTAAGCTGAATTTAACTTTGATATCAAATGAAGTTTATGTTCTTGATAATATTTTCAAAACAAATTATTCAAACACGTAGAGTGTGTGTCTTCAAAAAGTAACATTCAAAACAAATGGGGCTGGGTGCAGTGGCTCATGCCTATAATCCCAGCACTTTGGGAGGCTGAGGTGGGTGGATTGCGTGAGGTCAGGAAGGAGTTCAAGACCAGCCTGACCAACATGGTGAAACCCCATCCCTACTAAAAATACAAAAGTTAGCAGAGTGTGGTGGCACATGCCTGTAATCCTAGCTACTCGGGAGGCTGGGTCAAGAGAATCCCTTGAACCCAGGAGGCAGAGGTTGCAGTGAGCCGAGATTGCGCCACTGTACTCCAGCCTGGGTGACAGAGCGACTCCCTCTCCACAACAAAAAAAAATTGACATTTTATTTTAACCCATTATACAATCTTCACCTTCAAAACAATTCCTTGATGTTTTTCACTGTAGTCAGTAATCTGGTGTTGATTGAACATTTGACTTCTGCATCATAGAATGCATTATACTAAGGTAAGACTCTGCCACACTGTCTGATTACTTTATCCCTGCCCTTCCCTATTGGGTAGGTATTTTTGACTAGTTACCTCGTGATTTCAACAGGGAGCCAATAGAAATTCAACAATTAGAAAGCCATGTAGAAATAATTAACAGCTATGTAAGTATAATACCTTGTCTAAGAAGTAGAACTAAATCAACCCCTAGCTACTCCCCAGGACTTTATAACTTAAATGTAGCCCAAAGTAATCAAACAATAGTGTCAACTCAGCTAAACTTCTTTCCCCCTGTGTTTTGTGAACGTCGGAAGATTTTAGTCTGGGCGTGGTGGCTCATGACTATAATCCCAGCACTTTGGGAGACTGAGGCAGGTGGATCACCTAAGTTTGGGAGTTCGAGACCAGACTGACCAACATAGAGAAACCCCGTCTCTACTAAATAAATAAAAATTGTAAAACCTCATTAAATCCCACATCTCATTTCAGTCATCTTTCCCTTTCACAGTTAAATCTCTTAAAAGACTTAAATCAGTGATTCCAGGCCTTTACCACATATTGTTTATGCTACTGCAATCTGATTTCCTGCCTCCACCACTGTATTTTGCTCTTGTCCAACAGAACAGTGCTAACTTTTCTGTAAAGGGTAACTTTTCATACCTTATCTATCCTGACTTGTCAGCATTAGTTGTATTTATTGAGGACCCTTCTTCTTAAATGATTTTTTTTTCCATCCTGGATGTCCACTTTTGCTTACTGGAAATTAACCATTCATCCACCCATAGAATTTGCTGTTTCTTCAGAATTCTGTCCTAGGCTTTCATCTCTTCTCACTTGAACACTTGTGCTAGGTGATCTCCATTATTCCCATTATTTCTGTTACCATCTCTATGAGGCTGTCTTCAAAATACATCTCCAGCTCAGCCCACCTTAATGAGCTCCAAGTCCATGTATCCACGAGGCTCCTGCAGATCCCAAAGCACCATAAATATCAACTAAGTTCTCTACATGTTTCTTCTAATTTGGTTTTGTTCGTGGTTCCTGTATTTGGCAGGGCTTCCTGGAAATGGACTTACAGATGGAAATTTGTAGCTAGAAAATTTCAGGGGAATGCTGCTGGTAGGAGAGTAGGGAGAGTGGGCTTAGAAGAAAGAGGAGCTGAATTTCAATGCAGTTGCAAAATAGGCTTTAGTTAATACCACAGTAAGCTCTAAAGCTGAAACCTTCTGAGTTGTTCCAAATTGAGGCAAAACAGTTGTGTCTTTATACCAAGGCATTCACCATTTTGCCTGACCATTGAAGGATGGTTAGGAACCTTGAAAGATGTATTTCCTTTCGGAAAGACAGATCTTTAGGAAAGCCTCAGATGAGCCAACAGCTGGCCTTAGTGAGCTAGTTGGCATCATTCCTGGTAGCTGGATGAATGAATGCCTCATTTCCAAAGAGTGATGTTGGAGGCTCAAGAAGTATCTATTGCAGTACACAATATCCAAAACATGAATCAACCCCAGCTTGGTACAGATTCTCTAAGATTCGTATTCTCTTTCATGGAGAAACTTAGAAGAGGAAGGTTAATTGGACAGAGGAAAGTTTTACAGTGGTGTAGCAATTCTGCAGGCAACTCTTATCATGTCTGCCTAGTTTACATGACCCACACCCTCTCTTCACATCTCTGTTAGCCTAAGTGCATTAGAAGGTAGAGTGAGTCATACATGCATTCCAGAGGTGTCTGGGCTTATCCATCTTCTGCATGCATTTCTCAGGATGTGACTACTGCACTTGTCCATTTGAAATACAAGTTGGACAGGAGAGTAGCAAGAGATACCCCAATGTTTCACCTGAATATGAAATTAATTCTTCCCGGCCTCCCCTGTATAATATCACCCCTAGTTCCTCCCTTGCTAATGGTGACACTCTTCTTTGATATAGAGAGATATAATCACTAGGTGGCAACCACAAATTAAAGTTCAGTGGTACTCTTACTATGCTTCCTGGTGAAAGCATTTCTTCTCAGGAAACTAGAAACTTTTGACCCATGGAACCTAAAGACTTGGAGACAGGAAACATGAATTTCCCATGTTGGAAGTGACAATGGGTGAAACACTTCTATTTTCATTCTTTGATATCTGCACCTGTGTATTCTACCTACTGGGGACACAACACCATAAAATGATAATTACTTTGAAATGAATGCTGCACTATGGAACATGGAACCATGGAACCCCATCATTTAAAAGTATCACTTCCAAAAGGGTGCATCACCTGCAGCTTTAAAACATATTTCTTTGCTCTATCGGGATAGTAGTTTCTGGGTGTTATGACTTGCAATGTGACCGGCAGATTCCATGGTCATGAGTTCCTTGTCAAAAAAGACAGTTTTAAAAAATCAAATGTGAAATTACACATCTGCAAATCTATAAATTTTATATGGCTAAAGCCCTGTGGGCAGGAAAGACAAACCCTTAGCCGGAATAGATACTGATCTCATCAAGAAGAATCACTGACCTTTCAGATTAAAAGTAGTAATACCTAATAAATGTGCCAACAGGTTTTGGGGGTTCAACATTGATTTATTCTATTAGATATTTGAACATTAGGCTTGGGCAGTAAATAGCTATGATTTCTGCTACTATGGCTACTCTGTTATGAATTATTTAGCCAATATGCAATGACAGAGGTTTGCTGATGCCTGTCAACTATGCCATTCTGTTTACATGGTTGCTTAGTACCTGTATTAGTCCATTTTCATACTGCTATAAACAACTTCCAAAGACTGGGTAATCTGTAAAGGAAAGAGGTTTAATTGACTCCCTGCAGGGCTGGGGAGACATCAGAAAACTTACGATCATGGTAAAAGGGGAAGCAAACACATCCTACTTCTCATGGCGGCAGGAAGGGAAAGAATGAGTGCTGAGCTAAGGGAGAGCACCTGATAAAACCATCAGATCTCATGAGAACACACTCACTATCATGAGAACAGCAAGGAGGAAAACCACTCCCATGATTCAGTTACCTCCCACAAGGCCTCTCCCATGACATGTGGGGATTATGAGAACTACAATTCAAGATGAGATTTGGGTGGGGACACAGCCAAAGTGTATTAGTGCCCACTCCAACTCTGAAAATTGTGTATCATCCCAATTGGTGTTCTTATCTGAATTGCAGAATTAAAAAAAAAAACAAAAACAAAAACTCTACAGAAAGAGTGGAATTATTAGGTTGAGAACCCAACATGTCCTGGAAATATTCTACACTTATAATTAAATTTTGTGCCTTATTTTAAAGTTTCTGCCCTTTAAGTACCAAAAATAAATATCTTTTTCAAGGCAGCCTTCTCACTTTCACAGTCACTTAAACTTTGATTAACAATGTCAGTTTCTCCTTATCTTTCTCCAACATATATTTGTAGGACTTAATAACAGCCATCTGATACCACAGTCCTTATGACTGCCAATTCCCACCACAGCTCACAACTCTTCTGAGCTATTGCACAATTCAGTTCATTTCATTCTGTCAGTATCGCATCTGAATTCCTCAGTAATCAATTGTACAACTGTAGTGAGGGGCTATCACTACTCCATGTGCCCTCCAATTTTGAATTCTCTCTGTCTCGGTAGTTTAATGGATCCAATGAACATGAGTCAGCTTTAGAAACAGTGCTCTATGTTTTATTATTCAATGCATGGTGATGCCCATGCATCAGTGACAACTTCAATAGTTTTTGAAATGTCTGAGTACTCTAATTTTTCTACTGTATGATTGCCGTGTAATTGGCATTAGGTGCATTTTGGGGAGAATTATTGCGACAACATTTTTTTTTCAAGAGGGCCTCTACTTCAATCAAAATTTCCAAGTCTGAGTACTGGCTCAGCTCCAGAAACTGAGCAAGTGATGATGAATTTTATTGTATCATCTGCACTTACCTCCTGATCATTCACCTTTAGTGTATGTACATGTTTATCCTATACATTGAGAAATACTCTCATTGGCTACCCATCTCCCGTCCTCTCAGAACATTATGTTCTAATCATTATTTCCATAACCCTCTGCAGTTGAGAATTTCTGTCTCGACGTTGTTTATTGCTTAATTGTACTCCTGCTTTTTCCTGTATTTAAACATAGCCAGCTGGTCCCTATTATTTTGAGATCCAATTATTCCCATTGTTTCCTGTTGTTTTTAAGAAGACCAATTCTATAACGAAATCCCTTATTGTCAGTCATGTCCTAGAGAGGACAGCCATCATTGAGCTTTGCAGCAATGCTGTTGTCCCTAATAATAGAGTGTCTTCTGAGTTCTTATGTAAAACATCATCAGCTGGTGAGTTTTCTGATCTTATGTCACATGTCTACTCTACAATGATCATTTTCTAACAAGATATTTCTGCTCCCCTTTTGACACAGCCCTGACAGAATCCAGTCCCTAGATACTCTGCTGGCTTTTCCTAGTATATGCTGACTAGGCCCCTTTCTTCCATTAGCAGGACCAGAACTAATTTTACTTAACCCTCATTAATAATCTGATGACCAAGAAAAGAAGAATGGATAGATCTCTAAAAAGTGGTGGGCTCTATTATCAAGGAGGAGGTATGTAATTATGATACATAAGGGGTAAGATTCAGACTTATATGAAAAGAATGAGGCACTTCTTCAGGCCCAGGGAGTTCTGGAGATCTGGGGTTTTGTTGTTGTCAAGGACATTGACTCAGAAGTTCCCCACTCCAACTCTGAAATTGTGTATCATCCCAATCGGTGTTCTTATCTGAATTGCAGAATTAAAAAAAAAAAAAAAACCCTACAGAAAGAGCGGAATTATTAGGTTGAGAACCCAACATGTCCTGGAAATATTCCACACTTATAATTAAATTTTGTGCCTTATTTTAAAGTTTCTGCCCTTTAAGTACCAAAAATAAATATCTTTTTCAAGGCAGCCTTCTCACTTTCACAGTCACTTAAACTTTGATTAACAATGTCAGTTTCTCCTTATCTTTCTCCAATATATATTTGTAGGACTTAATAATAGCCATCTGATACCACAGTCCTTATGACTGCCAATTCCCACCACAGCTCACAACTCTTCTGAGCTATTGCACAATTCAGTTCATTTCATTCCGTCGGTATCACATCTGAATTCCTCAGTAGTCAATTGTAGTACAGCTGTAGTGAGGGGCTATCACTACTCCATGTGCCTCCAATTCTCTGGTCCTCATGGCCCATCAGCCAGCAAGTAAGTGATCCAGTTTCAAAAATTACCTCTTTAAAGATCATCTCCCAATACAGTCACAGTCTGAGGTCTTAGGACTTCAACATATAAATTTTGGTGAAATACATTACTTCTCCAAATGTGGCTCACTCAAATGTAGGCTTATCTATATATTATTTCCTGGGTTTAACTCTCCCAGTCTTTCAGGTTTGGAATGGAATTCCATTCTCACTTTCCTTATATTTGTAAAATTGAATTAAATGGCTTTCAATTGAATTCCCATTGCATTCTTACCATTCATGCCGTAAAACTTTTCAGATGTTATTTAATTATTTTCATACTCATTTACTTCCCTGTTATACTGTAAATTCCAAAGGGAAAGAACTGTTATCTTATTTACTATCAAAGCCTCAGGACCTAACACAGTACCTAACATCTATTAGAATCACCATAAATAATTTGATCATATCTTTTTATTGCATTATTAATGACTTGAAGGCAGAGTGTGTGCATTGTTCAACATTGAATCGCAAATACTGTGTTAGCCAATTTTCATAATGCTATGAAGAAATACCCAAGACTGAGTAATTTATAAGAAAAATAGGTTAATGAACTCAAAGTTCCACATGGCTAGGGAGGCTCACAGTCATGGCAGAAAGCAAAGGAGGAGCAAAGGCACATCTTGCATGGTGGCAGGCAAGAGAGTGTGTGCAGGGGAACTGCCCTTTGTAAAACCATTAGATCTCAGAGATTTATTTACTCTCATGACAACAGGATGGGAAAATCTCCTCCCATGATTCAGTTATCTCCCACCAGATACCTCCCATGATACGTGGGGATTATGGGAGCTACAATTAAAAATGAGATTTGATTGGTGACACAACCAAACCATATCACATAGCATCCAAAACAATTCCTATTTACCCAATGGTAAGTATATAACAATTGTTTATTCAGATTTACTTAACTGATTGCTTAAAATATTTTGTCAATTTATGGAACATCTACAGAAATTTGATTGCTTCAGGGATATAGTCATTAACTCACTTTACTTGTGTACTTTTTTATAAGTTCTGATTATGCTTAATTTTGTTTTCAAAAATGGGTCTTAAATGCTAGGTGTGTGAAAGAGTTGAATTTCATAAAACATTTCTCAGTGTCAATCTTTTAATATTAATTATTTTCCTCAAACTAGTGTAATAAACCTTAATAAACTATTTGTATAAGGAACTTTTTTTCATTAAATTTTACTGAGTTTAAAAAAGCACTTTAAAGGATTTTTTTGAAAGAGTAACATAGTACACCTAAAAAGTTATTTATAATACAATAAAATAAGATATCCAGGAAAGCTGGAAGAAAGGAAGTAACTGGAAATATGGGAACAAATATCTTTGAGCATCATTTTTTTTTTAACCTCTGAACTTTTTATTGGCCTCCTGCTCCCCAAAGGTACTCTGCTTCTGCTGGCTTAATGTCTGAGAACTTCGGTGTCATTGGTCCCAGACACCACTTTGCCATCCACTGTCTGGCAGGTGGCAGTCTTTTGGATGGTTTGCATAGAGTTGCTGCTGTCCAGGGCATTACCAAGATTGAAGTCCTCACCATCTTCCAGCAGGGGGTGGTAGGTGGCGATCTCAGCCTCCAGCTTGACCTTATGTTCAGCAGCGCCTCCTACTCCTGGGCCTGGTGCTGCCCCTCTGCCCAGGTCTGTGGCAACTCGGACTCCAGGTGCATCAGGGTCCCCTTGGGCTGCTCCATTTGCAGGGCATAGCGGGCCTCCACCTCCTTCAGGCTGTTCTCCAAGCTGGCCTTCAGATTTCTCATCGAGTACAGGTCGATCTCCAAGGACTGAACTGTATGTCTCATCCCCATGAGTATCATCTCAGCAGCTCCAACCTCGATGAACTGTGTGGTGACCACTGTGGTACTCTCCTCAATCAGCCGAGACTAGTATTTGTCCAGCTCCTCTCGGTTTTTCCGAGCCAGCTCATCGTATTGGGCCTGGATGTCTGCCATGATCTTGGTGAGGTCCTGCAATTTGAGGGCATCTACTTCCACGGTCAACCCAGAGCTGGCAATCTGGGCTTGTAGGCCTTTTACTTCCACTTCGTGGTTCTTCTTCATGAAGAGCAGCTCCTCCTTGAGAGCTTCCATCTCTGTCTCCAGCTGCAGTTGAGTGACATTGGTGTCATCAGCGATCTTGTGGAGCCCATGGATGTTGCTCTCCACAGACTGGTGCATGGCCAGCTCTGACTCATACGTGACTCTAAAGTCATTAGCAGCAATACGGGCATTGTCGATCTGCAGAACGATGCAGGAACTATCCACAGTATTTGCGAAGATATGAGCACTCAGGTCCTCGATGGTCTTGAAGTAATGGTCCCAGTCTCTGACCTGGGGTCCCTTCTTCTCCAGGGGCTCCCGGATTTTGCTCTCCAGCTTCCAGTTCTCCGTCTCCAGGCTCCTCACTCTGTCCAGGTAGGAGGCCAGCCAGTTGTTCAGGCTTTGCATCGTCTCCGCATTCTGGATGCCTCCCATTCCAGCCAGAACCCCGGCCATTCAGGCAGCCAGGACCCCGGACCCCAAACCGACCCGGAAGCTGGTGGAGCAGGACACCAAGATCCGGGAACCAGAGACTCGGTGCCTGCGTAGATGGTGGAGAAGGTGGAGCGAGTGGTGAAGCTCATGCTGTCTGGGAGGAGAGAGAGAGGAGAGGACTCAGGCTTTTTTGAGCATCATTCTAAGAAATTAATCACAGAAATTAAAAAGTAGGAAGAATTTAAATAAAAACCTAAATTAATATGCTAATTTTAGACATGAATGTATGAATTAGAAAAATGTAAATATTTTCTCCTCTGAGCCACAGGTTTCATAACAGCAGCAAATCATACCCTCATATGTTTTCTATAACCCTATGTTCTCAAACAAAATAAATCTTGTTTTAAATACTTGAACCCCATATGTATTTATGAGACAATGCAAATCCATATCACCTTTTAGAAAATAGTTTGTTCAAAGCCTCATATTGAACACTTCTTGACAGGTAAAAATCCTGTAAAAATGAGATTTAAAACAAAGTGCAATAGATACTCCATTGGAAAGACATAAATGACATGGTGTAAAGGGAAAAGGTTAGTAAAATAATTCCTATTAACTCTCAGAAGTTTTACCTTTATTTTTAAAACACAGAGTATGAGCATCTAGATTAACGTAAGTAAAAAAAAAAAAACAAAAAGCATAGCAAATGGTTGCTTAATAGAGTCTATTGACAAAAAGAAAAGATGCATGGAATGTCAATTATTAATAATAATAGAAGATATATATGCATAGCAATATAATATTGCAATTGCATAGCAAATGGTTGTTTAATAGAGTCTATTGACAAAAATAAAAGGTGCATGGAATGTCAATTATTAATAATAATAGAAGATATATTATATTGCATTGTTTTTAATCCTTTACCAATTTTATGGTACTTCTGACATAATGATCTCCTATTTGAGTCACAGTCTAATGAGGCAAATGGGCCAATTAATATAACCATTTTTATACATTTAGACTCAAGCTCAGAGCTTTTGTGATTTGTCCAAATTTACCTAGGTAAACTGCCTCTAGTCAAAGTCACCAATGAATTCTGCATTGCTAAACCGTTGGTTAGTTCTCCATCCCAGTCTCACTTGACCTAGAAGAAGTATTTACCACAACTCATTATTACTCCCATATCTTTGACGCACCACTTTTATCAGCCTAGACAGCACTTACTTTTCATTTTATTCCTTCCCCACTAGCTGCTACCCCTTCTCATTCTTTTGGTTGCTTTTTCCTCTCTTTCTGACTTCTTAATATCAAATGCCCCTGACTTAGTCTGTTTTGTGTTGCTAAAAGGGATATAGGGGCTGAGTAATTTATTAAGAAAAAAAAATGTTGTTTATTTGGCTTGCAATTGTGATGTCTGAAAAAGTTAAAGATTGGGCATCTGGTAAGCGCATCAGGCTGCTTCCACTTATGGCAAAAAGAGAAGGGGAGCCAGCATGTGCAGAGATCACATGTGGAGAGAGGAAGCAAGAGAGAGACGCAAATGCTGCCAGAACTTTTTAACAACCTGTTTTCCTGGGAACTAATAGAGTGAGAACTCACCCTTAAGGAAGGGCACTAATTTATTCATGAGGGATCTGCCCCCATGACCCAAATACCTCCCACTAAGCCCCACCTACCAACACCAACACGTTGGGCTTAAATTTCAACATGGAGTTTGTAGGGAACAAACATCTAAACTATAGCAGCCCCCTTTGCTTCCTCTGACATACTCACTCCCTTATTGATTTCATTCTGCTTCCTCACTAAAAGTACCAATCATATCGCTCTAAAATGTACCTCTCTAACTGAATTTTCCTCTTATACTCTGGATTTATATATTTGACTACCTATACAATATATCCATCTGGGTATCCTATAGACATCTCAGGTTACACATGCCCAGACCTGAATTCCTGATTGCCTTCCCAAGATCTTTTGTACCTGTTTGCTTTGTCATCACTATAGATGGGTAATCTACCTTTTAATCAGGCAGCAGATCCTATGAGACGAGGGGTGAGATTTGATCATTGGCTTTAGTAATGTACAAGTCATTGCTGAATTTGACAAGAGGTAATTTACTTATGCAAATGCATGAGTTACAATATCACTAAACTTCTGTTAGAGAATATATAAAAATATTTTAAAGTACTGCTAAACCTTGTTACTTCCACTCCTCACACCCTGGTCAAAGCCACATCATCTCTCACCTGGATTATTGCAGTAAACTCTCTCTTATTAATTTAGTATTCTGCTTCTACATTTGTTGATCCTCCACCTAGGCTATAGATGCTCCTCAATTTACAATGGGGTTGTGTCCCAATATGCATATTGTAAGGTGAAAATCTCATAAATTAAAAAAAAACACGTTTAACACACTTAGCCTATGAAACATCATAGCTTAGCCTAGTCTACCTTAAATGTGCTCAAAATGCTTACATTACCAGTTAGGCAAAATCATCTAACACAAAGTCTATTTTAAAATAAAATGTTAACTATCTCATGTAATTTATTGAACACTAAACTGAAAGTGAAAAACGGAATCGTTGTATAAGTACTCACCATTAATGTACAGAGTTGAAAGCATGTTGGGCCTGAAGAACATCTGAGGTATTGAATTAAAATTAATTGCAGGTTGCAGAGGATGCTACAGTGACAGGATCATCAATCTCTGTCTCTTCTGATGAGGCTCAAGAATAGCATGCAGAGGCACTGGAACATCCACACTTGTGGATGGTTTAACAGGAATAGTGTTCTTCAAAATTATTTTAAGTATTGGTTGTTTACCCTTGTATTAGTCCATTTTCATGCTGCTGATAAAGACATACCTGAGACTGGGCAATTTACAAAAGAAAGTTTAATTGGATTTACAGTTCCACGTGGCTGGGGAACCTTCACAATCATGGTGGAAGGCAAGGAAGAGCAAGTCCCACCTTACATGGACGACAGCAGGCAAAGAGAGAATGAAGAAGATGCAAAAGTGGAAACCCCTGATAAAACCATCAGATCTCATGAGACTTATTCATGACCATGAGAACAGTATGGGGGACCACCCGCCCCCCATGCCATGATTCAATTATCTCCCAGTAGGTCCCTCCCATATCTCCCAGCAGGTCCCTCCCACAACACCTGGGAATTATGGGAGTACAATTCAAGATGAGATTTGGGTGGGGACACAGCCAAACCATATCATTATGTCCCTGGCCCCTGCCAAATTTCATGTCCTCACATTTTAAACCAATCATGCTATTCAAACAGTCCCCCAAAGTCTTAGCTCATTTCAGCATTAACTCAAAAGTCCACAGTCCAAAGTCTCATATGAGACAAGGCAAGTCCCTTCAACCTATGAGCCTTTAAAATCAAAAGCAAGCTAGTTATTTCCTAGATAAAATGAGGGTACAGACATTGGGTAAATACAACCATTTCAAATGGGAGAAATTGGCCATAACAAAGAGGCTACAGGGCCCATGCAAATCCGAAATCCAGCAGGGCAGTCAAGTTTTAAAACTCCAGAATGACCAGAGAGAAATAACCAGTGCAAAAATCCTGTTCTCATGGTCGTGAGTAAGTCTTATAAGATCTCATGGTTTTATTAGTGGTTTCCACTTTTGCATCTTCCTCATTCTGTCTTTGCCTGCTGCCATCTCTGTAAGATGGAAATCGCTCCTCCCTGTCTTGTGCAATGATTGCAAGGCTTCCCCAGCCTTGGAACTGTTAAGTCCAGTTAAACCTCTTTATTTTGTAAATTGCGCAGTCTTGGGTACGTCTTTATCAGCAGCATAAAAATGGACTAATACAATTAATTCATGTCGGGAGTGGCGCACTGCTGAGAAGATACCCAAAAATGTGGAAGCGACTTTGGAACTGGGTAACAGGCAGAGGTTGGAATGGTTTGGAGGATTCAGAAGACAGGAAAATGTGTGAAAGTTTGGAACTTCCTAGAGACTTGTTGAATGGCTTTGCCCAAAATACTGATAGCGATATGGACTATAAGGTTCAGGTAGAGGTGGTCTCAGATGGAGATGAGGAACTTGTTGGGAACTGGAACTAAGGTGACTCTTGTTATGTTTTAGCAAAGAGACTAGCGGCATTTTGCCCCTGACCTAGAGATCTATGCAGGGTCTCTAGGGAGAGAGACGCTAGAGGGTCTCTTGAACTTGAGGGAGATGATTTAGGGTGTCTGGTGGAAGAAATTTCTAAGCAACAAAGCATTCAAGCAGTGACTTTGGTGCTGTTAAAAGCATTGAGTTTTAGAAGGGAAACAGAGAATAAAAGTTTGAAAAATTTACAGCCTGACAATGGCTCCAGAAAATTTATTGTTTTAATTTTTAACTTTTTTGACCATCACAAATAGGACTTTTTATTTGACACTATTGTAAGTCTGAACTTTAAACACATTCTTGGACTGGTGGTTTATATTCATCAGCTTATACATCTTTAGCACCTGTCTCATCCCCAGTGGCTTTTCCAGAGCTACTACCTTTACCCAATTCAGACTAGGGCTTCTTCAGCATTTTTACTTTTCTAATGAGAACATCATAAAGGGGATAAATAGACTGGCAAGGCTTTTCTATGTTTTTCCAGTGCTGCCTGGAATCAATTTATGAACCCCTTCTTTCAAAGCATTTGTCAGCACCTCTCCTTGGGTCATGATTTTCATCATCTTCTTCTGGATTTGGTGTACCTGTTGGTGCTGAGCACAGGAGGTATATATATACATATATATATATACACATATATATATGTGTGTGTGTGTGTGTATATATATATATACCCAGAAATAAATACATATATAAATATATACAACTTTATTTACATAACTTTTTATATATAAATTTATTTACATATATACTTTATATGTATGTACATTTCCTTATATATGTTACATATATAGTCATATATATGTAACATATATACTCATATATATAACATATATAGTCATATATATATATCAGCTGGGCACTGTGGCTCATGCCTGTAATCCCTGCACTTTGGGAGACAGAGGTGGGTGGATCACTTGAGTCTAGGAGTTCAAGAACAGCTTGAGCAACATAGTGAGACCCCCTTCTCTACAAAACCTACAAACAAATATAGCTGAGCCTGGTGGTGCCTGTGGTCCCAGCTACTCAGGAGACTGAGGTGAGAGAATCACTTGAGCCTATAGGAGGCAGAGGTTGCAGTGAGAAGCGATTCCACTACTGCACATCAACCTGGGCAACAGAGTGAGACCTACTCGCTCTCTCTGTGTATATATATAAAATATATAAATATATATAAATATATAACATATATTAATATATTATATAATATATAAACATATTATATAATATAATATAGATTATATATTAAATAATATATTAATATATTACATAATACATTATATTATATAATATATTATATATTATTATTAATTATATAATATATTAATATATTATATAATTAATAATAATATATAATATAATATATTAATAGATGTGCAATATAATATATTAATATATGTGCAATCTAATACATATATGTAATATAAGTATAATATATAATATAATATATATTATGTAATATAATACATATATACATATATGTATATACATCTCCTTTACTCACATATTGCCATTCTCAATTAGCCCTATCCTGAAATTTTCATCTCCCTTCCCTTTTTAATTATTACCCATATGCCTATCATGTTCTAACACACTGGATCCTTTATTTATTTCTTCATTTATTGGCTTATCGTCCATCCATTATAATATGAGCTCTACGAAAACACACATTTTTGCTTGTTTCGTACAGTGTAGCAATCCCAGTGCCCTATAACAACTTCTGGTATGGTAGGTGAATGAATGAGTAATAAATGGCAGAGTGGTTGTATAAAAAGAAACAGAATAACAGAAAGATGAAAAATATATTTTATTCAGCAACTAAAGAAACTATGAAGTCTAGAATAGAATAAAAGCAGATAAGATAGTTATTTGTTCATCAATCATCTGCAGTAGAGATAGAGGGTATGATAAGATGCTGGAATGAGTTATACATAATAGTTAAAAGTTAAAGGCAGTACTCACCGACTATTAGATAAAAATTGGCACATCTATAGAAAAGGAAAGAGTCATGTGTTATACTGGGTTAAATGATACAAACAGAAACTAGGATGACATCTTAAGAATTTAAGAAACAAAAGAAAATATAGATAAAGCCAAAAGGCTAATGTTTAAATGTACTTATCAGAGGGTGATATAAGGTATGAATTTATAATTATTAGAGAAAAAACTGTCAGGCAAATAAAGTACACAACACATAATGATTAATAATTGAGAACAAAATACAATAAACAAGTGGATAAGTAGAACAACAATTTTTTTTTCATACTTAAGAAGACAGAAGATAGTACTGGTTATTTCATTATTTTCTTCCAGGAAAAAGAAACTAGTTTCATGTTTGAAACTTAGAAAGTTACATCTTAATGGAAAAGATGGCTCTGTCAATGAAGCTCATTAACAAAGCACCTGAAATACTAAAAAGCCAAGTACAAATGTTATGGTTGCTTTCACAAATTATGCGAATAAATACTCAGAAGCCAAAAGAAAGCAGATAGGGTACGTAATGTCTTGGGAAAGAAAAAACATGCTTAATTATCTTGCAATACATTTTTTGTTAATAATTAAGAAGAAAGTGGGGAGGGGTCAAGATGGCCAACTAGAAACAGCTGCTGTCGGAGGCTCCCATTGGGAAGAGTGAACACAGCAAGTGAAACCAGCATCGGCAACTGAGGTATCCAGGTTCTCTCACTGGGATTGACCAGGCAGTTGGTGCGAACCACAGAGTGAGGAAAAGCAGGGTGGTGCGACGGCCCACCTGGGAGCTACACGGGGCAAGGGGAACTCTCACCCCCAGCTAAAGGGAGGCAGTGAGTGATCATGTTACTTGCCTGAGAAGCCACACTTTTTCCACGGATCTGTGCAACCCATGGCTCAGGAGTTCCCCCCGTGAGCCCACGCCGCCGGGGCCTTGGGTCCCAAGCACAGAGCTGTGCAGATTCTCAATGGCCACTTGGCTGGAGACTGCCTAAGACTATCGAGTTTCCAGGGGGAGGGGTGGCCATCATTACTGTGGCTGCCTGCTGCCTAAAATGACTGAGCTCCCAGGGAGAGGGGCAGCCACCATCACTGCAGGTCCAGTTTGCCGTTTTTTTCTCCTGCTGGTGCCGGAGAGATTGGATGCTTTAGACCTAGGAGGAATTCTCCACAGTGCAGCACACTGGCTGTCACAGAACACGGCCTGACTGCCTCTTCAGGCCAGACTCTGACCCATCTCTTTTCACTAGGTGGGGCCTCCCTGCAGGAATTTCAGCTACTCTAGCAAGGGGTTTAGGGACAGAACCCTGATCTCCCGCATCTGAGCCCCTGGGGAGAGGGGAGGCTGTGGTCTCCACAGATCAGCAGACCTAGTCTTTCTCCCTGCTGGTCCTGAGGAATCCAGGCAGTTCAGATGAATGGGATTCCCCACAGCTCAGCACATCCCTCCACAAAGGGGCAGCCAAAATGCTTCATTAAGTGGGTCCCGGATCCTGTGCCTCCTGAATGGGTGAGAGACCCCCAACAGGGGTGGCCAGGTACTTTATACAGGAGCGTTCCTGCTGGCATCCGGTCAGTGCCCCTCTGGGACAGAGATGCCAAAGGAAGAAGCAGGTAGCTATCTCAGCTATCTTTGCTGTTCTGCAGCCTCCACTGGTGACACCTCCAGGTGAGGGAGGGACCCAGGCAAATAGGATCTGGAGTGGGCCCCCGGCAAACTGCAGCAGCCCTACAGAAGAGAGGCCTGACTGTTAAAAGAAAAACAGACAAATGGAAAGCAACCATGACAACAGCATCAACAGAAAAGTCCCCACAAAACCCCATCCAAGCATTAGCAGCCTCAAAGATTGAAGCTAAATAAACTCACAAAGGTGAGAAGGAATCCACAAAAACATATTGAAAACTTAAAAAGCCGTATTTCTTCTTCTCCTCCAAATGATCTCAACACCTATCCAGCAAGGACGCAGAACTGGGAAGAGGCTGAGATGGATGAATTGACAGAAGTAGGCTTCAGAAAGTGGATCATAATGAACTTTGCTCAGCTAAAAGAGCATGTTCTAACCCAGTGCAAAGAAGCTAAGAACCACGATAAAACATTACAGGAGCTGTTACCCAGAATAACCAGTTAGTGAGGAACATACATGACCTGATAGAGCTGAAAAACACAACACGAGAACTTCACCATGCAACCACGAGTATCAACAACTGAATAGACCAAACAGAGGAAAGAATTTCAGAGCTTTAAGGCTGTCTTGCTAAAATAAGACAGGCAGACAAGATTAGAGAAAAAGGAATGAAAAGGAATAAGTGAAGCCTCTGAGGACAATGGGGTTGTGCAAAAAGACTAAATCTATGACTGGTTGGGGTACCTGAAAGAGATGGGGAGAATGGAACCAAGCTGGAAAACATACTTCAGAATGTCATCCAGGAGAACTTCCCCAGCCTAACATGACAGACCAACATTCAAATTAAGGAAGTCCAGAGAACCCCAGTAAGATACTCCATGAGAAGATCAACCCCAAGACACATAATCGTCAGATTCTCCAAAGTTGAAATGAAGGAAACAATGTTAAGGGCAGCCAGGAGAAAAGCCAGGTTACCTACAAAGGGAAGCCGATCACACTCATACGGATCTCTCATCAGAAACCCTACAAGCTGGAAGAGATTGGGGGTCAATTTTCAATATTCTTAAAGAAAAGAATTTCCCACCTAGAGTTTCATATCCAGCCAAACTAAGCTTCATAAGTGAAGGAGAAATAAAAGCCTTTTCTGACAAGTAAATGCTGAGGGAATTCATCATCACCAGGCCTGCCTTGCAAGAGCTCCTGAAGGAAGCACTAAATATGGAAAGGAAAAACTGGTACCAGCCACTGCAAAAACACACTGAAGTACAAGGACCAATGACACTATGAAGCTACTTCATCAACAAGTGTGCAAAATAACCAGCTGGCATCATGATGACAGGATGAAATTCACACAAAACAATATTAACCTTAAATGTAAATGGGCTAAATACCCCAGTTGAAAGGCCAAAATGGCAGGCTAGATAAAGAGTCAAGACTCACTGGTGTGCTATATTCAAGAGACCTGGCCGGGCATGTGGTTCACACGTGTAATCCCAGAACTTTGGGAAGCTGAGGCAGGCAGATCACAAGGTCAGGAGATTGAGACCATCCTGGCTAAAATGGTGAAATGCCATGTCTACTAAAAATACAAAAAAATTAGCCGGGGGTGGTGGCAGGCGCCTGTAGTCGCAGCTACTCAGGAGGCTGAGTCAGGAGAATGGGGTGAACCTGGGAGGTGGAGCTTGCAGTGAGCTGATATCGCACCACTGCACTCCAGCGTGGGCGACAGAGTGAGACTCCATCTCAAAAAAAAAAAAAAAAAAAAAAGAGACCCATCTTATGTGCAAAGACACAATTTGGCTCGAAATAAAGGGATGGAGGAAACTTTATCAAGCAAATGGAAAGCAGAAAAAAGCAGGGGTTGAAATCCTAGTTTCTGACAAAACAGACTTTAAACCGACAAAGATCAAAAACAGACAAAGAAGAGCATTACATAATGGTAAAGGGATCAATTCAACATGAAAAGCTAACTATCCTAAATATATATCCACTCAATACAGGAGCACCCAGATTCATAAAACAAGTTCTTAGGGACCTACAAAGAGACTTATATTCCCACACAATAATAGTGGGAGACGTTTACACACCACTGTGAATATTAAACAGATCATCAAGACAGAAAATTAACAAGGATACTCAGGACTTGAACTCTTCTCTGGATCAAGTGGACCTGATAGATATGTACAGAACTCTCCACCCAAAAACAACAGAATATACATTCTTCTTGGCGCCACATGTCACTTACTCTAAAATTGATCACATAATTGGAAGTAAACACTTTTCAGCAGATGCAAAAGAACCGAAATCATAATAGTCTCTCAGACCACAGCACAATCAAATTACAACTCAAAATTAAGAAACTCACTTAAAACCACACAACTACATGGAAATAGAACACCCTACTCCTCAGTGACTCCTGGGTAAATAATAAAATTAAGGCAGATATCAAGAAGTGTTTTGAAACAAATGAGAACATAAAGACAACGTTCCAGATCTCTGGGACGCAGCTAAAGCAGTGTTAAGACAGAAATTTATAGCACTAAATGCCCACATAAAAAAGCTAAAAAGATCTCAAATTGACACAACTAACATAACAACTAAAAGAACTAGAGAAGCAAGAGCAAACAAACTGCAAAATTAGCAGAAGACAAAAAATAACCAAAATCAGAACAGAACTGAAGGGGATACAGACATAAAAAAAAATATTCAAAAAAATAAATGAATCCAGGAGCTGGTTTTTTTGAAAAAATTAATAAAATAGATAGACTAATAAAGAAGAATCAAATAGACACAATACAAAATGATAAAGGGTATATCAACACTGACTTTGCAGAAATGCAAACAACCATATAAACACCTTCATACAAATAAACTGGAAAATCTAGAAAAAAATTGACAAATTCCTGGACACGTACACCCTCCCAAGACCGAACTAGGAAGAAGTTGAATCCCTGAATAGAATGATAACAAGTTCTGAAACTGAGGCAGTAATAAATAGCCTTCCAGCCAAAAAAAGCCCAAGACCAGATGGATTCACAGCCAAATTCTACCAGAGGTAAAAGGAGGATCTGGTACCATTTCTTCTGAAACTATTCCAAACAATTGAAAAGGAGGGACTTCTTCCTCACTCATTCTATGAGGCCAACATCATCCTGATACCAAAATCTGTCACAGGTACAACCAAAAATGAAAACTTAAAGGCAATAACCCTAATGAACACTGATGCAAAAAATTCTCAGTAAAATACTAGTAAACCAAATCCAGCAACACATCAAAAAAGCTTATCCACGGTGATCAAGTCAACTTCATCCTCGGGATGTAAGTCAACATATATAAATTAATAAACATAATTCATCACATAAACAGAACTAAAGACAAAAACCACATGATTATCTCAATAGGTGTAGAAAAGGCCTTTGATAAAATTCAACATCCTTTTATGTTAAAAACTCTCAATAAACTAGGTATTTATAGAACATAACTCAAAATAATAAGAGCCATTTATGACAAACCCAGACCCAATATCATGCTAAATGGGCTGAAAACATTCCCCTCGAAAACTTGCACAATACAAGGATATCATCTCTCACCACTCCTATTCAACATCGTATTGAAAGTTCTGGCCAGGGCAGTCAGGCAAAGGAAATAAATAAAGAGTATTCAAATAGGAATAGAGGAAGTCAAAATGTCTCTGTTTGCAGATGACATGATGCTACATCTAGAAAACCCCATCATCTCTGCCCAAAAGGTTTGTAAGCTGACAGGCAATTTCAGCAATGTCTCAGGATACAAAATCAATGTTCAGAAAACACAAGCATTCCTATACACCAACAATAGACAAGCAGAGAGGCAAATCATGAATGAACTCTCATTCACAATTGCTACAAAGAGAATAAAATACCTAGGAATACAGCTAACAAGGGAAATGAAGGACCTCTTCAAGGAGAACTACAAAACACTGCTCAAGGACACAAATAAATGAAAAAAAAATTCCAAGCTCATGGATAGGAAGAATTAATATCACTAAAATGGCCACACTGCCTAAAGAAATGTATGGATTCAATGCTATTTTCATTAAACTACCATTGACATTCCTCACAGATTTAGAAAAAACTAATTTAAAATTCATATGGAACCAAAAAAGAGCCTGTATAGCAAAGACAATCCTAAGCAAAAAGGAAAAAGCTGGAGGCATCACGCTACCTGACTTCAAACTATACAAGGCTACAGTAACCAAAACAGCATGGTACTCGTACAAAAGCAGACACATAGACCAATAGAAAAGAATAGAGATCTCAGAAATAAAACCACACATCTTCAACCATCTTGTCTTTGACAAAACTGACAAAAAAAGCTATGGGGACAGGATTCCCTATTGAATAAATGGTGCTGGGAAAACTAGATAGCTATATGCAGAAAATTGAAACTGGACCCATTCCTCACACCTTATACACAAATTAACTGAAGATGGATTCAAGACTTAAATGTAAAACCCAAAACTATAAAAACCGTAGAAGAAAATCTAGGCACTACCATTCAGTAGATAGGCATGGGCAAAAATTTCATAATGAAAACATCAAAAACAATTTCTACAAAAGCAACAGTAGACAAATGGGATCTAATTAAAGAGCTTCTGCACAGCAAAAGAAACTACTATCAGAGTGAACAGAAAACCTACAGAATGGGAGAACAATCTACCCATCTGACAAAGGTCTAATATCCAGAATCCACAAGGACTTTAAATAAACTTAAAAGAAAAAATAAAACTCCATTAAAAAGTCGGCAAAGGACAAGAACAGACACTTCTCAAAAAAAGATATTTATGTGGCCAAGAAACATATGGAAAAAAGCTCAACATCACTGATCATTAGAGAAATGCAAATCAAAACCACAATGAGATATCATCTCTAGCCAGTCAAAATGGCAATTGTTAAAATGTCAAGAAACAACAGATGCCGGTGAGGCTGTGGAGAAATAGGAACAGTTTTACACTGTTGGTGGGAATGTAAATTAGTTCAACCATTATGGAAGACAGTGTGACGATTCCTCAAAGACCTACAACCAGGAATACAATTTGACCTAGCAATCCCATTACTGGGTATATTCCCAAAAGAATTTACATCATTTTATTATAAAGATACATGCACACATATGTTCATTGCAGCACTATTCACAACAGTAAAGACATGGAATCAACCCAAGTGCTCATCAATGATAGACTAGATAAAGAAAATGTGGTACATATACACCATGGAATACTATGTAGCCATAAAAAACAAAAGAGGTCATGTCCTTTGCAGGGACATGGATGGAGCTGGAGACCATTATCTTCAGCAAACTAACACAGGAAAAGAAAAACAAACACTGCATGTTCTCACTTATAAGTGGGAGCTGAACAATGAGAACACATCCACACAGGGAGGGGAACCACCCACACTGGGGCCTGCTGGGGGTGGCGGAGTCAGGGAGAGCATCAGGATTAATAGCTAATGGATGTGAGGCTTAATACCTAGATGATCGGTTGATAAGTGTAGCAAACTACCATGGCAAACATTTACCTATGTAACAAGCCTGCACGTCCTGCACATGTATCCTGGAACTTAAAATAAAATAAAATTAAAAAACAAACAAACAATAAAGCTCAAGTTTCATGATAAAATAAAGAATAGAGCCAAAAAGCTTATATATCTTAGGGATTATTTAACAGAATAATATACTATCTTAACAATCTATAAAGCAATTATTGAGAACAGAGTAAGGTGTACTTCCTCCCATGAAGCTCTTTTAAAGGTTTATTTAATGATTATCTATTTTGGGAATGGGAAAAGTTAAACAAATTTATAATCTTATGAATTAGAATTTGAGTACCGGAAATCATTACAGTTTCCTCCATTTCAAAGGAGAAAACAAAACACACAAATTGATATTAAAAATGCCTTGGCTTAAATTTATCAAAAATTAAATTTATATTGTACATGTGATTGAGACCTATCTGGAAAATATTCTCAAACTTCTCTTGTGAGTGTCAATAAATACTTATCCGAGTCTTAGAAATAAGTTAGTTAACAATAATTTCTGGTTTGGGCAGGAAAGTTCTGGGAACATCACCTTGATATTATGGGAAGAAATTAAGAAAAGTCCACTATAAAATATCTGAATGATGTTCTCAGATTGGAGCTCTGTCAGCTGGCCTTATTGCTTTCTTATTTGGATATCATCTAGGGATTGAATAGCTCCACTCTGACTCCCAGGAGAAACTTGGTAGGGATTTATCCAACAGTATCAAGGGCCACAGATGGCTTAAACAAAGCAACATCCTTACTAAAAGTAGAAGAAGCAGAAGGGTTAGAACATGAATGAATGTTCACCGTATCTATATATATTCATTTTTCTCTTCATTTTTGAGTGGTTAGCATTAAAAAGCCAATTATATATTCCAAGTATAAATTTAGATTAAGAAGAACTGAAATAGATTATTTCTAATTTGCTTATCTGTTTCAGAAATCAACCAAGAAAATCTCCTAAGACTTGAAATTAAAATATCCTCCCCAACAGTGGTGAGCATACCTTAAAAATTAATGTCAATCAGAAATCTCAGAATGTGACCTTATAGAGGGACTTTGCAGATATGATTAGTTAAAATGAGGTCATCCTGAATTATGATGGACCCTAAATCCAATGACTGGTGTCCTATTGAGAAGAGAAGAGGACACACGAATACATGAATACTGAAAAAAAAAAAAAAAAGCGGGGTGGAGCAGGAACAGGGATGCAGAAATGAAAGTATGCTGCTACGAACTAAAGTATGCCATGGTACATTAGAAGCCCTTACAGTTGGACAAAGCAAGAAAGAACTATTCCCCGGAGCCTTTGGAAGAAGCATAACCCTGCCACTACCTTTATTTCAGACTTTCAGTCTCCATAACTGTGAAAGAATAAATTCCTGCCTTTTAAAACATTTTGTATTTATTTTTTTGAGACGAAGTCTCACTCTGTCGCCCAGGCTGGAGAGCAGTGGCACGATCTCAGCTCACTGAAACCTCTGCCTCTCGGGTTCAAGCAATTCTCTGCATCAGCCTCCTGAGTAGCTGGAATTACAGGTGCCCGCCACCATGCCCAGCTCATTTTTGTATGTTTAGTAGAGATAGGATTTCACCATCTTGGCCAGGTTTGTCTTGAACTCCTGACCTTGTGATCCACCTGCCTTGGCCTCCCAAAGTGCTGGGATTACAGGCATAAGCCACCGCACCCGGCCCAATTACTGCTGTTTTAAGCCACCCAGTTTGTGATAATTTGTTACAGCAGCACTAGGAAGCTCATACACGCACTGTAAATAAAATGAGGATACATGAGATGTATAATCATCAATCTGTGACAATTATCCCACCAAAAAATAATTTATAAATAAATAGTTGAAAACATTTAGAAACATCCAATTTCTATTCTATGTGCTCTAGAAGCAGAGCATAACAAATATGCTCAAACTAAGCAATGACGTTGTCCTCTAGGGAAGAAAGAGCAATATAAAAGAAGGTGATAATCAATAGAGCCTAGTGAAGCAGGAACCAAACAGCAAATTTTTTTGGGGAAATTCTTTGTAACTTCAAAGATAAAAGACATTCCAACCAGCTGATTTCAGCATATATTTAACATACATTTGATAAGCTGACAGTAACATTATGCCATCCTAGAAAGTTATATTTTCTTTGTAAATAAATTAATGCCTATAAAACATGAATGTATTGCAAATGTGATTAACGTATTTATCCTTTCTGAATACATTAATAATTTCAAACTAAAAACTTTGAAGTGAGGACTGGAACATGGAATGTAATGACCAAGTCATCATTCATTAGCTTTACTTAGTTAGTTGGTTATCTGCCAGGAAGTCAAGTATTTATTAAGCATCTTTTTTTTTTTTTTTTTCTTTCGAGACGGAGTCTCACTCTGTAGCTCAGGCTGGGGTGCAGTGGTGTGATCTCAGTTCACTGCAACTTCTGCCTCCCGGGTTCAAGCAGTTCTCTGCCTCAGCCTCCGGCGTAGCTGGGATTATAGGCGCCCGCCACCACACCCAGTATTTTTTTAGTAGAGACGGGGTTTCACCATCTTGACCAGGCTGGTCTTGAACTCCTGACCTCGTGATCCACCTGCCTCGGCATCCCAAAGTGCTGGGATTACAGGCTTGAGCCACCGCGCTTGGCCCTATTAAGCATCTTTTTTATTAGGCAACGAAAGAAGTATGCTGACAATTATTTCCCTAATTTCGTTTATAACTTTCCCAGAATTTATTGCACTGTTACTCTTTCAAATTGCAAAAAAACACAAACTCCAATTCTCTAACTTACAGTTATCTTAAATTCAATTATGTATCTTACATCTAATAGTTGGCCTCCAATTCACCCTTTCTTCCACCTTTATTTGATCTTCCTTGCATCAGTGTCCAATTGAGAGGCAGCTATCACAATTCAACTTGAACAAGAGAAGTTTAATATAAATAATCATTAACAAGGAGAGCGAAGTAACCACAGAGTAGTAAAGAGAAATTTAAAGTACACAAGGAAGGAAGGATAAAATTTGGAGAGTGTTCCCTTCCCAAAAGCTAGGTTACTGACTTCCTTTGGGGAAATCGTGGCAGCAGCCCATTGGATGGCAGAAAAGTTCATGGGGCTGCCCCAGCCAGAGTTGGCCCACTATTTCCATGTTAACTGGAAACACCCCATAGGGTGTGTTGATGAGTGAGGCTGACAGAAAGGTGTGCAGAAGTATGGGTTTCAGGGGGCTAAGTGTATTGCACATTGTTGGTAGAGCTGCCTAAAGCTATCCTCTTACCTTCATAGGTGCAGGCCTACTGATGCTGGCAAGCAAGAGTGTAGGGCGAGCTGGAGCTTAGGGAACCTCCTAGCTGACAAAGCAGTGTGAGGTCTTGGGAGCACAATGTCTGTTTCAGGAGGGCCATAGAAAGATGGTCACCAGGCCAGGGCCAGGGCTGTAAGCTTGCTAAGAGACTGTGCTCTAGGCTTTAACAGAGTCCCTCTCACAGTGATGCAGCAGAGCAAGAAGAAACAAAAATAGCAACAAAACAGTATTAGATGATGTGTTGGTTAATATTGAATGTCAACTTGATTGGACTAAAAGAGGCAAAGTCTTGTTCCTGGATGAGTCTGTGAGGGTGTTGCTAAAGGAGATTAACATTTGAGTCAGTGGACAGGGAGAAGTAGACCCGCCCTCAACCCAGGTGGGCACCGTCTAATCAGCTGCCAGCACGGCTAGGATAAAAGCAGGGAGAGGCCGGGCGCGGCGGCTCACGCCTGTAATCCCAGCACTTTGGGAGGCTGAGGCGGGTGGATCACGAGGTCAGGAGATCAAGACCATGGTGAAACCCCGTCTCTACTAAAAATACAAAAAATTAGCTGGGTGCGGTGGCGGGCGCCTGTAGTCTCAGCTACTCGGGAGGCTGAGGCAGGAGAATGGCGTGAACCCGGGAGGCGGAGCTTGCAGTGAGCCGAGATCGCGCCACTTCACTCCAGCCTGGGCGACAGAGCAAGACTCCGTCTCAAAAAAAAAAAAAAAAAAAAAAAGCAGGGAGAGGAACGTGGAAGGTCTAGACTAGCTGAGTTTTTTGGCCTCCATCTTTCCCCCGTGCTGGATGCTTCCTGCCCTCAAACATCAGACTCCAAGTTCCTCAGCTTTTGGACTCTTGGTCTTACACTGGTAGTTTGCCAGGGGCTCTCGGGCTTTCAACCCCACACTGAAGGCTGCACTGTCGGTTTCCAGAGTTTTGAGGTTTTGGGACTCGGACTGGCTTCCTGGCTCCTCAGCTTGCAGACAGCCTATTGTGGGACTTCACCTTGTGATCATGTGAAGTGATCACTTATCCATGTGAGTCAATTATCCTGATAAACGCCCCTTCATATACTCATCTATCCTAATAGTTCTGTCCGTTTAGAGGACCCTGACTAAAACAGGTGACAAACACCTTGGTATTGCAATGCAATGTCTCTCTATCGCCGTCTACTGGCAAAGATTAATATTATGTGTTTAAAAAGCTCTAGTGCAGATCAGGTAAAGAAATGTGCGTTTGGAGCCAAGAGCAATTCACTGAAACCTAGAACATGCTTCATTGATTCTCGGAAACAAGTATTTATAAAACCACTGTCTCAAATTCACATGGGTATGCACTTTGTGACTAGGTCTCATTTTCCATTGCCACTGCTATTTTTCTGTATCCCTTTCTCTGAAAACAGTTATCTTCAGAGCCAGCATCTCACACAATTCCACGGGGCCGCGGGGGAGGTCGCGGAGGGTGGGGGTAGTAACTTACATTGGATTCTATATGAATGATCCACACTATTTTGAGTTATTCAGTGGAAAGTTTGCCTGAACTACGCACTAAGACGTTAAATATTCGCATGTATTTTACCTTGGATCACATAGTTTAATTCCTTATAGATATTCATCACTTCCTTAAGAACAAAGCTGAAAGGTTATGCTATTTTTTCTCTTATTAATGTCTAAGTAATACTTCAAGCCTCTTCGATCACTACCTACCTTATGCTACAGATACTCTAAATGCAACTTGTATCATTTTGCCACTGGGTTTTGAAATATTATCCCCAAGTTAGATTATCACTGTTTTATGTTTCTGCCTATATACGTATTCTACTAAATTGCCTCACAATTGGACTCACATGACATCTTATTCATTGACATTTTAAAACAGAAACTATCACTCCTGATGAAGATCACACATCTTAACTGTATCCTCATTTTAATACATGCTTGAGTTACTATATGACATCAACATTAAAATACCTGTCTCCAAATTTATGCTTTGAGATCAGGGACTGTGTGTTTCAGTTACATAATAATTTGGACAAAGAAGATGTCAGTCTATATATTTTAATCTAATGATAGATTAATTTCTGATAAATTTTAAAAGTACAATTTTAAAATATTACTCACCTTTTTGTTTATTTTAAATAAAAATAAAGAGGAAAATATATTAAACATTTAAGCAAAATTCCACAAATATATACATATTTTTCTCATGTGTATATTAATTGGCATAATCCACCTCTACCCGTATGCTGCTTGGTTGGAAGAACACAGAGAAATTTCAGCTATTTCACGATAAAGAACAATTTCTGAGAAGACACATCTTTTAAAAGTGTGGGCCCAGGATCAGCCTTTACGCATCTCAATTCTGGCTCCAGCACTTTCTAGCTATGCGGCCTTTGGAGGTTAGTAAGTCACACTGAGCCTTGTTTTCCTCATCTATCAAACAAAGCATGCTAGTCTGAAGATGCAGTATGTACAAACAGCAAGTTAAAATGCACATGTGGAAACTATGTTCTTAATTTATCCATAATTATGTGTTAAATAAATTCTTTATTCCACTGGCTGATACATAAAATCTCACTTTAGTCATGTTCCTTTTCTAATTTTCCTGAGCATTACCTCAATTCTGGATAAGAGGGTGATTGGAAAAATCAGACACACAAATAGCATGGCAAGAGTATGTGTTTGTGTGACTGGGGACCGAGGCACACTGCATGAGGCCCAGTCCTTGCTTTTACCTGCTGATATCTGCCCAGTGAGGCTTTTGTTTCAGGCTGCAGATGTTTTTCACGTGATTTTCCTCAGGTTCATTATCTCTCAGTGCTAACTACATGTAGTTTTTGGCATAAGATTAATACTACTACACAACTCTGCACACTCTTTGGCTTGTGGATTTAGACATCTTAGCTAATTTTGAGGCTCCTAAACTATGGTAGGCTGAGGAGATATCTCTTGGATCTTAATACTTTTCTTGAATAATAAGGGCAGAGGTTTCCTAAGCTCTTTGGAATCTACCTATATTAGGATCCTCTCTCCCATTTACTGCCCCACAAGACTTGGCTCAATGTGGATTGCAGCATTGGACACCTTCTCAGGGATCCATCCGTGACTAAGATCTCTTTGTTTTCTTCTACATCTTCCTCCCTATTTCCAAAATCAAAGGAATGTGTGTGTGTGTGTGTGTGTGTGTGTGTGTGTGTGTGTATGTAAGAAGGGAGTGTAGGAGCTATGAGAAAATACAGAGTTGCTAGATAAATCTTTTTTTGATAAATAGCATCTTCCAAATTTAGTGATTTCATCCAAAGTTTTATATTTTTAACACATAGGCTAAGAATGTAATTCTTTTTGGTTAGCCTTCTCTGAGTCAATGACTGCAGAAAGTTCAACTCCCTAAATGACAAAAAGAGAAGGTGTGAAATGCAATATTAAAAGGTACAAATAGGGAGCAAAGGTTAATGTATACATTTTTTTTTCTGCTCAGTAGAAAATTAAAATAGAAGATGGATATAAAACACAACGAACAGTGCCCACAACATTGAAATTGCTTAATAAGTATTAGTCACTACAAATCTGCAATCATAGCCTCAGAGAGCAAAGAATGGATTGCAAAATGCAACTGAACAGGATAGAAAAACAGAGCTTTTTCCCACTTGTTGTATTCTCATTGGAACTTTTGGAATCAAACTTCAAAATGTGAGAAACACACACACTCTAACTGAAAGAAAAAATATATTTTTCATAATTACAATGAACTTTTGTAGAGACGAAACACTGTAAAACAATAACATAAAATGGAAAAACAGGTAAACTTAGCCAGGCACTGTGGCTCAAACCTGTAATCCCAGCACTTTGGGAGGGCGAGATGGGTGAATCACTTGAGTCCAGGAGTTGGAGACCAGACTGGGCAACATGGTGAAACTCTGTCTCCACTAAAAATAAAAAAAATTAGCTGGGCACGGTAGCATGCACCTGTAGTCCCAGCTACTTGGGAGGCTGAGGTGGGAGGATCACCTGAGCCTGGGAGGTCAAGGCTGCCGTGAGCTGTGATAACGCCACTGCATTCTATCCTGGGCAACAGAGTGAGAGACCCTGTCTCAAAAAAAGAAAAGGAAAAAGTAAAACAGAAAAACTTTTTTAAAAAGACCAAAAAGGAGTTCATGTTCTAAAAAAATAGTTTTAAAAATGGAAATTTAACAGATTGAGTGAAATGTAAAAAGCTAAACCATGAGATGAAAGTGAACAAAATAGAGCTGAAGGAAAGACAAATAAAAATAAAGCCCATAAATAGGAACTGAGAAATAGTTTTGATCAACAAATTTTTATTCATAAAATCAGAAAATTAGAGAAAATATATAATTTAGAAGACATTATAATTGCAGAAAATTTATAGTACACTATTTCAGCATTGTAGTTAGATATGATCACCACATTTCTACTTTGTTAATACTAAAAGGCATATATTATCTAACTATTTATTATAGCTATTGCCGAAGGAGGCATTTTTGTTCATTACCAGTGAACAAGGAGACAGGAGAATTGTTAATATGAACTAGCTAACTTTAATGTTTTCAATCAGTTGAGAACTAATTTATTTTCTTCCACTTTCTATTTTTGTTCATGAAATATTTCTCAAACATATTATAACCAGAACAATGAAAAAAACTAGCGTGTATATGTGTGTGTGTGTGAGTGTGCATGTGTGAGAAATTTTAAACATTTGGGTAAATCAGACTCCTCAGGCTAAGCATTAACATCAAAGGGAATTAATTTGATTATTTAACCTGGATTCTGCTTGATACATTTAATCAGATTGAAAGAATTCAGAAATTTTTCTTACAGCTTCTTCCAAATATTAGAAAACATGTAATTAATAAGCAGTAAAATGGATCAGTTCAAAAGTTAAAGTTTAATGGATCATTTTAGCAAGCAAATTATTTACAGATGTTACCGATGGAAAATAATAAACTATTCAAATATTTCTTGAAAGATTTAAAAGGAATTCACAAACTACCAGGAGATATCTTAGTTAACATGATGATGCCCCCTTTCTGGCATTGTAGGTGCGAACATTCATTTAATCCAATTTGAAAACTCTCCAAGGATGCTAACTGGCAGTAACCAATAAAGGAACACTAGAAGTAGAAACATATTTATGTTCCCATTTCTTACAAAGTCAGTGGACAAAAGTCTTTATTATTGCCCCCCCACCCTTGTTTTCTGATTTTCTTTTTCTTCTTTTAATAGATTTTATTTTATCTTAGAGCAGTTTTAGATTCACAAAAAACCTTGAGAGGAACGTACACAGGTTTTTCATATACCCTGGTCCTTACACATGCATAGCTTTCACCGTTATCAACATCCTCCACGAGAGTGATACATTGGTTACGATTGACAAACCTGCATTGAGGCATCACTGTCACTCAAAGTCCATCATTAACAGTGAGGTTCATTCTTGATGTTGTATATTGATTTTCTTTCTGCCAAAAATCTAAAAAGAGTTGTCCACACATAGTATCCCCTTTTGACCTCCCATTCACTCTTTACTGGTAATATTTATTGTCAATTAAAATAATATTGGCTGGTATTTTTGTTTATAAAACAGATTTTGTGAATAATTATTTTTTAATAGAGGAAAACGTTTTGTAAAAGATTTGTAAATACACTATTTGTATGTAATCACTTCTAACATGCTGCCATTCTCCTTTGGTTATATGTTTTTCTATGTAATTGAGATCATGGTGGTTATATTGTCAGGTAACACATTTATTTTTTCTGTTTAACAAAGTAATATGACCATTTTTCATATTATTATATATGCTGCTTCAATAATGGGCTGTGTATTCTATTCCACTGGGCTATGTGTGCATTATTATTGTATGTCTGTGCACAAAATTTTAATTGTTACAGCTTTAAAATAAGCCATAACATGTGGTTGGATAAGATCAACAAATTGTTTATCTTCCTCTATTTTGGTGTTCTTAAAATCATTTCAACATTGTAATAGTGTCTATTGAGTTCTTTCACATCATTTTTAGATTTATTCCAAGATTCATTTTATGTTTTTTAGTTGAAAATGGTATCTACTATTTTTTAAAATTTGTTACTGAGAAAAAGAAATTCAATTGATTCTTTAACCTTATATACAGCAACAAGGTTGCACTCATTAATTTTAAAAGATCTTAGTAGACATCATCTGTGAGTAATGATACTTTTTGAATTATCTCTTCTATTCGTTAACCACTTTGCTTTTTTTAAAAAAAAATTAGCCAATCTTTTAACTTGTTTTTGAACATTTAAATCATTCTTAATAGAGGCTTTCTCTATCTCAAATAAAGTTTTTTATAGTCAAGTTAATTTTGTCTGATGTTTATTATATCTGTTCTGGATTTTATCTGGTTGGTGTGTGCTAGTTGTATTTTTTTGCCTGCTATTACACTTCCTATTCTCCTTTATGCCAGTCTTTTGTAAATAGTATCAGATTATTTACAGTCCAATCTGATGATTTCTATACTCCAATCAAAAATATTAATACATTTATATTTCTTGTGATTACTAAAACATACCTACATACATATATATGCATAGATATAATCCATTCCACATATATATGTGTGTGTGTAAAGGAATTCTCCTCCTTTCTAAGGAGGAGAATGGCAATATATGATTAATGAAGACCATTAGCACAAAAGAAGATCAGAAAGAAGAAATAAAAAAGAGAATAAAGAAAAAGCAAGAAAAATAGATCATAGGAAGAGAATTTATATATACACACACACACACACACACACACACACACACACACATACACTCTCTTTGGATATACACACACACATATATATGTATATGTGCAGTAATCTTCTGAATTTATATATATGTAGGTATGTTTTAGTAATCATAAGATTACTACACATATACATATATAGTGTGTGTATGTATATATATCCAAAGGTGATATATATATATATATATATATCTCCATTCTCTTACTATGAACTCTGTATTTTTCTTGCATTTTCTTTATTCCCTTTTTTATTTCTTCTTTCTGATCTCCTTTTGTGTTAATAGTCTTTATTAATCATATATTGCCATTCTCCTCCTTGGAAAGAGACACCCTGAATCTCAATATCTTAGTTCAAATATTGAAACTTTTAGTATTCATCCTTTAATTCTTAATTTTAGTTGTATATGTTTTTATTTCTCAGTTTAGCTCTAATTTTTATAGTTTTGACTACTGCTCACTCTCCCTCTTGGAAATTATCTTCTCATGACTTGTTATATATGTGTGTGTGTGTATATATATGTATACATATACACATATATATGTGTGTCTCTGTGTTTATATATACATATATATGTGTATATATATATATATGTGTATATATATATATATATATATATATATATAGAGAGAGAGAGAGAGAGAGAGAGAGAGAGAGAGAGAAACAGTTATATTTCCCCACCTCCAGTTTTTTATATCTTTCTAATTTCTACCAATAATTCTGGTCATATACCTCTAGTACTGCTACTCTCAATTTTATTATTTTATTCTACATATTGTACATTTGATGGCCTTCATTACTATTCTTTTACTTGACCAAAGTCAGTTTATTTTCAGTCCCTTGGGGAATGCCTCAATATTTCTCATACATCAAAGCACTCTATTTTCTGATTCTGGGCCTGGAGCCCCTCAGTGTGTGATACAGTTTCCTACATTTTTTGCCTGGCATTGAATGTTAGATAGGCAGTCAGAGCCTGTGCTTCCTTTTCACTCAAATCTATCTTTTGGACTCCACCACCAAAAAATGTGCTCTTTCATATATTAACTAGGCTGTCCATGCTATTCAATCCAACCGAAGCTTTCCTGGCAAAAACTGTCTTGGCAGCAATGGACATTTTTTAACTGTGTTTTTTTTCTTTTTTAAACATGTTTCTCTCTTGGTTCCAGTGGCACAACGCTTTGATAGTTTACTTTGACCTCCTGGAATATGCCACCGTGCCTGACGGCCAACAACTCACTTGCCATCACAGTCCTGGGCCGGCAGGTGCTGTAGCTCATGCCTTGAAATTCTAGCACTTAGGGAGGCTGAGGGGGGTGGATCACTTGAGCTCAGGAGTTTGAGACCAGCCTGTGCAATATGGTGAAACTCCATCCCTACAGAAAAAAAAAAAGAAAAAGAACAAATTAGCAGGGCCTGGTGGCGCATGCCTGTAGTCCCAGCTACTTTGGGGACTCTGGTGGGAGGACCGCCTGAGCCCAAGCAGTCAGGGCTGCAGTGAGCTGAGATCGCGCCACTGCACTCCAGCTTGTGTGACAAAGTGAGATCCTGTCTCAAAAATAAAAAAAATCTCCTGGGCCTTTCCTCCTGGCCATTTCTGTAGAGCTGGCCCAACCAGCAATATCATGGAATTTTAGACTTTTCACCTATTAATAGATTTGGCTGAAGCAACACATCACAAAGAGTCCAAAGCACTATGTATTGTATTCCAGCAGTGAGGGCAAGGTATTTCCCTATGGGGTCAACTGTAACCAATGAGAAGCAGGAGATAGGAAGGAGATTGGCACATAATTTCTCTCTAACTTTTCTCCTATTTACCACTATGAGGCCTGAGTGCACCTTGCAGTCTGAGCAGAGATGTTTTCCCTGTGGGCCAAAGAGCACATTTGTGAGCCACCTGTAGAAATGAGTCAGTTCTGGGTCATCTGTCAAATAGCAGGCAGCAAATTCATGCCTCACGATACAATTGTTTGCATTTTCCTTTATCTCACTTTTTGTTTGTCACAACAATGCCCTAAATTCTCACCCACTTTGATGGTTAATATTGAGGGTCGACTTGATTGGATTGAAGGATGCAAAGTATTGATTCTGGGTGTGCCTGTGAGGGTGTTGCCAAAGGAGATTAACATTTGGTCAGTGAACTGGGAAAGGCAGACCCAGCCTCAATCTGGGTGGGCACCATCTAATCAGCTGCCAGCACAGCCAGAACAAAAGCAGGCAGAAGAACGTGGAAGGACTAGACTGGCTTAGCCTCCCAGCTTACATTTTTCTCCCATGCCGGATGCTTCCTGCGCTCGAACATCAGACTCCAGGTTCTTCAGCTTTGGGACTCAGACTGGCTTCCTTACTCCTCAGCTTGCAGATGGCCTATTATGGGACTTCACCTTGTGATTGTGTGAGTTAATACTCCTCCTTAATAAATTCCTCTTTATATCTTTATACCTACATCTATCCTATTAGTTCCATCATTCTAGAGAACCCTAATACACCCCCTAAATAAATTATGAGCCTCTTTATTTTCTTCCATTTCTGTTTTCTAGAGGATAAAAGCTAAGATCTTGTCTTGTTGTAGATCATAATATGATCAAGTATCTAGATATGGCGTCTGGAACATAATAACTACTGTGTTACCTTTTGCTGAATGATTGACTTAATATGTGTTTGGAGGTTAGAGAAATAGGCAAAAAGTTTAAAAAAGCAGCACCTAATATGCCCTTGGATGTTTTTATGAGCTGGCTGCTAACAAGCATGCTAAAATATTGTTTTAGTTAATCTTCATCACAACACTATGAATGTGATTTTTTAAATCTCTGTTTTATGGATGAGAGTTTGGTAGCTTAGAGAGGTTAACGTGACCTACATAAGGCTACACAACTCATGATTGATAGAGTTGGGAATTGTGCACAAGAAATTTCATGTTCTTCTGCTATTTGGTGCTATTTTAGAGGCTTATCTTTATTCCTTATGACTCTGGGTTGGAAATACATGACTGAAAATTTTTCATAGACATTGACACAAAATACTCCCATGGCTTAGAAAAAGTCATTTCTCCCCCTCTGCTGTTCTCTACCACTTAATATGATATATTAAAAGAAGAATCTTTGGAGAAAAGGAGAAATTGCTTGCCATTTACTTACTCTGTGACCTTGGGCAAGTAACTGAGACACCCAGGGCCACTGTTTTCTTAACGCTAACAAGAAGAAAATAAAAACTACCTTAGGAATTTGTTGCCAACGTTTTAATACACATTATAAATCTTCAATAACATCCTACCCTGTTCCTTTATAATGCATTTCTTGGCTTTCTTGAAATAAAGGAAAGTATAATTTTGCTCAATGTGAAATAGAGTTAGAACAAGTTAGAGTGTAACTTAAAACAGTGAATATTTCAAAGGTTATAAATGGCTTTCAAATTCACCACAAGATATATTTTGCCCCAGAATGTTTTAATTTATTTAAAATGTATTTGCATTTCCTCAATGCATGTGTTCATTAAAACCAAATTAAGAAATTTTAAAACTACAGTGCTAAGAACTGATTATTCCAAGTTGAGTAAGGCAATTTTTACTTTGTGAAGTTCAAAGACATGTGCTGAGAAGCTCTGCAGTAAAGTGAAGTGTAACAGATCAGGTATAAGTGGGAAGAATTGTGGAAGCACGAAATGAATTTCAAGTTAAGTAGCAAATCTAACCCCGCTCAGAAATGACTTCCTATCTTTCTGTACCTTGTTTTCTTTCATCCTTCAGCACTGGCTTCAAATCTGCTGACTATGAAATATGTCTGCTGCTTGAGAAACATATGCAATGTTGTTTACTCCTATGATCTTGTGTAATATGCATGATTTCTCCCACTTTTTTATCTTGTTTTTGGCGTGGTTTTAATGGACAGTGTTGTTTTGCTTCAAGCCTCGCTGTCTATGTCACATATGAACAAAAGACATTACAGTTATTTAATTGTGGTTACAAAACATGTATCCCATTCCTTATACTATGTACATTTTCTAGCTCATATTTGTGTCTTCAAAATATATCTGATGGAGAAATAAATGAATGTGTAATTATCCAGTTGTATTATTGTGTGTGCATTTCTTTGTTTTTTCTTACATTTATATCATACTGAAAACACTATTTTACTCTGTCATGTATGGAACACATCAAGGGGTGCTTTGCAACAAAATGTGGGTACAAATAACCCAAAATATTTAGCTGATTTTGTGAGTAAAGAATTTTGGTAGACTTTGCAATGCATTAGAATCTGGGAATAAGGTCTTTTAACCTAGAGCAGATACATGATTCCCATCATGCAACTTGGTAACTGCACCCCTTGCAGCTGACAGGGATTGTTTTTGTGGTACTATAACACATCTACTCCCATTCTCTGGCTGGCCTGAGCCAAATTTACTTTAGTCCCATATGAGCCAATGTTTACTCCTGTGAGTTACATCATAGTTGTTACCACCGTGTGTGGTCTCACTCATTCTCTTCTGCGAAACTCCAAGACACAAATAATTTGAAGATCGGTTCTAATTCACCTTCCTCTATTATCGAAGAGTATTTGTAACTATTGTCCACCTTAATTTTTCCCATTTATTCATGTATTCAATCACATATAATGCACTTACCATGTTCTAGGCACTGTACAGTTCCCTGGAGATACAGCAGTTAGTTAACCAGTCAAAAATAATTGCTCCGAAGGAAATTACATCATATAAGGGAAGACGGAAGGTAACTTTATTAGTAGGCGAAATGGTAGTTTGTGCTGTGGTGAAGTATAATTAGAAAGGGCGAATGAGGAGTTTCAGGTTTGGGGAGATGTAATTGTAAATTGGGTGATCAGGGAAAACTTCATAAAGACCATATTGTTTAGTCTCTGTACAATTCACTGTGGCATTTAACTTTTAAACTATATTTTCTCTTAGCTACTGCATAAATTAAATTTAAATATAATCCATTGATCCAGCAGGCATAGATTTTCAAAATTGACCATAAGCAGATGACTTGTACATGTAGTCCTTTTTTGGGGAGTAGATTGGTTATTTTTATTTTTGGTTATTAGACTTTACTTTTCAGAGCACTTTTAAGAGAAAAATTGAACAGAAAGTACAAAGAGTTTCCCTATATTCTCTCCCTCTGTCATCTCCGGGTTCCCCTATGAACATCTTGCCTTGGTGTGATACATTTGTTACAACTGAAGAACCAGTACTGATACATCATCATTGACTGAATTCTAGGTTTACATTAATGTTCCACTCTTTTGTTGTATAGTTCTATACATAGTCATTTGTCCATCATTATAGTGTCATACAGAATAGAATGCTACTATACTGTCTTAAAAATCCCTGTACTTTGCCTACTCATTCCTTCCCCTCATCCCAACCATTGATTGGGATGGCAACCACTGATCTTTTTACTCTCCTTTTCATTCTGTCTTTTCCATATATAATATGGTTAGAATCATACAGATTTTCAGACGTGGCTTGTTTCACTTAGCAATACTTACTTAAGATATCCATGTCTTTTTGGGGCTGGATAGCTCTTTTCTTTTTTTTTTTTTTAAACACAGAGTTTTCGCTCTGTTGCCCAGGCTGGAGTGCTGTGGCACGATTTCGGCTCAGTGCAACCTCCACCTCCCGGGTTCAAGCCATTCTCCTGCCTTAGCCTCCCAAGTAGCTGGGATTACAGGCATAAGCCACCACACCTGGCTAATTTTGTATTTTTAGTAGAGATGGGATTTTGCCATGTTGGCCAGGCTGGTCTCAAACTCCTGACCTCAAGTGATCCACCTGCCTCGGCCTCCCAGAGTGCTGGGATTACAGGTGTGAGCCACTACGCCCAGACACTCCTTTTTTTTTATCATGAGATAATTTTCTATTATATGGCTATAAGCAGTTTGCTTATCCATTCCCCTATGAAAGAACATCTTAGTTACTTTCAAATTTGGGGCAATTATGATATAAACTGCTTATAAACAGTTGTGTGCATATTTTTTGTACAGATTTAAGTTTTCAACTCATTGTGGTAAATGCAGAAGAGAGTGGACTACGGGCTCATACCTAAGCTATGTTCAATTTTGTAAGAAACTGCCAAAGTGTCTTCCAGAGTGGCTGTACCATTTTAGAGTCCCAGAAATAATGAATGAGAATTTCGACTGCATTTTACAGTCCCAGAAACAATGAATGAGAATTTCTACTGCATTTTACAGTCCCAGAAACAATGAATCAGAATTTCTACTGCTCCCTATCCTCACCAGCATTTGGGTTGTCAGTTTCTAGGACTTTAGCCATTTGAATAGATGTGTAGTGGTATCTTGGCATTGTTTTGATTTACAATTCCCTAATGACATATAATGTTGAACACCTTTTCATATGCTTATTTGTCATTTGTATACCTTCTTTTGTTAGGTGTCTGTTCAGATTGTTGCCTACTTTTTAACTTTTCAATTTGTTCAGTTAGGACATTTGTTTTTTGAACTGTTGAGTTTTAGGTTTTAAGAGAGCTTTTTTTGAGGAGGTGGTTATTGTGGATACAAGTCTTTTACTGATACATGCTTTGCAAATAGTTGCTCCTAATCTGTGGCTTAAAATGTAGATATCCAGATATTTTAATACCATTTGTTAAAATGTTTTTAATCCATTATTTGCTGCTTTTTCAAAGGTCAGTTGACTGTATTCATTTGAGACTACTTCTATTTCACTATTCTGTTCATTGATCTATTTGTCTATTATTTTGCCAGTATTACACTGTTTGAGTAGTGAGACTTGAAGTTGGGGGATGGCAGTCCTCTGACTTTGTCCTTCTTCAATATTGTGATAGCTATTCTGGGTATTTTTCCTTTCCATAGAAACTTTAGAATTGGTTTGTTGATATCACAAAATAGCTTTCTGTGATTTTGTTTGAGATTGCACTAAACCTATAGATCAAGTTGAGAATAACTGACATCTTAACTACAGCATGTTTTTCTATTCATGAACATGGACTATTTCTCCATTTATTTAGATATTATTTGATTTTATTCATCAGAGTATTATACATTTTCTCATACAGACATTGTATATATTTTGTTATATTTATAACTAAATATCTGACTTTTATGTTGCTAAAGGGTGTTATGTTTATTTCAAATTCCAATTGCTTATTGCTAGCATATAAGAAAGCAATTGACTCTTATATATTAACTTCATATCCTGCAGCCTAAGTTCTAGGAGTTTTTTTTTGCTAATTCTTTTGGAAATTTCTACTTTGACAATTATGTTATTTATGAAAAATAATATGTTTATGTCTTCCTCCCAAGCTGTATTTCTTGTTTTAATTGACTTACTGCATTAGCAAGGACTTCTAGTACAATGATGAATAGAAGCAGTGGCAGGAACATTTTTCCTTCTTCCTGATCTTTGTAAGAAAGATTCTAGTTTCTCACCACTATGATATGAATGTAAGATTTTTGCATATGTTCTTTATCATGTTGAAAAAGTTGCCTTCTATTCTTATTTTACACAGAGTGGTTATCACGAATAGGTGTTGGATTTTGTCAAATGCTTCATCATCTATTGAGATGACTTATAAATTTTCTTTTTTAGCCTATTGATGTTATGGATTATAAAAATTGATTTTTGAATGTAGAATCAGTCTTGCATTCTTGAAATAAATCCACATTTGTTGTGGCGTATAATTATTTTATACACTTTTGTATTTAATTTGCTGCTACTTTCTTAAAGGAGTGTTGTATCTTTGTTCATTATAAATATTGATCTGCAGTTTTCCTTTCTTGTAATGTATTTGTTCTGCTTTTGGAGTTAGGATAGTGATGGCTTCAAAGAGTGAATTAGAAAATGTTTTCTGTGCTTCTGTTTTTTACAAAGAGATTGTAAATAATTGACATACTATAATTTATTTTTTAAATGTCTGGCGAATTTACCAGTGAAACCATCTGGGTCTGATGCTTAATAATTTTGAAGATAATTGGTTACTGATTAAATTATAGGTAGGTAGCTATGTAGATAGATAGATGGATAGATGACAGGTGTTTAAGTTTTGATAGATTGTAATTTTTCAAGGAACTAGTCCTTTTCATACAAGTGATTAAACTTGTAGCCATAGAGTTGTTTATAATATTCTTTTATTTTTTTTTTAGTGTTCATGGGATTGGTAGTGTGGCCCTTTTGTGTCTTAAGCTGGTAATGTGTTTGTTCTCTGCTTTTCTTAGTCGGGCTAGGAGTTGATCCATTGTATTAATATTTTCGAAAAATCAATTTTTGCTTTCTTTAATTTTCTCTGAGGTTTTCCTGCTTTCAATTTTATTTATATATACTCTGCTTTTTATTCTACCTTCTACTTACATTGTATTTAATTTCCTCTTCTTTGTCTATTTTCCTAAGGGTAGTGATACAAATACTAATTTTACATCTTTTTGTTTTCTAATATATGCATTCAGTGCTATAATTTTTCTTTTATTAACTGATTTTGCTGCATCTAACAAACTTTTGTAGGTTCTTTTTCATTTTCATTTAGTTTGAAATATATTTTAATTTATCTTGGAACTTCTTATTTAACCCTGTTTTATTTAAAAGTGTGCTGTTTCAGCTATATTTCTGTTATCAATTTCTAGTTTAATTTCCTAGTGGTCTAAGAGCATACTGTGTATGATATCTATTCTCTTTTTTTGTTAAAAATGCATTTATGACCCTGACTGTGGTCTAGTGTTATGAAAGTGTCATATGAAATTGTAACTGTTTTTGAATACTATTACAATTCATGAAGAGTGTCTAAGAACAATGTTGTAAATCATGAAGAGTATCTAAGAAGGTCTTGAGGCCTGTCCCCATAATTGGCACAACACCGAGCTCCTGTTAGTGCTGGTAACCTTGTTTAATTAAAGTGAATAAATTTAAAACGAATAGGTTTGTGAACTTGATGAAATATTCTAAATTAAATAATTAACATAGTATATAGAGAGGTAATATACTACATGAATGTGTTTCTTGTGACTACCAGGTATCATCGGCTTCAGTTGATGTATAATAATTAAGAATAGTAATCTTAATCCCACAGAAAAAGTGGAAACATAGCAAATGAACACATCTCAAAATTATCCTATTTGAGGGCAAAAATAGCTAGAATATGTTTACACAAAATACGAAGTCGTTGTTTGGGGGTTCTGATGGTGCCAGCACTTCTTTAGGCTGGCAGTTCTGCATGCAACAGTTATAGCAATAAAAGTCTTCAGGCCATTGAAATTGTATCCTGGAAGATCTTCAGGCCATATATGGGCCAAGGATAGCAGCTGCCACAGGAAAAAAATCATCATGATGATTTATGGTAAGCAATTTGCCCAAGCTCTTACATATCAAATGTAGATTGGAATGGCAAGATAGTTTACAGACTAGGTAAGATTGTGATTGTGATTTTTAAACTAAAAGAATTTAGGCATCCTTTCTATTAAATTCCGAGCATTGTCTTTTATAATGCCCATTCTCTTTCCAATTCCATGACTTTACATTTTCCTCTACGTATTTTCTTCCGCTATTCAAATTCCTTTTGATAATGTTGATTTAATATTGGATAATCAAAACAAGGATGAGTGAGCGAAGTTGAAATGCCTTCTATTAAAACAATTGGAATCTTCTTGTCATATTTTGTTTTACCTTAAATTTATTGAAACTCATTTTTTAGAATCATACCGTTCTATTTCTCAATGGAAAAGAAAGTGTTCTATAATAAATGTTGAATTAAAGGTAACTTTGTATCTTCTACTTTATCATTTTAATCCTTATTGAACATTCTGTTGACATTGCATAAATACATTCTTATAATCTTTATACAAAATTTATTGTAACAAATTACATATTTGTAAATAAAATTTTAAAATTTCCCCTAAATTTAAATTGAATAATTTTAATTTCTTGATTTTTTGAAACCAATATTGTGTGTGGTATTTAAATAGAAATCTTTGAAAATACATTCATTAAATATGTTATCTCATTATAAAATATTTTCAATTACTGTTTTAAATAATGAAGAACATTTTATACTTTTCCCTTATTTTCACTATTTTAAAAATTTCATTAAGATGTAAGCAAAATGGTGAAACAGGAGGTACCACATTCATATCTCCCCACAGCAAAAGTAATCTGGCAGCCAACCATGGATAAAAGTGTCTTCGTGGGATCTTTGGGATCCAGGTAGGAAAAAGGCGTGAATCCAAAGTAGAGCCCAAGACCAACGAGGGTCATTTTGAGAAAGCAGATCCTCACCCGTGACAGGCTCACTGATCAGAGTCCAGGATACAGACCTGGAAAGAGTCCTTCTCATTGTGGGCTTAATTACATCCCCTGCTATGAGCATCATCCACCAAGAGACCCTGGAGAAGCCAATCCTGCCAGCTCCTTAGGTATAAAGACTACTGACCTTGGTCCTAGCTGTGGACCCTGAAGCATCTTGTGACCCACCTTCAGCTCCTCTCAGCCTTGATCTGGGTACAATCCTGTTCAAACAGGGACGCAGCAGAAGACATACCCATGTATGCCTCAAAGTTGAGGCTGCCAAACTCAGTAGAACTGTGGATACTGAAGCAGCCCTGTAAACCATCGCCAGCCACTCTATTTTACAGTCCCACCTACCCAGGGCCCAGGGGAAAGAGATACCAATCCTTGTCCCCAGAGGCAGGACTGTTTACTTTGATCTAACCACAGATCTTAACAGGGCCCTGTGACTCACTTTTGATGTCATCGCTGAAAAAAATCATTGCCACGGTTAATGTCCAGGAGCTTTTTCCCTATGTTTTCTTCTAGAAATTTTATTGTTCCAGGTCTTAAATTTAAGTAACTGCCCCTCCCATCTATGGTCTGAGAGTTGTCCTGTCTACCTAGGGACCCAACAAGAGACACGCCTGGCCATGACCCAGGAGGCAGGCCCACTGACCTTGGCCCTATTGCCAGCCCTACTGATCAAGGTCCTGGAGACAGTCTAGTCTGCCTAGAGATCAGATGGGATCCCTGCCTGCCTGAGCCCCTGGTAATAGGCCTGTGGATATAACAGCCTCGATGTCACTAAGCTCCAGCCCCGCAATCCCAGAAGCAAGCACATAATCTCAGAGACCTGAGAGCAGTAGGTCTTTAACTGCCAAAAGAAATCCGTAAAGACTGGAAGAGGTGTTTGATCCTTCAAATAAACAGACACCAATGCAATAATACACAAATTATGAAGAATCAAGCAAACATGACATTACCAAGGAAACCAATAAAGCTCTAATAATGGATACACACACACACACAGAGAGAGAGAGAGAGAGAGAAGAGAGAGAGAGAAGAGATTTTGGCTTTCCTGGAAAATAATTCCAAATAATCCTCTTAAGGAAATGCAGTGAGATGCAACAGAACACAGATAAAAAAGCTAAACAATTTTTAAATGCATAAACAAAATTATAAGTTTAAAAAGAAATAGAAAAAATAAAAAAGGACCAGGCAGAATCCTGAGCTAAAGAGTACAGTGACAGGACTGAAAATTTTAATAAACAGTTGCAATAGCAGACAGTCACTCAGAAGAAAGAATCATCAAACTTGAAGTCAGGTCATTTGAAATTAGCCAGTTGGTGGATAAAAGAAAGTGAAGAAATATACTAGATCTAAAATTAGTATGGAGCTACAAAAGACCCTGAAGAGCCAAAGCAATCTTGAGTAAGAAGAACAAAGCTGGAGTCATCACACTTACTGATTTCAAACTACATTACAAGCCTTTAGTAATCAAAACAGTATGGTACTGGCATAAAAACAGATACACAGGACAATGGAACAAAATAGAGAGCTCAGAAATAAACTCATGCATACACAACCAATTTCTGAGAATCTACAACCATCTTTGAGAAGAGCTCTGAAAGTACCCAAGGAGGAAAGTTTCATCTCTTCAATAAATGGTGTTTGGAAAACTAGATAGCCATATACAAAATGATGAAACTGGGTCCTTTTATCATATATAAGTTAACCCAAATGGATTACAGACTTAAAAGTAAGATCTGAAATGGTAAAACTCCTAGAAGAAAACATAGAGAAAAAGCTCCTTGACATTGGTCTTGGAAATAATTTTTTGGATATTGCATCAAAAGCACTGGTTAAACAAAACAAAACAAAAATAAACAAGTGGGACTCCATCAAACTAAAAACTTACTGCAGAGCAAAGAAAACAATCAACAAAATGAAAAGGCAATCTCAGACTGGGAAAAATATATGCAAACCACATATACAATAAGGGATAATATTCAAAATATTTAAAGAACTAAATTCAATAGCATAAAATAAATAAATAACCTAATTAAGAATGGGCAAAGGACCTGAATAGATATTTCCCGAAAGAAGACATACAAACGACCAACAGGTATAGGGGAAGGTGCTTCAAATCAACCATCACCGGTGAAATATAAACTAAAACTATAAGTTATTACCTCACATCTGTTAGAATGGTGGTTATCACAAAGACAGGATAACAAAAGTTGATTAGGGTAAGGAGAAAAGAAAACTCCTGTACACTGTTGGTGGGAATTGTATATTGGTACAGCCATTATGGAAAACAGTGTGGAAATTCCACAAAAAATTCAAAATAGATCTATCATATGATCCAGTATTCCATTTCTGGGTATATAACCAAAACAACTGAAAATAGAATCATGAAGAATTATTTGTACGCTCATGTTCATTGTAGCAGTATTCCTAATACCCAAGCTATGGAAATAACACAAATGTCCATCAACAGATAAATAGATAAAGAAAATGTAATAAAGATTACCTGTGTGTATATATACATGCAATGGAATATTATTCAGACTTAAAAGGAAGTAAATCATGTCATTTTCAATAACATGGATGAACCTAGATTGTGCTAGTGAAATAAGACAAAGAAAGACCAATATTGTATACTACACTTATCAGTGGAATCTAAAGAAGTCAAACTCAGAATGAAAACTATCGCAAGTACAGAAAACAAAACACCGCATGTTCTCACTCACAGGTGGGATTTGAACAATGAGAACACTTGGACACAGAGCAGGGAACATCACACACCAGGGCCTGTCGTGGGGTGGGGTGATGGGGGAGGGATAGCATTAGGAGATATACCTAATGTAAATGACAAGTTAATGGGTGCAGCACACCAACATGGCACATGTCTACATATGTAACAAATCTGCACGTTGTGCACATGTACCCTAGAACTTAAAGTATAATAAATAAATAAATTAATTAATTTAAAAAAAGGAAGTCAAACTCATGGAAATAGAGAACAGAATGATGGTTGCCAGGGGCTGGGTTTATGAGTGGGGTGGATGGGGAGATGTTGGTCAAAAGTTATAAACTTTCGGTTACAAGGTAAGTTCTGGCAATCTAACTTACAGCATGATGACTGTAATTAGTAACAATGTATCATATACTTGAATTTTGAGTCTTATAGATCTTAAGTGTTCTCATCACTCACACATATAAATGATAATTATGTGAAGTGATGAATGTGTTAATTAGCTCGATTATAGTCCTCATTTTAAAATGTATGTTTATATATATATAAAGTGTATATTATATACTATAACATATATATCTCAAATCATCACATTTTATACTTTAAATATACCTTTGTCAGTTATACCTCAATAAAATCAGAAAACATCATTATTCTATAAAATCCATAGAACTGTAAAATACCAAATACATCTATTTTCACCTTTTTTCATATTTGATACACTTACCAATCATATTCTTATAATATTAGGTGTATTATTAACATTTTTGTGAAGTTGTTTAAGGTTGGAATACATAAATTCAGCCAATATCAAGGAATTGATTTTTGAAATATCTTTAAGATCCATTATACATTTTGTCGGATGTAGTTTAAGTAACATTTTCGCATTCAATAAAATTTACCTATATTCAACCTTTTATTTATCAATGAAAATATTCAGCATTAGAAGTACTTTGACATAAGTAACACATGCTGAATCAGTTTATTTTGAATGTAAATTCTTTGTAAGTATGGGTAGAGACATCACATTAAAAGGAAAAAAGCTTATGTTTTCTACTCTATTAAAAAGAAATCTGGTCTATTAGATTGTTTTGCTGAGTAATAAAATATTCTCAGCATAGTTATCATTACAATGCTGTTCCCAGAAGCTCTTCAAAATCTTAGGCAAAACAGATTTATAAAGGTGGCTTTTAAGATAAGTCAGCATTTTTTACTTAACTACAACTCAAGTTATCAACACAGCCTGGGCACACAGTTTTACTCTTAGGCATTTATTTAGATCCTTCAAATCACTTACAGTGCTTGTTTTAATCCATACACTTCTTTGGTCCTAAACATTTGTATTAAAATACAAACAGCTAGAGGATTCATAAAATGTACTGTGAAAAGCAGAAAACCAATTCTGAGATAAGAAGAGTTTCTCAATTTAAATATGCTATACAATTTTAGTTAAAATTCTGTCTTTGTGAGTCACTGTGAAAAATCAGCCATAAAAACAAATTTTCCCTTTTACTTCAGATGTGTTTATGTAAAATATTTTAATAAGGAAAAATAATATCTTTGTAGGTTTACTGATATACTTTCAAACCATCACAAAATGAAAAAGAAAAAGCTCAGAATTTTAATCACAATTGTAAAATGAAGAATGCTTTAATAATGCAAACTGAATTATTATTTACCAATGAATTCTGTCAGGTTATTTCATCAACCTCTCTACTCACATTTGATGAAAAGACTGCATTTTAAAAACTGATAAAACTACTTGGAATAGTTTGACAGCGTTTGGGTTATTTGAACAAAGAAAGATTAAATAATGTATTACCTGAGCTCCTATTGAGGATAATTAGTGTTTTCATTAAAAACTAAAGTAACAAAGAAAGTGAAATTTTAAGTTATTTTCTGTCATATTCTTATAAGGAAATAAAAGTTCATTTCAGCTGGTGACTTGGCTCAGACACATAGCACTGTCATTGCCGTGTGTCCATCAACTATGAATAAAAATGCAATGAAGGATTTTCTAGTGGCATTTTAAAGCAAATATTCAAACAGTCCTTTTCTTGGATTGAAGATAATTTCTCCATAAACCTACAAATAAAGAGAATATAAAATTTTTAAAATGTTATTTTTGTCTCCAATACCTTTTCTCACAGCGTAATATTAGTGATGACTATTTCTTGTCTTTCCGCTAACAAGAGTTTGCAGAACTGGATGTTAGTATTTTGAAATATTCAAGCTTTCTTCTTTGAAATGCACTAATGCAGTGCACTAATGCATTTCAAAGAAGAATGTTTGAATACTTTATATATGTATTCATATATATATATGAAACTCACTATTACTGCGAGACAATTACTCTTTTATTCTCTACTTTTCACAACTCTATACATATACATCATCTTTAAGAAATTATAGCATTAAGTCTGATGTATACACTGTTTCAAGCTGTGCACTGGCCAAATACACTGAGTGACACATAAGAGCTTAAATCCAACTTGTGTTCTTCACTACATAATGAAAAGAGGGATGGGTCTGTTTGCACCTGCAAGAAGGGAAATGTATTTTAATTTATATGAGGTTCCATATGGGCTACTCATGTACAAGTACAATATCATACATACTTTTAAAACTAATAGACTGCAAACCACATATGAAATTTCCTTTATTTTCATATTTTATATTTACATTGAAATTGAAGACTTGATTCTGCCTTTGATTACATTTGAATTTTCAGCTCTTGGACCCATAGTAAAAAACTGAAATTGCATAAGAATATAACTAGTACTTTACCAGTTTTAAAAGATCGCCATATTCTGAACCCACTGGGAAAGAATCACTTCCCAGAGCTTCCCAATTATGTGCCTATAGATCTGAACACCTCTATTTAACCCAAGAACTCATAGACTTTTCCATAATAAAGCTACAAAGGGATCAATTCATAGCTCAATAGGGTGCTTATAGGATCCTACTGAAGCTGAGAGTGGTGTATATTCTGATTATGTTATTCTATTCTAAATAACAACCTGGCTAAAAGATTAGGAAAAAAAATTATTTTTTTAAATTTAAATTTCTAAATTAAACTTACATTTAAATTTTTATTTGTATGTTTCTAGAAACACCCTAACTTTATTTAGCGCACTCCATTCACACTGGAATTTTTTTTTCTACGTGCGTTTTTTTTTGTTTGGTTAATTAATTGACAAATTGATATTGTATATATTTATGGTGGGCAATGTAAAACTTTGATATATATATATATATATATATATACGTTGTAGAATAATTGTCGAGCTAGTTAACATATTCATCACCTCACATATAGATAATTTGGGGGGAGGGTAAAATGATTTACAAATCTACTCTCAGCAATTTTCAAGTATACGATACATTATTGTTAACTGTAGTCACCACACTGTTAAATAAATTTCCCATACTTATGCCTCCTAACTG